>NC_000020.11:63717286-64334167 GCF_000001405.40 Homo sapiens
AAGGTATACAGTTAAGTTATTGATTTGAGATCTCTTTTTTCTTTTCTTTTTTTTTTTTTTTTTTTTTTTTTGGTTGCTGTTGAGATGGAGTCTCCCTCTGTCACCCAGACTGGAGTGCAGTGGCATGATCTCAGCTCACTGCAGCCTCCGCCGCCCAGGCGATTCTCCTGCCTCAGCCTCCTGAGTAGACGTTTCCCGGCCAAGGTGTTTCTTTTTGAATGTAAGCATTTACAGCTACAGATTTCCCTCTAAACACTGCTTTCACTGCATTCCATAAGATTGTTTTTTGTTGTTGTTTTGTTGTTTGAGACACAGTCTCACTCTGTTGCCGTTTGGAGAGCAGCGATGCGATCATAGCTCTGTAGCCTTGAGCTCCTGGACTCAATCAGTCCTCCTGCCTCAGCCTCCCAAGTAGCTGGGACTACAGGTGTACACCACTGCACCTAACTAATTTCTTTTATAAGTTTTTGCAGAGGCCAGGCACAGTGGCTCACACCTGTAATCCCAGCACTTTGGGAGGCCAAGGTGGGTGGATCACCTAAGGTCAGGAGTTCGAGACCAGCCTGGCCGACAGGGAGAAACCCCATCTCTACTAAAAATACAAAAATTAGCTGGGCGTGGTGGCAGGTGCCTGTAATCCCAGCTACTCAGGAGGCTGAGGCAGGAGAATCGCTTGAACCTGGGAGGCAGAGGTTGCAGTGAGCCAGGATCACACCATTGCACTCCAGCCTGGGTAACAAAAGCAAAACTCCATCTCAAGAAAAGAAAAAAAAAAGTTTTTGCAGAGACAGGGTATCACTTTGTTGCCCAGGCTGGTCTCAAACTCCTGACTTGAAGGAGTCCTACTGCCTCGGCCTCCCAAAGTGCTGAGATTATGGGCAAGAGCCACCGCACCCTGCCACTTGGCTGTTTTGTTCTGTTGTATTTCCATTTTCATTGATCTCAAGACATCCTAATCTCCCTTTTGTTTTTTTGTTCGACTTACTCGTTATTCAAGAGTGTCTTTATTTCTGCATATTTGTAAATTTTCCAAAAAAGTTTTTCTTTCTTTCTTTTTTTTTTGAGAAAGGGTCTTGCTCTGTCGCCCAGGCTGGAGAATGGTGGTGCACAATCTTGCCTCACTGCAACCTCTGCCTCCCGGGTTCAAGTGATCCTCCCACCTCAGCCTTCCCAGTAGCTGGGATTACAGGCACACACCACCACACCTGGCTAATTTTTGTATTTTAGTCTTAACGTGCTGGTCAGACTGGTCTCGAATTCCTGACCTCAGGTGATCTGCCCGCCTTGGCCTCCCAAAGCACTGGGATTACAGGCGTGAAACACCATGCCCAGCCCCCAATTTTTTTTTTTTAATAGAGAGAAGGTCTCACTCAAGCCCAGGCTGGTCTTGAACTCCTGAGCTCAAGCTGTCATCCCTCCTCGGCCTCCCAAGGTGCTGAGATTACAGGTGTGAGTCACAGTACCTGGCCTTCTTTCAAGACTTTAAAAATGCCATCTTGGCTGGGCACGGTGGCTCACGCCTGTAATCCCAGCACTTTGGGAGGCCGAGGTGGGCAGATCACGAGGTCAGGAGATCAAGACCACCCTGGCTAACATGGTGAAACCCTGTCTCTACTAAAAATACAAAAAATTAACCAGGTGTGGTGGCAGGTGCCTGTAGTCCCAGCTACTCGGGAAGCTGAAGCAGGAGAATGGCGTGAACCCGGGAGGTGGAGCTTGCAGTGAGCTGAGATCACACCACTGTACTCCAGCCTGGGCAACAGTGCGAGACTCCATCTCAAAAAAAAAAAAAAATGTCATCTCACTGCCTTCTGGTCCAATAGTTTCTGATGAGAAATTGGCTGTTAATCTTATTGAGGAACATTTATATATTGACTAGTCACTTGTCTCTTGCTGTTTTAGGAGATTCTCTATCTTTGGGTTTCAGCAGTTTGATTATAATGTATCAGTGTGGATCCCTCAATTTATAAGCTACTTGGAGTTCATTGGACTTCTTGGATGTGTAAATTCATGTCTTTCATTAAATTTGCAAAGTTTCAGCTACTATTCTTTGCATCTTGAAATACTAGTTTTGTTTCTTTCTGTCTGTTTGCCGCTTATGGAACTTTATGCATACATTGATGTGCTTCATGGTGTAGCACAGGTCCCTTGGGCTCTAGGCATTTTTCTTTGTTCTTTTTTTCTTTCTGCTCCTCATTTTGGATAAATTCAGCTGACCTGTCCTCAAGTTCACTGTTTCTTTCTTCTTCCTTCTCAAATCTGCTGTTGAAACTTCTGGTGAAATTTTCACTACAGTTACTGTACTTTTTAGCTCCAAAGTTTCTATTTGGTTTCTTTCTGTAGTAATTATCACTTTACTAGTATTCTCTATTTGGTTAGACATGGTTCTTTTGTTTTCCTTTAGTTCATTATCCATGGTTTCCTTTATTTTTAAATTTCTTTTTATTTAGTTATTAATTTTTTTTTTTTTTGAAGCGGGGTTTCACTCTTGTCACCCAGGCTGGCAGGCAATGTCACAATCTTGGCTCACTACAACCTCCGCCTCCTGGGTTCAAGTGATTCTCCTGCCTCAGCCTCCCAAGTAGCTGGGATTATAGGCATGTGCCACCACACCCACCTAATTTTTGGTATTTTTAGTAGAAACTGGGTTTCACCACATTGGCCAGACTGGTCTTAAACTACTAACCTCAGGTGATCTGTCCGCCTCAGCCTCCCAAAATGCTGGGATTACAGATGTGAGCCACTGTGCCCAGCCTCTTTTTTTAGTGTATTTAAGGTAATTGATTGAAAGTTTTTGTCTAGTCATTCAAATGTCTAGGCTTCCTCAGGAACAGTTTCTATTAATTTCTTTATTTTTAAAAAATTTTTTTTAATTTTCTTTTTTTTTTAGATGGAGTCTCACTCTATAGCCTAGGCTGGAGTGCAATGGCTTGATCTTGGCTCACTGCAACCTCTGCCTCCTGGGTTCAAGCGATTCTCCTGCTTCAGCCTCCTGAGTAGCTGGGACTATAGGTGCGTGCCACCACTCCTGGCTAATTTTTTGTATTTTCAGTAGAGACATGGTTTTGCCGTGTTAGCCAGGATGGTCTCGATCTCGTGACCTCATGATCCTCCTGCCTCGGCCTCCCAAAGTGCTGGAATTACAGGTGTGAGCCACCGCGCCCAGCCTATTTTTTATTTTTTGAGACAAAGTCTCCCTCTCTCACCCAGGCTGTAGTGCAGTGGCACAACCCTGGCACACTGCAGCCTTAACCGTCCAGGCTTAAGTGAGTCTCCCACCTTAGTCTCCTGAGTAGCTAGAACTACAAGCATGTGCCACCATGCCTGGCTGGTTGTGTTGTTACTGTTTTAGACACAGGGTCTTGCTACATTTCTCTGACTGGTCTTGAACTCCTGGGCTCAAGCAGTCATCCCACCTTGGCCTCCCAAGGTGTTGAGATTACAGGTGTGAGCCACCGCACCCGGCCTGTTAATTTCTTTATTTCCGGTGAATGGGCCACACTTTCTTGTTTCTTTGCATGCCTTGTAATTTTTTGTTGAAACCTGCACAATTTGAAGATGATAATGTGGTTACTTTGAAAATCAGATCCTCCGCCCTCTGCAGGGTTCATTGTTGCTGTTTGTTGTGGATTGTCGTTTCTCGTTTGTTTAGTTACTTTCCTGACCTTTTTAAATAAAGATTATATTCTGTCAGGGGTGCTTGTTTCTGTTCTTTTAGGTTAGTGGTTAGCTTGTGCTTTGAAAGAGATTTCTTTAAATATCTAGTGGCAAAAAGGATAAAGAGGCCGGGCGCAGTGGCTCACGCCTGTAATGCTAGGACTTTGGGAAGTGGAGGCGGGTGGATCACTTGAGGTCAGGAGTTTAAGATCAGCCTGGCCAGTATGGTGAAACCCTGTCTCTACTAAAAATACAAAAATTAACCGGGCATGGTGGCACCTGCCTGTAGTCCCAGCTACTGGGAAGACTGAGGCAGGAGAATCGCTTCAACCCAGGGGGCGGAGGTTGCAGTGAGCTGAGATTGCGCCATTGCACTCCAGCCTGGGCAACAGAGCGAGACTCTGTCTCAAATAAAAAAAAAAAAAAAAAGGATAAAGAGTGTCTTCCATCCTTTCCAGGTTGCCTCTGTACTGGGGCAAGTCCTTCAGTGTCCGCCAGGCTGTTCACGGCTTTTCCTCAGCCTTTACTTCTTGCTCCCATGGAGCCTAAGGATGAACCAGAGGTGAAAGTTGAGGGCCTCCTCAGGTGTTTCTGAGCCCCTGTCTAGCCCCAGCTGTGTGCATGGCCTTCTGGATTTCCAAGCATGAACAGGAGCTTTCCAAAGCCCTTAGACCTTCATGTAGCTCTTTTCCCAGCCTCTTCCTTCCTAGGCTTTTCTGTCAGCTCTTTGCCCATCTGTTGTTGTCCCTCCCCCACAACTTCAGGTAGTATCTACCTGTAAATGCCTTCAGGCCAGGCGCGGTGGCTCATACCTGTTATCCCAGCACTTTGGGAGGCCGAGGCGGGTGAATTGCTTGAGGTCAGGAGTTCGAGACCAGCCTGGCCAACATGGTGAAGCCCCGTCTCTAGTAAAAATACAAAAATTAGCTGGGCGTGGTGGGTGCCTGTAATCTCAGCTACTCGGGAGGCTGAAGCAGGAGAATTGCTTGAGCCTGGGAGGCGGAGGTTGCAGTGAGCTGAGATCGTGCCATTGCACTCCAGCCTGGGCGACAGAGTGAGACTCCATCTCGGGGAAAAAAAAAAAAAAAAAATGCCATCAACAGCACGACCCTGGAGGCTGCCCCAGCCCTGAGAGAGTTCGAGGGGGTGAAACAAAGGCAAGCCCTTCAGGGAGACACTAGAAAGATCCAAATGCATAAGCAGGATTCCTTGAGAAAAGGTCTGTATCATCCCTTCTGACACCAGCAAGCCACATCAGAAATACAGGTTGCCTTCCCCATGGCTACATGTGAGCTGGTAGTAGTGGCTGAGCAGAAATAGCCCAGCTGTCCTCCTGAAATTTAGCAGGGTCTTACTTCATTGAGCAGTCATCTGGTTCGTAGACACCAGAGTTACAGAAAAGTTTATTGGGAGGTTTTGACAGTTTAATAGAAAAAAGTTTATTGTGACAGTTTTGACAGCTGAATAGAAAAAAGTTTATTGTGACAGTTTTGACAGCAGAATAGTTGCTTTGCTGGAGAGACGGATCTTTGGAGCTGCCAACTCCATCATTTTGGTGATATCCAGCTCTGTTGCTGAATTTTTAGCTATGCTGTTTTAAGTTATTTTCTTAGTGGTTGCTCTAGAGATGACAATGTACATCTTTAACTTACCACAATGTACTTCAGATTATTACTAACTTAACACTTAAAGTACAGCATTTTTTTTTTTATGGAGTTTCACTCTGTCACCCAGGCTGGAGTGCAATGGTGTGATCTCGGCTCACTGCAACCTCCGCCTCCCAGGTTCACGCCATTCTCCTGCCTCAGCCTCCTGAGTAGCTGGGACTACAGGCACCCCCACCACACCCGGCTAATTTTGTATTTTTAGTAGAGATGAGGTTTCACCATGTTGGTCAGGCTGGTCTCGAACTGCTGACCTCAGGTGATCCGCCCATCTTGGCCTCCCAAAGTGCTGGGATTACAGGTGTGAGCGACTGCACTGAGCCTAAGTATGGCAACGTGTCTATAACATAGATCTACTTCCGTTGTACTATGACATAGTTCCCCCTCCATTTTCCTATAGCACAGTCCCAACCTCCCTTTTCCTCTGACATAGTTCCATCCTCCCTCCTCCTATGACGTCCTCCCTTCTCCTCTGGCATAGCTCCATCCTCCCTTCTCCTATGACACAGCTCCATCCTCCCTTCTCCTCTGACATAGCTCCATCCTCCCTTCTCCTATGACACAGCTCCATCCTCCCTTCTCCTCTGACATAGCTCCATCCTCCCTTCTCCTGTGTCATAGCTCCATCCTCCCTTCTCCTCTGACACAGCTCCATCCTCCCTTCTCCTCTGGCATAGCTCCATCCTCCCTTCTCCTATGACACAGCTCCATCCTCCCTTCTCCTATGACACAGCTCCATCCTCCCTTCTCCTATGACACAGCTCCATCCTCCCTTCTCCTATGACACAGCTCCATCCTCCCTTCTCCTATGACACAGCTCCATCCTCCCTTCTCCTCTGGCATAGCTCCATCCTCCCTTCTCCTCTGACATAGCTCCATCCTCCCTTCTCCTCTGACATAGCTCCATCCTCCCTTCTCCTCTGACATAGCTCCATCCTCCCTTCTCCTCTGACATAGCTCCATCCTCCCTTCTCCTCTGACATAGCTCCATCCTCCCTTCTCCTCTGACATAGTTCCATCCTCCCTTGTCCTCTGACATAGCTCCATCCTCCCTTCTCCTCTGACATAGCTCCATCCCCTCTTCTCCTTCATGTATTATTGCCATATATACATTTATGTATGTTATAACTTCAGCTCTTCAGCGTTATAATTATTGCTTCAAAAGTATTTTGAAAGAAGTTGCCTGGAGGCAGTGGCTTATGCCTTTAACTCCAGCACTTTTGGGGGCTGAGGTGGGCAGATCGCCTGAGCCAGGGAGTTGGAGACCAGCCTGGGCAACATGACGAAACCCATCTCCACCAAAATTACAAAAAATTAGTCTGGCATGGTGGCACGCGCCTGTAGTCCCAGCTATTTGGGGGAGGATCCCAGCTAAGGTGGGAGGATCACTTGAGCCTGGGAAGTCAAGGCTGCAGTGAGCTGAGATTGTGCCACTGCACTCCAGCCTGGGTGCAGATCTTATCTCAGAAGTAAAGGGACTAGGAATGGTGGCTTTTATCTCTAATCCCAGCACTTTGGGAGGCTGAGGTGAGTGGATCACCGGAGGTCAGGAGTTTAAGACCAGCCTGGCCAACATGGTGAAACCCCGTCTCTACTAAAAATACAAAAAGTAGCCGGGTGTGGTGGTGGGTGTCTGTAATCCCAGCTACTCGGGAGGCTGAGGCAAGAGAATCGCTTGAACCTGGGAAGCGGAGGTTGCAGTGAGCAAGATCGCACCACTGCATTACAGCCTAGATGACAGAGCGAGACTCTGCCTAAAAAAAAAAAAAAAAAGAAAAGAAAAGAAATTAAGATCTGGACACTGTGGTTCATGCCTGTAATCCCAAAGCCTTGGGAGGCCAAGGCAGGAGGATCACTTGAGGCCAGGAGTTCAACACCAGCCTGGGCAACATAGCGAGACTCCATCTCTATTTAAAAAAGAAAGAAATTCAAAGAGAAAAAAAGTATACTTGTTTTTTTGTATCATCCATATTTTACCTTTCTTTTTTTTGCCCCTTTTTCTTTCCTGTGAATTTGAGTTACTGTCTAGTGTCATTTCCTTTTAGTCTGAAGAACTTCATTTAGAATTTTTTTTTTTTTTTTTTGAGACAAAGTCTCACTGTGTTGCCCAGGCTGGAGTGCAATGGTGCAGTCTCAGATCACTGCAACCTCTGCCTCCCTGGTTAGAGTGATTTTCCTGCCTCAGCCTCCCAAGTAGCTGAGACTGCAGGCACCTGCCACCACCCCCAGCCAATTTTTTTGGTATTTTTAGTAGAGACAGGGTTTCACTATGTTGGCCAGGCTGGTCTCGAATTCATGACCTCATGATCTGCCTGTCCTGGCCTCCCAAAATGCTGGGATTACCATGAGCCACCACGCCCAGCCCATTTAGAATTTCTTTTTTTTTTTTTTTTTGAGATGGGGTCTCGCTCTTGTTTCCCAGGCTGGAGTGCAGTGGCACGATCTCGGCTCACTGCGAGCTCCGCCTCCCGGGTTCACGCCATTCTCCTGCCTCAGCCTCCCGAGTAGCTGGGATTACAGGCGCCTGCCACCACGCCCACCTAATTTTTTGTATTTTTAGGAGAGATGGGGTTTCACCGTGTTAGCCAGGATGGTCTTGATCTCCTGACCTCGTGATCCGCCCGCCTTGGCCTCCCAAAGTGCTGGGATTACAGGCGTGAGCCACCGCGCCCGGCTAGAATTTCTTGTAGGACAGGCTTGCTAGCAACCAATTCAGTGTTTATTTGGGAATGTCTTTATTTCAGCTTCATTTTTTGAAGGATAGTTTAGCTGGCTATAGAATTATTAATTGATCATTCTTTTCAGTGTTTAAAAGTGTCATCATGCTACCTTCTGGGTTCCATTGTTTCTGATGAGAAGTCATCTGTCAAATTGTCCCTTTGTACTTGAAGAATTATCTTTTTTTCTCTTGATGTTTTCAAGATTTTCTCTTTGTCTTTGGCCTTTAGTAGTTTGTGATGTATCTAGGTGTGGATCTCTTGGTGTGCATCGTATTTGGGCTTCAGTAAGCCTCTTAGATTCATAGATTAATGTTTTGTTTTGTTTTACCAAATTTGGAGAGTTTTTACTCATCATTTCAACAAATTTTTTTCCTGCCCCTCTCTCATCTCCTTTTGGGAGTACCACTGCATGTATGTTGGTGTGCGTTCTCTAAAGCTTTTTTTTTTTTTTTCCAACCTTTTTTCTCCTTATTCCTCAAACTGGATTATTTATTTATTTATTTATTTATTTTTTAATTTTTTGAGACGGAGTTTTGCTTTTGTTGCTGAGGCTGGAGTGCAGTGGCGCGATTTCGGCTCACTGCAACCTCCACCACCTTCGAGGTTCAAGCAATTCTCCTGCCTCAGCCTCCTGAGTAGTTGGGACTACCGGAGTGTGCCACCACCATGCCCAGCTAATTTTTGTATTTATAGTAGAGACGAGGTTTCACCATGTTGGCAAGGCTGGTGTTGAACTCCGGACCTCAGGTGAACCACCTGCCTCAGCCTCCCAAAGTACTAGGATTACAGTCGTGAGCCACTGCACCCGGCCAGGATAATTTTTAATGAATTTTTTTCTTCTGCCATCTCAAATCTGCCGTTGAGTACATCTAATTAATTTTTTTTTTTTGAGTCGGAGTCTCACTGTGTCGCCCAGGCTGGAGTGCAATGGCGCGATCTTGGCTCACTGCAACCTCCACCTCTCAGGTTCAAGTGATTCTCCTGCCTCACCCTCCCAAGTAGCTGAGATGATAGGCGCCCGCCACCACGCCCAGCTAATTTTTTTGTATTTTTAGTAGAGACAGGGTTTCACCATGTTGGCCAGGCTGGTCTTAAACCCCTGACCTCAGGTGATCCGCCCGCCTAGGCCTCTCAAAGTGCTGGGATTACAGGCATGAGCCCGGCCTTGAATTTTTTTTTAATAGGCTTTTTGTTTGTTTGTTTGTTTGTTTTTGAGATGGAGTCTTGCTCTGTCGCCCAGGCTGAAGTGCAATGGTGCAATCTCGGCTCACTGCAACCTCCGCCTCCCAGGCTCAAGCGATTCTTATGCCTCAGCCTCCCCAGTAGCTGGGACTGCAGGCACCCTCCACCACACCTGGCTAAATAATTTTTGTAGTTTTAGTAGAGACAGGATTTCACCATGTTGGCCAGGCTGGTCTTGAACTCCTGACTTCAGGTGATCTGCCCACCTCGGCCTCCCAAAGTCCAGGGATTACAGGCATGAGCCACTGCTCCTGACCATGGCTTTAGTTTTTAGAGTAGTTTTAGGTTCACAACAAAATTGGGTGGAGGATACAGAGATTTCACATATACTCCAGACCCCCACACATGCAACAGCCCCTCCCCACAACACCATCATGCTCCCTCACCAGACTGGTACGTTTATTACAATCCATAAACCTACACAGACCCATCATTGTCACCCAAGGTCCATAGTTTACATTAGGGCTAACTCTTGGTGGTGTACATTCTATGGACTTTGACACATGTATAATGACAGGCATCTACTATTGTGGTATCAGACAGAGAAGCTTCACAACCTCATTCTCTGTACTTTACCTGTTCATCCTGCCCTCCCCACTACATTCACTAAAAATGTCCTTTCAGTGATTGTCCTTTTTAACTCTGGAATTTCCATTTGATTTTTTTTTTTCTTTTTTTCTTTTTTTTTTTAGACAGAGTCTGCCTCTGTTGCCCAGGCTGGAGTGCAGTGGTGCCATCTCGGCTCACTGCAACCCTCTGCCTTCTGGGTTCAAGCAGTTCTCCTGTTTTAGCCTCCCAAGTAGCAGGGAGTACAGGCTCATGACACCACGCCTGGCTAATTTTTGTATTTTTAGTAGAGACGGGGTTTCTCAATATTGGTCAGGCTGGTTTTGAACGTTTGACCTCAGGTGAGGCACATGGTGAAACCCCATCTCTACTAAAAATATAAAAGTTAGCTGGGCGTAGTAGCTCACACCTGTAGTCCCAGCTACTCCAGAGACTGAGGCCTGAGAATTGCTTGAACTTGGGAGGTGGAGGTGCATTGAGCTGAGATCATGCCACTGCACTCCAGCCTGGGTGAGAGAGTGGGACTCGGTCTCAAAAAAAAAAAAAAAAAAAAAGGATTCTCTATTTCCTGAATCATTGCCATCATATTTTCATTTAATTATTTGAACATACTTATAGTAGCTGCTTTGAAGTCTTTGCTAAACTCAACATCTGGGCCCACTCAGAGTCAGATTATATCAACTGCTTTTTTTCCTAAATATGGATCATGGTTTCCTGTTTACCTGTCTTATAATTTTTTTTGTTGAATACTGGACATTTCAGATGATCTATGTCTGGATTCTGAGTTGTTTTCCTGAGTCTTGTGTTCTGTTTGTTTTAGTTAAGTTGTTTGGACTTAAACTGCAAAACTTGCCCACCCACCCCTGCAGCCTCTGATATCTCTGCTCAGATTTTTAAATTCTTTTTTTTTTTTTTTTGAGATGGAGTCTTGCTGTATTGCCTAGGCTGGAGTGCCAGTGGTGCCATCTCAGCTCACTGCAACCTCCACCTCCTGAGTTCAAGCAATTCTCCTGCCTCAGCCTCCCAAGTAGCTGGGATTACAGATGTGTGCCACCATGCCTGGCTAATTTTTTGTTTTTTTAGTGGAGATGAGGTTTAACCGTGTTAGCCAGGATGGTCTCGATCTCCTGACCTTGTGATCCGCCCACCTCGGCCTCTCAAAGTGCTCGGATTACAGGTGTGAGCCACCACGCACGGCCTTAAATTCTATTTTTTAGTCTGGCTTCCTAGCAGTTGCTTCTGTGTTTGCATATGGTAGTGGTCAGCCAGGGATTTGGGCAAGAGGGTGTGCTCAAACACTCCTAACCCAAAAGGCTCCCCACCACACCATGTGGTTTCAGAGCACGTTGTGAGTTCAGCCAGCCCCTCTCTCTTTGCTTTCACTTCACCCTGGCCTCTCTTGGAGCTCCCAACACCTGCAGTGGTTTCCTCAAGAGCCAGGCCCTTCCTGGGAGAGCTGAGCCCTTCTGTGGCTCTCATTTTCAGAGTCTTCCTGTTAAGTATCTGGCTGGCCCAGTGCTCACTCCAGCTGGGATCACAGCCCCAAATGATCAGGGCTGTCAGTTTTCTTTGTAAGTGTTTATCGAGTCACCACTTTTAACTACGAGGCCTGGGTTTTCCCTTCTGTCCCACATCCACCTCTGCTGCTGCTGGTTTTTGCAGCCAGCCTTGACCTGGTAAATCACTCAGATTTGCTGACTCAGGAGTAGGAGCCAGGGGCAGCCCCAGGTGCAAAGGCTGTAGACTTCCCAGTATTCTGGCCCAAGGCCCAACATTTTTCAAGAAGAATCTCTTCTCAGTGAGTTCTCAGCTTTGGTCAGTTTCCAGAACTCTGAAAAGTTCTAAATCAGTGAGTTTTGATAATTTTGTCTAGTTTTAGATTATTTTTTCTTTTTTTCTTTTTTTTTTTTTTTGAGATGGAGTCTCACTTCGTCACCCAGGCTGAAGTGCAGTGGTGCGATCTTGGCTCACTGCAACCTCTGCCTTTTGGGTTCAAGCGATTCTCCTGCCTCGGCCTCCCGAGTAGCATAATTATAGGCGCACGCCATCACACCGGCTCATTTTTAAATTTTTGGTAGAGGTGGGGTTTCACCACGTTGGCCAGGCTGGTCTCAAACTCCTGACCTCAAGTGATCCGCCTACCTCAGCCTCCCAAAGTGCTGGGATTACAGGCGTGAGCCACCGCTCCCGGCCCATATTCGATTCAACGACCTCTCTACTTGAGTGTGGCTGGAACTCAGAAGCTTCTTTTAGTTTTAGATGTTGTTTGTTTTCAGGGTTAAGTCTTTACTAATTCTGGAATGTATTTCTGTCAATGCTGTGAGGTAGGTGATTGGGTTGGGATCTTTTATGTATGAAAACCCAGTTTTTAATTTTCTCTTGTGAAATCCATCGTCTTTCTCCTTGCACCCCATCTGTGATGCTTCCTCTGCCACACGAGGCTTTCTGTGTGAGGGGGGGCTCTTCCTGGAGGCTCTCTTTTGCTCCATTGATCGATTTGCCTGTTCTCTTGGTTTTCAGTTAACTTCATGGATATGCCATTAACTTCTCTCCATGGTTAGAAATTTAGGTTATTTCCAAGTTTTTCATATTTGGTTAATATCTTTGTGGCCAAATCTTTACATACATTCTCCTTAAAAATCATGTCACTGAGGCGGAAGGATTACATGAGCCCAGGAGTTCAAGACCAGCCTGGCCAACATGACAAGACCTTGGCTCAACAAAAAGATTCAAAAATTAGCTGGCATGGTGGCACACTCCCATAGTCCCAGCCACTTGGGAGGCTGAGGCAAGAGGATTGCTTGAGCCCAGGAGGTCAAGGTTGCAGTGAGCTGTGATCCTACCATGCACTTCAGCCTGGGCAAGAGAGCAAGACTCTACTGCGCACACACACACACACACACACACACACAAAATAATAGAAGCACTTTCTGGGTTAAAGAGTTTACAAATTTCAAGGCTTTTAATATTGTCAAATATTCTAGAAGAGGTTTTACTAATGATGGTGTGGGTGTGCTGAAGGGGCGTATTTAATCGAATTCACTCTGGGTTTAACCCTCTCTTTTTGAACATGTTCTCAGTCTCCTTTCAGCCAGTCTCTGCTGCAGTGCATTTGAGGCACAGTCCTGTAGCCCCTGGCGCCCCCGGTCATTGGCAGGGCCCTGTGTGCCTAAGAACAGTAGGCACTAGAAGGAACCGCCCAAAATCCTGGCCTGGGGAGGTGTACGAGGCCACCTTTGTCTACGCATGAGACAAAATCCCTGTTCCACCTCACTCTGCTCCACCCACCCGTTCCTACTGGAAAGACAGCCTTGGCTCCATGTCACGGGCTGAAGGCCTGTCCTCAGTTGCTCCTTTTTTGTTTTTTTGAGACAGTCTCACTCTGTCTTCCAGGCTGGAGTGCAGTGACACAATCTCTGCTCACTGCAACCTCCGCCTCCCGGGTTCAAGCGATTCTTGTGCCTCAGCCTCCCGAGTAGGTGGGACTATAGGCACGCGCCACCACACCCGGCTAATTTTTGTATTTTTAGTAGAGACGGGTTTCTCCATGTTGGCCAAGCTAGTCTCGAACTCCTGACCTCGTGATCCACCCGTCTCGGCCTCCCAAAGTGCTGGGATTACAGGCGTGAGCCGCTGCACCTGGCCCCTCAGTTGCTTTTGTGGGGTTGAAAGAACTTCCTTTTTGAAACGATGGCATGGCAGCAGTGGATGGCGGTTGGTTTTTCATGTCTTTATTTGGCAAAGTTGAAGATTGCAGTTCTGTCTGTCCCCACATTTCCTCTTCATTCTCTCTCTCTCTCTCTCTCTCTCTCTCTCTCTCTCTCTCTCTCTCTCTGTGTGTGTGTGTGTGTGTGTCTCGGTTTTGGTTTTAATTTTACTGGTTCACTGATGCCTAAAAGTCAAGGCATCACTATTTCATAAGCAGGTTCTCCTAGTTTGGGGGAGGACTCAGTCATGCACATACACACCCCCAGCACATCTGCCTTGATGCACTGGTGCTGTGGCCTGTGCAGTAGTGAGGCTGTGGGAGCTGCTGTCAGAAGGCTGCTGCCACACTGTGACTCCAGCAGAGGCGATGGGACACACGGGGCATATTCTGGAGCAGCCAAGTCCATCCCGAGAGAGAATGCGGGTGTCTGTGTGTGTGATGTGTGTGAGACTGTGTGTGTGTGTGCATGTGCATACATGTGTAAAGTGTACAGTTGGCCCTTGTGTGTGTGAGATTGTGTATGTGCATACGTGTGTAAAGTGTACAGTTGGCCCTTGGTGTGTGTGTATGTGTGCATGTGCATACGTGTGTAAAGTGTACAGTTGGTCCTTGGTGTGTATGTGTGCATGTGCATACGTGTGTAAAGTGTACAATTGGCCCTTGGTGTGTGTGTGATTGTGTGCATACGTGTGTAAAGTGTACAGTTGGCCCTTGGTGTGTGTATGTGTGCATGTGCATACATGTGTAAAGTGTACAGTTGGCCCTTGGTGTGTGTGTGATTGTGCATATGTGTGTAAAGTGTACAGTTGGCCCTGTGTGTGATTGTGTGTGCATATGTGTGTAAAGTACAGTTGGCCCTTTGTGTGTGTGAGATTGTGTGTGCATACGTGTGTAAAGTGTACAGTTGGCCCTTGGTATCTGCAGGTTCCATATCCATCATTTCAACCAATCTCGAGTTGAAAATAATTGGGGAAGAAAAGGATGGCTGCGTCTGTACACTGTATAACAACTATTTACATAGCATTTACATCGTATTAGGTACTGCAAGTAATCTAGGGATGATTTAAAGTACGTGGGAAGATGTGCGTAGGTTATATGCAAACACTATGTCATTATATATAAGGGACTTGAGCATCCTTGGATTTTGGTTTGCACAGGGGGTTTCCCATGGATACCAAGAGACTACGTGTGTATGCAAGTGTGAGTGTGTATATGCATGTGTGTATATGCATGCCATGTGTGTGCATGTATGTGTATATGCATATATGAGTGAGTGCACGTGACAGTCTACACGTGAGGGTGCATGTGTGTGCGCGTGTGGGTGACTGCATATGTGTGTGCATGTGTGGGTGCGGGTGCATCTGTGTGTGCATGTTTGGGTGCGGGTGCATGTGTGCGTGCACGTGTGTGTGGATGAGAGGTCGCATGTGTGTGGGTGAGGGCGTGTGTGTGTGCATGTGTGTGGGTGAGGGGGCATGTGTGTGCACGTGTGTGGGTGAGGTGTGTGTGTGCATGTGTCAGGGTGTGTGTGCGCGCATGTGTGTGGGTGAGGGCCTGTGTGTGCGTGTGTGTGGGTGAGAGATGTGTGCGCATGTGTGTAGGTAAGGGTGCTTGTGTGCGCATGTGTGTGGGTGAGGGCGTATGTGTGTGGGTGAGGGCACGTGTGCGCGCGTGTGGGTGAGATGGCGTGTGCGTATATCCATGTATGACTGCATCTGTATTTGCATGAGTTCATGTGTGAGTGCATGTTTATACGCGTGTCAGGGTCTCTGTGTATGTGTATGACGTGTGAGTACATGTGTTAATGTGTGTGTACATGTGTATATGCCTGTGTGCATGTGTGTATGCATGTGTATACATGTGTACTTGTGTATGTGTATATGTGTATGTCTGTATATGTGTGTGTATGCCTGTGTACGTATGTATATGCGTGTGTGTATGCATGTGAGTGCATGTTTATGCGTGTGTATGTGTACTTGTGTGTGCCTGTGTGAGTGCATGTGTGTGTACATGTGTATATGCGCGTGTGCGTATGCGTGTATGTGTACGTGTGTATATGCATGTGTGTGTATATGCCTGCATGTATATGCACAAGTGTGTATATATGTGTATGTGTGAGTGTATGTGTGCATGTGTATCTGTATGTGCGTGTGTATATGTGCATGTGTGTATGTGTGCGTGAGTGTGTGCATGTGTGTGTGTATGTGTGCGTGTGTATGTGTGTGCGTGAGTGTGTGAGAGTGTGTATGTATACGCACGCGTGTGTGTCTGTCTCCCTCAGGACAGTGCCCAGGCGGATGGGTCAGTGCTCCTGGGTTGGTTTGCCCCTGGTGGCCCATGTCTGAGCCCTGCCCCTTACGGCTCTGTCTGCAGGTTCTCCCATGGGCAGGTGGTCTCTCTGGATGAGCTGCGCCCCTTCCAGGACCCAGACCTGAGCTCCCTGCAGGCCGGCTCTGCGTGTCTGGCCAAGCACCAGGATGGCCTCTGGCACGCAGCACGCATCACCGGTGAGGCTGGCCGTGGGGGCCTCCCGGGAACACCCTCCCAGGCCCCACGTGTGTTGTCACTGTGTGGCTGCTCCCTGCTTCCTTTGGGTTGAGTGTCGGGACTCTGGCTCTGGGCCCGAAATGAGCACACCTACCCTCAGCCTCTGCCCTGCCTTGCTCCTCATGTCCAGGGTGGTTCCCTTCAGTGGCACCTGCTGTCAAGGATTCTGACCTGCAGCTTGTCTCTGCCCCCAGATGTGGACAACGGCTACTACACAGTCAAGTTTGACTCGCTGCTGCTGAGGGAGGCCGTGGTGGAGGGGGACGGCATCCTGCCCCCACTGCGCACAGAGGCCACAGAGTCCGACTCAGACAGCGACGGTACGGGTGACTCCAGCTATGCCAGAGGTATGGCAGCAGCTGCGGAGCCCAGGAGCCAGGAAGGTGGGGTCACCCTGAGAGGCTCCTGGCCGGTGAGGGCACCAACCATCTAACCAAACTATTGGAGAGTGTGTGACTGCGGCGAGGGTGCCACCTGTGCCTGAGGAGGCCGTGTGGGTAGGGGTAGATCCGTGGCGGCCTTTATCTTCAAGGAGTGTGGGTGCAACAGCTACAGTCTCATTGATGGGAGGCCATGGTCGTGGCTGTGGCCATGGGAGAGGAGGGGCCTGGAGTTGCCGAGGAAGTCACAGAAAATGACCAACTGATGGGGCCTGGAGTGCAGGAGGGGCAGCTCCTCTGCATGGCTTCTCAGACTTGGGACCTGGGTGCCTGGGATCCTGGCAGACAGAGGTTGTGTCCAGACAGCCAGCATGGAAGTTTCGGGAATGGGAACTGGTGGGCAGTGTCCAGCTCTCCAGAGGGGTGTGTGTATGCGTGTGCGTGTGTGTGTATATATGTGGGAGGTCACCTGACCCAAGCATGGCGGGCTGAGTCCAGGAGGGGTCTGCATGTTGGAGGTGTACCCAGGGATCAGTGATGGTGGTTTCTGAAGCCCCATGTCCCTGGTGAAGGAGGACTGAACCAAGGACTCTGTGAGGGCAGGTGAGGCGCTCACAGCCTCGCGAAGGTGGAGAAGGGCAGGGGCAGGAGAGGGCTGCGGAGGAGGGGCCACGGTGCAGCAGGCCGTGGGGACTGCCATGCACTCTGCCTGGTGTCACATGCCCACAGCAGCCTCGGTGACGAGAGCACGGAGCCCAAGAGGTGGGGTGTCGTGGCTCTGCCCAGGATCTGAGCTCATTGGTCAAAGCCCGGGTCACCATGCACAATCCTCTGGCCTGGCTGGGCCACTGCCCTCTGTCCATCTCTTGCAGTGGTGGGGTCGGACGCCGTGGACTCTGCACAGTCCTCTGCCCTCTGTCCGTCTCTTGCAGTGGTGGGGTCAGATGCTGTGGACTCTGGGACCTGCAGCTCTGCCTTTGCTGGCTGGGAGGTGCACACGCGAGGTATAGGCTCCAGACTCCTCACCAAGATGGGCTATGAGTTTGGCAAGGGTGAGTACAAGCTGCCCTGGAGAAGTGGGCAGGCTGCTGCAGCATAGCCCAGGTCCAGCAGCCATCAGGTTCCCGGGGTCCCGCAGCCATCGGGTTCCCAGGGTCCCGCAGCCACAGCACTGCCATCCCCGTGCTCCTCAGATTCCCGGGGTCCCGCGGCCACAGCACTGCCATCCCCGTGCTCCTCAGATTCCCAGGGTCCTACGGCCACAGCACTGCCATCTCCGTGCTCCTCAGATTCCCGGGGTCCCGTGGCCACAGCACTGCCATCCCCGTGCTCCTCAGATTCCCGGGGTCCCGCAGCCACAGCACTGCCATCCCCGTGCCTCCGCAGGTTTGGGCCGACACGCGGAAGGCCGGGTGGAGCCCATCCATGCTGTGGTGTTGCCTCGAGGGAAGTCGCTGGACCAGTGTGTGGAGACCCTGCAGAAGCAGACCAGGGTTGGCAAGGCTGGCACCAACAAGCCCCCCAGGTGCCGGGGAAGAGGGGCCAGGCCTGGGGGCCGCCCAGCTCCTCGGAATGTGTTTGACTTCCTCAATGAAAAGCTGCAAGGTCAGGCTCCTGGGGCCCTAGAAGCCGGGGCGGCCCCAGCGGGGAGGAGGAGCAAGGACATGTACCATGCCAGCAAGAGTGCCAAGCGGGCCCTGAGCCTGCGGCTCTTCCAGACTGAGGAGAAGATCGAGCGAACCCAGCGGGACATCAGGAGCATCCAGGAGGCTCTCGCCCGCAACGCTGGCCGGTACGTGTGGGGCCCAGCTCAGGGCAAAGGGCGACCCAGGGTGGCCCTGCCCCCGGGATACATGCTGGAGGTCACCTGACCCAAGCATAGCGGGCTGAGTCCAGGAGGGGTCTGCATGTTGGAGGACGGGCAGCGGGCACACAGGCAGTGGGTACGGCAGACTGGGGTTGGTGGCATGGCCCAGGACCCCACGCTGACTAGTGAGCCCCTCCGCAGGCATAGCGTGGCGTCAGCCCAGCTGCAGGAGAAGCTGGCAGGAGCCCAGCGCCAGCTGGGGCAGCTCCGGGCTCAGGAAGCCGGCCTGCAGCAGGAGCAGAGGAAGGCAGACACCCACAAGAAGATGACTGAGTTCTAGAGACCCCACAAGCACTATGGACGAAGCGTGGGACCCCAGCACGGGCTGCCCTCAGGAAGACCAGTGTTGCCCGAGGAGGGGCCGGCCTGCTGGCCTGGGGCGTGCAGACACTGCTGAGTGGAGACAGAGCTGCGGGGTCCCATCTGGACACTTACTTGCCCACCTGCCAGTGTCTTGGGCATTTCCTTGGCAAGGACATTAAAGTGATTTCATCACAGTGTCATTCAGTGGAGATCAGCTGGCTGCAGGGTCTCTGGGGAGAGAAGGGTCTGTGCAGGGCTGTGGTGAGAGACGGGCTGGGCTGGAGGGGCCTAGGAGGCCGGCATTCTCCCTTCTTACCCTTCTCTGACCAAGGCAGATCGGAGGCCAGGGTGCCCGCCAGGCTGCCTGACACCCACAGATGGGTGGAGCTCAGTGCTGCTCCAGCGGGCGAGACGGGCGGGAGAGGACTGTGGCCCACCACGTGGGGCACTCTTGGTGAGGCAGGCGGACCTGGCCCTGTGGGTTTGGGGGTTCTGTGCCAGCTCTGCTCACGTCTTCGTGTGTGGAGGGGTTGTGAGTTAGGCTGTCAGAACAGTGCGGGCTAGAGGCGCACACGTTTCATCTAGGCTTCGGGCGGGGCGCAGCAGGTGGGTGAGGCTGCGGTGGTGGCTGCTGCCCAGGGTGGGAGGCTCAGGGGAGGCGCTTGGCGACAGGAGCAGGAAGTGATGAGGTGGGGAGCTCAGCCGAGGGCTGCACAAAGACCTTCCTGGCCTGCCCCAGACAGAGCTGAGGACCCCTGGCCGTGGGCTTGGTAAGTGCCCTCCTGGGGGGCAGCTGGGGTCTGGGAGGCCTTGGGATGTGGCTGCAGCTGGGTCAGTCAGCCAGGCTGAAGCCCACTCCCTGGGTCTGAGCAGACTGGCCCCAAACTCCAGAGACCACCCCTCACCCCCCAGCTTCTGTCTCTGCTGCTGGACTGTGCTGTTTGTAAGGCATCCCCCACCCCGAGAAGTTCTGCTAAGATCCCCAAGAAGGGGACAGATCCTCTCTGGCAGAGACACTGGCAGACAAGAAGAGCCAGAGAGAAGTGGGGTGGGGGCATCAGCACCCCCAGCAGCTGCTGCTGCCTGCTGACCCAGCCTCCAGCTCCTCCGGGTGCAGGGTCCCTCCTGCTGACCAGCCTCCAGCTCTTCCCAGTTCTGGGCTCCGCAGCGAGCGGCTTGGGGGCACTACCTGACACAGGAGACCATGTCTGGGCAGAGGGTGGCTGCAGGTGGAGTCTGTGGCCTGTGGCGCACACCCAGGGGCTCCCCCGATGCTGGTTACTATCTGGGCTATGGTGGCCACAGCTGTCTTGCCCCTCCTCACGGCCGTGCTGGGTGTTACCGTGGTCACCCGCAGGGACACGGAGGGGCCAGGCAGAGCAGCCCTAGTTCACCTCACCGGGAGCCCCCGCCAGAAGGTGGGCACCTCTGGGAGGGAGGGACTGCCAGGCCTTGGGGCTTCCTGTGCTGAGTCAGAGCTGGAACGGGAGACGCAGGAGCCCCGCAGCCGCGGGAGGTGCAGATTTGGGGCTGCCAGGTGGCGCCAGGTCCCCTTGGCCAGCCCCCAGCGCCCCTTTCTTCTGTCCCCAGGGCCTCGGCTTCACAGGATGGGGCTGCCAGTGTCCTGGGCCCCTCCTGCCCTCTGGGTTCTAGGGTGCTGCGCCCTGCTCCTCTCGCTGTGGGCGCTGTGCACAGCCTGCCGCAGGTAGGTCCCTCAGCCGCGTTCTGTCTGGGGCCTCGCTGCGGCTGCCATTCACAGCCCAGCGCGGGAAGGGGCTGGAGGCAGGTCCGCGCACCCAGCTCGGCACGCGCGCCTGCACCGGGCCTTGGACCCGAGGCTGACGACCCCGCCCCCCGCCCCCCACCTCTACCCCCAAGGCCCGAGGACGCTGTAGCCCCCAGGAAGAGGGCGCGGAGGCAGCGGGCGAGGCTGCAGGGCAGTGCGACGGCGGCGGAAGCGGTGAGTGCCAGGCTGTCCCGGGGACCAGGGTGGGGTCCGCAGGGCACCGACCAGCCTTCCTCGCCCCCAGTCCCTACTGAGGCGGACCCACCTCTGCTCCCTCAGCAAGTCGGACACCAGACTGCACGAGCTGCACCGGGGCCCGCGCAGCAGCAGGGGTGAGCAGAGGGCGGGGCGGGGGCGGCCGGGCGGGGCTTACTGTGCAGCGCGTGCCAACCCCTGGGCCAGACCCGCTCCTGCCCCCTGCCCGGAGTGAACTCTGCCCTGACCCCACCCCCAGCCCTGCGGCCTGCCAGCATGGATCTCCTGCGCCCACACTGGCTGGAGGTGTCCAGGGACATCACCGGACCGCAGGCAGCCCCCTCTGCCTTCCCACACCAGGAGCTGCCCCGGGCTCTGCCGGCAGCTGCAGCCACCGCAGGGTGCGCTGGCCTCGAGGCCACCTATTCCAACGTGGGGCTGGCGGCCCTTCCCGGGGTCAGCCTGGCGGCCAGCCCTGTGGTGGCCGAGTATGCCCGCGTCCAGAAGCGCAAAGGGACCCATCGCAGTCCCCAAGAGCCACAGCAGGGGAAGACTGAGGTGACCCCGGCCGCTCAGGTAACGTGGGCCAGGGTAGGGCGCTGTGGGTGGGGCCGGCAGATCCTCAGCAGGTTGGATGGTGCTGACCCCTCCTCGGGTTGGCTTCCTGTCTCCAGGTGGACGTCCTGTACTCCAGGGTCTGCAAGCCTAAAAGGAGGGACCCAGGACCCACCACAGACCCGCTGGACCCCAAGGGCCAGGGAGCGATTCTGGCCCTGGCGGGTGACCTGGCCTACCAGACCCTCCCGCTCAGGGCCCTGGATGTGGACAGCGGCCCCCTGGAAAACGTGTATGAGAGCATCCGGGAGCTGGGGGACCCTGCTGGCAGGAGCAGCACGTGCGGGGCTGGGACGCCCCCTGCTTCCAGCTGCCCCAGCCTAGGGAGGGGCTGGAGACCCCTCCCTGCCTCCCTGCCCTGAACACTCAAGGACCTGTGCTCCTTCCTCCAGAGTGAGGCCCGTCCCCCGCCCCGCCCCGCCTCACAGCTGACAGCGCCAGTCCCAGGTCCCCGGGCTGCCAGCCCGTGAGGTCCGTGAGGTCCTGGCCGCTCTGACAGCCGCGGCCTCCCCGGGCTCCAGAGAAGGCCCGCGTCTAAATAAAGCGCCAGCGCAGGATGAAAGCGGCCAGCCTCGCAGCCTGCTCTTCTTGAAAGCTGGGCGGGTTGGGGCGGGGGGCTTCTCTGGAAGGCTTGGAGCTGTCCCCTCTGGCCTTGGGGGACTGGCTGCCCCCGGGGCGCCCGGGCCTAGCCGAGGCGGTGCTCCTGCCGGCCAGACTCTCGGTCAGTGCGGGCACGGGGTCCCAGCCACTCCTAGGGGGCAGCGCAGCCGGCAGGGTGGCCGCCCCCGGGTGGGACTTGGACCCTGGACTCCACGGGAGGGCTCCGCCACCCAGCCTGGTGTTACATAAGGGGTGGTGGAGGTGGGCAGTCGAGCGTTAAAGAGTAACCTGCTGCCGGGAAGCCCGCCAAGCAATCGCGGCCCCTTCCCCGGCTCTGGCAGCTCTGCGAGCGCGCCCGTGGGGAACGGGCCCTCCCCGGCGGGGCGCGCGGGCGCGCGAGGTGGGCGGAGGCCTCGGAGCTGTGCCGGGCCGGGCCTCCCTCCCTAGGCCAGCGCGGGAGCGACCCGGAGGGGGCGGGCCCGGGGCGGGGCCTCGAAGCGCTGGCCGGCGGGAGCGCGGCCGGCCGGGCCCGCCCGCCTGCGGTGTGGACGCCGCGCGGCCAATGCGCGCGCCGGGACGGGACGGGACGGGGCGGGGCGGGGCGGGACGAGACGGGGCGGGGCGGGGCGGGCCGGGCAGCCTCCGGGCGGCGCGGCGCGGGCGGCGGCCGGATCCAGGGCGGGGGTCGGCGGCCCGGCCAGCCCGGCCCGGCCCGGGGCCGCGTCCTGAGAGTCAGCCCTCGCCGCTGCAGCCTCGGCGCCCGGCCGGCCGGCCATGGAGCGCCCCCCGCCCCGCGCCGCCGGCCGGGACCCCAGTGCGCTGCGGGCCGAGGCGCCGTGGCTGCGCGCGGAGGGTCCGGGGCCGCGCGCCGCGCCCGTGACGGTGCCCACGCCGCCGCAGGTACCGGGCGCCGGTGGGCGGGGGCGCCGACCAAGTTTCTCTCGCTGCAAAGATGGCGTCAGTGCTGCCCAAACTTCGGGCCCCCGGGGGCGGGGCAGCGGGGAGGGCGGCCGCGTCGGTCCGCGCGTGTCCGTGGGTCCCGCCGGGGCTGCGCCGGGCGGCCGGGGAGCCCTTCCCGCCGCGCCGGGCTGGGGGCGGGGCCGGGGGCGGGGCCGCGCCGTCCACACCGGCCGCAGCCGGTTTTCGAGGCGGGCGCCGAGCGGATCCGCGGCGGAGGTTGAGGGACCCCCCTCCCCCGGCCACCGCCTCCGCTGAGTCTGCCCCCTCCCCATCCGCAGGGCTCTTCCGTGGGCGGCGGCTTCGCGGGCTTGGAGTTCGCGCGGCCGCAGGAGTCGGAGCCGCGGGCCTCGGACCTGGGGGCCCCCCGGACGTGGACGGGGGCGGCGGCGGGGCCCCGGACTCCGTCGGCGCACATCCCCGTCCCAGCGCAGAGGTGAGCGGGAGGCCCGGTGCCTCGGGACTCGGTGTGCGCAGGGGCGGTGGGTGGGGTGCGGAGACACCGGCCCCGACGGAGGCCAGGTCAGGGCCCCAGGTTTGTAATTACCAGCCACCCCCAAGCTCTTCAGCCCTGGAGGAGCTGAGCAGAAATGATCGATGACTGGGAGTCCCTACACCTCCCTCCACCGCAGTTCCTCGGGGCTAGAGCTCAGAACCCGGAGCGGGTGGCTGTGCGTCTCTGTGCAGAAGAGGCTGCGCGGTCGGCATGGGGCGACTGTCCAGGAATCCCTGGGGCTCCTGACCGCCACCTCCCAACCCCTGCCAGGCCGGACACCTCGGTCTGGCTGCCAGGGCAGGGGCGGGCCCTGGCCTGGCTCGCTGGGGCCTGGGGAGCTGCCCGTGCTTCCAGCCCAGTCTCCCCCTGGCTGCTGCCGGCTGCTGGCCACTCCCACCTCCCAGGCCTGGCGTGAGGCCCACAGCTGCTGTTGCACAACCCTGGTTAATGTGTGATGGGGGGAGGCCTGGGCCTGGCCCGCCCCTCTGCCAGGGCTTCAGACCCCTGCCCAGCCCCAGTATCTGAAGGAACCACAGTGGAGCCAAGCCCGCGATGTGGAGAACTCAGGCTTCAGGAGACCCTGGCCCTGCTCCTGGCGGCTCCGGGTGGCTTTCAGCTCTCTCTGCAACCTGAGCTGGGGGAGGAGCCAGGCCTCATGCCCAGGGCTGGGAGTGGGGAGCCTGGTGTGCACGCGTGCCCAGGCCTGCACGTGGACCGACCAGGGGAGGGGCCCAGAGCTCTGGCTGGGTCACCCGCACCCCGCCCCCATCTCCTCCAGAGCCACCCCAGGAAAAGCCCGGCTGGACGAGGTCATGGCTGCCGCTGCCCTTACAAGCCTGTCCACCAGCCCTCTCCTTCTGGGGGCCCCGGTTGCAGCCTTCAGCCCAGGTAAGACTCAGATGTCTGCATTTAGGGGTGTGGGTGGGGACAGGGCTCAGAACCTACAGCCACCCAGCCTCTGTGGGGCAAGCAGAGCCCTCAAACCTGGGACTCCTTTCTAAAATGGACTCCCGCACCCTCAGTGCCCCCTACTGAGGCCAAAGCGGCAGGACCCAGGCCTTCTGGCCTCCCTGACCTGCTCACCTCCACGCGGCTGGCCACACACGTCTGCCAACCCTTTCCTGTGCCGGGGGGGTTTCTCCCCAAGCCCTGGGGCCAGCTCCTCCAAGACGCTCTGCCCACCAGTCTCACCGGACTTGGTGAACAGGGGCAGCTCAGGAT
This sequence comes from Homo sapiens, assembly GCF_000001405.40. Classification (NCBI taxonomy): domain Eukaryota; kingdom Metazoa; phylum Chordata; class Mammalia; order Primates; family Hominidae; genus Homo; species Homo sapiens. The sequence continues at coordinate 63,741,813 of NC_000020.11, forward strand.
TAGGGACTCCCTGGACCCACCCGAAGTTCTAAGGCGGGGGGCCCGTGTCCCCACAGAGCCTGGCCTGGAGCCCTGGAAGGAGGCCCTGGTGCGGCCCCCAGGCAGCTACAGCAGCAGCAGCAACAGTGGAGACTGGGGATGGGACCTGGCCAGTGACCAGTCCTCTCCGTCCACCCCGTCACCCCCACTGCCCCCCGAGGCAGCCCACTTTCTGTTTGGGGAGCCCACCCTGAGAAAAAGGAAGGTGAGCTTGGGGGCGGCCCCCAGGGAGGGGCGGGTGTGGCGGCTGAGCCTGACCCTGGCCCCTGTTGCTGCAGAGCCCGGCCCAGGTCATGTTCCAGTGTCTGTGGAAGAGCTGCGGGAAGGTGCTGAGCACGGCGTCGGCGATGCAGAGACACATCCGCCTGGTGCACCTGGGGTGCGGCGGGGCCTGGGGTGCGGCGGGGCCTGCGGGTTGGCTGGGGTTGTGAGGCCCGGCCAGGCCACCCCTTCAGCTCCCACTGGCTGGCTGTGTCTCCCGCAGGAGGCAGGCAGAGCCTGAGCAGAGTGATGGTGAGGAGGACTTCTACTACACAGAGCTGGATGTTGGTGTGGACACGCTGACCGACGGGCTGTCCAGCCTGACTCCAGTGTCCCCCACGGCCTCCATGCCGCCTGCCTTCCCCCGCCTGGAGCTGCCAGAGCTGCTGGAGCCCCCAGCCCTGCCTAGTCCCCTGCGGCCGCCTGCCCCGCCCCTGCCCCCGCCCCCTGTCCTGAGCACCGTTGCTAACCCCCAGTCCTGTCACAGTGACCGTGTCTACCAGGTGGGTGAGGCCACGGGTGGCAGCTGGGGCGGGTCTCAGGGCTCTCTGGAGGGGAGTGAAGCCCTGGCTGTGTCTCCCTGTAGGGCTGCCTGACGCCCGCCCGCCTGGAGCCGCAGCCCACGGAGGTCGGAGCCTGCCCACCCGCCTTGTCCTCCAGGATCGGAGTCACCCTGAGGTGCGTGTGGGCTGAGGGCCTGCGGCTGGCACCAGGTGGGGAGGGTCCTGGTCTCACAGCACCCCATGTCCTGTGACCCCCCGCACAGGAAGCCCCGCGGCGACGCGAAGAAGTGCCGGAAGGTGTATGGCATGGAGCGCCGGGACCTCTGGTGCACAGCCTGCCGCTGGAAGAAAGCCTGCCAGCGGTTCCTGGACTAAGTCCGGCTCGTTCAAGAACATAAGCTACCACCTTCTCCCTCCCCACCCCCTCCAGGCCCGGGGCTGAAACAGCCCGAGGACAGCCCCAGGGGCTGGCTTTCACCAGCTGCAGGGTCTGCTTTTACTTGGGGTGGGGGGGCGGGGCTGACCCTGAACCCTCCCCCCCGCCAGGTCGGGGAGGGGTCCCACCACTCAAAGTGCCTCTAAAGAAACCAGCTTTTTGCACTAAAGCCAAACCACACCGCTGTCCCCTTAGCCCCAAGGGCCCTGGGGGCAGCCACCCTCCCGCCTGTCGGCCCGTAGATTTATCAAGGGTGTTATGGGCCCAGCTTTGGGGGGCCAGTCCCGATGCACTTTGAGGGGTGTTGGAGAGGGGACTCCCCCACTCGCACTTAACTCAACGGCTCTCGGGCCCTGGGGCTGTTTTTACCATGTTTGTTTTTGAAGCTCAGGTGTCTCACGTCTGGGCTGCACCAGGCGAAGAGAGAAATTAAAGATTTGAGGTTTTTCCAGAAGCTTTGTCTGCCTCTCGGGAGGAAGGCCGTGGGGCTGGGACCCTGTGGTGGGCAAGTGGGTGGAGTCTGGCAGCTGCCCACAGAGGGCCGAGGGTCACCCGTCGGCCGCCGCCACCCCAGGCGAGGCCGGAGGAAGGATCATCTGAGACGCAGGAGGCATCTGCTGGAGCAGCAATTTCCCAATTTATTGAAAGTGATCGCTTTGCAAGGATGTCTAAGCTAATCCCGTCACAGAAAGGAAACGCACAGGCGCCTAGGCAGAAACTTGGAGACTCACCGCAGAGGCCACGTGAACCCACGGCCACAGAGAGGCAGGACGGCAGAGCCATGATTTCCCACCGAGCGATTACGAGAACCTCTTCCCCCAATAGTAGACACATCTCCAATACAAACACAGGTTTATAATAAGTAATAGGAAGTCAATATAATATAGATTATCCCCAGAAAAAAATCAACAATCTTCAAACACTGCCCTTTTTTTGTGTGTTTTGTTTTTGTTGACAGGTTGAAAGCATGTTGAAAAAAATAAATATTTAAGAAAAGCACACACAGCACCCTCACTACAAGTAGTTCTAAAAGGGCTGCATACAAAACACAATATAAGATCTAAAAAAAACCACCACCATTAAGTATGGCTTTCTTAAGAGTCGCACATGTCACAGAATGAGCTAAAATAAGATTACTTCTTTTATAATATTGCAAAAAGTTCCAGTTTTTGCATTTTCTCAGTTTTTTAAAGAGGAAGATGTGCAAAGTTGGAAGCAGTAAGCTGCGTCTTCTGAGTCAGTTCCCTACGTAGCCCTGGCAGTGTCCTGTGTCCCAAAGCTCAGAGAGCCCCAGTGTACAACCTGGTCAGGATCCAGAGCTTGACAGAAAAATCGTGGTGTCCCTGCCCCCTCCCCGCCCCCAAATAACACCATCCCCAATGGACTGTATTTCCCACTTTGGTGTTGTAAACACCAAAATACAAACAGACACAAACAAAAATACAAAATGTGAAATGTAATCTACACATTTTTCCTCTTCATAAAAAAATATTTATTAGTTTGAACATCGATTTAAAAAAAAATCAGTCACATAAAAAAAACCCTTCATGACATGTCTTTTCCCTCCACGCCTCCTGAGATGGACGTGCTCACCTGGGCCTCGGAAATCCCACACTCTTCAGTCGGCAAACTGCGAACAAGAACAGGAAATCTGCCACGCAGCAAACACTTGGGGAGGTCAGTGGGACACTGTTGGTTTTAGGGAAGAAAATGCCCCTGTAGCTCCGGCGGGGAACCCCAAAACGGTCAGCAAAGGCAGGCCACACGGAGTGAGCCGGCCAGATGGAGCAGGACATCCTGAGTGTGGAGGGGGAGGCGGGCCTGGGTCCTGGGCAGGGTGGCCTGAGAGCAGGGACTGGTACAAAACCCAGAGACATTGGTGGGTAGCAAAGGTCTGGTTTCCAAATGCATTTTGTAAGAAAGTCAGTCTGTTTAGAAAAAGGGTTTAAAAATCAGGGGAAAGGTACAAAGTTCTGAGAATTCTCAAAGAGGCCGGGGTGGGGCTGGCCTGGGGTGAGGGCTGGAGGGCTCCGCTGCAGCTCCCTGGTAGCCATGCTCTCCCCCTGGGGGACTCGTGCCAGAGCCACCCACCTTGCTCGGTAAGAGTGGGCAGGGCTCACCGCTGAGGGGCCAGCGCTTGGCCCGGCTCCTATCCCCACACTCCGTGTGCAGAAAAATCTTGGCCTCTTTCTCCAGCTTTGAGGAGCCCACAGCCTCCGAGCTGAGGGGTGTGTGTGATGACAGCTCCAGCCAGGGCACCCTGTCATTGGTAGAACCGGGGGCCAATGTCAAAAAACAAAAGCCGTGACTCCTGCGCTGTACCTGGAGTCCTCCATGTACTCCTCCACAGGACCCCCGGCCAGCCCCAGCCCTCCCCGAGCAGCAGCGGTCAGGGAAGCTGGTGCTCTACCTGACAATGTGGGGAAAAGCCTGGTATACAGGCTAGAAAAAGAGAGTAAAAACTCTTTCCACGCAGCCCTGAAGCTCAGCACTCCGGGGGGTCTTCACACGGGCAGGTCCTGGAGGGAAGGAGGAGGCCACCGCGCCCACCTCCCATCTGAAGGCACAGCACCGCAGTGGTGGCCTGTGCCAGAGGAGGGGGTGAAGGATGGAATGTCCTCATGGTGAGTGCTGTCAGAGGCAGGCCTGAACGAGAAGACAGGCCGTGGCAACGGTCCCGAGGCTGTGAGTCTAGGCAGCCTGCCTCCGGGACCCCCAAAGCCAGGCGGTGCACCACAGCACACACCGTGGGACCTTTGCTTTTCACTCAGGAAAAGAAAGAACATGTGAGTGCTTCTGAAAACACAGCAAGAGGACTTGAGCACAAGCTAAAGGAAAAACAACCCTATATAGTTTCTTCGAGTGAGAAAAATAATGCCAAACAAAATAATTTTATGTAACTACCTCGATATGTCTCTGACTACTTAAAAATTTGGTTACCCACGCGGGGAGGTGTAAGCAGCACACTGCAGTTAGGAACACCGCCTCCAGTGTTAGCAGCAAAGGCAGGAGCCCAGCTCCAGCCCGTCCAGGAGGGGTCAGCAGGAGCGGCCGGGCTGGGCCATGGGCAGAACAGGACGGGCAGAGCCCGGGGTGGACGTGGCAGCCCAAGGCTCTCCGAGGAAGTGCACACGACTGAGCCGAGGCCCTTGCAGAGGGAACCTGGTGTGGCCTGAAGTGGTGGGGGGCACAGGGCTGAGGGTCCCCTCCTGGAAGGAGCCCCCAGGGCTGTGTCCACCTAAGATAGCACCTGGAGCCCTCGGCCTCCAGCAGGGTCTGCAGCTGTGTTGTGTGTTAAGCACCAAAGCCCAGAGGTAAGACGGTGGCAGGGCTCTCTGTGCACCTGGATTCTACAGGCTGCCATGGGCCACGGCTGCACCACGGGCCACGGCTGCAGCCACAGGCAGTGACCTGGCTGCTAGGGGAGGGGAGGGCGGGCTCCAGCCGGGCTGACCGGGTGTCTGTAAAACTCTGCACCTGCTCAGGCCAGGGGCCTCTGGGCCGAACACACCACCCCGCCCAGTGCCCACTGGACCCGGCCACAGGCCCATCACGTGTCCAAGCCAGGCTGGCCATCACAGGGGCCACTCACACACCCGCACCACCTGCTGGGGACTTAGGACCGTGCTCTCCCTTCACTCAAACCCACCCTGTGCCCTCCCCCAACTCACTTCATGTCTGGTCCCAGAGCACCCCTCTTGCTGGGGTCGCACCTGCTTAGCCCGCAGGGCTGGTTTCCGTGGGGGGTGGGTTCAGGGGGAAGCAGAGGAGGGGCCGCGAGAGGGGTGAGCGTGGCCCTGGCCCCGCAGTGGAGACCCACCGGACACACACACGGGTGGACGGAGCGAGGCAGCCACCGACCCTGCCGGCGGGCGGGCCTAGGAGAGCCAGGCGAAGTCCTTGTCAGGGCCTCCTGGGGGGCTGCGCGGCCGCGGCGAGTCTTCCTCATCCTTGTCGTCCGCCAACAGCGCATCCTCAGGGGCCAGGCCCTCGTCGTCCTCGCCCAGCTCCTCCGCCTCCCCTCGTGGGTCCTCAGGGTCCTCCAGATAGGGCCCGTCGCCTGGGAACAGCGCCTCTGGAGAGCCCTCGCCGCCTCCGCCGCCATGGTCCAGGGGCCCGGCCATGCCGCGGCCAGCACAGTCGGTGCACACACCGTGGCGCCTGGAGCCATGCCTGATGCCCACGCTGGCGGCGGACATGAAGACGCGGCTGCACACCTTGCACACATACTTCTTGTCCTTGCTGTGGACCTGCAGAGGCAGGGCAGGGGGTGAGCAGGGCCTGGTGGGTTGGGGGGCGGGGCAGGGGGTGAGCAGGGCCTGGTGGAGGTGGGGGGGGCAGGTGGTGAGCAGGGCCAGGTGGAGGTTGGAAGAGGGGGCAGGGGGTGAGCAGGGCCTGGTGGAGGTGGGGGGGGCGGGGCAGGGGGTGAGCAGGGCCCGGTGGAGGTTGGGAGGGGGGCCAGGGGGTGAGCAGGGCCTGGTGGGTGGGGGGGGTGCGGGGGTGAGCAGGGCCCGGTTGGGGTTGGGGGGGCACAGCCTCCCGGGCCCTCCGAGTGTCTGCACAGGCAGAGACTCCTGGTGGGGGAGGTGCGCAGACAGGAGTGCTCAGACCTTGAGCCCCAGCTCCTATCAGAGCCACACAGCAGAACTGCAGGTGGCACCAAGGCAGCCCTGTCCCAAGGGGATGCTGGCACGAGGGCGGCAGTGCCCCTCCCCCGCAAACCCAGCCCCTAGGTGGGCCAGTCTCAGCGTCTACACTGTGTGTCCAAGCACCCCCACCAGAGGCCCCCTGGGTTGACACACTTCTCACGGGGGTCACACCACCGGCCTCTGCCTAAAAGCCTGGCTTCCTCCAAACCTCCCTGCAGGACAGGCTGAGGGCCCCGCATTGGACTGGAGCTCACAGAGCTCTTCCTGTACCCAGCCGTACAGGGACGGGCCGGGGTTGGGGCTGCCAGCCGGGCAGGTGGGCCCACACCTCAGCCTGGCTGCGTGGACACCCCCTCAGCCCCTGACCCCCTCAGTCCCTGACCCCTCAGCCCGACCCTGACTCCAGGAACGTGTAAAGGAGGCAACTCCCCCACTCTCAGGCTGTTTCAAGGTCGACTGAGACATGCAAGAAGAGAGATGAGCACTTATGGTCAGAGGAGGAGGTGTGGCTGCCAGGGAGGGCAGTCGTGCTGTGCCCTGTGCTGGGCCCGGCAGGGAGATGGGGCAGCACCCTGAAGAGGGCCCATGTGGCAGGACGCGAGGTGCTGGGTTCCTGGAGGGTCTCAGCACTGGCCTCAAGGCCTGAGGGAACTACCACACACTGCTGGGGACATGTGGCCCCAGGTGGGCTTCCGCTGAGGGTGGGTGTGGACACCTGTGCTGTGCAGAACCAGACCTCAGACATGGCCAGGGATGGGGAGAGGTGGCCCTTGTACCCACTCACGGGCACCCTCGGCCACGCCAGCTAGAGGAGGCCTTGGGGGGCTGGCCCTGATCCCTCACAGCACAGCCCCTGTCTCTGCCCTCCAAGGACCGAGAGGGCAGGACCCACAGAGGACCCCAATAGCAACCCCTGGCCCCTGGCCAAGTCCACACGAGGGGCTTCTCTGAGGTGGGCTGGCCTCAGGTCAGTCCTCCAGGCTGAACCCGGCAATGACCCCAGGCTCCCCTCGGCTCCTCCCTCCATCCACAGGGCTGTCTCCCGGGGCCTGCAGCACCTCTGAGGCTGCACGGAGAACTGAGGCTGGGATGTGCTTGTGAGTTTAGCTCTTCCTTAAACCATTCCAAACTCACCAGTTTTCTCCCATGAGCAAGTACATACATAATCAATGTGTGTCATGGCGGAAGACGGTCCTGCTACACTTGCAAAGACCTCTGACGGGCAGGCACCACAGCTACCACCTCCCCATCCTGGGGCTGGACCCGGGCCCTTACGTACTTCCTGCCTCAGTGTTCCGAATCCACAGGCCGACAGGCCACCCAGCACGGCCCGACCTCCCCTTCTAGACCCGCTTCCTTGAGGGCAGAGGTGCCTGTAACTTCTTCCACAAAGCCGGGAACCATAAAGACCTCACTTCTCAAATGTCTGCTTCCAGAGCAACTGTGTGAGCTCTAAGCCTGGACCGGGATGGGCGCTGTCCAGGGATGTGAGACCTTCAGGGGCAGCTGGTGGCTTTCAGGGCCAGGGCAGCACCACACAGCACACCTCAGATGCCCAAACACGCTAACCCTAGAAACAGAGCCTCAGACAACTTGGTGCCAGAACTGCTCCTTTGGGCTTTTGTTTTGCTGTATTTTATTTATTTATTTTTTTGAAACAGAGTCTCGCTCTGTCACCCAGGCTGGAGTGTAGTGTTGCCATCTCGGCTCACTGCCAGCTCCGCCTCCCGGGTTCATACCATTCTCCTGCCTCAGCCTCCCAAGTAGCTGGGACTACAGGCACCCGCCACCACGCCCAGCTAATTTTTTGTATTTTTAGTAGAGACGGGGTTTCACCGTGTTAGCCAGGATGGTCTCGATCTCCTGACCTCGTGATCTGCCCGCCTTGGCCTCCCAAAGTGCTGGGATTACAGGCGTCAGCCACCGCGCCCAGCCTGTTTTGCTGTATTTTAAACCAAGGACTTCCAGAACAAAAATTCAAGACAAGCCACAGTAGAAACTTCCCAGCACAGTAACCTGGTGCACACAGGCCCAGGAAGGGTTGGAGCGGGGCTAGTGAAAAACACTGAGGCCCCTTGAGGCCTAGGCTCCCATGTGTGCAGGGGCCAGGGCACCTGAGGAGGCAGCAGGGGCAGCTTGGGGTGGCACAGGGACCATGTGGCCAGGGCTGGATGGCTGGGAACTCATGCAAATGGGCAAATGCCCTGGAAGGAAGCAAGAAGGAAGACGGGACACCTTGGCAGCCCGCCCAGGCTCTGGGGCACTGTGGCTGCAAGAGCACGGCTGGCCCACCCTCCAAATGTGGCCCTGCCAAGGCATGGGGGGCCCTGCCCCAGCCACTGGTGCTCTTCCTGGAGCGGGTGGAGGGGCCACCCAGGCCAGGGAAGGGCTGACAGTGCTCGTAAGTGCCATCGTGAAAGTGGAGGCTGGACCGGCTAGAGCTGCTGTCTCACACTCGGGTCTCCACGCTCTCAGGTCCAGGACCCCAGAGAAGGCCACACACAGAGCCTCTCCTCAGAAAAAGTCAAGCCCCATATGCTTGCTTGTGTTTGTTGTTCTTTAGAGACAGGGTCTCACTCTGTTGCCCAGGCTGGAGTGCAGTGGTGCAATCACAGCTCACTGCAGCCTGGACCTCACTGGGCTCAGGTGATCGTCCTGCCTCAGCCTCTCAAGTAGCTGGGACCACACTTGGCTAACTTTTTTTTTTTTTTAATTTTTTGTAGAGACAGAGTCTCGCAATTTTGCCCAGGCTGGTCTCAAACTCCTGGCCTCAAGCTATTCTCCTGCCCCAGCCTCCCGAAGTGCTAGGATTACAGGCATGTGCCACCACACTTGGCTTTCCATATGTTATAAGTACATTTTCCAGGGAATTATGACCCCCTGAAGCCCAATCATGAACCCCAGGACAAAAATCCCAGCCCTGGTCGGACACAGTGGCTCACACCTGTAATCCCAGCACTTTGGGAAGCAGAGGCAAGTGGCTCACTTGAGGCCAGGAGTTCGGGACTAGCCTGGGCAACACAGCGAAATCCCATCACCACAAAACGCAAAAATTAGCTGAGCATGTTGGTGCACACCTGTAGTCCCAGCTACTTGGGAGGCTGAGGTGGGAGGATCGCTTGAGCCCGGGAGGTCAAAGTTGTAGTGAGCTGTGTCACGCCACTGCACTCCAGCCTGGGTAACACAGTGAAACCCTGTCTCAAAAAAAAAACAAAAAAACAAACCCTAACCCTATCCAACGAGAAGGAACAGGCAGCCACACTGAACCTCAAACAGGATCAAAACGTTTACTGAGAGGTTAATACGGATTTGCTGAAGAAAGACGTTGCAATCCATGTTGTTAAAACGTGTTAGCACCTATCAGTTTAAAAAACAAGATGCGATTTTCTCTGAATAGGAAACATGTCGGCCTGGTGCAGCTACCCCTCCCCCCGCCCCCGCGGCTTTTTATAAGTGGTTTGTAAGATCAGCCCTGTGGCCTGTGTGAACAGAAGCACATCCTCCGCTACGGAAAACAAGGCTGGGGCCCCGGCGGCTCCGCGTGGATGTGGGTCTGCTTCTGGCCTTGCAGACCTGCCATCTCGTGGTCCAGGGGCCCCCTCCCAGGACTGTTCCTTCTCTACTGTCCTCCACCTCGCAAAGGCAAATGTGGGGGCATCAGGGAAGGCCAGAGCCCAGCACTAAGCCCCGCTCCATATCCACTCCAGCACACATCCCAGGCGGCATCCGAGGGCCTGGAGTGGCCCTTCGCCCACAGCCGGCCAGGCAAACACGGGGAGGCCAGGGCCCTGCACCCCTCTAGCTCTGCAGCTTGACCTCAGGGAGCTCCCACAGGGGTCGTTACCCCAAATGGGTATCCACCACTGCACTGGAAAAGCAGCAACCAACAGAACCTGACCTCTGGCGCTCGGTTCCGCCCCCCAGTGGGTCTCCCCATAAAGCCCCGCCCCCCGGTGGGTCTCCCCATGAAGCCCCGCCCCCCGGTGGGTCTCCCCATAAAGCCCCGCCCCCCGGTGGGTCGCACCATGAAGCCCCGCCCCCCGGTGGGTCTCCCATGAAGCCCCGCCCCCCGGTGGGTCTCCCCATGAAGCCCCGCCCCCGGTGGGTCTCCCCATGAAGCCCCGCCCCCCGGTGGGTCTCCCATGAAGCCCCGCCCCCCGGTGGGTCTCCCGGTGGAGCTCGGCTCCTGCAGGTCCGCTCCGGAACCTGCTGACTCTCCTGCGATTCCTAAACTGGCAGCGATGCTCCAGAGCCTCTTCCGCCCCGACAGCAGCCCCACCTCTGCCCGGAGCCCGGGGCGCCTCCACTGCCTCTCCTCACACAGCTGCCCGCCGCGAGCTCCCCCTGCACCCTGCGCCTCGGGGTGGGCGTTCCAGGACTCCCCGAACCCTTGGGGCCGCCCCGCTCTGGGCTGCCTGTGCCCCACCCGCCTCACTGGTTGATCTCACCCACTTGAGATGCCCTCGCCAGGCCTTTTTTGGCAAATCTGCCTCCCTGTTCCCAGGCTGCCTTTTTCTATTATTTCCTCCCCAAGCAAATCCATCCACTCCACACCTGCTACCTGACAACGACCTGCCAGTGCTGAGCTCCAGGGTGGGCGCGGTGGGTGCAGACAGGTCGGCAGGCACAAGGACAGGGTTCTCCCTCCCGAGGCAGGGCGGGGGCGGGGGGGCGCAGAGGTGGCTGAGGGTTGGGGGCTCCAAGCAGAGCGAGCTGAGTTTGCCGAGGCCTGGCTGCCTTGGCGGCCAGCAGGTGAGCAGGGTGGGCCGAAGCCTCTGCAGGGGCCATGTGGCCCAGCCACACCCAGGAGGCCGGGGCAGAGCAGACAGGGGCCCGGGGCGGATCTCCCTGCCCTGCTGTCGTCCCCCCTGTGCAGAGTGGACCCGGTGTGGGGTCCGGGGCGGTCTGCGCCCTCATCAGGACCCGCCTGCCCGGACATCGTGGCCACGCGCAGCGCGCGGCACGCGGACCCTCCCCGCACTCACCAGCGTGTGGCGCTTCATGTGCTCGCGCCGCGTGAACTTCTTCCCGCAGATCTCGCAGGGGTAGGGCCGCTCTCCCGTGTGCGAGCGCATGTGTCGCTTGAGGATGCACTGGTGCATGGCCGAGAAGCTGCAGTACGGACACTTGAACTTCTTCCTGATCACCGTGAACTCATTCACTGAAAGAGAGGGACCCGCGAGGCGTCAGCAGGGCTTGGGATGTACCGCCCTGCGGCCCACAGACCACGGCTGCACGCCGCAGCCCAGCAGCCAGGACGGGCTGTCTCCCACGGCCACCCACTGGGGGCTGGTCAGCACTGCGACAGGCCAGGCTCCCCCACCATCTGCATAAATTGTCCCACCCACTGTCTGGCAGGGGCGGTGCCAGCAAGGCTGAGCCCCAGGGAGCTCAGGAGCCCCAGCTCTCAGGAGATCTTTCCATCCAGGCCAAAGGCAGGAGGCAAGGGGTAAGAACGGCCAATGCTGAACACAGTGCCCGGTCCCTGCAGGACCCTCCTTCCAGCCCTCAGACCCCACTGGGCATGTGTGGGTAGCAGGCCCTGGGCGTGGTGTCCGATCAGACGCCTCCCTGGAGGCAGAGAAGAAACAAACACTGTGGAGTAATACGGACCCAAAAGTGTGCAGGCGAAATGGGAGATGTGGGTGCAACTCAAAGTCCTGGGCTCTTCTTGCTGGACGCCGGAGAAGCAGCCAGACCCATTTAATCAAGTTCTTTTCCCCCAACCCTGAGACCCAACGTCACTCAGTGGCAGGAACTCCACACCACCATCTCCATGGTGCGTGCCCTGGGGCCAGGCTCAAAAACCTGGGGGACCCTCAGCACGCCCAGTGCCGTTATGCTACTCAGGCCCAGATACCAGCACGTCAGACCTGGGCATGGGCCACTGAGAGAGCCCGGAGCAGCCACGTCCACGGGACCCTACGGGAGACCCACCTGAAGCCCGGTGCACGCATGTGCCGAGGGCTGCTCACCCTGGGATTACCATGTACTTGCTGCTGTGCAGGACATCTTCCCCTCTGCATACTGTGACCACCTTTCAGTGCTGGGATTTTTAACTACACAGCTTTTGGATGTCTGAACACATCATAATTAATTAAACAGGCACTACTGCTGAACACGTTTCTGTGTTTTCACCCTTGTGGACCCTTCAGTGAGGCTCCTACAGATGGGTCTTTGCAGCCCTCTGCCACCTCCTGAAGATAAATTCTGACAAGTGGGATAAGCACCTGCCCTCCTGACCAGCAGTCCCCACTTGCCCTGCAGGGAGGGTCTACTGAGGCTCTGGGGGCTCCAGTGGACAGGCACACCCCCATGACAAGGATCTCCCAAAAGGCAGCTCTAACAGGAAACTCAGCATCTGCCAGGAGCGCTCATTTTGTGAGACTGGAGCATGTCTGTGTGGCCAAGACACAGAAAACCCCGGAGGCCCCGCCTGGCACGGCAGCACCTCTGACCAGCTGGCTGTGTTCGGACGCATGTCCCCGCCGCACATCCCCCGAGTGGCTCCTGACGAGGAAATCCCAAGCTCTTCCTGGCCTGTCCTCTGTCAGCCACACTGTGCCCCTGGCTCTCCTCCGTGAGTCAGTAACAAGAGACTTCTCCTTACCGCCACCGTCCCCCAGGCCACCCTTCTCACCCTGACAGCGCCTGGTTCTCGCATTATCACACCCAACAGAGCAAACGCTCCACACATTCTAGGCTAGAAAAGGAGAGCAAGGAAATGAGTTTTTCTATTAGTTTATTTAAAACAGCATTTTTTTTCTCTTTTTTTAAACAAGATGAGGTCTCGCCATGTTGCCCAGGCTGGTCTTGAACTCCTGGGCTCAAGCGATCCTCCCGCCTTGGCCTCCAAAAGTGATGGGGATTATAGGTGTGAGCCACTGTGCCTGGCCCAAAACAACTTTTTTTTTTTTTAGACGGAGTCTCACTCTGTCACCCAGGCTGGAGTGCAGTGGCTCGATCTCAGCTCACTGCAAGCTCTGCCTCCCGGGTTCACATCATTCTCCTGCCTCAGCCTCCCGAGTAGCTGGGACTACAGGCGCCCGCCACCACACCCAGCTAATTTTTTGTATTTTTAGTAGAGACGGGGTTTCACCGTGTTAGCCAGGATGGTCTCGATCTCCTGACCTCGTGATCCGCCCGCCTCGGCCTCTCAAAGTTATGGGATTACAGGCGTGAGCCACCGCGCCTGGCCAAAACTCTTTTGAGAATATATTCATTCATGGTTTCTACTCTTCCTATATAAACATGAAAATTAAAATTTTGAATTATATATTTTAGCCATTTTTATTTAATTCAGACCTACATGTTAAATATTTATCTCTGTATAGAAACCCTGTATTTTTTTACCTAGAAAAACAACTTAGAATGGACATGAGCAGGACTCAGCGTTAATAACCCCGTGAGAATAAACGCCACGGACCCAGGGCAGAGCCGCAGCTGCGGACGGTCCCCTCACCACCTGCATGTGCTGAAGCTGCCTGCGATGCACTTCGGCTTCTTCTTAATGCTCTGTTTTCCGGTCACTACCATAACACAGCACCACAAAGCGTGAGGCTCAGAACAGCCCGGTCCACTCTCTTGCAGTTCTGGAGGCCAAAGGTCAGAGATCAAGGCATCAGCACGGGCTGGCTCTCTCCAGTAGCTCCGGGGAGGGTCCCTCCGGCCTCTTCAGCTCCTAGTAGCTCCAGCTGCCCCTTGGCTTGTGACCGCATCGCTCCAGTCTCTGCCACCATCTGTGTGGCCTTTTCTCTGTCTGTGTCTCTTCCTCTTCTCTTAGAAGGACACTTGTGATTGGACTTAGGACCCATCTGGACAATGCAGGAGGACCTCATTTTGAGATCCTTTATCACATCTGCAAGACCTTTTTCCAAAGAGTCACATCCACAAGCTCTGAGGATCAGGACGGAGTGTTCACTGCTCAACCCACGACATTTGACTGACAGTACTGTGATCATTGAGGGAATTTCACTGGCTGTCATTACTAAAATAATTTCTTACTGGAAACAACACCTTCCATGATTTATTTGTGATTTACAGTCTATATATCTTAGAAAAAACTTACATCACGTAGCTTCATTCTCATAAACACTGGGAAGCCTTTAAAGTCCATTTGGTAACAGGAATTAAATAAAAAAGCATAAAGATCATTACACGGAAACGGGCACTCTCACGACCTGTCCTAAAAACGGAACCCTTTGCCAGGAATCAGGTGTTCTCGCAAGGAAAAGGCCAACTTCCAAAAGAGTAACTGAGAAGCGATGCTATCAGAGCTGGCGTGGACCCCCTAAAATAGGACATTCAGCGACATCCGGCTGCGACTGTACAGAATTGCCCCTGTGAAAACACTGCAGTCATTCGTGCCGGACTGGAGGCCTCCCCTAAGCTCAGGGAAGAGCAGAGGTCTCTGGCCTCCCTGCACCAAGCCAAGTCGGCTGCATGGCCACCTGCCCTTGGCCCTTCCTCTGTCCCCTCCCAGTGCGCTTTCCGCTCCAGGAGAATCGGACCTGTCCTAAATAGCCACTGTACCAGGGAACATTCCAGAACCTTTTCATGATAGTGTCAAAGACTGCAAGAAACCAGCCGTGAAGCAAATGGACTGGCAGTTGGCTTCAGACGGGCAGACAGGGGACAAGGCATCTTCGGAGGGTTCAAGTTTGCTGCTTCCTGAGTCTTCATCACAAAACCATCTGGATATTGAATTGGTCTGGATATAATTTTCAAAAGACTGCACTTTGAGAGCATCTCCGAAAGGGATCCAAACATCAACTGTTCTTTGTTTTTTTGTTTACAAATGTATTAGGCTGTCACTTAACTCTGTGTTAGAATGTGATGAAATTGTGATCTGTCCAGATTATTTTCAAAAACGTTTTAAGCCTTATGTAAAGTGCAAATACGTATACAGCTCAATGAACTTTATCTACATACACCACACATCGCCAAACAGGCACTGCGTGTTCCCAGCACCCTCGAACAAGCCTCTGGCCCTCCCCTAGTTGTAACCCCCAGAGAGCACCCTCTGCCCTCAATCACCACACGTTTTATTGCCCTAGGGCTTCGTATACGTGGGATCCTACCCTCGTGTTGGGCTTTCTTCACTAGATGTGGCCCGCACTGCTGCCTGGAGGAGGATGTGGTTGTTTGTGGTGCGTGGTACTCCATGACACCACTAAGCCACATGTCCATCCTGTAGATACCAGTTTGGGCCTATTGAACAATGGAGATCTGATGGCTCTTACATGTGTCTTTTGGTGACTTAAGTTCTCATTATTTCTGTTGGGCATGCCCTGGCGGGGAAGGGGGGCTTCTGGACCACAGGGTGTTCACCTGCTTGGCTTCCGCAGATATTGCCAATTTTCCAAAGATTTATGATTCCTCTCAAAGTAATTTTTGTGCTTGGTCAGAACTAGGGGTCAAGATTCCCTATTTTTGGGGAGGGGAACAGAATCTTGCTCTGTCACCCAGGCTGGAGTGCAGTGGTGCGATCTCAACTCACTGCAACCTCCGCCTCTGGGTTCAAGTGATTCTCCTGCCTCAGCCTCTCGAGTAGCTGGGATTACAGGCACTCATCGCTACACCAGGCTGATTTTTGTATTTTCAGTAGAGACGCGGTTTCGCCATGTTGGCCAGGCTGGTCTCGAACTCCTGACCTCAGGTGATCCACCCGCCTCGGCCTCCCAAAGTGCTGGGATTACAGGTGTGAGCCATCGCGCCTGGCCACGATTCACTTTTTTCCTCCATGTCAATGTCCAGTCACTCAGCACCATATCTTGAAAAGACCATCTGTCCCACATTGAGTTGCAGAGTGGGCTTTCTGGTGCCTCACGGGCCCTGGCGGCGTGTCTACCCTGCATCACCACCACAGCGTCTCCACGACGGCAGCACTAGAAGCCTTGATGTCTGCATCTGTCAGTCCTCCAGCTTTCTCCTTCCTTTCCAAGATCACCTTAGCCATGTGTAGGAACCCTGGCTTTTATTTCCAGGTTTCTGATGCCCTGACATCTGGGGTCTCCATGACCCTGCAGGAACTTCCCCTCCCAGTTCCTAGAGATAGCAGTCGGAATCACCTTTGAGTGCACCTTTCACAGGTGAACCAACCCATCCAGAGCTCACACTCCCTCCACCCGCCCCGTCCAGGGCTCACACTCCCTCCACCTGCCCATCCAGGGCTCACACTCCCTCCACCCGCCCATCCAGAGCTCACACTCCCTCCACCCGCCCCGTCCAGAGCTCACACTCCCTCCACCCGCCCCGTCCAGAGCTCACACTCCCTCCACCCGCCCATCCAAAGCTCACACTCCCTCCACCTGCCCATCCAGGGCTCACACTCCCTCCACCCGCCCATCCAGAGCTCACACTCCCTCCACCCGCCCATCCAGAGCTCACACTCCCTCCACCTGCCCATCCAGGGCTCACACTCCCTCCACCCGCCCCATCCAGAGCTCACACTCCCTCCACCCGCCCCGTCCAGAGCTCACACTCCCCCCACCCGCCCCGTCCAGAGCTCACACTCCCTCCTCCTGCTCCATAGGTTCTCACACTACAGCCAGTATCCCCTCCCCTAATCACCCCTGGGCCATACAACTAGACACAGCTCCTATGCCCAGAGCCTGCTGAAATTATTCAAATCACACAATCCCAAACCAGCTTACCCTGCCTTGCCCGTTCCTCCCCACAGAAACCAAACAAGGCTCCGGCCTGCATTTCCCCCTCTCCCTCTGCCTCCTGACTGACCCTGGTGCTTCCCCATGTGTCTCTGCCTGGGCTGGTGGGCCTGCTATTCTGGAAATTGGTGAGTGTAACAAACTTCTTCCCTTTATGAGTTATTTCTGTGTCTGTGTCCTACGACACCAGATTAACACAAATCCCCAGGTGCCCTTAGATCCCTATCCTAGATCCTTTGCATCTCCAAATATATTTAGCAGTCAGTTTACTCACACACGCACGCGCACGGGCACTCACACACCCCTCTGCTGGGATCTTAACCAGAATTGTGCTGACCCAATATATCAACTTAAGGAGAGTCACATCTTTTTTTTTTTTTTTTTGAGACAGAGTCTTGCTGTCGCCCAGGCTGGAGTGCAGTGGTGCGATCTCAGCTCATTGCAAGCTCCGCCTCCCGGGTTCACGCCATTCTCCTGCCTCAGCCTCCCGAGTAGCTGGGACTACAGGCGCCCGCCACCACGCCCGGCTAATTTTTTTGAATTTTTAATAGAGACGGGTTTCACTGTGTTAGCCAGGATGGTCTCAAATCTCCTGACCTCGTGATCCGGCCGCCTCGGCCTCCCAAAGTGCTGGGATGACAGGCGTGAGCCATGGTGCCCAGCGGAGATTCACATCTTAACAATAGTGAGTCTTCTCCTCCATGAACATAGTATCTCCCTTCATTTATCATTATCTTCTTTAATTTCTCCCAGCAATATTTTATAGTTTTCTGTGTAGAGGTCTTTGCATATTTTTTGTTTAATTTATTCCTAGGCATTTGATGTCCTATAAAATGAAACTCTGTTATTTATAGAAATACAATTGACTTTTGTATATTGAGTTTCGTACATTGGCTGTATATCCAGTATATTTAATTATCCTGTTAAAAATCTAAGTTTCTAGATTCTTTTGAATGTTCTATATGCATAGTCATGTCACCTACAAATGATGCTTTTACTTATTCCCTTCCATTCATTTCTTTTTCTTTTTTTTCTTTAGTAAAGACAGGGTCTTGCCATGTTGCCCAGGCTGGTCTTGAGCTCCTGAGCTCAAGTGACCCACCCACCTCAGCCTCCCAAAGTGCTGAGATCACAGGCATGAGCCACAGTGCCTGGCCCCTTTCATTTATCACTGTATTGCACAGCTTGGGACAAGGGGTAGGACTCAGGGAGGAGGGGGGCAAGGGAGGTTCCTGACATGACACAAACATTAGGAAGGCAAGAGCTCTCAGGGGCAGCCCTGCACACACAACCCGGGCAGGATCTCCAGCCAACTCTGAATATAAGTGGTGACGATGGGCGTCTGTGTATCGTTCCCGTGCTCAGAGGCTAAGTCATCATGATTTCACAATTAACCAAAAGGTTAACTTTTTTTTTTGTAGATACTTTTTGTCAGATTTAGAACATTTCTTTATACTCCAATTTGCCGATTCTTATCACGAAGGCTACTGAATTTTATCAAAAGTGTTTCCTGCATTTATTGAGGTGATATAGCGGGTTCTCTCCTTTATTCGGCTAATGTGGTAAATTCTACACATTGATTCCAAACACTCACTTAACCTTGAGTTCTTGGAATGAGCCTGCGGACCATGCAACACGGTTCTTCCTCTGTCTCACTGGATTCAATTTGCTGGTATTTACTTTAATAGTTGCACATCTCTGCTGAGTGATAATTTCCTTTCTTGAAATGCCACGTCAGGCTCTGGGATCAAGACCATGCCAGCTTAGATAGGCTGGAGACTGTTCCTTTCTTCTAGTATTTGGAAGATATGTCTAACGTTGGCGTCATTTTCTTCCGTTAAAATTGGAAAGAATTCACTAGTAAAGGCACTCGCCCTGAAGCTTTCTCTGTGGGAAGGCTTTAAAGTTATTAATTCAATTTTCTCAGCAGATCATAAAACCATTGAGCTCTTCCTGTTTGCTCCAGTTTTGATAAATTCTGTTTTCCAGGAATTTTCCCATTTCCTCCAATGTGTCAAATATATTCGCATAAAGTTGTGTATAATAATCTTATCTATCCAATATCCGTTGATCACTTTTCACAGGAGTTATATCAGTGTTTTTGTTTTTTTTTTTTGAGACAGAGTCTCACTCTGTTGCCCAGGCTGGAGTGCAGTGGCACAATCTCGATTCACTGCAAGCTCCGCCTCCTGGGTTCTCCTGCCTCAGCCTCCCGAGTAGCTAGGATTACAGGCGCCTGTCACCACACCTGGCTAATTTTTTCTATTTTTAGTAGAGACAGGGTTTCACCGTGTTAGCCAGGATGGTCTCGGATCTCCTGACCTCGTGATCCGCCTGCCTCGGCCTCTCAAAGTGCTGGGATTACAGGCGTGAGCCACCGCGCCAGGCCGAGTTATATCAGTTTTATTATCTTTTCAACACACTGGCTTTGGGCATTGTTCACTTTCGGTTTTGGGGTTTGCCCAGGCTGGAATGCAGCAGTGCAATCATAGCTCACTGTAACCTTAAACTCCTTGGCCTCAAGCGAGCCTTCTGACTTAACCTCCCGAAGTGCTGGGATTACAGGTGTGCACCACCATGCCAGCTACACTGTTGATTTTTGTATGCCTGCTTTCTACTTCATTGATAGCTCTTTTTTTTTTTTTTTTTCAGATGGAGTCTCGTTCTGACATCCAAGCTGGTGTGTGGTGCCATGATCTCGGCTCGCTGCAACCTCCGCCTCCCAGGTTCAAGCAATTCTCCTGCCTCAGCCTCCCGAGTAGCTGGGATTACAGGCACCCACCACCATACCCGGCTAATTTTTGTATTTTTAGTAGAGACAGGGTTTCACCATGTTGACCAGACTGGTCTCGAACTCCTGACCTCAAGTGATTGACGCACTTCAGCCTCCCAAAGTGCTGGGATTACAGGCATGAGCCACCACACTCACCCTGATATCTATTCTTTATTTCCCTTCTGTTACTTTCTTTGGGCTTAATTTGCTATGCTTTTTCTTCTTGACAAAGAAATTTAGAACCTTTCTTCTGTCCTAATATATAACTAGAGCTGTAAGTTTCCCTTAAATATTGCTTTAGATGTGGGCCTAAAAGTTTTGATACAGCATTTTTTCATTATCATTCAGTTAAAAATATTTTGGCCAGGCACGGTGGCTCACACCTGTAATCCCAGCAGTTTGGGAGTCCGAGGCAGGTGGATCACAAGGTCAGGAGTTCGAGACCAGCCTGGCCAATATAGTGGAACTCTGTCTCTACTAAAAATACAAAAATTATCCAGGCGTGGTGGCCGGTGCCTGTAATCCCAGCTACTCGGGAGGCTGCAGCAGGAGAATCACTTGAACCCCGGAGGCAGAGGTTGCAGTGAGCAGACATCGCACCACTGCACTCCAGCCTGGGTGACAGAGCGAGACTCTGCCTCAAAAAAAAAAAAAAAAGTTTATCATTTCCATAGGGATTTATTCTTTGACTTGAGGGTTGTGTAAACGTATACTATTTGATTTGCAAGCATTTGGGGATATTCTAGTGTCTTCTTGTTACTGATTTCTAATTCCAGTTTGCTAAGGTCAGAGAATATACTCTCTGATTTCAATCCTTTGATATTTGTTGAACCTGAATTATGGCCCTGGTTGGTCTATTTTGGTAAATGTTTCCTGTCCATTTGGAATATCCTGCACTTTTGGTGTAACGTTCAAACTGGGCTAATTGTGCTGTTACAGCCAGTATCTCTATGAACACAGATGCAAGACTCAAACCAAACATTAGCTAACTGAATCCAATAATACAGAAAAAGAATAGCAGCTTGTGACCAGATGTGTTTATTTCCAGGAATTCAAGGTGAATTTAACATTTGAAAACTGTGTTCAAATATTCTCTATCCTTACTGAGATTTTGTTTGCTGTTCTATCAATTACTGAGATAAGTGTTTTAAAACCCCCAATTGTAATTGTGAAGTTATCTCTTTTTTTAGTTCTGCCAGCTTTTACCTCATGTATTTTAAAACTGAGCTGTTGCCGGGCACAGTAGCTCACACCTGTAATCCCAGCACTTTGGGAGGCCGAGGTGGGTGGATCACGAGGTCAGGAGATCGAGACCATCTTGGCCAACATGGTGAAATCCTGTCTCTACTAAAAATACACAAAAAATGAGCCAGGGTGGTGGCACGCGCCTGTACTGCCAGCTACTTGGGAGGCTGAGGCAGGATAATTGCTTGAACCTGGGAGACAGAGGTTGCAGTGAGCCGAGATCGCGCCACTGCACTCCAGCCTGGGCAACAGTGAGACTTCTCTCAAAAAACAAACAAACAAACAAACAAACAAAAAAAAAACCAACTGAGCTGTTAGGAGCAATATGCATTAGGATTGTTATATTTACTACTGAATTGACTAATTATCATTATGCCAGTCCCTCTTGAGTAATACTTCTCAAAGTTTACTTTGATATTAAGATTGCTATACTGACTTTCTTTTTGGTTAGTGTTTGCTTGATTCATCTTTTTCTTTTCTTTTTTTCTTTTGTAGAGATAGGGTGTTGCTCCGTTACCCACGCTGGAGTACAGTGGCACAATCATAGCACATGGTAACCTCAAACTTTTGGGCTCAAGTCATCTCCTGCCTCAGCCTCCCAAGTAGCTTGAATCACTGGTGAGCACCACCAAACCCAGCTAATTATTTAATTCTTTTAGAGATGGGGTCTTGCTAAGTTGCCCAGGCAGGTCTCAAACTCTTGGCCCCAAGTGATCCTCCCACCTTAGCCTCCCAAATTGCTGGGATTACAGGTGTGAGCCACTGTACCCAGCCAATAAATAGTTTTTAAAAACAGGCTATGTGTTTTGTTCATTTTTAATAATGTAATTATTGATGTGGCTGGTGTAAGGCTATCATCTTGTTTTTTATTTGTCCTTTATGCTTTTTGTTCTTATTCCTCCTTTCTTGCCTTCTTTCAAATTAATCACGTATTGTATCGGGCCATTCTTGCACTGCTATAAAGAAATACCTGCAACTGGATAATTTATGAGAAAAGAGGTTTGATTGGCTCACGGTTCTGCAGGCTCTACAGGAAGCATGGTGGCATCAGCTTCTGGGGAGACCTTAGGGAGCTTCCAATCATGGCAGAAGTCGAAGAGGGAGCGAGCGTTTCACAGGACAGGAGCAGGAGCAAGACGGAGGGTCATGGGGGAGGTGCCACACGCTTTTAATCGACCGGATCTTGTGAGACCTCACTATCATGAGGACAGCACTAAGGGGAGGGAGCTAAATCATCCATGGAAGGTCCCACCAGGCACCACGTCCAGTATTGCGGATCACAGTTCAACATGAGATTTGGGTGGGGACAGAGATCCAAACTGTATCAAGAATTATTCCATTTCTTCTCCTCATTGAGCCTTTGAATCACACCACTTTTCCTATTTTCAGTCATCATTCCTGTGACTATAAAGAGTCAGAACCACACGACAGTTAACTCTCATCCACCCCACATGCTAATAGTGTCATATGTTTTGCTTCTATTTAGGTTTAAAAATCCCCCAAATTATAATTGTTGCTTTAAACAATCAAGATTATTTTCTATTACTCACACAGTTGCCTTATCTGGTGCTTTCTTTTTTCTTTTTCTTTTTTTTTTAAATAAGAGACGGCCTTGCTCTGTCATCCAGGCTGGAGTGCAGCAGTGCAGCCACAACTCACACCAGCCTCGACCTCCTGGGCTCAAGCGATCCTCCCACCTCAGCCTCCCAAGTGGCTGGAACTACAGGCATGAGCCATTACACCCAGCTAATTAAAAAAAAAAATTTATAGGCCAAGCACGGTGGCTCATGCCTGTGATCCCAGCACTTTGTGAGGCCAAGATGGGTGGATCACTTGAGGCCAGGGGTTCCAGACCAGCCTGGCCAACATGGTGAAACCGTCTCTACTAAAAATACAAAAAATCAGCTGGGCATGGTGGCTCACGCCTGTAATCCCAGCTACTGGGGAGGCTGAGGCAGGAGAATCACTTGAACTCGGGAGGCAGAGGTTGCAGTGAGCAGAGATCGCACCATTGCACTCCAGCCTAGGTGACTGAGCGAGGCCCTGTCTCAAAAAAAAAAAAAATTGTGATGAATATTTTTGTTGGGTATAGAGTTCCAGGTTGGCATCTTTTGCTTTCCAGTACTTCAAAGACGTCATTCATTGTCTTCTAGCTTCTGTAGTTTCTGGGAAAGTCAGCCATCACTGTTGTTCTTCTGAATGTTAAGCATTTTTTCTCTGTTTTTTTTTTTTTTGAGACGGAGTTTCGCTCTTGTTGCCCATGCTGGAGTGCAATGGCTCGATCTCAGCTCACCGCATCCTCCACCTCCCAGGTTCAAACAGTTCTCCTGCCTCAGCCTCCCGAGTAGCTGGGATTACAGGTGTGTGCCACCACACCCGGCTAATTTTGTATTTTTAGTAGAGATGGGGTTTCTCCATGTTGAGGCTGGTCTCGAACTCCTGACCTCAGGTGATCTGCCCACCTCGGCCTCCCATAGTGCTGGGATTACAGGTGTGAGCCACTGCACCTGGCCCTCTGGCTGCTTTTAAGATTTTTTTTTGTTTTTCTTTTGAGACGGAGTCTTGCTCTCTCACCCAGGCTGGAGTGCAATGGCGCGGTCTCGGCTCACTGCAACCTCCACCTCCCAGGTTCAAGTGATTCTTGTGTGTGTGTGCGTGCGTGTGTGTGTATGTTTGTATGTGCATGTGTGCGTGTGCATGTGTGCATGTGTATGTGTGGTTGTGTGTGTGTGTGCGTGTGTGTGTGTGTGGGGCTTAGAGGCTTGGGGTGGGGGGCAGTTGTATGCAGAAGCTGGGGTCCTCCTCTTTGTTTCTTGCTTCTTGGGATTTTGCCCCTCAAGTCCCGGCTCCTCTGGCTGCCCCGAAGGACAATCTCTATCTGTACACTGCCGTCCGCTCAGGGTCCACTTCCTGCTCCAGGGTTTGGGAAATATGCCAGCAACACCACTGGGGTGAAGGGCAGCTCATCTGTGTTCTCTCTTCTCTCAAGGATCACAGCGTTGTCCCACCTGCACTGGCCCCCTTCCCGGGTAGGTTATGTGTGGGCGTTTCTTTTCTTTTTTGATACAGGGTCTCACTCTGTGGCCCAGCTGGAGTGCAGTGGTGTAATCATGGCTCACTGCAGCCTCGACCTGCTGTGCCCAAGCGATCCTCCCTCCTCGGCCTGCCGAGTACCTGGGACCACACGTGCACAGCACCACGCTCAGCTAATTTTAAACTTTTTCTGTAGAGACAAGGTCTCCCTATGTTGCCCAGGCTGGTCTTGAACTCTCAGGCTTAAGCAATCCTCCCGCCACAACCTCCCAAAGTACTGGGATTACAGGCATGAGCCATTGCACCCACTTCATATGCTGAATGAATGTCTGTGTAGTTTCAGGGGAAAGAATGTTAGAAGTAGGGATAAAGTCATACTGCTATCTATTCTAAAAATGTTCTTAGAGCCCTTATCATTTTACTATCTGCCACGAGCATATTTTTTTAGGTTCTATGGCACATGTCTACAATTTTTAAATTGTTTTCAAAAAGTTAACCAAACTCTTTCAGCAAAATGGTACGGAGAGAATCTCTACAACCAGGCCTCCTTATCAACCCCCAAGACAACTCTCTCCCCGCTGGGCCCACCTGCTGCCCACCCTGGAGAGCAAAAGGCAAAGCTGTCATGCGGCCTCTGATGTACCTGCTTCAACAGCACTAGGGTGTGCCCTGCCCATGAACGCAGAGCCCAGGCGTGGACTAATCTCACAGTCAGATGCCACAAGTTTCTTCTGTCATGGTGCCCAGGTTGAGACATATCATCTCAGGCCCAACAGCTGAGAGATCCTTTTTTTTTTTTTTTTTTTTTTTTTTTGAGAGGGAGTTTCGCTCTCGTTGCCCAGGCTGGAGTGCAATGGCATGATCTCTGCTCACTGCAACTTCCGCCTCCCGGGTTCAAGTGATTCTCCTGCCTCAGCCTCTCAAATAGCTGGGATTACAGGCGCCCGCCACCACGCCCAGCTAATTTTTCTATTTTTAGTAGAGATACGATTTCGCCATGTTGGCCAGGCTGGTCTAAAACTCCCGACCTCAGGTGATCCGCCCACCTTGGCCTCCCAAAGTGCTGGGATCACAGGCATGAGCCACTGCACCTGGCCAAGAGATCCCATTTTGACCAAAAAAAAAAAAAAAGCTTCATTTTCTCTACAACTGATATTAAAACTCCAACAGGCATTTGCATAAAGAGGCGTCTGGCAGCTCAGAAGGCACGGCCTGTGTGGACTGCTCTCCCGACCCTCACAGATGCCAGCAGAGCGCGGTCACCTTTGGTAAAATGCCCCAAACCTCACTAGAAATCCCACTTTTCTCCATCTTCAGAAACTCATCTCAGGAACATAAAGGAACATAAAGATTTGAGGAACCAGGGGAGGCTCCAGCAGATGGTTCCAGCTGCAGTGGAGATGGGGACCGTCCGGAAAGGGGATGGGCTGTTGGGCAGATGGTGGGACGCGTCTCTGGCCTGGGAGCGGGCTCCCCCGACACGCCACCTTCCCTGCCAGATGGTGCTTCTGGGTATTCCAGAATCTGGAATGGGGGATGCCTATCCCCCTCCTGAGCCCACCTGCTGCTCTGGGTCCCTGGAGCCCACCAAGTCCACAACCACCTGCTCTGAATAGAAAGCTGACATTGAACCTAACACGTCCGACGAGGACGGGCAAGGGCACCGCGGGGCGCTCTTTCTGAAAAGCAGCACATTCCCGTAATTCCACGCCGACACGTGGAGCGCCGCGCACATGCCAGGCACACACCGCCAAGGACGCCGTGGCAGGCTTTGTCTTTCGATCTCCCTAGAAAGTTGCTGGGTCGGAGCCACGTGGCTCCACTTCCCACGGATGGGGACATGTTTTCCCGCCCCTGAAAGCCCCCCGTCCCCACACATTGGCAATCCCGTAGGATCTCGGTCATCTGAACCCCGTCGGGCAGAAGCTGGAGGTCCACCCGCCCCAGCTGCCCACCGGCTGGGCATGGAGATGCCTTCACCTGGCAGCAGCCGGCAGAGGACTCGAGAAATGACCACAGAAAGGCACACACCGGCTCCCAGTCACAGCTCTCCGCAGATATCCCCCTCCGACGCGGCTGTTCGGTCACCCAGTTCCCCTCCTGCTCCCACACACTTGAGAGCTCTCTCGCCTGGGCAGCTGCACCCAGCTGGAGCCCGGGACCCGGACGCCAAAGCTCTGGCCGCAGCACTGAGGTCAAAGCAAACGCCGGCTCCAGCGCACAGACCAGAGGCACCCGCAGTTCTGT
The DNA here is from genome assembly GCF_000001405.40 of Homo sapiens. Classification (NCBI taxonomy): domain Eukaryota; kingdom Metazoa; phylum Chordata; class Mammalia; order Primates; family Hominidae; genus Homo; species Homo sapiens. The sequence continues at coordinate 63,767,666 of NC_000020.11, forward strand.
CCCAAACCACTTCCAGCAGGGGAGGTGCCTTCGCTGCTGTCACTTGCTTCACAGAGCTCCTTAGCTGGCCTCAGGGTAAAGCTGTCAGCGCCCAAGGAGCTCCAGGCGAGGCCAAGCCGTCCTGGCACTGGCTGCCCCCAGGGCTGGGCAAGTCCATCCAGGGCTGGGCAAGTCCATCCAGGCCTGGGCTGGAAGAAGACTCCTCAGGCATCCTGGACAGGCCACAGGCCCTGCAGAAACCCACCCTCATGCCAGCGGGAGCCAACTCTGGAAGAGGACTGCTCCGCCCAGCTCTCCACGCCATGAGAGGTGTCGATCTGGAACCAGAGACAGACAAGTTACAGACCGTCAGGATGGGATAAAAGCAGCAAGACTTCTAGTGTGGACACTCTGCTGCCCTCACTCACCTGGGATGTTGTCCAATCACTACTAAGACAGCCTGTCAACAGCCATCTGGAAAGGAAGACTGTAATTAATTCTCAATAAAGAGACACTCAAAAATATATGCATTAACAAAACATTAACACCTGCCACCAAAACTATCCTGTGAGAAATGAGAAACGACTCGTGTGGGAATAGCAATTAATTTCAAAATCCAAAATGTGTGGTTAAGGCTGGGCACCGAGGCTCATCCTAGCACTTTGGGAGACCAAGGAGGCTCATGCCTGTGATCCCAGCACTTTGGGAGGCCGAGGCAGGCGGATCACCTGAGGTCAGGAGTTCAAGACCAGCCTGGCCAACATGGTGAAACCTCATCTCTACTAAAAACACAAAAATTAGCCAGGCGTGGTGGTGTGCCCAACGGGATACCCTAACCTGTAATCCCAGCTACTTGGGAGGCTGAGGCAGGAGAATCTCTTGAACCCCGAAGGTGGAGGTTGCAGTGAGCTAAGATCGCACCACTGCACTCCAGCCTGGGTGACAAAGCCAGACTCTGTCTCAAAAGAAAAAAAAAAAAAGTGGTTGAGCTCTTGTTAAAGAATTTTTTTTTCTCCAGGGAGGTACACACCCCATGGCCCTTTCTTTATAGAAAAGACTCCGCGACTTCAGGCACAGGAAGGAGAATGCCTTCCACCAGGGCTCTGCGCGGCTCGGGCTGGGGCAGTGGAACGGCTTCCACCAGGGCTCTGTGAGGCTCGGACTGGGGCAGTGGCCTCCGAGTCGGGGGTTGGCCAGAAATGTGCAGTGACCAGGCCTGGAAGGGACCGGCCACCACCACTGAGCTCTAGGAACTGATGTTTCCAACCCACTGCAACATGAATTGAATGTCTTTACATTAAGGGAAAAAAATTGCTCAAAATATAAAAACCAATTCAACTTCATACAACCTGTTGCTGTGGGAGTGGAACAATTACTATTGCAAAAGCGAATAACTCGGCTGACCTAAAATGGGTTTTCTCTGTACCTGGCTGAGTTGAGGGTGGGAGAGGAGGGCACATGGAGAGCAGGTGCCACCAAAGTGCCTCCTCGGAGGTGCCCGGGCTCATCTGGGCCGTGGCCACGCACACATGGGTGTCAGGGACACCATGCCCCAAGTGTTTGGCCCAGTTGCCCCAGACAAAGCTGGCCACCCTGGTGTCTTACCTGAGCTGGGGGAGGCTGTGCCGGCTCCCTGGGCTGGGTCTGGCGGTTCCCCAGAGCTCATCCTGTGGCTCTGAGGGTGGAGGGTGGAGGGGCTTCTGTTCTGCCATCAGCGACCCTCACAAGGGACCCAGGCCCTGGGAACACAGGAAAGGAGGAGTCTCACCCACAGGAACGCGCACCAGCTGCTGGGTTCTAGAGAGTTCCAGAAGCACTGACGATCTTCCCGGCATGCGGTGTGAGCCCGGTGATGCCCCAAGGGTCTCGCTGGAGGCAGGTGTTTGAACGCTTTGATCAGCTGGCCAACCCCAAATGCCCGAGGTCTCCACCCATGACTTCTCTGCGGTGTGTCTCTTTCCTAGGAGCCAAGTGATTCCAACAGAGGGTTTTGGTGGAGGAAGTCGGAGCGTGAACACCTCTGGACTGCAGAAATGCTCTCCTGATGAGAACGCCAAGGCACGCTGGCCTGGACCACCTGAAAGTGCAGCACCATGTCCACCAAATGCCCTTTAGTCGGCAACTGTTCACAATTCCAGTCTCGATCCAGAATCAAGTTAAAGTTCTCGATTCATCCTTTAAATACCACAGGGAAACAGTCTTTAAACCACAACCAAAACAAAGACAAGCTGCAACTGTTCTCTGCAAAACGCCTCCTGACGCCCGGGCCCAGCCGCTCCGCCATCTCCACGGCCACCTTCTCCAGTAACGAGCTGGTCAGAAGCCGTCCCCGCAGGAAAGGACTGCAGGGAGCTGGGGTGAGCTTCACGGGAGGCGGCACCGCACCGCCATGGCTGTCCCTAGAATCCTTGACTCTTTAAAAGAGTGAGGGGGGTTACACCAGCAACGCTCCAGAGGCCGCGTCCCACATTTCCGGGCACGGCTGATGCGGGGCTTACAGTCTCCTGTCCCCGGCCGACCGGCCGGCGGCGCATCCTCGGCTTGTCAGTGTGAAGTTGGCTTCCTCGTGCTGTTTGGAGACACGAAGGCAGCACACACCTCAAGGCCCCAGGAGATCAGCGCCAGCCCAGCACAACTTGTGGGCAGCCATGTTCTGAGCCTAAATGACAGTTTTCATGGTTTCTACTGGGAGAACAATGTCTAGTAACAGAGAGGAGGCCCGCCTACTGCTGAAAAAGGAATAAAAGTAAGCACGAAGTTCAACAGAATTGAATGAGAAGTATGGCAAGTCCTCTGACAGGGATGTCAGAGATTGATGGTCTAGTAATGAAACTGCCATCTGTTTAATTTAACAGCCAAGCCAAGGTTACTGGTCCTACAAATCCAAGGAAACTAGTTCAGTTTTTCTAGAATGTTCCAGAACCCATCCCCAAAGGCCCTCTGAGTGTCGGCTGCTCTGTGCTGCTGGCCTGCTGCCTGCATATTTAATGGTTCTCTAAATTCAGAAATCTGCGACCACCATCCCATTTTTGTGCAGAATTGCCACGGCCGGACGCTGTTTGTTGAACCACGGCGCATTCATGACGAGGAGAACTGGGCAGGCGGTGGGATCCCCACCCGGCACCCCGTACCGCAAAGGGGCAGTGGACACACAGTGAGGACCGCCGTGTCCCCATTTCCTGCACGATGCGCCAGCCCACGGGGAGGTACACTCGACAGGACACCCTAGAGACCACGCTAACAAGAGGCCCAGCCCTGGAAATGCTCATCGCCTGCAACCAGCACATGGAGATGGTCGCAAGTCAGCACCGGCCACGCCCGGCACAGCAGCCACGCCGCTCGAACCACAGCAGGGGCCACGTCAGCAGGAGGTCGCAAGTCAGCACCGGCCACGCCCGGCACAGCAGCCACGCCGCTCGAACCACAGCAGGGGCTACTCGCCCTCCCAGGCCCTCTTCAGAGCTGGCCTGAGTTGAAGCTGCGTTCCTCCTGCTCTGAGGGCTGGGTACCGGGGACCCTCGCCCAGCCGAGGCCGCTCTTGTCTTCTTCTCTCTTCCGACAGGGAGCGGAGGAGAGAGGAGCCGGCGGCCCCCGGGGCTCAGGGGCGCATTTCCAGAGCTGCAAGATGGCGGGGGGGCTACGCCACAAGCTGCAATGAGCTGCCCCCACTCTCCGGCCCCCACAGTCACCCCCACATTCAGCAATGGGAGGACACGGCTCTGCGTCCATGACCCTCCAGAAGGAGGGGAGGGAGAGAGGGGGGCCACGCGGTCCCGCCGGGCCTGGCGCTCCCGCACGGTGTTGAGAGACTTAGAAGTCCGTGAGTTCAACGCTTCAGATCAGCAGACGGCGTCAGACCCCGGGGCTCAGTTCTCTCCCCCGATCAGCGTCCACCTGGGTACCGGCGAGTGGGGCTACGCCGTGAACTCTGAGGCGCTCCTCCACCGCGGCAGCCCCCCGAGAGGCCAGGCCCCCGGACCCCACCTTCAGATCACACCGAGGCGCCTCGGCTAAGGCTTCCCTGGACGCAGGCGCTGGTGTCCACGGTTTACTCCCGCGCGGATTCCACGGGACCACCTGTCGGGGACAGAAGGCCTACGGCAGTGAGGGAGGACCACAGAACTTTGGAAAATCCAAGTTTTTTCTGAGTATTTCCATTATTTACCTCAGTGCATGCCGGAAACAGGCAGGGGCCACACAGGATGCCAGAAAATTACGTTTTAAAATAACCTGTCCCCCGCCGAGTTCTACAGCCACTCTGCTGGGCAGGCGTCTGGGGCATCCAGTTCACAGCCCGACAGGCGAAGGATGCTGACAACTTCTAAACCGTGTTTACAGAAAACAAAAGGGCAAATTCTTTTTTTTTTTTTTTTCTGACGAGTTTCGGTCTTGTTGCCCAGGTTGGAATGGCATGATCTCGGCTCACGGCAACCTCCTCCTTCCAGGTTCAAGCGATTCTCCTGCCTCAGTCTCCCAAGTAGCTGAGATTACAGGTGCCCGCCACCACACCCGGGTAATTTTTTGTATTTTTAGTAGAGACAGGGTTTCGCCATGTTGGCCAGGCTGGTCTTGAACTACTGACCTCAGGTGATCCACCTGCCTTGGCCTCCCAAAGTGCTGAGATTACAGGTGTGAACCATCATGCCTGGCCCAAAAGGGCAAATTCTTACAAGAGAAATAGAAAATTTAGAATATTAAAAATGAGGTTAGAACTTAAGAGAAATAACAAAAGACCCACCAGCCAACTTCACCTGGAATTAGTCACAGATGAACTAAAAACTGAGTGAGATGGGGCCAGGCGGGATGGCTCACGCCTATAAACCCGGCACTTTGGGAGGCTGAGGCAGGCAGATCGCCTGAGCTCAGGAGTTCGAGACCAGCCTGGCCAACATGGTGAAACCCTGTCTCTACTAAAAATATAAAAATTAGTGGGGTGTGGGGGCACCCATCTGTAGTCCCAGCTACTTGGGAGGCTGAGGCAGGAGAATTGCTGGAGCCCGGGAGGCAGAGGCTGCAGCGAGCTGAGATAGTGCCAATGCACTCCAGCCTGGGCAAGAGAGCGAGACCCTGTCTCAAAAACACACACACACACACACACACACACACACACACACACACACACAGAAGTGCGGGGTGTGCCCTCACCCCACCTTCAGGATTTAGGACACACTCAGGATGCAGAGGACACAGCACTCTCACTGCAGGGAGAGGCCCTGGGAAAAAGCCAGAACCACTCAAGGTCCCAGCCTCAGGCTCCGCGGCCACTCCCTCCACGTGCTCCGGGGCTCGCTTCCGGAAAGGAGGGGCCCAGAACAGAAAAGCCCCGAGGAAGGGGAGAAACTGCCAGGGCCACCAAGGCCGAGCTGGGGTATGTGTTCCCCAAGGTCAGACCTGGCACCACAGGGCCCACAGCTCGTATGCCACGGGTGAAATCGACATCTTCTGCCAAGCCGTGCCCTCCGACCCCATCTGCTGCACACACAAACCAGCAAAGGCTTCATGGACGGAGCCACACCCAGGGAGGGCTGTCAGACGCAGAAACAGTAGAAAAAGCACAAACAAATTGTTTCCCCTCAGTCCAATGGCTTTTTTTTTTTTTTTTGAGACAGTGTCTCACTCTGTCACCCAGGCTGGAGGGCAATGATGCAATCATGGCTCACTGCAGCCTCAACCTCCTGGGCTCAAGCGATCCTCCCACCTCAGCCGCCTGAGTAGCTGGGACTACGGGCACAAGGCACCATCATGCTGGGCTAACTTCTTGTAGGGATGGGGTTTCCCCACGTTGCCCAGGCTCCCAAAGTCGTTCTTAATGACCAAGACACACCAGCTGTACCTGGGGTGCTGCAAAGGAACTGGGTGTGTTGGGGTCCCTGCCCTGAATGAGTGTATACGACGGTCTGAGAGATCCACAGGAAACAGCACCCAAGCCCCTCATGTGAAAAGGCGCTCGGAGGGGAGGGTAGTGAGGGAGGCCTGGGATCCCCCTCCGACGGCACCCACGGGCATGTGCCACCGGCCGCACCCAAGCTGCTCATGTGAAAAGGCGGTCGGAGGGGAGGGTAGTGAGGGAGGCCCGGGATCCCCCTCCGACCGCACCCACGGGCATGCGCCGCTGGCCGCACCCAGCCTGTCCCTCCTGACGCCCACGAAACGTGCCCAGCGCTCCATCTGACCGGCTGGCCGACTGCAGGATGCCCACATGCCCTGCCACCGCCTCCTGGAAAGGCCCCAGTACCCCGGGGTTTGCTCAAATCCAACCATTTCTGCTGACAAGTACACTTTTGCATTTGAGAGGGGACGGGGCCAACATCTTGGAGCATAAATCACAAACACTCTGCCTGCACCGTGTTTGATATTTTAGAAACGCTATTTTGTTTGAATTCACAACAGCTGTGTAAGTGGCACCCCCCGCCCCCCCCCCCCCCCCCAGTTTTTCAGATGTGGGAAGTGAGGCCTCAGGATGTCTGTGACAGCCCAGCACCCACAGCTTGTCCCGTCTGTGCAGTGCTCAGCCCTGAGCCTCACTTTCAGGGCCAAGACCCTTCGACGGACACGGCTCCTCACTGAGTACACGGAATAAAGGGAAGGTGAACACCACTTTCCACATGTAGTCTTTATTACCCACAAACAGTTGGCATCAGTGCTCACACCAACGCGAAAATTCGAAAGAATATTTTAGTGCTTATGAAAACAAAGTTGTAAAAATATTGTTTTTTAGAGCAGCGTAAAGAAACAGAGAAACAGATATACTTCCCAAATCCCAGCATCAAGGACAGCTGGCACGTTTCCTTCCTTCACTTCCCTCAATACTCAGCAAACAATGTGTCCACACCACTCAGCACGCCTGGACCCCAGCCGCGGAGGTGGGGGCATCTCATGCCGGACTCGCTCCCTCCTCCCCTGGAGAGAAACGGGAGGCGCCTCACTCACTCTCAGCCGCATGCTGAGTGCCAGCTATGTGCTAGGTGCCAGCACCAGGCCTTGCCCGGGGGCCCACATGAGCGCGAGACCAGAAGGCAGCTGGCTGGGGGCTGGCTGCGGTGGGTTTTTTTTGTTTTTTTTTTTGTTTTTTTTTTTGAGACAGAGTCTCCCTCTGTCGCCCCGGCTGGAGTGCAGTGGCGCGATCTCGGCTCACTGCAAGCTCTGCCTGCCGGGTTCACGCCATTCTCCTGCCTCAGTCTCCCGAGTAGCTGGGACTACAGGCGCCCGCCACCACGCCCGGCTAATTTTTTGTATTTTTAGTAGAGACGGGGTTTCACCGTGTTGGCCAAGATGGTCTCGATCTCCTGACCTCGTGGTCTGCCCGCCTCAGCCTCCCAAAGTGCTGGGATTGCAGGCGTGAGCCACCGCGCCCGGCCCCTTTGTTTTTTTAAACTCCGAAAGCTGAATGCCCCCGTCTTGTCAGGAAGTCAGTCAGTCTGGGGTGAGCCCGACACGCAGCAGTGGCTGAACTTTTGGCCACATCTCGGCAGGCGCGTCGTCGTTTGGATTCAGCTGGGGACATTTACGTTTTAAAGACAACCTCCGACGCATCTTTAAAAGTCACACGCCACCAGCATCATCCAGCGAAGGCAACGCAAGGCGAGGCCCCCAAGTGCAATCGGCTCGCAGCGGCCGCCCCCATCTCCCTTGCGCGAAACGAGCCTCAGCACGAAGGCGACAGAGGGGCCGGCAGGGGGCGCCCGAGCCCGTCTCTGGAGCACAAAGACCCCCGGCCCCTGCGCGACCCGGACGAGCTCGCATTCAGCCAACGACTCCTGTGAGAAACATTCCAGCAAGCACTCGGCTGCTCCCCTGCCCGCCGCGCTCACAACCGCGTCCATTCCCTCCTCACTCTAAAGCCAGCCCCCCGTGCACCTGAGAGGCCAGTCCAGGCTGTGACGCCGCATCCTCACCTCCCGCAACAGGGAGGTCAGCAGGCGGCCGAGCAGCAGGGACAGACCCTCAGCCTCATCTCATCTTGGCCCGGGACCTGCAACCCTCAGCCTTCAAAACCACACCAAAGCCAAGCGGCCCCCAGGGCCTGCACTTACGGGACAGCGAGTGGGCCCCTCTGGGCAGGTACTCGAACAGCAGGGAGCCGTCATCCCCCAGCACGTCGGCCTTCAGCGACAGCAGGCTGTTCTTACTCATGAGCGCCGCGCGCAGGTTGGCCACCGCGGTGGCCTGATGCAGGGCGTCGTCCTTCTCTGGGGTGAGGGGAGGGCCCAGATAGCTGGCTTCTCCTCCCAGGAGACCCTCCTCCACCTGTGCATAGAGCTCGGCCCTCTCTCCTCGGCTGTCGGAGCTGCTGGCTTCGGTGACGGACAGGTCCGCATCTGGGGACAGAGGGACACACGTCAGAAGACACGGGTCGTTCCCAGACTCTCCAAGTGGGACAGGCGACACATTTAGAAGGACAGCGACCAGCTTCTGCCTGAGCTACAGAGCAGCATCAAGTCCAGCCCACCCTGGGAGCCGGGCACCTGCCCCAGCAATGCAGCAGCCTCGGCCCAGCCCGGCCTTTCCTGCCCACCCAGGTCCCATGGCTGCGGTGGAGTCTCAGCCAAGGCTTTGGAGGACGGCTCAACTCAGAACAACGGGGTTGCCCTCCCTGGACGAGGCGCTGCAGACCTGGTACCTGCTCTGCTCCAGGGCCGAGGGCCTGAGAGTCAGAGGCTCCTGGGGCGGCAGTATTTCCATCTCGCAAAGACGAGGAGAGGCTCAAAATGGATCAATGACGTTAGAGCTAAATCTATAAAATTCTTAGAAGAAAATCCGCATGATCTCAGATTTGGCAATAGGTTCTTAGATACAAAACCAAGCACAAGCAACAAAATAAATTGGACTCATCAAAATTAAATGTCTGTGCTTCAAAGGATACTACCAAGAAAGTGACGCCGGGTGCGGTGGCTCAAGCCTGTGATCCCAGCACTCTGGGAGGCCGAGGCGGGCGGATCATCTGAGGTCAGGAGTTCAAGGCCAGCCTGGCCAACATGGTGAAACCCCATCTCTACTAAAAATACAAAAATTAGCCGGGCGTGGTGGCACGTGCCTGTAATCCCAGCTACTCAGTAGGCTGCGGCAGGAGAATCGCTTGAACCCAGGAGGTGGAGGTTGCAATGAGCCGAGATCACACCACTGCACTCTAGCCTGGGCGACAGAACAACGCTCTGTCTCAAAAAAAAAAAAAAATTGCAACCTATATATCTGATAATAAAAAGGCAAATACTGTAACTCAATATAAAAATGGGCAAAAAATCTTACTAGACATTTGTCCAAAGAAGATGTATAAATGGCCAAGACGCACAGGAAGAGATGCTCAGCATCACCCATCACTAAGGAAACGCAAAACACAACACGATTCCACCACACAATACGGTTCCAGCACACGCCACGGTTCCACCACACGCCACGGTTCCACCACACGCCACGGTTCCAGCACACGCCACGGTTCCACCACACGCCACGGTTCCAGCACACGCCACGGTTCCACCACACGCCACGGTTCCAGCACACGCCACGGTTCCAGCACACACCCACTGGGATGGCTGGATATAAAAAGGCCAGGCACCGTGGCTCACGCTTCCAGTCCCAACATTTTGGGAGGCTAAGACCGGAAGATCTATTGAGAACAGGAGTTCAAGACCAGCCTGGGCAACACAGCAGGACAAAAAGTTAAAATAAAACAAAATTAGCTGAGTGTGGTGGGTTGTGCCTGTGGTCCTAGCTACTCAGGAGGCTGCGGCGGGAGGATCACTTGAGCCTGAGAGGTTGAGGCTGTGGTGAGCTGTGATCGAGCCACTGTACTCCAGTCTGGGTGACAGAGTGAGACCCTATCTCAAAAACAACAACAAAAAAGATCAGATAATATTGGCAAGGATGGGAAGAAATCAGAACCCTGGAACCTTGCTGGTAAGAGTGTAACATGGTGCCCTCCTGCGGAGCAGGTCGGCAGGTCCTCACAACATCAGGTACAGGAATCACCACGGGGCCCAGCAGTTCCACATGTACGCATGCAGATACCCACGAGAAATGAAGACACAAAAGCTCACAGAAAACCTCGTCCAGGACGCGCGTAGCACGTTATCCATAACAGCCAAAAGGTGGAACAGCCAACAAGTCCATCGATGGACGAATGGATAAACATAACAGGTCCATCCCCACAATGGAATATTATGTGGCCATGAAAAGGCATGAAGAACAGACACAGGCCACCACACAGAGGAGCCGTGAAAACATGCTCAGCGGACGAAGCCAGACACAGAACCACGCAGAGGAGCCTTGAAAACTGCTGAGTGAACAAAGCCAGACACAGAAGGCCACATGCCATTTCATTTCCATTAAATATCCAGAACAGGCAAATCAAGACAGAAAGTAGGTTTGTGGCTGCAAAAAGGGGCTGGGGAGGGGTCTCGGATGAGGGCTAAGTGGTGCAGGGTTTCCCTCTGAGCCGAGGAAAATGTTCTAAGGGGACTGTGCTGATGGCTACAGGATGCTGTGAATATACCATACCAAAAACCTCTGAACTGCAGACTTTAAATGGGTGAGTGGGGTGTGAATCATCTCTCAGTAAAGCTTCTATTTAACAACAACAACAAAAACAACAAAAGGTGACGACTTGAGTCATGAATTCAACGGATTCCTCCGAGTGTCAGCTCAGGCCAGCCAGGGCTTTGTGGAGTACCCTCCCTCTAGTGGGGCTGTATGCACGATATCAAAACACCCCCAGAACACGCTGAGCGATGATGATTTGCAGATATTTTCCCACAGCAAGAGAATGGATTTTCCACCGTGGTCGTTGACAGGAATCGGGATCAGAACCACAGAAACACAGGGGCATGGGGCAGGGGGCACTTGGAGCAGGGGCAGAGGTGACGTCTGCAAACACCCCTGGAACAAACATGCACACGTGAGGCCCAGCAGCTGAGAGCTGGGTGTGGCAGGTGGGCAGGGCCCCCGTCAGGCAGCACACGGGGTGAGTCCAGCCTGGCAGGAGCGGGTGGGAGTCTCCAGGGACAGTGACATTCGGACCGTCGAGCTACCTATGACTTCTTCTGGAGGCCTCTAAGGGATATGTTTCCAAACTCTACTCTTTTTCCAAACTATACTCCTTTTTATATTTTTTTACAAATCCCTCGATGACACATCATATTAATTGTGCATTTCTAGGAACTAAATATACAGGTTATATCCAAACTTATGTTAAGGCTTTGTCTTAGCTTGGGATGCCATGACAAAATACCACAGGCAGGGCGGCTTAACAACGAAAATTAGTTTCCTCACGCTCTGGAGACTGGGAAGTCCAAGGTCAAGGTGCCAGCAGATCTGCTGTCTGGTGAGGCCCCTCCTGACCTGCAGATGGCGGCAGGTGAGCCCTGGGGGCCCCTCCTCAGAGTCTGGGAGCAGAGTGGGTGGTGGGTGCTGTGTGCTCACGAGCGTGTTCAGGGATCAGGGCCCCGCCTGTGACTTCACTTTATCACTTCCTTCAAGGCCCTCCCCAGACGCAGCCACACGGGGGCTGGGGTTTCAACACATGAGTGTGGGGGTGCACATTCAGCTCATAACAGGCTTCAAAAAAAATCACCCAATTTTATTTTATTTAATTAATTAATTAATTTATTTATTTATTTTGAGACGGAGTTTCGCTCTTGTTGCCCAGGCTGGAGTGCAATGGCATGATCTCAGCTCACCGCAACCTCCGCCTCCCGGCTTCAAGTGATTCTCCTGCCTCAGCCTCCTGAGTAGCTGGGATTACAGGTGCGTGCCACCACGCCGGCTAATTTTTTTTTTTTTTTTTTTTTTTTTTTTTTTGAGACGGAGTCTTGCTCTGTCACCCAGGCTGGAGTGCAGTGGCATGATCTTGGCTCACTGCAAGCTCCGCCTCCCAGGTTCACGCCATTCTCCTGCCTCAGCCTCCTGAGTAGCTGGGACTACAGGGCGCCTGCCACCACACCTGGCTAATTTTTTGTATTTTTAGTAGAGACGGGGTTTCACCGTGTTAGCCAAGATGGTCTCGATCTCTTGACCTCGTGATTCGCCCCCCTCAGCCTCCGAGAGTGCTGGGATTACAGGCCTGTGAGCCACCGCGCCCGGCCGCTAATTTTTGTATTTTTAGTAGAGACGGGGTTTCACCACATTGGTCAGGCTGGTCTCAAACTCCCAACCTCAGGTGATCTGCCCACCTCAGACTCCCAAAGTGCTGGGATTACAAGCATGAGCCACCATGCCTGGCCAAAATCACCCAATTTTAAAGCCAAATTTTAAATCTAAATTATTGTAACAAATCAAGGTGAAAAACACATAAAAGAAATCAGGATAAGCTGAAAGAACTCTCCCTTGTGTGAAATGCTAAAATTTGGGTTTCCGCCAGGCACAGTGTCTCATGCCTGTAATCCCAGCATTTTGGGAGGCCGAGATGGGTGGATCATGAAGTCAGGAGTTTGAGACTAGCCTGGCCAGCCCGGTGAAACCCCGTCTCTACTAAAATACAAAACATTAGCTAGGCATGGCGGTGCGTGCTTGTAATCTCAGCTACTCGGCAAGCTGAGGCAGGAAAATCGCTTGAACCAGGGAGACAGAGGTTGCGGTGAGCCGAGATCACACCATTGCACTCCAGCCTGGGCAACAAGAGTGAAACTCCATCTCAAAAAAAAAAAAGACAGATAAAAGAAATTCTCATTAATTTTATGTATATAGTAGTTAGCAAGGTAACTCAATGGATAAAAGACAGGTTTCTTAGCAAGCAGCACTGGAACAACCTTATAATCCTATGTAAAAAGTGAACCTCAAGCTGATCTCACGCCACATACAAAAAAACCAACTTGAATCATGGAGCTATGCGTTATACTTAAATTGATAAAAACTCAAGAAAAACCATAGGAGAAAGTCTTTGTTGGCTGGGCACGGTGGCTCATGCCTGTAATCCCAGCACTCTCGGAGGCTGAGGCGGGCGGATCACGAGGTCAGGAGTTCAAGACCATCCTGGCTAACATGGTGAAACCCCGTCTCTACTAAAAATACAAAAAATGAGCCGGGCGTGGTGGCGGGCGCCTGTAGTCCCAGCTACTCGGGAGGCTGAGGCAGGAGAATGGTGTGAACCCAGGAGGCAGAGCTTGCAGTGAGCCGAGATTGCACCACTGCACTCCAGCCTGGGCGACAGAATGATACTCCGTCTCAAAAAAAAAGGATCCTCCTGAAGAGACACTGTTAAATGAAAAAAGGAGGCCATGCACAGTGGCTCACGCCTGTAATCCCAACATTTTGGGAGGCCAAGGCGGGTGGATCATGAGGTCAGGAGTTCAAGACCAGCCTGACCAACATGGTGAAACCCCATCTCTACTAAAAAAAAAAAAAAAAATACAAAAATTAGCTGGGCGCGGTGGCGGGTGCCTGTAATCCCAGCTATTCAGGAGGCTGAGGCAAGAGAATGGCGTGAACCCAGGAGGCAGAGTTTGCAGTGAGCCAAGATGGTGCCACTGCACTCCAGCCTGGGTGGCAGAGCAAGACTCTGCCTCAAAAAAAAAAAAAAAAAAAAAAAGAAAGAAAAAAGGAGCCAAAGGCCAAGAGAAAATATTTTCAAAGCACATACTTGATGAAGGACTTGGAACGAGAACACCTAGGAACTCTCACCACTCAGTAATAAAAGATGGGCAGAAGATCTGAACAGACACTTCCCCAAGGAAGAGACCCAGATGTGGAGCAGGTGCCCGATGCTCATCACCGCCAGCTGAGCCACGACACTCACTCGGCCAGAGCCTCACGGTCACCACGTAGACAGCCCAATCGAAACACGGCAAAAAGACCTGGACAGACACTTTACCAAAAAAGATATATGAATGGCATCATCCGCCATCAAAGAAATGCAAATCAAAGACCATAGAGAAGCCAGGTGTGGCGTCTCACGTCTGTCATGCCAGCACTGTAGGAGGCCGAGGCAGGCGGATCACCTGAGGTCAGGAGTTCGAGACCAGCCTGGCCAACACGGCCAAACCCCGTCTCTACTAAAAATACAAAAAATCAGCCAGGGGTGGTGCTGGGTGATTGTAATCCCAGGTACTCGGGAGGCTGAGGCAGGAGAATTGCTTGAACCTAGGAGGCAGAGGTTGTAGTGAGCCAAGATCGTGCCATTGCACTCCAGCCTGGACAACAGAGCGAGACTCTGTCAAAAAAAAAATAGAGGCCGGGCGCGGTGGCTCACGCCTGTAATCCCAGCACTTTAGGAGGCTGAGGTGGGCAGATCACAAGGTCAGGAGATCGAGACCATCCTGACTAACACGGTGAAACCTCGTCTCTACTAAAAATACAAAAAAAATTAGCCAGGCGTGGTGGTGGGTGCCTGTAGTCTCAGCTACTCAGGAGGCTGAGGCAGGAGAATGGCATGAACCGGGGAGGCGGAGCTTGCAGTGAGCCGAGATGGCGCCACTGCACTCAGGCCTGGGTGAAAGAGCAAGACTCCGTCTCAAAAAAAAAAAAAAGAAAAGAGGCGTGGCGATTTTCACCAAAATCCCCGGCTACTGTATGCAAACCCCCAGTGGTGAGCCAATGACTCCTGCAGAGACGCCCAGGCTGCAACCCCCGAGCCGTGGTTTTGCCACCTTGTGGCAGAACGACTCCGCAGACCTGATTCGGTTCAGGATCTCACGATGAGTCCTGGATGAGCCACGTGGGCCCTAAACGGACCCACCAGGGCCCCGTCAGCAGAGAAGGAGGCAGGAGGGTGACAGAAGCGAGGATGGGAAGGGGCAGGAATGATGTCGGGCCACGAGCCAAGGATGCTATGGCTTCCAGAAGCCAGAAGAGGCACATGGACTCCCCTGGAGCTCCAGGGGATGCAGCCCTGCCGGCTGCTTCAGACTTCAGAGAACCGTGAGACAAAACGTGCATTGCTCTGACAATAAGTCTGGTCATTTATTACAGCAGCCATCAGGAGCCAGGTGCTTGCCAAAAGCACAAAAGCCACAAAAGACACCTGCAGGAGAGCCTCACAGCCCTGAGCCTGACACCCAAACGCCCACATCCAGACAACCACAGAACAGGCTGCAGCCACGCCCCATGCCCCACGACCCACGCCCCACACCCACAGGTGAGGAGCAGTGTTGCTGCTGGCTGCGGCCGTGAGTCCCTCCCACACCAGGACAAGGAGCAAAGCCAGAGATGCAAGGACACCCTGCCGAGTGGCTGCGTTAAAAGTTCAGTTGGCCAGGCAGTGGCTCACACCTGTGATCCCAGCACCATGGGAGGCCCAGGCGGGAGGATCGCTAAGCCCAGGAGTTTGAGACTGGCCTGGGCAACATAGTGAGATCCCGTCTCCCGTCATAGTGAGATCTACATCTCTATAAAAAACATTTTTAAAAATTAGCCAGGCGTGGTGGCGCACGCCCATAGTCCCAGCTACTCAGGAGGCTGAGGTGGGAGGATCACCTGAGCCCAGGAGGTTGAGGCTGCCGTGAGCCGAGATTGTACCACTGCACTCCAGCCTGGGCAAGAGAGTGAGACCTTGTCTTAAAAAAAACAAAAAACACAGCTGGGCGTGGTGGTTCATGCCTGTAATCCCAGCACTTTGGGAGGCTGAGGTGGGTGGATCACAAGTTCAAGAGATTGAGACCAGCCTGGCCAACATGGCAAAACCCCGTCTCTACTAAAAATACAAAATATCAGCTGGGCGTGGTGGCACGTGCCTGTAGTCCCAGCTACTCGGGAGGCTGAGGCAGGAGAATCACTTGAACCCGAGAGGCAGAGATTGCAGTGAGCCGAGATCGCGCCATTGCACTCCAGCCTGGCGACCGAGCGAGACTCCGTCTCAAAACAAAAACAAAAACAAAAAATACTCTGTCCAGTGCCGAGTGCAGAATTTTTTTAAAAATAAAACAAAAACAAAAAACAGCACGTTCCTGTGAAGGGTGTTATTGTCTCTGTCCCCGTCACCAGCTGCTCCCCAACAGACTGTAATGTGATCAAAGCTGATTGCAGGTAATTCTGTTCATACCTGAAAGCAAAAACATCTAGAGAAGGCGCAGCTGAGTTCTCAAGCTTCCCAGGACAGGACTGAACAGGGGAGTGGATTAAAAGAGGCCAAGCCAAGCATCTCCCGAGCAGCTGTGGGATCGGGGTGCGGAGCCGGACGCCCTTCCCACCCCACTACTGACCAAAGCACATGATGTCATCTTTTGGTTGAAACCCTTCCACCCAAAAAATAAAAAGACCATCCCAAGTGCAGGAAATTTTCTTCAACAGAACAATCAGATCTGCCGTGCTGCTGAAACAGGCTGTGAAAGGTGTTCAGGAGGCGAAACATTGTTCAGGAGGCCAGGTGGGGGAACCTCACATTCCGTCGGGCACCAGGAGGGCCGAGATGCCACGCACACTCAGGACAGGAGTCCCTGCAGGGACGTAACCTCAGAGGTAACTCCCTGCCCTCGTGTGATCAGGACGGCTGAGACCGTGGTGGGGGTCCTCCTCCCCAACCTTCGTGGAGAGAAAGAGGGAACACCAGAAGGGGACACAGCCACGGCCCCCTCCGCTCACCAGTTCCTGCTTTATCCCCAGCAAAGAGCTCTGGGGGCGGTGAGGAGCTGCTGTCAGCACAAGGGAGAGAAACCCTGAGACCCGCCGGAGGCAGGCCGGCCTGGTCCAAGAAGCAGCTCGAAGACCACCCTACCCTGAGAGCTGGGACCCTCACTCCCCTCCCGGAGCAGACAGGAGGCTTGCAGGCAGTGCTAGGCACCCGAGAGGCCATTGTCCCCCATCTGGAGCTCCCGCAGTTCTGATGTACGCTTAAAAATCCCAACATGTCAAGCTCCCACCTCACCAGGGTTCAAGTACACACTTCACAGAACACACAGATCCTCCTGTAGCAGCACCGCTTAGGCATGTGTGGGGCCATTTAGTTGGGGCACCTGGGCTGTTTCTTTACCATCTTCTCATGCAGTAGCTACACATCCACTTTGTCAAGGCCTCACCAGTCACCTCTCAGGTCCTTACTGTGCTCCCTCCGCAGATGAGAAGGAGACGCCAGGGCCTGGGGAGGCACGGGCCTGCCTGCCTGCCCCATAGCTGCAAACATGAATCTGAACATTTTAATGCTATTTCCCACAAGCTCTCATAGAAGTGAACTGCTGTAACTCAGAAATAAATTTCAAGGGATACTGTTTCTTGGAAGCTGCTCAGTTAGAATGAATTTGGCCTCCCTGCCTAGAAAATCACTCTTAAAAGCAAACAGGCCTCAGGGTCACCAGGGGCCGGGATGATGCACAGAGGGGTTGGGGCATCGGCGTCGAATGATCCACGGTGACCACTTGACATGTGTCCTTAGAAAAGAGACTTTGTGGCCGGGCGTGGTGGCTCACGCCTGTCATCCCAGCACTTTGGGAGGCCGAGGCAGGCGGATCACGAGGTCAAGAGATCGAGACCGTCCTGGCCAACATGGTGAAACCCCGTCTCTACTAAAAATACAAAAATTAGCCGGGCGTGGTGGTGGGCACCTGTAGTCCCAGCTACTCGGGAGGCTGAGGCAGGAGAATGATGTGAACCTGGGAGGTGGAGGTTGCGGTGAGCTGAGATTGCACCACTGCACTCCAGCCCGGCAACAGAGCGAGACTCAAAAAAAAAAAAAAAGAAAAGAAAAGAAAAAGAAAGAAGGAAAAGGGACTTTGTGGCCCGGCACACTGGCTCACGCCTGTAATCCCAGCACTTTGGGAGGCTGAGGCGGGCGGACCGCTTGAGGTCAGGAGTTCGAGACAAGCCTGGCCAATATGGTGAAACCCCGTCTCTACTAAAAATACAGAAATTAGCCGGGCGTGGTCACGGGAGCCTGTAATCCCAGCTACTCGGAGGCTGAGGCAGGAGAATCACTTGAACCCAGGAAGCGGAGGCTGCAGTGAGTCGAGATCACACCACCGCACTCCAGCCTGGGTGACAGTGACGCTCTGTCTCAAAAATAAAAAAAATTTAAAAAAGGGCCTTTGCTTCTATAAATGGGATGAAAATTAAAAATCCTCTTCTCTAAGATAGAATAAATCTTTAATGGAAACAAACTGACCTCCATGGGATCATGATCTACTTCCAAACCCCAAGCTTCCAAATCCCAGCCTGAGGGCTCAGACGGAGGACGCAGCTCAGGGAGTCACTGGCCGCCACAGCGTGGGCAGAACCATCCTCCATCCTCACACAGCTCACAGCCTTGTGTCCTCATCTTAGCAACTCGGAATAATCTAATGGAAGAGTTTCACAGTTGCCTTGGAAACCCAAGGGATTTAAGACTCTAACAAAAGTACACAGCCAAAATCACTTGTTGGATTCTAAAAACACCTTCTGCTCGACAACTGCATTTAAAGCATTCAGCCCACAGGCTTAAGGAGTGCACTATTTCTCAGTGCCTGCATCGACTCTCATAATACAAAGGCCTCCAGCACGGGCACCTGCCAGCGAGTTACGTGCACGCACAGGGAGGTGGCCTGGGACCACTGGGAGGGGCCTCGCTGTGCTGACAACGGACCCTGCAGCGCATCTGTAAACATCAGAATAAACCCCCCAAAGCCGTGTCTCTTGCCAGGGACCACTGCTTCTCAGATTTTAGTTGGAGCTAGTGGAAGATTATAAACAGTTACAAGCAGATGGAAAGGCCACTGGCCCTGACCTGCTGCCTGTACACTCTCCACACGCACAGCAGCACATAGAGAAACGATTTTCCCAACTGCTAATGTCTGGAGACATTTTTGGTTGTACCAACGGGGGATCCAAAGGCAGGTGCTCCTGGCATCTGTGGGTGGAGGCCACGGCTGCTGCTAACATCCTGCAGTACCCAGGACAGCCTCACGATGGAGCACAACTCAGCCCGAGGCTGAGTTAAACCAACTGCTGTTTTTTGTTTGTTTTGAGGTTTTTTGATTTGTTTTGTTTTGTTTTGAGACAGGGTCTCAACCCTGTCTCCAGGCTGGAGTGCAGTGGCGCGATCTCAGCTCACCGCAACCTCCGCCTCCCTGGTTCAAGAGATTCTCCTGCCTCAGCTTCCTGAGCAGCTGGGACTACAGGCGCGCACCACCACGCCCAGCTAACTTTTGTATATTTAGTAGAGACGGGGTTTCACCATGTTGGCCACGATGGTCTCGATCTCCTGACCTTGTGATCCGCCCGCCTTGGCCTCCCAAAGTGCTGGAATTACAGGCGTGAGCCACCCCGCCCGGCCTCGGATAACTTTTGTATTAGAAATGGGATTTCACTACTTTGCCCAGGATAGTCCCAAACTCCTGGCCTCAAGGGATCCTCATGCCTCGGCCTCCCAAATTGCCTCCAAAAGGGATTTTGGGCCTGAGCGACTGCACGTGGTCACCAACTTTTACTGAACATCCAGGGTCTGGCCGTAGCTCAGTGCAGGACGCACAGCAACAACAGATGAGAATGAATAAAATCTACATTGTGTCAAAGTAGAACAGCATTTACCCGCAGGTGGGGTAGAGGCAAGAGGAAGGTACTGTATGACGGATACAGTTTCCCTTTGGGATGATGGAAAAGTTGTGATCGCAGAACTTCATGCGCCACAGAAGGGCATTTTGGTCAGGGATGGACCACAGATAACCACTGTGGTCCCGTAGATTAGAACGCAGCCGGGAAATTCCTGTCACCTGGTGGCGTGACAGGAATAGCCATCGCCATCCTAGCCATCGCCATCCTAGCCATCGCCACATCCTAGCACAACTTTAAAAAATCAGTTTAGTGTAGGCCACGCCAAGTGTTTATAAAGTCTGCAGCAGTGCACAGTTCTGTCCTCAGCCTTCATGTTCCCTCAGCACTCGCTCACCCAGGGCAACCTGCAGTGCAGCAAGCTCTGTGCATGGCAGGGGCCCTACCCAGGCATGCCGTTATCTTGTATACCCTATTTTTACAGCACCCTTTCTATGTTTAGACACACAAACACTTCCCATGGTGCCACAGCTGCCTGCAGTGCTCAGCACCGTAACTAACACTGGCAGGTTTGTGCTGGGCCTATAACCGGCTGCACTTTCTAGTTTTGTGACGGGCGCTCCATGACGCTCCCAGAGCAACAGAATCGCCTAGCGATGCGTTTCTTGGAACCTATCCCTGTCATCAAGCAACGCGTGACTTTAATGCCAGTGAAATGTACATTTGAAAATGGTTAAAATGGTAAGGTTTACATTATGTATGTTCTACCACAATGATAAAAGTTAACGTATTATCGAGCTGTGTTCACTCCCGGCTCTCGCAGATCTCTCAGCGACGGAGAGGAGGGACCAGGGTCAGGAGAAGAGGCCACACCCGCCCTGCCCAGGAAGCCCTCCAGCCAGGGGGGCAGGCAGCGTCTCCCACTGCGCCACCCACACACGGCATCTGCGACATTTTTCAGGGCCTCCCACCCTGCGGCTTGCTGTCTTTCGTCCTCCTCTGTCCACTCACGCCCTCCCACGTTCATTTCCAGGCTTCATCCTGGAGGAACCTCCCCACGGGCAGCACCTGCTAGGACACCTCCATTTCTTCTTTCCTTTAATTAAGAGACAGGGTCTGGCTCTGTCGTCCAGGCTGGAGGGCAGCAGTGCAATCACGGCTCACTGCAGCCTGGACATCTTGGGCTCAAGCCATCCTCCCGCCTCAGCCTCCCAAGTAGCTGAAGTACAGGCACAGGCAACACCACACCCAACTCCAAATATCCTTCCTTGACTTGGGCCACAGCCTGGGGAAAAGAGCAGAGGCCAAATCCCCACAATTATTATTAATATCACATGCCCAGCACCATGAATGGTGGCCAGTATTCAGCAAACATTTAATTTATTATTTACAAATATGGAAGACACATAAGGGACAACCATTCAGGTGGTGACGTCCAGCTTCAACAGAGCTAAGCTCAGAGCCCCTTTGCAGTGAGTAATAGGCAGGACCCAAGGGGAGACCCTGTATCATGAGGTGTAAGAAAAAACATCAGCCAGGCGCGGTGGCTCACACCTGGAATCCCAGCACTTTGGGAGGCTGAGGTGGGTGGATCACCTGAAGTCAGGAGTTCGAGACCATCCTGGCCAACATGGTGAAACCCTGTCTCTACTGAAAATACACAAATTATCTGGGCGTGGTGGCACGTGCCTGTAATCCCCAGCTAATCGGAGGCTGTGGCAGGAGAATCACTTGAATCCGGGAGACAGAGGTTGCAGTGAGCCGAGATCACGTCACTGCACTCCAGCCTGGGCAACACGGTGAGACTGTCTCTTTTTTTTTTTTTTTTGAGATGGAGTTTCGCTCTTGTTGCCCAGGTTGGAGTGCAATGGCGCGATCTCGGCTCACCACAACCTCCGCCTCCCAGGTTCAAGCGATTCTCCTGCCTCAGCCTCCCAAGTAGCTGGGATTACAGGCTACTTTTCTGTATTTTTAGTAGAGACGGGGTTCTCCATGTTGGTCAGGCTGGTCTTGAACTCCCGACCTCAGGTGATCCACCCACCTCAGCCTCTCAAAGTGCTGGGATTACAGGCGTGAGCCACCACACCTGGCTGAGACTGTCTCAAAAAAAAAAAGAAAAAGAGAAAAGAGAGGAAACAAACATCGCCTGTTGGCTTCAACAGCAGAACCCACAGGTGTCAGCAGACACAAAATCCACTTGCCGGGAAAGGCTGCTTCTTGGCTGTAACCTCTCAGGTCCCCAGGTCAAGGCAAGCTGAGCCACCAAGGACAAAGTACATTCACATGGTGTTTCCATTCAACATTCACTATAGCAACAGTGACCAAAGGCAGAAGTCCAGGATGAAAAGCCTGGAGCTGAAGGCCACCCTGGCAAGCGGCCAGTCGAGTTACCCCAGTCAGGGCTCATGGGAGGGTCCCACAGGCCAGGGGAAGCCGACCCTGCAGGCCACGCCCTCACCAGGGCTGAGGGGTCCCCTCCCGGTGTCACCCACCCCCCGGCTCACGTCCCTGTGGCTTCAGAGGGGCCCAGCCCAGGCAGCCCCCGTGTGTGGGTGACACCAGTGCCGTGCTGATGGGGACAGATACACAGGGTCTCCAAGGGCCCTGGTGATGCCCTGCCCTTTGAGATGCATTGGCTGCATTCCCAGCGGTCACGACAACCTCCTGTAAGAGGAAGTGACCCTAGAAAGCCACCAGTGTGAGCCTGGACATGCGTCACTGCCTCCGCACAGCACGCGGCCGTGAGGCCTGGACACACTGGGGCAGCTGAGCCCCCGTAACGAGTGAAAGGCTTACTTGAGTCTCGGCTGCTGAACGGCCACCCCGACGTCGGCAGGAAGGACGGCACCGGGGAGCTGGCCCGGCTGTCATCTTCCACCTGCTGTGTGATGTGCCGGACGGTCTCTTTGTTTTTCCGATTCTTCCTTCGGCCCGTGGGCTGCCAGGCATCACCAGCACTCTGCTCTGAGAAAGAGTTCTGTACTGCACCGTCCTTGGCAGAAGGCAGCTCGCTCCCTCCGTACTGAGACGGTGAAACCTGCTCTTCCTTGATGCGCAGAGGCCCGTAGCCCACGTCTCCAGGCCATAGAGGCTGTGAAGAAACATCATCAGGGCCATCGGCCTTGGGCTCCTGATCCTCTTTCCCGTAGCTGCTCCCTCCGTCGTGACAGCTGGCGATGGCCGAGTCTCCGGAAGAATTGGCAGGACTCGTTCGCCGTGCCAGCCACGGGGAGATGCTCCTCCCAGCCATCACGGCCGAGATGAGAGCTTCCGTGCTGCTGCTGGACGAGGCGCCGATCTCGAACTCCGCAAGCTCATCTGAGGCGTCCGACTTGATGCTGATGTCCAGCGCCGCCTTGATGAAGTCGTGGCAGGCTTGCACGATGTCCGTCATCTGCAGGAAGCTGGCGGCTGACATCACCTCGATGACGTTCCTGCTGGTGAGCGCCAGGTGCGCTGAGTACATGAAGTCGATGATGGCCTTGAAGCCCTGGGCCGTGACGATGTCCAGGTGCGTGACCGTGGCCTGCTCCGACGTCTTCTGCACCTGGCAGTAGAGCGTCTTGAAGTAGCGGCTGCTGCCCAGCAGGACGTTCTTGTGCGCCTTGAAGACCTTGCCCTCCACGACCACGCAGACGTCGCACAGGACGCCGTGCTGCCTCTGCTCGTTGAGCTCCCGCAGCAGGTGCCGGTAGTGGGACGTGATTTCCATATCTTCCTTTCGGTTGTTCATTTGGAAGCCCTGGTGTCGCCTCTTCTACAGACTCTGTGGAGGTAAGAACAAGAGTTACCCAAGCTCAGCACAGACAGAGGCCGTGAGAGGACGCCGGGCGGGGCGCAGGAGGGCCATGGGGCACAGAGTGCGGCCAGTGGGAGGACGACCCACGCGAGAGCCCATCCACAGGTGTGCAGCGGGAGGCCTGTGTCTCCGCCTGAAGCAGGGCAGCAAACACCGGAGGGCACCAGTGCGTCCAGGGTGGGACGTCTGCCACGTGTTTCCGTGCTCGAGGCTAATGGGGTTCTGAACAGAATCCCACATACGGCAACTGGCATATCCCAGGAACGATGAGAACACCCAGCCGTGGCTGAGCAACTCTTACCCAAACTGAGAACTCGGTTAAATGACCTACACTGTGGCCATCCCTCACGCTTGAAGAAACATTCTTAAGGAAAAAGAATAAAACTTCCAGGCTGGGCGCGGTGGCTCATGCCTGTAATCCCAGCAATCTGGGAGGCCGAGGAGGGTGGAGCACAAGGTCAGGAGATCGAGACCATCCTGGCCAACATGGTGAAACCCTGTCTCTACTAAAAATACAAAAAAAGCAGCTGGGCATGGTGGCGGGAGCCTGTAGTCCCAGCTATTCAGGAGGCTGAGGCAGGAGAATGGCGTGAACCCGGGAGGCGGAGCCTGCAGTGAGCCGAGATCGCGCCAGTGCACTCCAGCCTGGGCGACAGGGCGAGACTCCATCTCAAAAAAAAAAAAAAAAAAAAAAAACTTCTTACACAAAAAACCACAGAATAAGGAATTAAAGCATTCATAGCCTTAGTCCTGAAAATTTCCAAAACTCTGAGCTCAAACGAGCTGAAGTCTTCTGGAGGAGGGAGGCTTCCTGGCTTAGGCCTGGGTCCCTGCCCAGCACTGGGACAGGGCAGGAGGGAGCTCAGGCCCTGCGGCTGCCAGCGCCCTGGACGTCTGAGACACGACTGGTCTCTGGGTCCCCCTCATCAGAAGACAGCCCTGCCTCACAGAGTCACAGGACACACAGAATCATTTCTGAATTGGGTACACCCCGTCCCGGAGTCTCTCCTGTCTCTCCTTAGACTCAGGGATGTGAGTCCTCCGCCTGTTCTCGTCTGCTGGGGCCGCCCTATCAAGCCTGGGAGGCTCAAACAACAGAAACGTATTCTCAAGTCCAGAATCAGGATGTCGGCCGAGCTGGTGCCTGTTCCAGCCCCTCCCCCAGCCGGCGTTCTGTGTGGAGGCATCGCACGAGCTCTGCCTCTGTCTCAACACGGCTTCTCCCGGTGTGCACGTCTGTGTCCAAATGTCACCCTTTCACAAGGACACCAGTCGTCCGGGAGTAGGGGCCCACCCCCACGGCCTCATCTTAATTAATCATATCCACAGTGACCCTGTTTCCAATAAGGTCACATTCTGGGGTCCTAGGGGGCTAGAACTTCCACAGACAAATCGTAAGGGGACACGTTCACCCCACAGCCCTGCCTGGGAAAGAAACAGTGGTTGGGTCTCTCCCGTTACAAACCCCATTCTCCAGCTGATAAGTCAAGTAGGACTCACCTGAAATGCTAAATGTGTTTAATAGGAGAAAACTAAGCGAGCGTGGGAGTATTACATGTCCTTCCGGCAAGGAGCCCCCACATGCAGCCCTCATGGGGGACGGGGTCGGGGGCTCAGCAGTTTTGTATCACACACTCCTGGGCTCCGACTGGTTACGACATACACACCTTCACTTAGTCATGACAGAATATTTTCTTCTTTTTTTTTTTTTGAGACGGAGTCTCGCTCTGTCCCCCAGGCTGGAGTGCAGTGGTTTGATCTCCGCTCACTGCAAGCTCCGCTCCCAGGTTCATGCCATTCTCCTGCCTCAGCCTCCCGAGTAGCTGGGACTACAGACACCCGCCACCACGCCTGGCTGACATTTTTGTATTTTTAGGAGAGATGGGGTTTCACCATTTTGGCCAGGCTGGTTTCAAACTCCTGACCTCAGATGATCCACCCGCCTCGGCCTCTCAAAGTGCTGGGATTACAGGCGTGAGCCACCACGCCCAGCCTAAAATGTCCTGAGAAAAGTAATTATTCTGTCTCACATTTCACAGGCCGGGAAGATGAGGTAGAAAGGAGAGAGAAGCTTTTGTGCCTGTCTCTGCCTTCAGGGTCCTGGGCCATCCCCTCCTTGGATGGTGTGGGGTTCCCAGGCCCCCACAGCCGGTGTTGCCTGCCGGGAGACGCGCTGCAGAAGACCGGGCCCAGCCTCCCCTTCACTTCCTGCCCGCCGGGCACGAGGGCTGTGACGGCGGTGACCGCTGACCATTACAGGAAGGGCCTCAAGCCCCCAAGATGCCAAGACCAGGCCCCCGCCTGACTCCAGGTGCTGCCTCAACGGCGGCAGAGAACAAAGGCCCCATCCCGCCCCACACTGGCCCCGGGCTTGAGGGCTGGAGGCAAACGCGTGTGGGTGCGAGCAGAACAAGGAGCTGCCGAAAAGGAAGAGATGACATTCGGAGCAGGCTGTGGGGAGGGGGTCATGTGCTGAGGCCGCCCAGTGGTTCTTGACCGGAGAGCATCTCAGAGCCCCAGGAGGGCAGGGCAGGTGTCCCACCAGGCACAGCTTCACCCAGATTAACTAGGCATCGGGGAAGTGACCAAAACACACTTCAAACCCAGGAAAACAACCATTCAATCCCGAAGCTGGGGGGTCCACAAGTGACACCTGGCTCCGGGCCACGTGATGGGAACCGTCAAAAGCTCCAGGCACCCTGTATCCAGGCTAGGAAGCTGACCGATCATATTTAATTTCCTACGTGAATAAAACGTCTCTTTATTCATCAGGAAAACAGAGCCTGTAAGAATTAAGGAGAACTATGAAAACAACAACAAAAAAAATGCCAGAGATTTTATAGAAGCAGCGGCTACCTCACAACGGTCCACACCTCCACGTAAGATTTTATAGAAGCAGCGGCTACCTCACAACGGTTCACATCTCCACATAAGTTCAACTTAAATCAAAAGTTCTGAAATACATTTAATAATGTATTTCAATCCAATCAGGGCAGCTTAAAATCAGTTATATACTCAGAGATTTTATAGTTAAAAAAATAAATAAATAAAATTTTCATTTGGGAAAAAAGTTATCTGTCAGGCCAGGCGCGGTGGCTCACGCCTGTAATCCCAGCACTTTGGGAGGCCGAGGCGGGTGGATCATGAGGTCAGGAGATCGAGACCATCCTGGCTAACACGGTGAAACCCCGTCTCTACTAAAAATACAAAAAATTTGCTGGGCGTGATGGCGAGTGCCTGTAGTCCCAGCTACTCAGGAGGCTGAGGCAGGAGAATAGCGTGAACCCGGGAGGCGGAGCTTGCAGTGAGCTGAGATCGAGCCACTGCACTCCATCCAGCCTGGGTGACAGAGCAAGACTCCGTCTCAAAAAAAAAAAAAAAAGTTATCTATCCACTAAAAGGAAAAAAGTAACAATCTTTTGCAGTGGCACGATCTCGGCTCACGGCAGCCTCCAACTCCTGGGCTCAAGCAATCCTCTTGCCTCAGCCACCCAAGTAGCTAGGACCACAGGTGCACACCCCAATGCCTGGCTAACTCTTTCATTTTTTGTAGTGACAGGAGTCTTGCTTTGTTGCCCAGGCTGATCTCAAACTCTTGGGCTCAAGCGATCTTCCCACCTCGGCCTCCCAAAGCACTGGAATTACAGGCGTGAACCACCACACCCTGACAAAAAACGATAATCTTCAAAAGAGATTAGTCAGCTACGGAAATATTAAGAATACACATAATCTCTCTAAGCCCAGAACAGGGAAGTTCTAGGAGAATATTTGAATTTACATTTCAAATTCAATAATCTCTCAGCATCAGAAATCTGCTCGTGGGGCCACGTCAACCCCACTGTGGTAGAAGAGCAGCTGCAACCCCAAAACAGAAGCACCCGGGGCTACTCAGGCTCGACACGCAAGCAGCGGACTTGAGCTCACAACCCGTATTCTGTGTGGGAAGCACCTGCCCTGGCCTGGAGGAGCACAAGATCTAACGGACACACCCCTGGCCACAGGACACACCTGTGGGCAGACAGCTGCATCCACAGGACACACACCTGTTTGCTGGGCACACCTGTGGCTGCGGCAAAGGCTCACAAGCACTTGGTACATCTCAGGTCCCCGTGTGGCACCCCCGTGCGCGAGGTGCCCCTTCAGAGAGGAGCTCCCGATCCACACTGGGGCACAGGTGCCAAGTCTCCAAAGAGTGGGTGCTGCGGGCTGCAGGGACCAAGGGGCACCCGCGGCTGCACTGATGTCAGGTTGCCCAATAGCTACCCTAGACCCTCAGAGGGACGCCGCCTCTGCTGTCTCCTCCAAACACCGCCTCAGCTTTTTCTGAGGCTTCTTGGTATCTGCTTTACTTATATATCACGAATCTCAAGATCCTTCCCTTCAAACAGAATCGCTTATGAAACGGGCATCAGCATAACCACTCTGGTGACCACAACAACCTGAAGCCATGCTCCAAACTCACAAGCCGCGTCACCGTGCAGGTGCTGGGGGCACAAACCCACGCATGGCTCTGCCTCAACCGCCGACAACCAGGTGCACGGGACGCTGCGCAGTTACACCGTGCAGGCTCTGCCCCAGGTGCACAGGACGCGGTGCAGTTACATTGTGCAGGCAGTGAGGGGGGCTGCGTGGGGCCTGTCCTGCCAGGCAGGCAATGCGCCAGCACACTGTGCTTTTGGGGGCTATTTCAAACCCCAATAGCCACCAGGAGAGGGAGAGGTGGTCTCCACAGTGCACGCTAACGAACTGAGGGCCTCAAAACCAGCACAGCTGGGAGGGATTCAGCGGCGAGCCTGTGCTTCTAGGTCCAAAGCCCGGGTGCTCCCACCCATCGTGCCGTCCTGTGCTGGCACCAGGTCGGCCAATCCTCCCTGGGATCCGGGGAGCAAGGTCATGCACCTGTGTCCCCAGCAGAATGACCACCGGCAAACAGGCTCCGCCAAACGTGGCTTCTATCCTCCTCCTCCCTGGGTCAGCTGGAGTGAAGGAAGAGTGGCCTCTGCCGAATGCGCATAGGAACGGCCCAGCCTCTAGGGCCATCTTGGAAGTGGCGGTGCCCATCCCAAATCCTCTCTCCAACAGACTCCCGGAAGGTGACGGGTGTCCATCATTGAGCGCCTTTGAAGACTGTAAACAGGCGCGCTGCTGTTGAGGACGCACACTTCCCACTCACTCCAATCCTCTCATTTGAGGACGAATGTGCCCTGGCCACAGCCTGGATAGATGCCTGTGTCGCAGGACGCAGACCAAGGAAATCTGAAGACCGCGATGAATATACTCCATTTGCTGCACTGTGTGTTCAAAGTATTAATTTAGGGGGCAGACTGGGGTTATTTTTCCCCGCGTCCCTAAGGAGCTCTGCCCGGAAGGCTGTTTGTTCTAATAAAAATGTAAAACAGCAGGCGTGATTCAGGCGGTAGTGTGTCTGCCGCATCCACCGGACGCCCGATCCGCGTAGGGCACAAGGCAGGGAGGGCGGGAGGCCTCGGGTGCCCCCTGCTGGCAGCGCCTGGCACGCGGCGTCCCGGGCCTCCGGCTCCTCCCCTAGGGCCCATCCCTGCGTCTAATTCCAAACCACTCAGCGGGCAAGAACGACCCTCTCAAACATCAACTCACACTGTTTTACCACATTCACACTTGATCTCTCTGTTTTGCCTCTGACTTGAAACCTGCATTTCCGTTAGGCTCCACTTAAACCTTTCATTTAAAATTCTGCTTAAGGCCGAGTGCGGTGGCGCACGCCTGTCATCCCAGCACTTTGGGAGGCCGAGGCGGGCGGATCACCTGAGGTCAGGAGTTCAAGACCAGCCTGGCCAATATGGTGAAACCCCATCTCTACTAAAATACAAAAATTAGCAGGACGTGATGGCAGGCGCCTGTAATCCCAACTACTTGGGAGGCTGAGGCAGGAGAATCACTTGAACCTGCGAGGCGGAGGTTGCAGTGAGCCGAGATCATACCATTGCACTCCAGCCTGGGCAACAAGAGTAAGACTCCATCTCAAAAAAATAAAATAAAATAAAAATAAAATAAAATAAAATTTTGCTTAAAATGTAATCTAACAGGCCAGGCACGGTGGCTCAGGCCTATAATCCCAACACTTTGGGAGGCTGATGCAGGAGGATCACTTGAGGTCAGGAGTTCAAGTCCAGCCTGGGCAAAATGGTGAAACCCGGTTTTTGTTTTTGTTTTTTTATATATACTTTAAGTTCTAAGGGTACATGTGCACAACGTGCAGGTTTGTTACATACGTACACATGTGCCATGTTGGTGTGCTGCACCCATTAACTCGTCATTTACATTAGGTATATCTCCTAATGCTATCTCTCCCCCCTCCCCCCACCCCACAACAGGCCCTGGTGTGTTCCCCACCCTGTGTCCAAGTGTTCTCATTGTTCAATTCCCACCTATGAGTCAGAACATGCAGTGTTTGGTTTTCTGTCCTTGTGATAGTTTGCTCAGAATGATGGTTTCCAGCTTCATCCATGTCCCTACAAAGGACATGAACGCATCCTTTTTTATGGCTGCATAGTATTCTATGGTGTACATGTGCCACATTTTCTTAATCTGGTCTATCATTGATGGATGTTTGGGTTGGTTCCAAGTCTTTACTATCGTGAATAGTGCCACAATAAACATACGTGTGCATGTGTCTTTATAGCAACATGATTTATAATCCTTTGGGTATATACCCAGTAATGGGATGGCTGGGTCAAATAGTATTTCTAGTTCTAGATCCTTGAGGAATTGCCACACTGCCTTCCACAATGGTTGAACTAGTTTACAGTCCCACCAACAGTGTGAAAGTGTTCCTATTTCTCCACATCCTCTCCAGCACCTATTGCTTCCTGACTTTTTAATGATCACCATTCTAACTGGTGTGAGATGGTATCTCATTGTGGTTTTGATTTGCATTTCTCTCACGGCCAGTGATGATGAGCAGTTTTTCATCTGTCTGTTGGCTGCATAAATGTCTTCTTTTGAGAAGTGTCTGTTCATATCCTTTGCCCACTTTTTGATGGGGTTGTTTGATTTTTTCTTGTAAAGTTGTTTAAGTTCTTTGTAGATTCTGGATATTCGCCCTTTGTCATGAGTAGATTGCAAAAATTTCCTCCGATTCTGTAGGTTGCCTGTTCACTCTGATGGTAGTTTCTTTTGCTGTGCAGAAGCTCTTTAATTAGATCCCATTCATCAATTTTGGCTTTTGTTGCCATTGCTTTTGGTGTTTTAGACATGAAGTCCTTGCCCATGCCTGTGTCCTGAATGGTATTGCCTAGGTTTTCTTCTAGGATTTTTATGGTTTTAGGTCTAACATTTAAGTCTTTAATCCATCTTGAATTAATTTTTGTATAACGTGTAAGGAAGGGATCCAGTTTCAGCTTTCTCCATATGGCTAGCCAGTTTTCCCAGCACCATTTATTAAATAGGGAATCCTTTCCCCATTCCTTATTTTTGTCAGGTTTGTCAAAGATCAGATGGTTGTAGATGTGTGGTATTATTTCTGAGGGCTCTGTTCTGTTCTATTGGAAACCCGGTCTTTACAAAAAATACAAAAATTAGCTGGGCGTTGGCCGCGCGTGGTGGCTCACACCTGTAATCTCAGCACTTTGGGAGGCCGAGGTGGGCGGATTACCTGAGGTCAGGAGTTCAAGACCAGCCTGGCCAACATGGTCAAACCCCGTCTCTACTAAAAATACAAAAATTAGCCGGGCATGGTGGCACATGCTTGTAATCCCAGCTACTCAGGAGGCTGAGGCAGGAGAATCACTTGAGCCTGGGAGGTGGAGGTTGCAGTGAGCCAAGATCATGCCACTGCACTCCAGCCTGGCCAACAGAGCTAGACTCTGTCTCAAAAAAAAAAAAAAAAAAATTAGCTGGGCATGGTAGTGCACACCTGTGAGTCCCAGCTACTAAGGAGGCTGAGGTGGGAGAATCACCTGAGCCTGGGAGGCAGAGGATGCAGTGAGCCAAGATGGTGCCACTGCACTCCAGCCTGGGTGACAGAGCGAGACTCTGTCTAAAAAAAAAAAAAAAAATGTAATTAACAGATAAATCACCATTTTAAAGTGGAAGCAAGATACCCTTGGCTCTAGAATCAAACTGCCAGTGGCCAGGAGGGCTCTGGGGAAGACAAAGGTGGCCGCAGCCATCTGTCCAGATCAAGTTTAACTCACCTACTCTAAGAACTGCTCTCCACAATTATTTTGGTGAAACTGTTTTGTTTTCAGACAAGGTGTCACTCAGTCACCCAGGCTGGAGTGCAGTGGCATGATCAGGGCTCACTGCAGCCTCCACCTCCCGGGCTCAAGCAATTCTCCCACCTCAGCCCCCTGAGTAGCTAGGACCACAGGTGCACACCACCACACTCAGCTAATTTTTTTTTTTTTTTAATTTCTTACAGAGACAGGGTTTCACCATGTTGCTCAGGCTGGTCTCGAAGTGCTGGGCTCAAGCCATCCACCAGCCTCAGCCTCCCAAAGTTCTGGGACTACAGGCGTGAGTCATCACGTGTGGCCTGGTGAGACTAACTTTTTTTTTTCTTTTAGATGGAGTCTTGCTGTCGCCCAGGCTAGAGTGCAGTGGTGCAATCTCAGCTCACAGCAATCTCCACCTCCTGGGTTCAAGCGATTCTTGTACCTCAGCCTCCCAGGGAAGCTGGGATTACAGGTGTGTGCCACCACACCCAGCTAATTTTTGTAATTTTAGTAGGGACAGGGTTTCGCCATGTTGGCCAGGCTGGTCTCGAGCTCCTGGCCTCAAGTGATCCTCCCACCTCAGCCTCCCAAAGTGCTGGGATTACAGGCACAAGCCACCACGTGTAGCCTGGTGAAACTAATCTTTTAGCAGGAAAACGTTTTGAACAGACACATCACAAAGAAGAAGCATCAGCAGGCACACATGGACAGAGGCTTCCCCAGCTGTCGGGGAAGTGCGCCCGGAACCACAGCAAGCTCCCCCATGAGAGTGGCCAGGACTAAGAGGCAAGGCCACACCATGTGTCCTCGAGGACACGAGCACCTGGAGCCTGCTCAGCTGCTGAGGGCACATGGAACGGTGCAGCCGCTGTGGAAAACAGTTCAGCAAAGCTGAACTCCACAGGACCCAACAACTCCGGTACCTACCCGAGAAGCAAAACCACCTGTCCAGACAGACTCATGCGTGAACGTTCACACCAGCTTCGCTCAGAACAGCCAAGGTTTGGGAACAACCCGAATGTCCAAATGTGCATCAACAGGTGAGCAGGTAAACACGGGATGCTTCCAAACTGCAGAGGCAGCTCAGGCACAAGAAGGGGCTGCTGGGCTCCGTCCCGGCCTCGGCACCCTGGGGCACCTCCCTGCTCAGCCTTCCGTCCCCCTATACAGGTCACATCCACGCCACACGGATTATCCCACAGTTACGCTGAGTAAGAGAAGACAGTCACCAAGGAAAGCGTGTGATTCCCTTTATAGGAAACTCTAGACAACAGAAGTGAGTCCACAGTGGCAGACAACCGGCCAGGGGCTGCCTGGGCTGGGGTAGGGGGAGAGGCTGCGGGAAGCTCCTGTGGTGATGGTGAGAGTTGACAGCATGCTGGCAAGCCCTCACAG
The DNA here is from genome assembly GCF_000001405.40 of Homo sapiens. Classification (NCBI taxonomy): domain Eukaryota; kingdom Metazoa; phylum Chordata; class Mammalia; order Primates; family Hominidae; genus Homo; species Homo sapiens. The sequence continues at coordinate 63,800,414 of NC_000020.11, forward strand.
CCCTCACTCACTCTTGGCGCCTCCTCGACCTCAGCGCCCACTCTGGCTGCACTTGAGGAGCCCTTCAGCCCGCTGCTGCACTGTGGGAGCCCCTTCCTGGGATGGCCAAGGCCGGAGCCGGCTCCCTCAGCTTGCGGGGAGGTGTGGAGGGAGAGGCGTGGGCGGGAACCGGGGCTGCGTGCGGCGCTTGCGGGCCAGCTAGAGTTCCGGGTGGGTGTGGGCTTGGCGGCCCCACACTCGGAGCGGCCCAGGGCAATGAGGGGCTTAGCACCCGGGCCAGCAGCTGCGGAGGGTGTCCGCCAGCAGTGCCGGCCCACCGGCGCTGTGCTTGATTTCTCGCCGGCCCTAGCTGCCTCCCCTCAGGGCAGGGCTTGGGACCTGAAGCCCGCCATGCCTGAGCCTCCCCCTCCCCGCAGTGGGCTCCTGCAGAGCTTCCCTGACGAGTGCCCCTCCCTGCTCTACCGCGCTGGGTCCCATCAACTGCCCAAGGGCTGAGGAGTGCAGGTGCACAGAGCGGGACTGGCAGGCAGCTCCACCTGCAGCCCCAGTGCCGGATCCACTCGGTGAAGACAGCTGGGCTCCTGAGTCTGGTGGGGACTTGGAGAACCTTTATGTCTAGCTAAGGGATTGTAGATACACCAATCAGCACTCTGTGTCTAGCTCAAGGTTTGTAAATGCACCAATCAGTACCCTGTGTCTAGCTCAAGGTTTGTAAATGCACCAATCAGTGCTCTGTGTCTAGCTGATCCGGTGGGGACTTAGAGAACCTTTATGTCTAGCTGAGGGATTGTAAATACACCAATCAGCACTCTGTATCTGGCTCAAGGTTTGTGAACACACCAATCAGCGCCCTGTATCCAGCTCAAGGTTTGTGAATGCACCAATCAGTGCTCTGTGTCTAGCTATCTAGTGAAGACTTGGAGAACTTTTGTGTCTAGCTCAAGGATTGTCAACGCACCAATCAGCACCCTGTCAAAATGGGCCAATCAGCTCTCTCTAAAACAGACCAATCAGCTCTCTGTAAAATGGACCAATCAGCAAGATGTGGGTGGGGCCAGGTAAGGGAATAAGAGCAGGCTGCCCCAACCAGCAGTGGCAACTTGCTGGGGTCCCCTTTCATACATTGAAAGTGTTGTTCTTTTGCTCTTTGCAATAAATCTTGCTGCTGCTCACTCTTTGGGTCCACACTGTCTTTATGAGCTGTAAGACTCACCGTGAAGGTCTGCAGCTTCACTCCTGAAGCCAGCCAAGACCACGAACCCACCAGAAGGAAGAAACTCCAAACACGTCTGAACATCAGAAGGAACAAACTCCAGACACGCCGCCTTTAAGAACTGTAACACTCACCGCGAGAGTCCATGGCTTCATTCTTGAAGTCAGTGAGACCAAGAACCCACCAATTCCAGACACAATGGGGACGGCCTGTGTCTCCAAAGCCACCGGCAGCTCCACCCAAGAGTTCGAGCTCATCAGATTATGCTCGTTAAACAAGTGCTGTTTGCTGCACGTAAATTATGCCTCAATAAAGGATTAGTTTTTGTAAAAATATTTTTCCTCAGCTATAATCCTGTGCTTATCCAAGGACCTCACTGCCATTTGTTACGGGTTGAACCCCCCGCCCCCGCCTCCCAAATTCATGTTGAAGCCCTAACCCCTCATATTTCAGAATTCCACCTTATTTGGAAATAGGTCATTGCAGATGCAATTAATTAAGATGAGGTCGCTGGGGCTGGACACGATGGCTCACACCTGTAATCCCAGCACTTTGGGAGGCAGAGGCAGGCAGATTGCTTGAGGCCAGGAGTTTGAGACTAGCCTGGCCAACATGGTAAACCCCCGTCTCTACTAAAAATACAAATATTAGCCGGGTGTGGTGGCGCACGTCTGTAATCCCAGCTACTCAGGAGGCTGAGGCACAAGAATCACTTGAACCGGGAGACGGAGGCTGCAGTGAGCTGAGATTGCGCCACTGCACTCCAGCCTGAGTGACAGAATGAGACCCTCTCAAAAAAAAAACAATGAGGTTACTGGGGGCCCCTAATCCAGTATGATAAGTACCCTTAAAAGGGGAAGAAATTTGGACACAGGTCGGCACAAAGCGGCAGCGGCGGAGGCCCCGGCAAGAGGCTGGAGAGAGGCCTGGAGCAGACCCCCAGCACCCTCCCAGAAACCGCGGCGGGCCGACAACCGAACCTCAGACCCCCAGCACCCTCCCAGGAACCGCGGTGGGCCGACAACCGAACCTCAGACCCCCAGCACCCTCCCAGGAACCGCCGCGGCCGACGACCGAACCTCAGGCCCCCAGCACCCTCCCAGGAACCGCGGTGGGCCGACAACCGAACCTCAGGCCCCCAGCACCCTCCCAGGAACCGCCGTGGCCGACGACCGAACCTCAGGCCCCCAGCACCCTCCCAGGAACCGCCGCGGCCGACGACCGAACCTCAGGCCCCCAGCACCCTCCCAGGAACCGCGGCGGGCTGATGCCCAAACCTCAGACCTCCGGCCTCCAGGACTGGAGGGAACAGATGTCTGTTGTTTACGACGTTCCCTTTGTGGCCCTTTGACATGGCAGCCCCAGGTCACTGACGCCCCGTTTCTACCACCAAAGAGCGCGATGCCACAGACGCCAACAGGAGGAAACACGTTTCTGGGCAGCTCTGCCCACTCTTGCGAAGAAACCCACCAACCCGGCTCCCCCAGGGCACCTCACCAGCAGGAACCAGGCGTGGGCACCATCCCCCAGGATGCCATCCAGGCAGGGACCAGTGTGGGCACCATCCCCCAGGGCGCCTCACCAGCAGGAACCAGGCACCTCCCCTCACACCAAGGCGTTCATGGTTTACCTTCTTCTGAAAAAATTAAGGTTAAGACATGAATACTGTGAAACTGTCGTACAAATTAAATTTCATATACATCATATTACCATTGTTCGTGGTCGCATTTCAAAATTTTTAAGTGAGCTCCTGACTAGAAAACACTCCAAGACATGTTAGCAGAGTCGTCTTTCGACAGCGAGACCGGTGGTACTATCCACATCATCTCCAGTGAGCAAGTGGGTGCTGGCGATGAGGACTTTAGGTTTTCCACATGGCAGCCCCCATGTGGCCATCTGAAGATGCAAAGCCATGTCTGCCGGCCCCGGGCTGCCCAGGCCCCGGGCTGCCCAGGTCTCTGTCGGAGGCCCTGCCAGCCCCGCCCCTCCCTGCCCACTGGCCCCTTTCAGTTCCTTCATCTCCAGCCCGGCTCTGACGCCCAGGCCGCCTCCTCCGCCTTCCCGAACCTGGCTACCGTCACTTCCTTCTTTTTGTTTTTGTAATGGGGTCTCACTCTGTCCCCCAGGCTGGAGTGCAGTGGCGCAATCTCGGCTCACTGCAGCCTCAACCTCCCAGGCTCAAGGCATCCTCCCACATCAGCCTCCTGAGCAGCTGGGACCACAGGGGCACGCCACCACACGGGCTAATTTTTTTGTTTTGTAGAGACGGGGTTCTGTCGTGTTGCCCAGGTTGGTCTTGAATTCCTAAACGAACCTGCCGCCCTGGCTTCTCAAAGCGCTGGGATGATAGGCGTGAGCCACTGCACCGACATAACGTCACTTCCTTCTGTCGGGCGTCCCCAGCCAGAGCCCAGCACGCTTCCCCTTTCCAAACACCTCTCACTGCCCTGCGCTGTCCCATCTCAGCCCCAGCCACCAGGGTCTCGGTGGGCTGTGGGGTCCCTGAATGGAGGGGCTTCCACTCCCACCTCAGCAGCTCCAGGCCTCAGCATCCCTCCAGCTCCAGCCAGGTGCCCACCAGTCACACGCAGGGGAAGCCTGGAGCAGTGCCTGGCTCGGGCCATGTGTGAGGGTGGCAGGGGTGCCTCCAGATGGGCACAAGGTGCTCTGGGCACCCAGGAGGGGGCCGGGGCAGCTGAGCTCCTAGTCTGTCATTTGGGTTATAGATGACACAGTGGAACAGGTCAGATCTGTAAAGGCGAATCCTGCCATGAATCACAACAGCAGTCCTGAGCCCTCTCAGCCAATGGACACAGCCTCCCCCTCCTCCAGGAAGCCCTCCCGGGCGTCACTGTTCTTACACTGACAGCACACATGCCACCTCGCTGCCTGACACTGCCCTGCCCTCCTCTCAGCCCAGGGACCACATCTCAATGCTGGACAGGCCCAACACATACACTTGGGGTCAACAAAACTACAGTACCAGGCCGGGCACGGTGGCTCACGCCTGTAATCCCAGCACTTTGGGAGGCCAAGGCAGGTGGATCACCAGGTCAAGAGATCGAGACCAGCCTGGCCAACATGGTGAAACCCCGTCTCTACCAAAATTAAAAAAATTAGCCAGGCGTGGTGGGGGGCGCCTGTAGTCCCAGCTACTCGGGAGGCTGAGGCAGGAGAATCGCTATAACCTGGGAGGCGGAGGTTGCAGTGAGCTGAGTTGGCACCACTGCACTCCAGCCTGGGCAACATAGTGAGACTCCGTCTCAAAAAAACAACAACAAAAAAAACCTACATGACTTTTTTTTTTTTTTCTCAGAAGGAGTCTCGCTCTGTTGCCAGGTTGGAGTGCAGTGACACGATCTCAGCTCACTGCAACCTCCACCTCCCGGGTTCAATTGATTCTCCTGCCTCAGCCTCCTGAGTAGCTGACATTACAGGCTCACACCACCATGCCTGGCTAATTTTTGTATTTTTAGTAGAGACGGGGTTTCACCACGTTGGCCAGGATGGTCTCGATCTCTTGACCTCGTGATCCGCCCACCTCGGCCTCCCAAAGTGCTGGGATTACAGGCATGAGCCACCACGCCCGACCTACAGTACCTTTTGAAAATTAAATCTGTAATACTGATTTACAGTATTTCAAAAATGTCTCATACTAAGTGCTGATAGAAGGTAAAATGAAACAGCAGCCGGGCAGTGTGGTACACACCTCTAATCGCAGCACGTTGAGAGGCTGAGGCGGCAGAATCACTTGAGCCCAGGAGTTGCAGGCTGCAGTCAGTGAGCTCCGATTGCACCACTGTGCTCTAGCTGGAGTGACAGAGCAAGACCCCCATCTCTAAAGGAAAAAAAAAGACACAGGGAGGAGAGAAGGTCATGTGACCACAGGCAGAAACTGGAGTGACAAAGTCACAAGCCAAAGGATGCCTGGAGCCACCAGGAGCTGGAAGAGGCAGGAAGGACCCTGCCTGGAGTCTCCAGAGGGAGCATGGCCCTGAGACACCCTGAGTTCCAGCGCTGGACTCTGGAACTGAGAGGAGACACCTCTGCTGCCGCGAGCTGCCCAGCAGGTGGTACTTTCACAGCAGCCCCAGGAAACTAATACACAAAGCCATGCATCAGCTTTTTTTTTTTTTTCCTTTTTTTTGAGACGGAGTCTCGCTCTGTCGCCCAGGCTGGAGGGCAGTGGCACGATCTCGGCTCACTGAAGCCTTCGGCTCACTGCAACCTCCGCCTCCTGGGTTCAAGTGATTCTCGTGCCTCGGCCTCCCCAGTAGCTGGGATTATAGGTGTGTGCCACCACACCCGGATAATTTTTTTGTATTTTTAGTACAGACAGGGTTTCACCATGTTGGCCAGGTTGGTCTCGAACTCCTGACCTCAGGTGCTCTACCCGCCTCCGCCTCCCAAAGTGCTGGGATTACACGCATGAGCCACCATGCCCGGCCCCAACTTTTAAAAATATTATAATTTTCTCAGAAAGCTAATCAGCTGGCTGGGAAAGGTGGCTCACGCCTGTAATCCCAGCATTTTGGGAGGCTGAGACGAGCGGATCACCTGAGGTCAGGAGTTCGAGACCAACCTGGCCAACATAGTGAAACCCCGTCTCTACTAAAAGTTAAAAAAAAAAATTAGCCTGGCATGGTGACGGGTGCCTGTAATCCCAGCTACTCGGGAGGCTGATGCAGGAAAATTGCTTGAACCCGAGAGGCAGAGGTTGCAGTGAGCCGAGAACATATCACTGCACTCCAGCCCAGGCAACAACAGTGAAACTCCATCTCAAAAAAAAAAAAAAAAGAAAGAAAAGAAAGCTAATCAGCTTAACAAGGCAAGAAAACTATTTGTGTACATTTTAAATCTGAGATACTGCTATGGCTAACTCTGACCTGAAATGGTAACTTCAAAAAAAATAGAACCTAAATAAGAAGGTTGTAATACCTGCTTAAAATAAAGGCAACACTATGCTCTCAAGGAATATGATGGAATCTTTCTCTTTTTTTGAGATGGAATCTGGCTCTGTCACCCAGGCTGGAGTGCAACGGTGCGACCTTGGCTCACTAAAACCTCCACCTCCCACGTTCAAGCGATTCTCCTGCCTCAGCCTCCCATGTAGCTGGGACTACAGGCGCCCACCACCACGCCCAGCTAATTGTTTTGTTTTGGTTTTTTTTTTTGAGATGGAGTCTCGCTCTGTCGGCCAGGATGGAGTGCAGTGGCGCCATCTCGGCTCACTGCAAGCTCCGCCTCCCAGGTTCACGCCATTCTCCTGCCTCAGCCTCCTGAGTAGCTGGGACTACCAGCGCCCGCCACCACACCCGGCTAATTTTTTGTATTTTTAGTAGAGACGGGGTTTCACCGTGTTAGCCAGGATAGTCGCGATCTCCTGACCTCATGATGCACCTGCCTCGGCCTCCCAAAGTGCTGGGATTACAGGCGTGAGCCACCACGCCTGGCCAGGATTGGTGTTAATTCTTAAAATGTTTGATAGAATTCAACAGTGAAGTGATATATACAATCATATACATATATAGAGAGAGACAGAGATGGACTTTTCTTTTGTTGGAAGTTTATTGACTATTGATTCAATTTCTTTATTGAAATTGACTTTTCTTTTTGGAAGCTAAAAAGTACAATAACTGTAGTGAAAGTTTCTGAACTTTTCTTTCATTGGAAGTTTTTTGACTACTGATTCTTTATTTGTTATAGGTCTATTCAGATTTTCTGTTTCTTCTTGAGTCAGTTTGGTCTCGCTCTGTCACCCAGGCTGGAGTGCAGTGGCGCCATCTTGGCTCACTGCAACTTCTACCTCCCGAGTTCGAGTGATTCTCCCACCTCAGCCTCCCCAGTATCTCGGACTACAGGCGCACGCCAGCATACCTGGCTAATTTTTGCATTTTTAGTAGGAACGGGGTTTCACCATGTTGGCCAGGCTGGTCTCGAACTCCTGGCCTCAAGCAATCTGCCCGCCTCGGCCTCCCAAAGTGTTGGGACTACAGGTGTGAGCCACCGCGCCCGGCCTTCAGCTACTCCATTTTTTAACATTTTGCCGCATTTGTTTACATCAAGCAATATGATAGAATCCCTAACCAGTTACTTTTTGCTTAAAAGCTGTACTAGGCCAAAACAAGCGAAGCACCCGTCTGTGTGAGGCAGCGGGTCTGGCTTACAGGCGGCGCCTCAGGGCTCGCTCCCCCTCCGAGCGGGTCTCACTCCCAGAGCGGGGCTCGCCCGGTGTCTGGCCTCCGAGGCCGTGTGCCCAAGTCCCCACCTTGTGCGGCACAGGCCCTTCCCACAGGGGACACTCACGGAAGCTGAACGGACCTTCCCACAGGAGACACTCACGGAAGCTGAACGGACCTTCCCACAGGGGACACTCACGGAAGCTGAACGGACCTTCCCACAGGGGACACTCACGGAAGCTGAACGGACCTTCCCACAGGGGACACTCACGGAAGCTGAACGGACCGACGGAGGTGGCGTGGATGAGCAGCAGCCGCCTGAGCAGTGAGGAAACCCCGCGGACAGCGCGGTAAGGACCCCACCCAGATTACTGGATTTCACCACCGGCCGCCTTCGATGGAGGAGTCCTCAGTCTCCACATCCGCACGGCACAGACGGAGGGGGGGCCCATGGGGCCCCAGCGATGAACCTGTCAGGGGTCCCCTGTACCCTGTAGGCCAGTCAAGCCATCCTTCCCAGCCCTTGCCCCGGGGGCTGAGCGCAGGGGAGGGCCCGGAAGGCAGACGCCACGGAGCCCGGGGCTTCAGGGGGGCGTGGGGCGGAAGCGGGGCCAGGGCGGAGGTCACGGACAGGGTCATCCGGACCCACAAGGAGTCTCAGCCCCGGGCCCGGCGGGAGGGAAGGGGGAAGCCAGGCTCTTCCTCCTAGGGCAGGGCCTGGGCTCCGGGGCAGTGTGACCTCCCGCCCCTAAGCGAGTCCTGCCTCCCCATGAGACCTGAGCTCCTCCAGCGTGGGTGGGAGGCGGACAGAGCCTCCCCCAGAGAAGGCCCTCCTCGGTCCAGCGCTCGGCCAGGACAGGCGCCAAGGCCGCCTTAAGAAATAAAACCAGCAGGCGCGGTGGCTCACGCCTGTAATCCCAGCACTTTGGGAGGCCGAGGCGGGCGGATGGTGAGGTCAGGAGATCAAGACCATCCTGGCTAACATGGTGAAACCCCGTCTCTACTAAAAAATACAAAAAAAAATTAGCCGGGCGTGGTGGGGGCGCCTGCAGTCCCAGCTACTCGGGAGGCTGAGGCAGGAGAATGGCGGGAACCCGGGGGGCGGAGCTTGCGGTGAGCCGAGATGGCGCCACTGCACTCCAGCCTGGGCGGCAGAGCGAGACTCCGCTTCAAAAAAAAAAAAAAAAAAAAAAAGAAAAAGAAAAAAAAAAAAGAAAGAAAACTCCATGATTCATGAGGTAAGACCTGGGAGCTGGCGGCTCGGTGCTCCGGTGCTGCAGAGGCACTCAAGGGGCTCTCCACGTTCGCCTTCCACGTTCCCCTTCGCAGGGACCGCAGCGCCTGGGGCACTTCGCCATGGGCTTGGCCGAAGTGGGCACTAAAGGTGCAGACTCGGTGGAGCCAAGGGGGGCAAGGTCAGCAGCCCTGGGGGCGCAGCCCTGGGGGCCCCGCCGTGGGCCACGCCCAGCGCGTCCAGTCCTCATGGCCGCGTCTATTCCAGGAATGGGGTCCTGGGGTTCGGCACAGGCCTGCTGGGGTGGTGGCCCCACATCTTGCCTGTGTCCCCCCATATTATGCCCAAGGGAGCAACAAAGGCCACCCCTGGGTCCAGGCCTCAGGAGCTCACAGGAGCCCTGAGCCCAGAAGACAGCAGCGCCCTCACGCGGTCCTCAGCAAACCTGCCAGAGCCCAGCAGGTGGAGAGGACTCCGGGAGACAGCAGGAGCTCCGCGACCTCCCTTCCTCTCCCCTCTTCTCCCTTACGAAGTTAGCCGTGTGGTGGCCAGTGTGGCTTAACTCAATGATACAATTTTAAAGATTTCTGGAAAGGACTTAAAAGACACGTGCTTAACTCTGAGAAAAGATTTCAAGGCCAGGCCAGAATGGTGGCTCATGCCTGAAATCCCAACGCTGAGGGAAGCCGGGGCGAGCAGATGGCTTGAGCCCAAAAGTTCAAGACCAGCCTGGGCAACATGGTGAGACCCCATCTCTACAAAAAATAGAAAAAATTAGCCGGGCATGGTGGTGCACACCTGTAGTCCCCGCGACTCTGGAGGATGAAGTGGGAGGATCCCTTGAGTCGGGAGGTCGAGGTTGGAGTGAGCCAAGATGGCACCACTGTACTCCGGCATGGGTGACACAGCAAGGCCCTCTCTCAAAAAAAAAAAAAGAAAAGAAAACTCTAAATACATGGAACTGGCAAACATTAACGTAATGTCAATTACAAAGGTGGCCGTGACACAGGAGGCCCAGAGTGGGGCGGCCCTTGAAGCAGCCTGCAGCGTGGGGATGAGGCCTACAGATGCCTCTGCCTCTTTGACTAATTCCACTTCTGAGACTCTGCCCCAAGGAAATAACCCAAAAAGCTAATTGGTTCCAAGATGTTCCAAGCACTGCTATGGCTAACAGTGACAAACAGAAAAAGACCCAAACACTCGACAATTCGAAGATGGCCCAGAAAACCGTCAAGTATTAAAACTGAGCAAAACCCAATTCCAGGAACATTAAAAATGCCAGTCACGTGGATGCTTAGAAGTTTATCAGAAATTAACGGGAAGAAATGAGAACAGAAAGCCCAGCTGGTCGTGTCTGCACAAGCTCACACACACCGACCACACTCAGGATAGGCACCAAAACCCCCCTTCCCCTCGCAAACCAAGGTCCTTATTCATAAAACACAAATGTAATCCTAGCACTTTGGGAGGCTGAGACAGGTGGATCATATGAGATCAGGAGTTTGAGACCGTCCTGGCCTACATAACGAAACTCTGTCTTTACTAAAAATATTAAAATTAGCTGGGCGTGGTGGCACGCACCTATAATCCCAGCTACTAGGGAGGCAGAGGCAGGAGAATCGTTTGAACATGGGAGGCAGAGGTTACAGTGAGCCAAAATTGTGCCACTGCACTCCAGTCTGGGCAACAGAGTGAGACTCTGTCTCAAAAAACAAAAAAATAAATAAAAATAAAACACAAACGCGAGAACGTGCCCACCAGCACAGATGCAGGGTAGGATGACGCCACAGGAAATCAGCACCCAGGAGGTGAACAGAGCGCGAACATGAGAGCAATCTACGTTTCTCTTTCCTCACTCCTACGAGGAGCTCCAGCAGCAGAGCCGGAGAGCACCAGCTGGCGTCCAGGCTCCACTCTCTTTCCTCACTCCTACGAGGAGCTCCAGCGGCAGAGCCGGAGAACACTGGAGAGCACCAGCCGGCGTCCGTGTTCCACTCTCTTTGACTTTTCACAAACCCAACAGGCAGGCGAAGAGTCTGCCTCTCTGGGTCCCAGAACCCCACAGGATGGGCATGAGCCCCACCCCGCCCAGCCCACAGAGGCGAGTCTGGGTCCCAGAACCCCACAGAATGGGCATGAGCCCCACCCCGCCCAGCCCACAGGGGCGAGTCTGGGTCCCAGAACCCCACAGGATGGGCATGAGCCCCCCTAGGGGCAAGAGACGACAACAGGTGGACAAGATGCGAGCCACCAGCCCACTAGGACCTCGGAGCTGCCATGGGGTGGGTCTCCCTGAAGAAGAGTCAAGCAGCCTTCCTCTCCCCAGCCCCACCCCACCTCTCATACAGAAGACACTACAGCCCCAGGCCTCCCAGCTTCTGACTTCCAGGAGCAGAAGTAAGTTCTTCCACAGGGCAGGAGGGGCCCTGGAAGGATACGACTGTCACCTCCTCTGAAAGTATTTCCAGGAAGCCCACTGTGCTCATAGCCATAGGCAACGCAGAGAGCAGGAAGATCTCGGGGGTGCAGAGAGGGGGTGGCCCATAGGTGACGCAGACAACTGACCCTGACCCCTGGGCCCAGCAGAGATCTGCACGTGTGAGGGTCAGCTCTGAGCTGGGCGACGGGCCAGCCGGCTCACCTTGCAGCCAGGTGAGCTCTACCCCGCTGGGAAGAGAGCTGCTGCTGTCTGACTCCCTGCCACATGAGGACTCAGGACTCACTGGGCAGGTGAGCCATGGTGCAGGAACAAACCCCTTTCATCCAACTCTGCCATAAGACAAAATGTTAGAATCACAGTCCCTGTCACTAAGTAGCACATCTATTTCACCAACTCCCACTTTTCTGCCAGGTCTGGCTCATACATCGTTCAGACCAAGTACTTGCCTGGGAAAAAAAACTAAAGTAAAAATAGCTCTTAGACTCCAAACGTGGAAGCATTAAAATATTCAAAAGAACTGACCCTGCAGATATTGAAACAAGGCTTTAGTGCTGACCCACCAAAGTGGCGGCGATCTTTTCGGAACAAAACTCTCACTAATAGGAAAACTCCAAATTCAGGCAAAATTTGCATCAACTTTTCCTACATAAAAAAAAGAGAAGCAACGGTAAACTACATTTGCATTTTTAGTAAAAACTAAATGAAAATCAACTTGAAATAAGAAAATTAACATTAAAATTTTTCACAAGGCCAGGCAAGGAGGCTCAGGCCTGTGATCCCAGCACTTTGGGAGGCTGAGGCGGGCAGATCACGAGGTCAGGAGATCAAGACCATCCTGGCTAACATAGTGAAACCCCGTCTCTACTAAAAATACAAAAAATTAGCCGGGCAATGTGGTGTGCACCTGTAATCCCAGCACTTTGGGAGGCGGAGGCGGGCGAATCACGAGGTCAGGAGTTCGAGACCAGCCTGGCCAACATGGTAAAACCCCGTCTCTACTAAAATACAAAAAATTAGCCAGGCAATGTGGTGCGCGCCTATAATCCCAGTGCTTTGGGAGGTGGAGGCGGGCGAATCACAAGGTCAGGAGTTCAAGACCAGCCTGGTCAACATGTGGAAACCCCGTCCCTAGTAAAAGAAATACAAAAAATTAGCTGGGTGTGGTGGCAGGCGCCTGTAATCCCAACTACTCGGGAGGCTGAGGCGGGAGAATCACTTGAACCCGGGAGGTGGGGGTTGCCATGAGCCAAGACCACCCCACTGCACTCCAGCCTGGTGACAGAGCCAGACTCCATCTCAAAACAAAAAACAAAACAAAACAAAACAAAAACTACGGCTGGGCGTGGTGGCTAATGCCTGTAATCCCAATACTTTGAGAGGCCAAGGCAGGTGGATCATGAGGTCAAGACATTGACAGCATCCCGACCAACATGGTGAAACCCCGTCTTTACTAAAAATAGAGAAAAATATTAGCTGGGTGTGATGGCGCGTGCCTGTAGTCCCAGCTACTTGGAAGGCTGAGGCAGCAGAATTGCTTGAACACGGAAGGCGGAGGTTGCAGTGAGCCGAGATCGCACCACTATACTCCAGCCTGGTGAGAGTGAGACTCCGTCTCAAAAAAACAAAACAAAACAAAAACAGGCATCAAAATATGAAACAACCCGTGTTTTAAAATACATTAAGTTGGGGCCAGGCACGGTGGCTCACACCTGTAATCCCAGCACTTTGGGAGGCTGAGGCGGGTGGATCATCTGAGGTCAGGAGTTCGAGACCAGCCTGGCCAACATGGTGAAACCTCGTCTCTACTAAAAATACAAAAATTAGCCGGGTGTGGTGGAGCGCGCCTGTAATCCCAGCTATTCGGGAGGCTGAGGCAGGAGAATCACTTGAACCCAGGAGGCAGAGGTTATAGTGAGCTGAGACTGTGCCACTATACTCCAGCCTGGAGACAGAGCAAGACTCCATCTCAAAAAAAAAAAATAAATAAATAAATAAAATACATTAAGTTGGAAATTCCAATGTAAGCATTGTGGCTACACACCAGAGTAACTGCTCCCCTGCCACTGCCCTGCGCGGGCGAGTCCCAGCCCTCCCGCCTCTACCTGGTTCTACTGACGGCTCAGGCAGGAGTTCAAGGTCACAAGGATGCACCCAGCCAGACCTTCAGGTAGGAAGTGTCACAGAACCAAAACTGATCCTTCAGCAAATAAGTAGCATGAAACAGAGAGAAGAAACGCAACTTCAGGGACATCACCACCCACAAGCAGCACATGGCCCTCATCCCAACTCTGATTCAAGTAAAGCCACAGTGAAAATGTGCAGGCCACAGTCAAGAACGCTGAGCCCAGCCCAGCATCGCGACGCTGAGGAAGTGTTGCGGGGTGCCCGGCTGCGTGTGAGCCACACACAACGAAGCACCGAGGGTAAAACTGAGATTTGCTTTAAAACACTTGAGAGAAAAAACAGTGGGAAGGGCCGGGCGCGGTGGCTCACGCCTGTAATCCCAGCACTTTGGGAGACCGAGGCGGGTGGATCACAAGGTCAGGAGATCAAAACCATCCTGGCTAACATCGTGAAACCCTGTCTCTATTAAAAATACAAAAATTAGCCGGGCATGGCAGTGGGCGCCTGTAGTCCCAACTACTAGGGAGGCTGAGGCAGGAGAATGGCATGAACCCGGGAGGCAGAGCTTGCAGTGAGCCGAGATCACGCCACTGCACTCCAGCCTGGGCAACAAAGCAAGACTCCGTCTCAAAAAAAAAAAAAAAAGAAAAGAAAAAAAGAAAGGAAAAAGAAAAAACAGTGGGAGAGAGTGGGAGAGATGAGTAAGACAAGAGCAGAGCACTGGGGGTTCCCGCAGCCAGGCGACGTGGACGTTCTCTCTAATTTTGTGTATGTTTGAAAAGTTCCAAAATAAGTTTTTAAAAATATAATTAGGTTTTAAAATAATAATATAACTTTTACAAAACTGGGAAAATATACAATCCAGCGGTGCAAATGCGGTGAGAGAGAATCTCATCTGGAAACCCACAGGCAGCCCCACCCCTCAACAGGAGGCCCAAGACCTGCCTCTGCAGGGGGAGAGAACCCCAAGACCTGCCTCCTCCCACCCCCAGGCAAGGGTCCTCATTTGGGGTTGACCTCCCAGAGGAGTGCAGCAAGCCTGGGCCTCAGGAGTCTGACTGTGGGTGACAAGCCACAGACACAGCCATGTCCACATCGCACCATGGCCACCGCAGGCAACTTAGAATGCTCGATACTCACCCTACTTCGGAATTAGGAATATCAGATGCACCATTCACAATGCTATGTGCTAAATTAAAGTTCCACATGTTACTACCTCACAAATCAAACTTTCCTGAATTTTAGCAATGATATTTCAGTAGTTGCTACCCTTCATTTTCCAGGGATCTTACTGGATGCACTAAAAATGCTATTGTGAGCTGATCATGGTCTCACATGCCTGGGGTCCCAGCTACTCAGGAAGCTGAGGCACAAGGATCGCTTGAGCCCAGGACGTCGAGGCTGCAGTGAGCTGAGATTGCGCCACTACACTCCAGCCTGGATGACAGAGCAAGACCCTGTCTCAAAATAAACAAACAAAACATGCTATTCTGAAAAGGGGCCACAGCTCACCAGCTGCTGAGAAGACACAAAAGGCCGAGAGCCCAAGTCTGAGCTGAAGGCACAGGTGCAGTGGGCCCAGGTGCAGTGGGCGCAGGTGCAGTGGGCACGAGTGCAAGTGCAGTGAGTGCAATGGGTGCAGGTGCAGTGGGTGCAGGTGGGCACCGGTGCAGTGAGTGCAGGTGCAGTGGGCAAAGGTGCAGTGGGTGCAGATGGGCACAGGTGCAGGTGGGCATAGGTGCAGTAGGTGCAGGTGCAGTGGGTACAGGTGGGCACAGGTGCAGTGAGTGCAGGTGCAGTGGGCAAAGGTGCAGTGGGTGCAGGTGGGCACAGGTGCAGGTGAGCACAGGTGCAGTGGGTACAGGTGGGCATAGGTGCAGTGAGTGCAGGTGGGCACAGGTGCAGTGAGTGCAGGTGCAGGTGGGCACAGGTCCAGTGGGTGCAGGTGCAGTGGGTGCAGATGGGCACAGGTGCAGGTGAGCACAGGTGCAGTGGGTGCAGGTGGGCACAGGTGCAGAAGGTGCAGGTGCAGTGGGTACAGGTGGGCATAGGTGCAGTGAGTGCAGGTGGGCATAGGTGCAGTGAGTGCAGGTGCAGGTGGGCGCAGGTCGAGTGGGTGCAGGTGCAGTAGGTGCAGGTGAGCACAGGTGCAGTGGGTACAGGTGGGCACAAGTGCAGAAGGTGCAGGTGCAGTGGGTACAGATGGGCATAGGTGCAGTGAGTGCAGGTGAGCACAGGTGCAGTGAGTGCAGGTGCAGGTGGGCGCAGGTCCAGTGGGTGCAGGTGCAGTGGGCACAGGTACAGTGGACACAGGTGGGCACAGGTGCAGTGGGTGCAGGTACAGTGGGCACAGGTGCAGTGGGTGCAGGTACAGTGGGCGCAGGTGCAGTGGGCACAGGTGGGCACAGGTGCAGTGGGCGCAGGTGGGCACAGGTGCGGTGGGTGCAGGTGCGGTGGGCGCAGGTGCAGTGGGCACAGGTGGGCACAGGTGCAGTGGGCGCAGGTGCAGTGGGCGCAGGTGGGCGCAGGTGCAGTGGGTGCAGGTGCAGTGGGTGCAGGTGCGGTGGGCACAGATGCAGTGGGCACAGGTGCAGTGAGCAAGGCAAAGGGGGTGCCCAGAGGAGGGCCCGAGTCCTGCTTCGGATTGGGAGGCACAAGCAGCCGCAACACTCAGCTGCCCCTCTTGGCTCCATCTCTGCTCACCCTCAACATGACTCCCTCCCCACCCACCCCGTGTCTCTCCTCACAGGCTCACATCACCCAAGATACTCAAAGCATCTCCCCCATCTGCATAACCCAGCAAAGCAAGGACTCCATGACCTGCTGTGTACCCAGGCCAGGAACCTGACCTGCCACAGGCCCAGGGCTGCGTGCACACTGGCTGAATGCATTAGTTAATATTTTGGTGACGCTGGTTACTTGCCACCTCTGCTGTAAATAACAGCAGCGTCAAGGATACAGTGGCCACGAGAGGTAGCAGCTGCTGATGTGTGGAGAAGCCTCCATAGAGAAATACGTGTGAAAGATGCATCAAGAAAACCCAAGCTGTGATGCTGTTAAGGGCTGAAATGTGTCTGCTGAAGTCCTAAACCTGCAAACGTGACCTTATTTGGAAATAGGGTCTTTGCAAATATAATCAAGTTAAGATGAGGTCATAGTGGATTAGGGCGGGCCCTCACCCAATAGGACCAGCTTCCTTAAAAGAAAAGGAAAAGGCCAGGCCTGGCACGGTGGCTCACGCCTGTAATCCCAGCACTTTGGAAGGCTGAGGCGGGCAGATCATCTGAGGTCAGGAGTTCGAGACCAGCCTGACCAACATGGAGAAACCCCATCTCTACTAAAAATACGAAACTAGCCGGGCATGGTGGCGCATGCCTGTAATCCCAGCTACTCAGGAAGGCTGAGGCAGGAGAATCGCTTGAACCCAGGAGGCAGAGGTTGCGTTGAGCCAAGATCGCGCCACTGCAGTCCAGCCTGGGCAACAAGAGCGAAACTCAGTCTCAAAAAAAAAAAGAAAAGAAAAGAAAAGGAAAGGGCCAGATGTGGTGGCTCATGCCTGTAATCCCAACTCTTGGGGAGGCAGAGGCAGGAGGATCGCTTGAGCCCAGCATGGGCCACATAGGGAGACCCTGTCCCTACAAAAAGTAAAAAAATTAGCCAGGTATGATGGTGCATGCTTGTAGTCCCAGCTACTTGGGAGGCTGAGGCAAGAGGATCCTTGAGTCTGGGAGAAGGAGGCTACAGTGAGCTGTGCTTGTGCCACTGTACTCCAGCCTGGCCCACAGAGTGAGATCCTGTCTCAAGAAAAAAAAATAGAAAAAGAAAAAGAGGCCGGGTGCAGTGGCTCAGGCTTGTAATCCCAGCTCTTCAGGAGGCCAAGGTGGGCGGATCACCTGAGGTCAGGAGTTCGAGACCAGCCTGGGCAACATGGTGAAACCCTGTACCTACCAAAAATACAAAAAATTAGTCAGGCGTGGTGGCACACGCCTGTAATCCCAGCTACTTGGAAGGCTGAGGCAGGAGAATCGCTTAAACCTGGGAGGTGGAGGCTGCAGTGAGCTGAAATGGTGCCACTACACTCCAGCCTGGGCAGCAGAGTGAGACTCTGTCTCAAAAAAAAAAAAAAAAGGAAGAAGAAGAAAGAAGAGGAAAAAACCTGGACACCCGCAGGGGAGACTGTGTGAAGACAGAGGCAGAGGCTGGAGCGAGGCGTCTATAAGCCAAGAGGCACCAGGGACTGTGGTCAACACCTGCAGCTGAAGAGGCAGGAGGACCCTCCCCTGGAGCCTTGGGAGGAAGAGTGGCCCCGTCCACCCCGATGCTGGGTGTCAGCCTCCAGCCCTGTGACAGAATAAGGCTCTACCGTTTTCAGCCACTCAGGCCATGGTCCCATGTAACGCAGCCCCAGGAACTCGCCCAAACAGCAAGCTCACCTACAGAGACTGCACGGCACCACGCTCTGAGTGGTGGCACTGGGGGTCTTCACCCAGGACTCACATGGTCCCATCCGCCAGGGACCCTGCCTTTTGAGTCTGTAGTTTTGAGGTACACTGCAAGGGGCCCTTTGTAGAGCTGGACAAGGGCGCTGGGGTGAGAGCCACTGGCGCCATCCACGCTGCCCCTGCCAGGTGAGGCATGCCTTGACCACGGTCCTGCTGGAAAGCACGTGGCAAAGCCACCCAGAAACCAGATGCAAAGCCCAGAAGCCCTCGGTGCAGCCCCTGCATCCAAGTCACGGTCCCCTCCAGCTGGGCTGCGTAAGGAGGTCCAACCCTGGGTCTTCGTGAGGAGGAGAGCAGCGCAGTGCCGCCCCGCAGTCAGTTCTGCAGAGGGAGGGTGGGCCAGGCCAGTGCGGACCCCCAGGGCATGTTCTACAGCAACAGTGGCCACAGCTCCAGCCAACACCTGGGCACTCGCCATCTCTCCTGATAGTTATGTATTCATGTCAGCATGTCAAGAAAAGCATCACTGGCTGGTCGCGGTGGCTCATGCCTGTCATCCCAACACTTTAGGATGCCGAGGCGGACAGATCACAAGGTCAGGAGTTCGAGACCAGCCTGGCCAACATGGTGAAACCCCGTGTCTATTAAAAAAAAATGCAAAAATTAGCCGGGCATGGTGGCAGACACCTGTAATCCCAGCTACTGGGGAGGCTGAGGCAGGAGAATCGCTTGAAACTGGAAGGCAGAGGTTGCAAGGCAGAGGTTGCAGTGAGCCGAGATCGCGCCACTGCACTCCAGCCTGGGTGAAAGAACGAAACTCCAGCTCAAAAAAAAAAAAAAAAAAGAAGGCCAGGCGCAGTGGCTCAAGCCTGTAATCCCAGCACTTTGGGAGGCCAAGGTGGGCGGATCACAAGGTCAGGAGTTCAAGACCGCCTGACCAACATGGTGAAACCCCGTTTCTACTACAGAATACAAAAATTAGCCAGGCGTGGTGGTGTGCGCCTGTAATCCCAGCTACTCAGGAGGCTGAGGCAGGAGAATCGCTTGAACCCGGGAGATGGAGGTGGCAGTGAGCTGAGATCGCGCCACTGCACTCCAGCCTGGGCGACAGAGTGAGACTCTGTCTGAGAAGAGAAGAGCATCACTGAGACACCAACTCATGACTTCCTGGATGCGCTTCCTTCTTAAGACAAGGCAAAAATTAGGTGAAGTACAAAATGAGGTTGTTATCAATAACATTAAGCGAACAGAGAGCGCACCCGGGATGCTAATGGATGCTGCCTGCCAGCTTTGCTCCCTCCAGGAGCGCATCCCGAAGAAGACGAGCCAGCCCTCACCAGGGTGCAGGTGTGTGTCTCACTCAGACCCTTCCTGACCCTGAATCTCAGGCTCACCCGGAGGCGTCTGTGATCACAGCTCTGCTTCCTGTGAGGGCTCTGCCATGGGCACTCGACATGGCCTTACACAGACACAGGGTCCCACAGACGATGGGACCTCCTACCCTCCCTTCTCCCAAGGTCTCTAGCAATTTCCACACTGAAGAAAGCAAAAACAGCAACAGTGTCCCAGGGGCCAGACCAGAGGTAAACGGATTAAAACAACCACTTCTCGGCCTCCCTGAATGTTACTGCAACGTCTAGTGAAATCCAGTGAGCAGCCGTGAAAATGGCTTTAACTAGATGGGATATCAGAGTTAGTGCCACCTCGTAACTCCCTGCCTCACTCCGCCAACAAGTAAGAAAAGCAACTGGGACGCTCGGAGCACTGACAGCCGCTTTGTCAGTCACGGGACACGCATTTCACCGTCCAGCAGAGGGTGTCTGCTAATGATTTCCGAAAAGTTCTTCAAAACACTCCGAAGTACAGAACAAGTCTACATACAAACTAAAATAAAAGCAACGAAATACTATAGATGTATTTCCATATATCACCGTAGGCAGCGAAACATAACCATTTCCTCAGGCAAAAACATGCAAACTCCCAGTGTATGACGTTAGCAACGTATAACGAAGAAAAGAAAGCAAAAGTCATAAAAACAGTAAACAGGCACACTTTTTTTTTTGTTTGAGACGAAGTCTCGCTCTGTCACCCAGGCTGGAGTGCAGTGGCACGATTTCGGCTCACTGCAAGCTCTGCCTCCCAGGTTCACGCCATTCTCCCACCTCAGCCTCCTGAGTAGCTGGGACTACAGGCACCCGCCACCACACCCAGCTAATTTTGTTTTTTTGTATTTTTAATAGAGACGGGGTTCCACTATGTTAGCCAGGATGGTCTCGATCTCCTGACCTCATGATCCGCCTGCCTCGGCCTCCCAAAGTGCTGGGATTACAGGCATGAGACACCGCGCCTGGCCAATGTAAACAGGCACACTTTTTAAGAAGTATATTATATATATATATTTTTTTTTTGAGACAGAGTTTTGCTCTTGTTGCCCAAGCTGGAGTGCAGTGGTGCAATCTCGGCTCACACAACCTCCACCTCCCCAGTTCAAGCGATTCTCCTGCCTCAGCCTCCCGAGTAGCTGGATTACAGGCGCGCCACCATGCCCAGCTAATTTTGAATGTTTGGTAGAGACCGGGTTTCTCCATGTTGGTCAGGCTGATCTCGAACTCCCGACCTCAGGTGATCCGCCCACCTGGGCCTTCCAAAGTTCTGGGATTACAGGCGTGAGCCACCGCGCCCAGCCTATTTATTATTTTTTTAGATGGAGCCTCACACTGTTGCCCAGGCTGGAGTGCCACAGCACGATCTCGGCTCACTGCAATCTCTGCTTCCCAGGTTCAAGCGATTCTCCTGCCTCATCCTCCCGAAGATCTGGGACTACAGGTGTCTGCCCCCATGCATGGCTAATTTTTTTTTTTTTTTAGATGGAGTTTCGCTCTTGTTGCCCAGGCTAGAGTGCAATGGTGCGATCTCAGCTCACTGCAACCTCCGCCTCCCAGGTTCAAAAGATTCTCCTGCCTCAGCCTCCCAAGTAGCTGGGATTACAGGCATGCGCCATCACGCCCAGCTAATTTTTGTATTTTTAGTAGAGACGGGGTTTCACCATGTTGGCCAAGATGGTCTCAATCTCTTGACCTCATGATCCGCCCGCCTCAGCCTCCCAAAGTATTACAGGCGTGAGCCACTGCGCCCGGCCTTTTTTTTTTTTTTCAGTAGAGACAGGGCTTCACGATGTTGGCCAAGACAAACTCCTAACCTCAGGATCCACCCACCTCAGCCTCCAAAGTGCTGGGATTACAGGCCTGAGCCCCTGTGCCTGGCCATTATTACTATTATTATTTTTTATTTTAGAGAGGGTCTTGCTGTGTTGCCCAGGGTGGCCTTAAACTCCTGGGCTCAAACGCTCCTCCTGCCTCAGCCTCCTGAGCAGCTGGGACTACAAGCAGGCACGCTTTTTTTTTTTTTTCTGAGACGGAGTTTCCCTCTTGTTGCCCAGGCTGGAGTGCAATGGTGCGCTCTCAGCTCACTGCAACCTCCACCTCCCAGGTTCAAGTGATTCTCCTGCCTCAGCCTCCCAAGTAGCTGGGATTACAGGTGTGTGCCACCACGCACAGCTAATTTTTTTGTGTATATATTTTTAGTATAAATGGGGTTTCACCATGTCAGCCAGGCTAGTCTCAAACTCCTGACCTCAGGTGATCTGCCCACCTCGGCCTCCCAAAGTGCTGGGATTACAGGTGTAAGCCACCATGTCTGGTCCAGGCTCACTTTTAATAAGGTGATGCTAAACAGAAATACTTAAAGTACAGAGTAACATTAACCTGAAATGTTTCATTCACTTTGGAAAAAAACAACAGCCACTGTTTAGGAAGCACCGAGGCGGTTTTAAATATCCTGACTCCCTTAGTTTCCCTTCAGAAATAAAAACCTTTGTGATATCACTAACAATTCTCAGAGCACAAGGCTGTCCCGCAGCCTGCCCCAAGCACTTACTCACCAGAAAAACCCAGCCAGTCACTCAGCACACTGCGAGAACTTACACCTTTAACTTCCCCTATCTAAGAAGCTTTTTGCGGGAAAAATTACCATCTGTGCTTTTACTCAATAGTGAGCTCTTACCATTAACATTTTAGAAACATGAACACAGCCCTGATCAAGCGGAACCGATACACTCCCGAAACAGGCAGAAAATCCTAAACACACTTGCAGCACCAGCCAGCAAAGCTGCACTCACAGCGTCGGGAACCGGAGGTGGCTGGGAGAACCGGGAATAAACGACGGGACACACGTCCAGCCTTCCTGAGTTCAAGCGCCCTGAATTCACCCACCAGCACACCCATGGGGGAGACGGGCACTTTTGTATGTGACACGGGCCCCCAATGAGAAAAGCCTGGGGTGCTCTCCCTAGAGCTGACACGTGTACACGCATGCAAAACCCAGCCCTGGGACTGATGGGCTCTAGGCCCCGACAAAGGAGCACAGGAGGCCTATTCCATTTCAGTACAATGGGTTCCGTGATTGGCCAAGGCTGGGCTCAGTCCTACACCAGACTGACAGCTTCCTCACCCTCCCACGCTTGGGTTTAAAGACATGTCCACAGGAAGATGCACCATCAGTCAACGGCTGCTGTTAGGAGAAACAGGAACAGCACTGACCACACGGCGAGCACAGGACACGGCCAACCCGGCAAGCACGAAAACATGAGAGTGAAGCCTACAGTGAGTCTCGGAATTCCAGACCACGGGCCAGGTGCTATGGCTCACACCTGTCGTCCCAGCACTTTGGGAGGCTGAGGCAGGATGAATGCTTGAGCCCAGGAGTTTGAGACCAGCCTGGGCAACACAGCGAGACCCTGTCTGTACAAAACATGTTTTAAAAATGGAAACAAAAAGTCGGGAGCGGTGGCACACACCTGTCATCCTAGCACTTTGGGAAGCCGAGACGGGTGGATCACTTAAGCTCAGGAGTTCGAGACCAGCCTGGGCAACATGGACAAACCCCGTCTGTACTAAAACTTAAAAAAAAAATTAGCTGGGCATGGTGGCGCGCACCTGTGATCCCAGTTACTCAGGAGGCTGAGGCAGCAGGAGAATCACTTGAAACCGAGAGGTGGAGATTGCAGTGAGCCAAAACTGCACCACTGCACTCCAGCCTGAGCGACAGAGCGAGACTCCACCTCAAAAATACATACATAAAATAAAAATAAAAATGGGAACAAAAGGCCAGGCACAGTGGCTCACTGTCATCCCGGTACTTTGGGGGTTCCAGGTGGGCAGATGGGGGTGCACTCGCGCTCAGGAGTTCAAGACCAGCGTGGGCAACATGGCAAAACCTGGTCTCTACTAAAAAAAGTACAAAAATTAGCAGGGTGTGGTGGCACACGCCTATAATCCTAGCTACTCAGGAGACTGAGGCACAAGAATCACTTGAGCCCAGGAAGCAGAGGTTGCAGTGAGCCAAGATCACGCCACTGCATTCCAGCCTTAGCGACAGAGTGAGACCCTGTCTCAAAAAAATAAATAAATAAATAAGATAAAATAAAAATAAAACAAAAATAAAAAAATTGGCCGGGTGTGGTGGTGCGTGCTTGTAGTCCCAGGTACTCAGGAGGCAGAGGTGGGAGGATCACCTTAGCCCAGGTCGAGGCCGCAGTGAGCCATGACTGTGCCACTGCACTCCAGCCTGGGCAACAGAACGAGGCCCCTTCTCAAAAAAAAATTAAATAATTCAGACCAGAAAAAAGGACAATATCCACGTCACACTGCATCCCTGACCACACACTTCCCAGAACAAGTTTTCTCGTTGTGGTGTCTTCCAATTCCTTTTCCTCTGTCCTGATTCCTGTCCTGACCTTTGTCCTCTAGGAACCTTGTGTGTGTGTGTGTGTGTGTGTGTGTGTGTTCTTTGGGACTGCTCCGTTTTCTGTTTGTAAAAGGAAATGTAAACCGTTGAATGGGCTCCCCACAGGACTAACGTAAACGACCAGATTACACTTGAGAAGTGGAGATTTTGAGTGCAGAGAGGAGGCTGTAGGCGAATCAAGGCTTCTTTAGAGACCAGAGGCTCAGGGCAGGGTCGCTGGCCAAAGTCCTCTGTTTCCTTGAATGGGTAACAAGCAGACACGTCCCACCTAAGCATCAGGGCCACCTTCGAGGTTGAGCAGCCGGCCTCCCTGAAGCATGGGAAATTCCGAGTCTTGTGGGTCTGCAGATTCCACACTGAAATGGGAGGAGGAAGAAATGGGGCTGGACCTGGACAAACAAGTGCCTTCTTCAGCCAGTCTGTCCTCCACCCCTAAAGGAGCTGAATAATCTCTACTTCTTTCGAAAATACCTAAGCTGGCTTTGAACTTGCCAAATAAAAGGATACTGCCATTCACCAGATTCAATAATTTAAATGGCATGGAAAGAGAACACCCATTTTATTCAAATAGGGCCACACCAAGACAAGAAAGACTACAGACCATGTTGTCTTGAAAGCTAATTTAGCAAATATCAGAAAAACTCACTTGGCGGTTGCCACAAAAGCCCTGAACCACGCCCTTTTTCCTGAAAGCTCAGGGTCTGCAGGACAACTCAGAGGTTCTAATCCCACCCAAAATTTCACGTGGCCAAGGAACACTTACCGCCTTCCCCCACCCCCGTTCTTCTGGGTGCTCTGAGAGGTGATGTTTCCATCACTGCACCCCCATCTCACCGTCATCAAACCCTCCCTCCCCCATCTTCCCATCACTGCACCCCCATCTCACCGTCATCAAACCCTCCCTCCCCCATCTTCCCATCACTGCACCCCCATCTCACCGTCATCAAACCCTCCCTCCCCCATCTTCCCATCACTGCACCCCCGTCTCACCGTCATCAAACCCTCCCTCCCCCATCTTCCCATCACTGCACCCCCGTCTCACCGTCATCAAACCCTCCCTCCCCCATCTTCCCATCACTGCACCCCCGTCTCACCGTCATCAAACCCTCCCTCCCCCATCTTCCCATCACTGCACCCCCGTCTCACCGTCATCAAACCCTCCCTCCCCCATCTTCCCATCACTGCACCCCCGTCTCACCGTCATCAAACCCTCCCTCCCCCATCTTCCCATCACTGCACCCCCATCTCACCATCATCAAACCCTTCCTGGCTGGGTGCAGTAGCTCATGCCTGTAATCCCAGCACTTTGGGAGACCGAGGCAGGCGGATCACTTGAGGTCAGGAGTTCAAGACCAGCCTGGCCAACATGATGAAACCCCATCTCTACTAAAAATACAAAAATTAGCCGGGCGTGGTGGCGGATGCCCATAATCCCAGCTTCTAGGGAGGCCAAGGCAGGAGATTCGCTTGAACCCGGGAGGCAGAGGTTGTAATGAGCCGAGATCTCGTCACTGCACTCCAGCCTGGGGGACAGAACAAGACTCCGTCTCAAAAAAAAAAAAAAAAACCCTCCCTCCCGCCCACCATCTCACTACCATCAAACCCCTCCCTCCCGGCTTCCCAGGGCCAGTTGTCCCCATGCTGCACAAACAGCCCTGGGCACTTTGTGTCAACAACTCTGTTTTCTGGTTCTATCCCTGCACTTGCTGTTCCTCCAACCAGAACAGCCTTGCTCCACTTCTCAGCCTCTGCAAAGCGGCTGGCTATGGCCAATGAGTGGATTATGAGTGTGTTTCTAGAAAGCCTGTGTGTCTGGATGTGCCCCTCCACAGCCCAGAAATCAACAACCAGGCCTTCGAGTTTCTTCATAACTCAGAAGCTTCTAATCTCTGTGACTTTTTGTGGGATTCTTTCAGGGAAGTCAGTTGGGAAAGCGGCGAATCAACACTGCGACAGGTAATGCTTAGCTTGGGCCGACTTCTCGTTCTTCTGCCCAGTTAAGAGCCATAGTTTTGCTCCCCATGCCCCAGCAGATAAGCAAAGCCTCTGTCCATCCGGCGGGTGACCCACACTAAGAAGACGACTTGCCCAGAGTAACGTGGGCCACGCGGTCCAGGTGTGTCCACCTCTCACAAAGGCAGCTGTCAACACCGGGAGTTCCTAAGCCCTCTGCACGTAGCCCAAGGCACAGCAGTGCCCCTCTCCACATCTCCACAGAGGAGCACCGACGCAGGCCTCGTGTGCAGCGATATGCCAGCGAATGGGAAGGCTTTCTGTGCAAGAGGCTTCATTTTCTTCATTTTCTTCAGAGTGGTTGGAAGAGATGATGTGATGCACTTTTGTAAACGAAAATGTCTTACAAACAAAGTATCTGTGTGTCCCATGCAAGCAGCAATGCTGCCCGACTTTCAGATAAATGAAGACATTTTTAGAAACTGATTGTTCACACACATATGTGGCTCTTTTCCATTTTGGGGGAAACTGAGAAGGACTGAGTCGCTAGTAAGTCAGAGATGCTCAAAGAGAAACCAAGAGGAGCCCGGGGGCGACACCTGGGCCGACAATGACAGGCCCAGAGAAGAAATGCTTTGGCTGGGCACGGTGGCTCATGCCTGTAATCCCAGCACTTTGGGAGGCCGAGGCGGGTGAATCATGAGGTCAGGAGATCGAGACCATCCTGGCTAACATGGTGAAACCCCATCTCTACTTAAAAAAAAAAAAAAAATTAGCCGGGCATGTTGGCAGACGCCTGTAGTCCCAGCTACTCCGGAGGCTGAGGCAGGAGAATGGGGTGAACCCGGAAGGTGGAGCTTGCAGTGAGCCGACATCGCGCCGCTGCACTCCAGCCTGCGCGACAGAGCGAGACTCCCTCTCAAAAAAAGAAATGCTTCACGGATGACTTTTCCAAAAAGACAGCGAGTGTCCTTGGGAAGGCATTATGTGTGCTGAACCAAGTCTTCAGAAGGTACAACGTGAAACTCAACTGCTCCTCATGCCTACCCCCACAGCTGACCAGCTCCCAAAAGCTGCCTCCTACGTACAGTGGCCCTGCCCTCCGGCCAGCAATCCACTCTCCGGGAAGCAGGGTTTGGAATATGACTCGCTCCACCAGGACCGGATGACTGCCAGGTCTGGAACCGTGCGGGTGGATCTCCGAGTGGACTCCCTTCCCTCGAGTCACCTTTGGGCTCCGGTGCCACTCCCCACAGCAGTCCCCACAGCAGTCCACACAGCAGTCCAGGCACCCTCCTCCCAGCCTTGGGCCGTTTCTTGCCAGCCTCTGCCAGCCACCACACTGGGTCACATCAGTGGTTTCTGCGTGCCCCCAACCCACCTCCGTGGGAACTTTGTCACCAACCTGGCCCAAAGTCTGGTCCACAGCAGGCCCTCAGTAACACCAAAGAGCTGTCATGAATAGGAAACCCCGAGTGTCTCCGGTAAGACGCAAAAGCCCATCTGTCAAAACACAAAAGATGGCCGGGCGCGGTGGCTCACGCCTGTAATCCCAGCACTTTGGGAGGCCGAGGCGGGTGGATCATGAGGTCAGGAGATCGAGACCATCCTGGCTAACAAGGTGAAACCCCGTCTCTACTAAAAATACAAAAAAATTAGCCGGGCGCGGTGGCGGGCGCCTGTAGTCCCAGCTACTCGGGAGGCTGAGGCAGGAGAATGGCGTGAACCCGGGAAGCGGAGCTTGCAGTGAGCCGAGATTGCGCCACTGCAGTCCGCAGTCCGGCCTGGGCGACAGAGCGAGACTCCGTCTCAAAAAAAAAAAAACAAAAAAAAAAAACCACAAAAGATCTGCAAATGCTTTTGAAAAATACACTAATGTTTCTCAACTTTCTATTGTAAAATAGCTATGGTAGCAAATTTTTAATCCAGATAATGATGTTTAGAAGCATTTAATAATTTTAAATTGTAAATTAGAGTAAAACGGCACTGCTGATACTCAACTATGCAACAGAACCATTCAACAGAACACTTTGCATAAATCATACTTAGGTCAAATTTCACTGGTTTCATTTGTTTTTATGCTTTAACAGGACAATGTTTTATTTGTTTATTTATTACTTAATTTTATTGTTTTAGAGACAAGGCCTCGCTCTGTTGCCCAGGCTGGAGTCCAGTGGCACAATCATAGTTCATTACAGCCTCAAACTCCTGGCCTCAAGCGGCCCGCCCGCCTCAGCCTCCCAAAGCACTGGGATTACAGGCGTGAGCCACCACGCCCAGCCTCAGAACCACTTTTAGGTTGTTAAAAAACATCCTTTCTCTTTTCCATCTATAAACAACACCATTGGGGCCCTTTGTCATCACCAGCAAACCAGAACACCAAGCCTGGGTCTGTATATGTGAGGCACTCAAAGGGTCTAAGTGATAACAGAAAAGCAGGAAAATCCCTCCCATGGACCCCATGGCCTAAGACCCCAGCACTCCGCACAAGTTCACAGCTACGCCGCAGCCGCGGCAGACGGCAAGAGGACCACAATCAGGATAAGGCGGCGGCCTCTCAAAGCCCTGAATAAGTCTGTGGCCTTAATAGAGATTTTGAATCAAACATTTATTCTTAGGAGTCAGGCCATTCAAGCAAACTTAGCAGCAACAAGATGAATTTTTCCCCCAGGGGAGGGGACAGATTCAAAGGGTATTTTTTTTTTTAAATCTGCTAGAAAAACCAGTAGAGGGAAGTATCAACCATCACTCAAGGTCACTCATGAGACTTCCAGGTAAAACATGCAAAGCCCAGGGAGAAGCAGCAGCCTGAGTTTTTACAAGAACGGTACTTAGGCAAGAACACGAAGTCCCCAGGACAGGGAACCTACCACGGCAGACGCCGTGACACTGGGTGTGCGGATGGGAAGGGGCAAGGACTTCTAGACCTTTCCTCTCACTTTAACTCAGCAGTGGAGCGGGTGCCTGGGCACCAGTCACGGCAGTGGGAGGAACCGGCTCCAGTTCTCAGGCTGTGGAGCCGTCTAGGCACCGTGCACGAAGTGGGTCTCCAGGGCTCTGAGAGGCCGGGCTAAGACCTCTGATGGAGAACAGAGCACTGGAGCTGCACCGCTGTCCCAGAAACACAGGCCACAGGGACAGAGTGGCCCAATTTCCCTTAATTTAAAAACCCCACGTCAGGGCAGTGTTGGAAAGTTCACTCTGCTAAAATTTAATTCAGTGTTTGTAAATAGTACATCGTCTGACAATAACAACTGTGTACCCCCCACGGCATTTCCTCTAAATCCTTGGAGCAGTTTCACCGTTCACAGGGTTTACCTCCTGACCTCTGTGACCACCAGGGGCTGGGGAGGGACGGAGGACGCAGGGCACTGGGTCAGCCTGGCCCTGGTGGAACTGACCTGGGGGCCCTTAGGTAACAGTCCACCCAACCCGAACATCCGAAACAGGAGTGGAACTCAGGTCTGAGCACAGAACGACTCATCCTCACACAAAACAGCTAAACCCGAACAGAAATCACCTCATCTAAGCAAAAGAAAACTCTCACGTTCAGGATAATGCTGTCAGTGAGAGGCTTAATTAAATGCTTGTCCCCAGGCTGGCCTGAAGGCAAGGCGGAATTTCGGATTTCTAAACACCTCAAAGTGAGTGCATTCCACGCCCCAAGGAGAAATCTGACAGTAACTCCCCAGCCCTCTTCCTTCAGTTACGGAGAAGATGTCTAGCTTTTTAGGGGACACAGTAAGTTCCCACCTAAATTTGCAGTAACTTGTGCCCAAGTACTCCCCTCACTCCTCAGTCCTTTCTGCAGTGGTAACCAGGCTGAGGTGCCCAAAAGTGCCAGTTGGAAACACGTAAAACA
The DNA here is from genome assembly GCF_000001405.40 of Homo sapiens. Taxonomy (NCBI): domain Eukaryota; kingdom Metazoa; phylum Chordata; class Mammalia; order Primates; family Hominidae; genus Homo; species Homo sapiens. Next base: position 63,829,666 of record NC_000020.11, read on the forward strand.
CACCGAGCAGAAAGGTTCTACTCTGATAAATACTGTCGCTTGCTTCATTATTCATGTGAAAAACCCCTTCTATACATTTCCTTTTGATGAACAAACTATTTTCCACTCTTGTAGAGTGAAATAGTGCCTTGCAGAGGCAGCGTGAGTGCCAGCAGCAGAGATGTATCCAGTCTGTTACCCAAACGGGAAGTTAGCTCTGATAATAGAGCCAATATGAAAGATTCTACAATCGATACAATTAAAATGCCCGTGAGTTCTCGGCGCACAGGTGTCTGCGCCCAGGCCGCGCGCTAAACACGTTTCTAATTAGCATTTCTTTAAACAATGCTGATCACAATCTTGCCACCGTAATCCACTCCAAATGCATCGTTGAGATTGCAGCACGGAAAGCGAGAGAGGAAATTCGCTGCGAATCTCAAACTTTCTTTTGTTTATATTTCTTCGCTGTCAGAAAATATCCGTTCTTCGCCCCATCTGGTCTGTACCCTGGCTCCTCGGTCCAGCCCTATTGTGTGTGCTTCGTTAAACCTACAAACAGTGAATCTGTCAGCGGGGCCAGGGGAACCCCAACTAGCAGGAGCCCTCCCTCTGGCGCAGAGAATTCCCCGTTTGCCTTAGGGATTGAGTTGTCAGACACCGGCTCGCGCTCCCCCGCGAAACTGACATGTCTATTTACAGAGAAACAAAGACGCGGCTCGCAGCGGACCCCGCTTCCTCCGCGCGCCCCGTCCGCCCCGCGCGCCCCGAGCCCTCCGCGCCCCGAGCCGCCCCGCCCCGAGGCCCCTGCGCCCCGGTTCGGCCGGCGATTAAGATGGAGACCAGGCCGGCGCCCGGCGTCCGGGGAGACAATGACCCCCCGGCCTCAGGGCGCCGGGACCCGCCCGCGCCCACCTCCCGCAGTTCCGACTCTTGGCAAACTCGGCGCGGGCGGCTCCGGGTGCGGCTGGGCTGTGCCGGCGGGGGGCGCGGGCGGGGGGCGCCAAGACGCCCCCGGGCTGCCTCGGGGCCAGGCGTTGACGCAGCAGAAATTACCAGCTGGAAAATTCCCCTCTCGGAGGTGCCGGGGAGGGAGCGCGGCGGCGGCGGGAGGTGCCGGGGGCCGAGGGGCCGGGGCAGCCCAGCCGCCTCCGCGCTCAGCCCCGCGGGGAACCCGCGCCGCCCCCGCGCGCCCCGCCCCGCGCCGCCGGCCTGGGGGGCACCCGCGGGGGCCGGGCCGGGGTCTCCGCCGCCGCCCCCGGAGCCCGCGCCGCAGCTGGGAGCGCCGATGGCCCCCGGGAGGGCGCCCCCGCGGGGCGGGGCGTGGCGGGGCGGCCGGCGGCGGGGGCGCGCCCGGGCTCGCAGCGGCCCCGGCTCCCGGCTCCCGGCTCCGGGCCCGGCCCCCGCCGCGATGCGCCCGCCCGGCCGCGCGGACAATGAGCCGGCGCCGCTTACCTGTGACCCCATGGGGCGCGGGCGAGGGCGGGCGCCGCGGCCGCCGGGCCGGCGCCGGTGATCGCCGCCGCCGCCGGGAGGGCGCTGCGTCCGGGCGGGTCCGAGCTGCGCGCTCGCCGGGGCTGCTCGGTCCGTCCGTCCGTCCGTCGGTCCGTCAGGCCGGCGCGCGCCCCCGCGCCCGCTCCAACCCCGCGGCCCCCGCCGCCCGCGCGCGCGCGCCCCGCCCGCGGACCCTGACCCCGCCCCCCGGCGCGCGCCCGGCCGCCGCTGATTGGCCCGCGCCGCGCCCCGGCCGCGGCCACCGCCCCGGGCCCCGCCCACGCCGGCCCGGCCGCCGGCCCCGCCCCTCGCTCGGCTCCCGGCGCCGCGCCGCGGGGTCGCAGGGGGCCGCGCCGGGGGTCCGTTCTCCCCCCCGCGGGCAGCCGGACAGCGGAAGTGCGGGCTGGAGCTCGCTGGGCATTGTGGGAAGCCCCCTCCCCTGGGCTGGCGGGGGGCTGGGGCGGCGCGGCGCGGGGGTCCCCCTGGCCCCCGCTGCGCCCTTGCCCCGCGAGCGCGGAGCAGCCTGGAAACACCCCACGGGAGCGGCGACCCCGGCGAGGGCACCCGCTCCCTTCCCGGGCCGCGCACCGGGCGCTGCCCACGCGCAGGTTCCTCGGGGGCGCGCGGGTGCCCAGGTCACCGGCCGTCCCCGCGCCTGACGCGCGGTTGCACTGCGCGCGTCTCGCAAACTTGGCGACTCCCCCAGCCCGGCCGGGCATCAACGCGGGCCGCTCGCGGTGCGGAAAAGGCGCCCCCAAGGAAGGCCGCCCGGGGTGCGGGGTCTGGAAGGGCCTGGGCACCGCGCGCGCCTACCCTCGGGGGCCTCGGCGCACCCGGAGATCGGCGCACCTCGGGCGCAGGCCTCGTGGGGGTGCCCGCCAGTGGGGCTCGCTTTTGGCTGACTAGGGGCACCGGCGGCCGCGCGTGGGTCCCTCCCGTCGTGTTGTCTGCGGGGGACGAATGGCTCCGGGAGGGGGCGGGAACCAGCGGCCCGGGCCTCGCCCCAGCCCGTGTGCAGCCCCGATCCGAACGGCCTGGGACGCGTCTCCACCACTCGGCGCCCGGACTCTGCGCGTCGCTTCTCGCCTCCGCCGTCCTCAGCCCTCGGGCGGGTAGAGTGGGAAGCGCGGCCCCGCATTCCTGGCCGGCCTGCGCAGGGGTAAAGGCCACCTCGCTTCCTCTCCCCGGGCGCGGCGGGAAGGGAGGTGAGCCTGTGGCCGGCAGCCGCGCGAGGGAGTCGAGCCCGGCCCGGCCAACCAATGGGGAGGCGCCCGGGCCGTCCAGCCTGCCTCCCTGCGGGCCCAGCGCAGCGGATTCCTCGGGAGGTGGGAGGCGGCGGCCCTATGGGTGCTTTCAAATCTGGATGTGTGAGGCGCATTCAGGAGCGGCAGTGGGAGGCGGCTGAGGGCTCTCCATGAGTGAGCAAAGGCGAAGCGAGGTGTGGCTGCCGGGACCAACGCCTGGGACACTCCCTTACTGCCGTCGCGGGCGCCTGGAAATGGCTGTGCGGACACCCCGTTCCCATCCCCTCGCCAAGGTCGCCGGGATGGCACTGCGGCCCAGGAAGCCCCGTCGCCGGCCTACCTCGCGCGGCACCCTCTCGGTGGCACTGCCTGCTCTGGTCTGAAACTGTAGCCCCAGCCTCACCGACCTTCGGGAAGTGGGGGCTGAGCACAACCACCCTGAGAAGAGGCGGCTTCCAGGAGGGTCTGGCGGGTCACGTGCATCCCCCTTGGAGAAAACAGCACTGCCTGCAGGAGCCCCCACCTGCCCACCCAGAGCCCAGTTGTACCCCACGGAGGAAAGGAGGCCTGGGGAGACAGGAGAGCTCGGGCCCACCGAGCCAAAGCAAGGAGGACCAGAGCCCTGATGCCTGCCCCAAGGGCCTCCCGCAGAGCCTGCCCATGCTCTCTTGCGCAAAAGAGAACCCCAGTCTCTCCCAAGATGTCTGGACCTCCCTAGACAGCCTCCAAGGAGAGCAGTGTTGATGGTTTGCCATGTCCGTTGTCCATGCAGGGATGGAGAGCAGCAGCAGCTGCCTGGCGGAACACACAGTGGCACTCAGTCATCGCTTAGGAGGCCTGCCCATAAGAACCAAACCTTGATCTCACCACGACCCAGGCCAACCCCACCTGCCAGGTTAGGGCTGCCTGTCTTGGTAGAAACTTGCTGAGGGCCGGGCGCGGTGTCTCACGCCTGTAATCCCAGCACTTTGGGAGGCCGAGGCAGGCGGATCACGAGGTCAGGAGATCGAGACCATCCTGGCTAACACGGTGAAACCCCGTCTCTACTAAAAATACAAAAAATTAGCCAGGCGTGGTGGCAGGTGCCTGTAGTCCCAGCTACTCGGGAGGCTGAGGCAGGAGAATGGCGTCAACCCGGGAGGTGGAGCTTGCAGTGAGCCAAGTTCGTGCCGCTGCACTCCAGCCTGGGCGACAGAGCAAGACTCTGTCTCAAAAAAGAAAAAAAAAGAAACGTGCTGAGTTCTAGAATGAACGGGGCGGATGAGGCTCTGGGCCCCCTCTCACCTGGGAGCCCCACTCCTCCCCGCTTCCCCCTCGGCAACACTGCCAGTGACGGGACAGAGACTCCTGACTTTTCTGCTCCAAGAACCAACAGAAGGTCAAGCAGCCTGGAGACGAAGACAGTATGTCAAAAAGGAAGAACCAAGACCGGTCTCAGAGACAGCGCCCTGATTAAGTCCTACAGACCGTTATTCCAAGAGCTGATAAACCCCATTACTATTTAAAAGAAAAACAAACAAAAACCAGCAGCAGCAGCTGCAGCCTCTCAGCCGAACTGGGAGGACGAGGAGGGTGGAGTAGTTGGACTCCTACAGCCACGTGGAGTGTCTGCTCCGACGGGCATGCTGGCCCCGTGGCCCAGGAACCTCAGGTTTGTTGGAGCCCAGCATCTACTGAGCTGCTGCTGGGATTAGACATGAGACGGGGGGATGCCAGGCTGGGCCGCGGTGCCCCCTCTTCCTAGGGCCCCGGGACACTTGTGCAGGTGACGCACACCAGGCCTGGGGGCCACAGATGCAAGGAGGGATCTGCCGCCTGACAGCCGGCTGGGAGGCAGCTCTGGGAACAGAGAATGTGAAGTGTGGCCTCAGCAGCATTGGGATCAGGGCTGGGAGGCCAGCACATGGGTGTCTGGGAGGGTCCAGAGGGTGGGGCCCCTGAGGGTGACATGATGAACTGGACATGGTCCCTGACCTCGCCAAGTGGGTGAACAAGACAGGTGAACAAAAGGTCAGGTCTCTGTAGGGCACACTTGTCCACGCTGCATTACGTGGTCATTCCTGAAAGTCACCCCCAGCCATCTGGGTGAGCACGTTGGGAGCCTGTCCAAGGGACCCTGAGGCCTATGAGGGATGAGCGGCAGCAGGCCAGGAGTTCTGGAGGACGGGGGGCTCAGGGCAAGGTGCAGAGGCTGGGCAGCCCCACGGATGTACCTGCTGAGGGACGTGCCCCCCACAAACCCCTGGGAAAACTCAACCAGAGACACAAATGGAGAGCCATCTGGCTGGCAGGGCCCCCCGAGGGTCCTGGCACAGCCTCGCGCTTATGGCCTCTCCGCAGACCTGTGTTCACAGACTCCCTGCACCACTTACCCTGCCAGCCGGCCACCTGCCCTCCACCCTCACTGTGTGGCTTCTAGGGGATGGGGATCTGGGAGGGGACCCAGCCCCATTCCAGGTGCTCTGACACCACCAAGAGAGTAGGGATCTGCCTCTCATCCTCAGGAAGGATGGCCTGGGAGGAGCTTTGGGAAAGAAAATTCCCGAGGAACAAGATACCCCTTCCTGTCTGTGTCCCCACCCCCCCCCAAGCAGCTCCCCAACCTCGCCAGGGCCTTTACTGCCACCCCCTCTTCTCCCAAGGAGGCATTTCCTTGTCCACCCCCAGCTGGGATTTCTGTGGTTGTCTTTGTCTCAGTCACTGGTCAGGGAACCTGCCTGTTTATTCACCAGCCAGTGGTGTTGCTCAGTCGTCCCCATGGCAACAGCCCTGGGAGTCCTGCCCCCTCCCAGGGAACTGCCCAGAACCTGTCCCTGCCCTCTCCAGGCCTCTGCTGGGAGCCCAGACAGAGGGAGAGGCAGAGGGCAGGGCGGGGAGAGAGGCCCGCCACCAGCCTGAGGATGCTGGGGCTGTCCAGGGAGCCGCCCACCACACGTCATCCTGGGTCCTGCGGGTGGACTGGAGGCCGGCCGTGGGCTGCAGGAGAGCCCCACCCACGGGCTGGGGGAGGTGGCCTTGTCGAGGCTGGATAGAGGTGGGCCTCCTCTCGGGCTTGGCTTGGCCAGGTCCAGTGCCAGCTGGCCCTGCCCTCCCACCCAGGCCTCCCCAGGACCACCCTCCAGAGCTGCTCTGGGGCCAGGGGCTACCTGCCAACCCCACGGCTGCCCCACCCCAACTGTCCTCCGGGCCTGCGCCCCTGCCAAGCCCCAACTGCCGCTCCAGCTGCCACAGCCAACTGTCGACCGGTCTCCATTCCAAGCGCCTGCTCACCCCCAATCGTCCTTCCAAAATGCTGCTGCCAACTGCCAGCCCCCTCCCTTCCTGAGCCCTGGCTCCCACCACCACTCCAGGCCACCACACCAGGGATCTGCATTCCAGACCTTCCCTGGGACAGAGGCCAGGCCACACCTGCCGTGTCCCTAATGGGATGGGATGGGGCGGGGGAGGCACTGCACTGAAGGTCTGAGACCTGAGGCCCCAGCAGACAGAAGGCAAGGGGCAGGGAGAGCGCGGGCAGGGCAGGGGAGAGGGCAGGGGCAGGGAGAGCGCGGGCAGGGCAGGGGAGAGGGCAGGGGCAGGGAGAGCGCGGGCAGGGCAGGGGAGAGGGCAGGGGCAGGGAGAGCGCGGGCAGGGCAGGGGAGAGGGCAGGGGCAGGGAGAGCGTGGGCAGGGCAGGGGCAGGGGAGAGCGCGGGCAGGGCAGGGGAGAGGGCAGGGGCAGGGAGAGCGCGGGCAGGGCAGGGGCAGGGGAGAAGGCAGGGGCAGGGAGAGCGCAGGCAGGGCAGGGGAGAGGGCAGGGGCAGGGAGAGCGCGGGCAGGGCAGGGGAGAGGGCAGGGGCAGGGAGAGCGTGGGCAGGGCAGGGGCAGGGGAGAGCGTGGGCAGGGCAGGGGCAGGGAGAGGGCAGGGGCAGGGAGAGCGCGGGCAGGGCAGGGGCAGGGGAGAAGGCAGGGGCAGGGAGAGCGCAGGCAGGGCAGGGGAGAGGGCAGGGGAGAGGGCAGGGGCAGGGAGAGCGAGGGCAGGGGAGGGGGCAGGGAGAGCGCGGGCAGAGCAGGGGCAGGGAGAGCGCGGGCAGGGCAGGGGAGCGGGCAGGGGCAGGGAGAGCGCGGGCAGGGCAGGGGCAGGGAGAGTGCGGGCAGGGCAGGGAGAGCGCGGGCAGGGCAGGGGCAGGGGCAGGGGAGAAGGCAGGGCAGCCCATCCTCAGTGCCAGGGGCCACGTCAGGCCCAGCGCAGGGGTGGGAAGGCAACCAGAGCGCAGCTGGAGCAGGCCCTGGGAGCTGCAGGGCGGAGCTGGACCTTCCCTCAGAGGGTCTGTGAACAGCTTGGCCTAACCACAGACCCCGGGAGGGTCCTCCCAGCCATGTTGGGGGGAACGGGCCCCTCCCTACCAGCCTTGCACAGCTCAGGGTGGAACCAGCTCCCAGGCCTCAGCTGTCCCAGGCCATCCTGGACTCCCTCCTGCTTCACCACCTGGCACCCGGGGCCGGCCTGAGTCCCTTTAAGTTCCAACGTGTGGCTTCTCAGTCCCAGCCCTGGCCTTGCTGCCCCTTCCCTCCTTGGAGCTTTCTCTCTGCATTCATCCCAGTGGTCCCTGATCCCCACCTCCAACATAGGACCCCCCTCCATATCCCCCAGCCCGCTAGACCGTATCCCTCAAACACAGCGGGTGCCTGCAAGTTGGCTCACCAGGCCTAGGGGAGGCACGGCTGCCCTTGCGGGTCAGACCTGGGGCTGTAATTCCATCCCAGGCTCTGGACCAGCCGGTCAGCACCAGGAGGTGATGGGGGCCGGGGCCTCAGTCCCGGCTGAAGGGACACAGCTGCTCCCCAGGGGCCCCTGGCCTCTGAGGGCTCGCGTTGCAGAGGCGGGTGATGGCTCTGCAGATAGCCACTGCAGGTGAAATGGACACCTGGCTCTCCCTGGTGTCCCCTCCAGGAGCTGTCACTGGGCAGTCCGCCTTCCAGGATGGGACATAGTGGAGCAGGCACGGGGGGCCATGTCAGCCTGTCAGTCGGGCTGGCCCTGGAGGAAGGTTTGCACCTATGGTGTACCAGGAATCTCCCTACTTGGGGAACAGTGAGGGGAAGGACTCTCCAGGGTCACCTGGTCCCACCTCCGGTGCTGGGGCCTGGGAAGGAGAGAGAAGGGAGGTGGCTGTGGCCCGTCCCCTTCCACCAGAGGGGGGCTGCTGGGGTTCCCTTGGTGGATATGGAGAGGCCCCAGCCCTGCACAAGGCCAGCCTGTTGCCTCAGCCTCATTCACTCACTCACTCACTTGCAGGGTAGCATTCACGGATCATGGCACCTACCGCGTGCCAGGACGTGCTAGGTCTGGAGAGCCAGAAAAAACCCCTTGTATTGCAAGAGTGGAGAGTCGGTGACAGGTCAGCAAATTCATAAACGAGCTCTTCTGAGATAAAAAGGAACTGGGAATGGGCCCCTTGGGGACATGGCTGGTGCTGGGGCAGAGCAGGAAAAGGCAAGCTGAGCTCCTGGCCATGGTGGGATGACAGGGGGCAGGAGGGCCAGAGAGGAGAACAGCAGAATCATATAGTGCTGGCTTATGACCCCAAGCTGGAGCGCGTGCTGATATAAAAAATAAGAACAATTAAATGCAAGAAAGACACCAACCTCCCCTACAAAAGAATTCCCAGTAATACCTGTAGGTTCCGAGAGCAGAGATTACCCCTATGCACACACCATGAGTGAGGACTGGGTCTAGGGACTCCTTTCCAAAGAGCGGAGTCAAGACAGGCAAAGAGGAACTTGGCCGAGGAGGCGACTGGCAGGCACCACCTTGGCCAGGTGACCAGGTGAGCGTCGCCAGGTGATCGCACGGATGCCCCACAGCTCTGATAAGAGGTGACTCAAAGAGCACCCCACCTCTGTGAAATCCTTCCCAAACCCAAAACCTCAGTCTACTGCTGAGAAAGTACATCAGACAAACCCAAACTGAGGGGCTTTCTTTTGTTGTGGTTGCTTTTGTTTTTGAGACGGAGTCTCGCTCTGTCGCCCAGGCTGGAGTGCAGTGGCAAGATCTCGGCTCACTGCAACCTCCACCTCCTGGGTTCAAGTGATTCTCCTGCCTCAGCCTCCCAAGTAGCTGGGATTACAGTTACCTGCCACCACACCTGGCTGTTTTTTGTATTTTTAGTAGAAACGGATTTTTAGTAACAAGACCATGTTGGCCAGGCCGTTTTTGAACTCCTGACCTCAAGTGATCTGCCCGCCTCGGCCTCCCAAAGTGCTGGGATTACAGGCATGAGCCACTGTGCCTGGACACAAACTGAGGGACTTTCTACAAAAACACCTTGTCGGTGATCCTCAAAGGTCACCAAGAACAAGGAAATCTGAGAAACTGTCAGACAGGAGAGCCCGAGGAGACGGGACAGCTCTAAACATTGTGGCACCTGATAGGGCCCTGGAGCCGAAGAAGGCCATCAATGGCAGGACTGGTAGACTTCAAATAAAGTCCGTTCTGCGGGGGAGATAAACGGACCCCAACGTGGGCTTCCTAAGGCAACCCAGCAACACAGGATGGCGACGTCAGGGAAGACAGAGGCTTCGTGACAGGTGCATAGGACTCTGTGCTTTGCAGTGTCACACATTCTACTGGCCAGGCTGGAGTGCAGTGGCACGATCTCGATTCACTGCAACCTCCGCCTCCCGGGTTCAAGCGATTCTCCTGCCTCAGCCTCCTGAGTAGCTGGGATTACAGGCGCCCGCCACCACGCCCAGCTAATTTTTGTATTTTTAGTAGAGACGAGGTTTCACCATCTTGGCCGTGCTGGTCCTGAACTCCTGACCTCTTGATCCACCCGCCTTGGCCTCCCAAAATGCTGGGATTACAGGTGTGAGCCGCTGTGCTCGGCCAATTTTTTTATTTTTAGTAGACACAGGGTTTCACCATGTTGGCCAGGTTGGTCTCAAACTCCTGACCTCAAGTGATCCACCACCTCGGCCTCCCACAGTGCTGGCATGACAGGTGTGACCCACCGCACCCCTCCTGCAATGTCGCCCATTTTCTGAAATCTAAAATTATTCCAAAATAAAGTTTGTTTTTTAAAAGGGGAAAATGCAAAACCAAACAATCAAAGAAAACCACCTTCTTTTGACCCTGGCGTTGGGAGTTAAGCAGCCTCTCCAGGCCTGTCTCAGGCAAGATGCTCATTTTTGGTTTTAGAATTCGGGGGTTCAGGGTGCTCCTGGCTCTGCCCAGCTTGGAAGCACACACAGGCCACAGGGACCACAGAACCTCCAAGCTGAGTCAGGGTACGCCCCGTGGAAGGACGGTTGGTCCCCGCGTTCACACCTGCGTGTTACGAACTGTGAGCCCTCACACTGCGGAGGAGACCTACCAGAACGCCGTCCTGAGAGACTTTGACAGAGCTCAGCCTGGCATCGGCCTGCAGGAGCCTCATCCCTAAAGGTGATTCCAGCTCTGTGTTGGTCTCTGCTCAAGGTAACAAAGTGCTGCCAAAATGCAAAGTGCAAACTCTATCCCAGTGCAAACTTTCCACAGCTAAAGCACTTTCCCTGTTTTCCACTCAGTCCTTCTGTGATTTTCCATTTCCCCAGCGCCTCTTGGGTTACCCCTTCGTTACTTCCCCATACCCCTTTTTTGCTCCTTTTCTGTTCTCCCTTTAAAAACCTGGGTTGGCCCGGTGCGGTGGCTCACGCTTGTAATCCCAGCACTTTGGAAGGCCGAGGCGGGCGGATCACGAGGTCAGGAGTTTGAGACTAGCCTGGCCAACATGGTGAAACCCTGTCTCCACTAAAAAATACAAAAATTAGCCAGGTGTGGTGGTGGGTGCCTGCAGTCCCAGCTACTCAGGAGGCTGAGGCAGGAGAATGGTGTGAACCTGGGAGGCAGAGCTCGCAATGAGCCGAGATTGCAACTGCACTCCAGCCTGGGGGACAGAGCAAGACTCCGTCTCAAAAAAAAAAAAAAAAATACTGCAGTCTGCCCCCACACCGCAATCTGAGTAAAACCTGTCTTTCCGCCTTCAGGTGTCTGGGATTGGGTCTCATTCCGGGTCCCATGCCTCTGCCTGAGTCTCAGCCGCGTGTCTGTGCTCCTGCCAGCGTATGCTTGCTCATGTGTGTCTGTGGATGGTGACTGTGTCTGCCTGTGTGCACCCATGTGTAGTGGGTCTGTGTGCTTGCTTGCTGGTGGCTAACCATGTCTGTGAGCGTGTCATGCCAACTGCATTGCACTTTCTGATGTCATCTGCCAGCCACGTCCAGTTCAGGACATTGGGCAAAAAATGGTCCTGCCCTTCAGGGGCCCGCCCTACCAAGGGTGAGCCGTGAACCAAGTCTCAGGATCGAAGGCAAGGTGCCCCTCTGGAGGGAGGTGGGGCTCTGGGAAGCTTGGGGGCCGTGGCCATGGAGATGCGGGGGGATGGGGAGTGCCCAGCCTGAGCTGGACAGGGTTGGGCCAAGCCCTGAGCACGTGCACGAGGAGTACAGATGAGGCTCAGAGGCCTTGCTGGGACCATGGGAATGAGCCAGTTTCCAACAACTTGATGTCAAGCCAGGGCTTCTGGGCTTTTCCTTGGGCTGAAGATGCTATTAGGACTATGTTTATTTATTTATTTATTTATTTATTTTTTTGAGACGGAGTTTCGCTCTTATTGCCCCGGCCAATGGCACAATCTCGGCTCACCACAACCTCCGCCTCCCAGCTTCAAGCGATTCTCCTGCCTCAACCTCCCAAGTAGCTGGAATTACAGGCGCCCCTCACCGCACCCAGCTAAATTTTTTTGTATTTTTAGTAGAGATGAGGTTTCACCATGTTGGCCAGGCTGGTCTTAAACTCCTGAACTCAGGTGATCTGCCCGCCTTGGCCTCCCAAAGTGCTGGGATTACAGGCGTGAGCCACCACATCCAGGGTATTTATTTATTTACTTATTTTATTTTTTGAGATGGAGTCTCGCTCTGTTGCCAGGCTGGAGTGTAGTGGCGCGATCTCGGCTCATTGCAACCTCCACCTCCCGGGTTCAAGCAATTCTCCTGCCTCAGCCTCCCGAGTAGCTGGAACTATAGACGTCCACCACCACACCCAGATAATTTTTGTATTTTTAGTAGAGACAGGGTTTCACCATGTTGGCCAGGATGGTCTCAATCTCTTGACCTCATGATCTGACTGCCTTGGCCTCCCAAAGTGCTGGGATTACAGGTGTGAGCCACTGCATCCAGCCCCTTATTTATTTTATTTTATTTTATTTATTTATTTATTTTTTTGAGATGGAGTCTCGCTCTGTCGTCCAGGCTGGAGTGCAGTGGCACGATCTCGACTCACTGCAAGCTCCACCTCTCGGGTTCACACCATTCTCCTGCCTCAGCCTCCCGAGTAGCTGGGACTACAGGCGCCCGCCACAACGCCTGGCTAATTTTTTGTATTTTTGGTAGAGACAGGGTTTCACCATGTTAGCCAGGATGGTCTCGATCTCCTGACCCCGTGATCCACCCTCCTTGGCCTCGCAAAGTGCTGGGATTACAAGTGTGAGCCACCGTGCCCGGCCTATTTTTTGAGACAAAGTCTCACTCTGTTGCCCAGGCTGGAGTGCAGTGGCGTGACCTCAGCTCACTGTAACCTCCACCTCCTGGGTTCAAGTGATTCTCATGCCTCAGCCTCCTGAGTAGCTGGGATTACAGGCACACATCACCATCCCTGGCTTATTTTTGTATTTTTGGTAGAGACAGGGTTTCAACATATTGGCCAAGCTGGTCTTGAACCTCTGACCTCAGGTGACCTGCCTGCCTCAGCCTCCCAAAGTACTGGGATTACAGGTGTGAGCCACCGCGCCCGGCCGCTATTAGGACTTTAGAACGAGAGACAGACTTGATCTAATAATGATTAGTCAGATAAATTTTTAGGACGTAGGGCCGATATGCCCTGGGATTGTGCAGAAGTAGGAGATGGGAGAGAAGTCAAAGGAGGGCCAACATCTCTTCACAGCCAGTGTGGGTGATGGCAGATGGTTCATGGTACAGGAAACAGAGGGGTGTGGACATGGTACCCAGGCTGGAGGAGAGAGGCCAGGGCTGCAGGTGCGTCCTGGGGGGAAGAGGCTGGGGAAGCCCCCGGAGGAAGCCAGAGGGAGCAGAGCCGTGACCCCCGGGGTGCACAGGGGCTGGGGTCGGGGAGGCCGTGCAGCGGTGAGGGGACCTCAGAGCACTGCTTCCTCTTCCCTGTTTGGGGTTTCAGAGGTCCCTTGTGCAGGGGCTAGGGCAGAGCCCCATCCTTAGGACACCTAGGCCCCAAGTGGGGCTTCCACAAGCTGCTTCCGGAGGATGGAGATGTAGCACCCAGTCCAGATTATAGCTTGACCCAGGGCTCTCTCCCTACCTTGGCTGGGGTTTGGGACGGCAGAATCTGTGCTCTGGGCTTCTGGGTCCCCATCAAAATGGAACAAAGTGACCTGCAGCCCCAGTCAGGTAAGACTAGCCCATTCTTCTCCTGCACAGTTCTGGCTAAAGCCTCCACCCCCAAGCAGGTGATATTCCCTCCCCAGATATCCCACACAGCTCGGACTCTGGGGTCCCTTTCAGATTAGCACAGTCTGATGGGAGAAGAAAACACCCGAATTGAAAATAGAACGAACGCCTGTAATCCCAGCACTTTGTGAGGTTGAGCACAGGAGTTCGAGACAAGCCTGGGCAAGATGGTAAGTCCCGGTCTTTACAAAAAATATAAAAATTAGCTGGGTGTGGTGGCACATGCCTGTGGTCCCAGCTTCTTGGGAGGCTGAGGTGGGAGGATCACTTGAACCCAGGTGGTTGAGTTTGCAGTGAGGTGAGATTGCGCCATTGCACTCCAGCCTGGGTGACAGAGCAAGACCCTGTCTCCAAAAAACAAAAAAAAGCAGAACACCACCTCTCTCTCCTTGCTGCCCATCCACCTGCTCGGATGGCCTTGGCTCCACCTCTGATCTGTACCTGTGCACGCCTCATGAAACATGAATGCCAGGCCTGCACAACCTGCTTCTGTTGAGAGAGGTGGCCGGCTGAGCCGCTGTTCGTGGCCCGCTTGGCCGCAGCCTCCGTCTCTCCCACCAGTCCGGCTGCACCACCCACACTGCTGCCCAGCGTCTTCCCCACTCTGGGCTTTGCACCTGCCCTTCCCTCAGCCTGGAACAGCCCTCCTGCCCGCCTGGTGATTCCCAGCATCCGGGAAGACTCACCTCCAGCCCCAGCTCCAGGCCATCATGATATAGCCCTCCCCTCCTGCCTGAGGATCCCACAGGCCCAGACCCCAGCCCTGCCTGCACTTTCTCTCTATCCTTCCCCTTCCCCTTAAAAATATCCCGGGGCCTCTGGAAGTGGAAGGGGTGGGATGGAGGAAAGAGAGCAGGAGGCATCCTGGCTGCCCAGCCGAGGGCTGATTCCCCAGGTCCCATGCCAGTGCCAACCAGCCTGGCTCCAGCACGGTGAGCCCCACATCTGCAGCCCCACCTGTGTGGCTTGTGTGTGCCCCTGAGTCCTGAGGGCTCTGAATCTGTCCTGGCTAGAACTGGAGTTACCACCCGCTGTGGGGCGGGGCGAGTCTCCCGCTGCTCTGAGCACCAGGCTGCACCAGGGAACCCACCTCATGGAGCAAAGCTGCAGAAACACTGCCTTTCTCGTGGGCGTTGTTACCCTAAGTGGGTCGGCAACTGCAAGGTGGACGGTGGGGCGGGCGCCGAGGGCCGCTCCCTGGCTGTGGGCTGTGCTCGCACGTCTTGGATGCCCTGTGGGTACTTCCTTTCTGTTGGGATTTGGGCTCAGGTTTATCGCTGGCTGCTTCTGGGAACCCTGGGGGCTAAAGGACCCTGCAAGACGGCTGGGTTGGAGGAAAGGGGCTTGCCTGGTCCTGGGAGCTGGGCAGATACGTGGGTGGTGAGCAAAAATTGGGAGGGCTTCTCATCTGGGCCCCCCGCCCCTGAGGGACCATCATGGTACAGAATCAGGGAGCATCAAAGGGAAAACCTAGGATGAGGGACTGGAGGGGGACTGGGGACTTGGCCAAGGCCTGGGTGAGGGGGTGCCCTGCCCAGGGGTGGGGCTGCAGGAAGGAGCGGCCATTCCACCTGAGTTGGCCGCCCCTGCCTCATAGCCCCCAGACCCAGGGTGCTCAGAGCTCCCCTCTTCTTTCGGAGCCTTGCGGGAGGCCCTGCTGCTCAGGGGCTGGTGGACACCACCAAGAGTTGGGTTCTGTAGCCCCCACTGCCACAGGCTGGGCGGGCTCTGGCCCCTCCTCCCTTGGGGGGTCCTGGTGCCGGGGTGGTTTTGAAAACCAGAGACTGGAGGCCTTATCAGACCACAGGTTTTCCTGAGGAAGGAAGGGTGGGTGTGGGCCTCCAGGATGGGCGCCTCCTCTGGGTGTGCCCAGCCTGGTGGAGGGCACACATGCACTGCCCATCCCTCCTGGGGGACCCCAGTCCAAGGCCCTGCCCCACCAGAGACAAGCAGACTGCAAAGGCTGGACCCAGTAGCGTGTGGGTCCAGGGCTCAGGCCCAGGGTGGGGTGTGAACTCCCTGAAATCACAGCAGATGCCAGCATCCTCCGGGATAGTGTGCCTGGCTCCCCCAGCCGAGGCTCAGAGGAATTTGCAGCCAGTTCACGGGCAGTTCCACTCCGAGGGATATGTCCAGTGGGAATCTATACTTGGGCACCAAAAAACAAGCAAGAATGTTCCAAACGACCCTTTTCATAATAGCCCCAACCTGGAAAACCCAAATGCCCATCAGTGCTGGGTGTGGCCTGTCATCCAGGGGACAGTGACTGTAGCCAGGAGGAGCCACCTTCAACGCCAGGCACCACCTGGCTTCCACCATGGCCCCTGCTTCAGACAACGGGAAGCAGAGGCCAGAAGCACAGGCAGAGCTGGTGCCCAGCACGGATTAGGTTCGGGAACAGGCAGGACCAGTGCAGGTGGATGGGGTCCATGAATGATGGCCTCTGGGGCATTGGCCAGCAGTGCCTTAGGGGCCACCTGGGTTTGGCAATGTCCTGTTTTCTTGATCCAGGTGCTGGTGACAAGAGGCATTCAGTCTATGGGAATTCAGGAAGCCACATACTTAGGATGAGTATGTTTTTCTGCATGTATGTGATACTTCTGTGATGCTTTTCTGCCTGTATGTGAAACTTCAATAAAAAGTTTCACACACAAGCCAGGCGCGGTGGCTCACGCCTGTAATCCCAGCACTTCGGGAGGCCGAGGTGGGTGGATCACCAGGGTCAGGAGACCAAAACCATTCTGGCTAACACGGTGAAACCCCGTCTCTACCAAAATATAAAAAAATTAGCCGGGTGTGGTGGCGGGCGCTTGTAGTCCCAGCTACTGGGGAGGCTGAGGCAGGAGAATGGCATAAACCCAGGAGGCGGAGCTTGCAGTGAGACGAGATCGCGCCACTGCACTCCAGCCTGGGCAACAGAGCGAGACTCCGTCTCAAAAAAAAAAAAAAAAGTTTCACACACAGGCCTGGCGCGGTGGCTCACACCAGTAATCCCAGCACTTTGGGAGGCAGAGGTGGGCGGATCACAAGGTCAGGAGTTCAAGACCAGCCTGACCAACATGGTGAAACTCTGTCTCTACTAAAAATACAAAAATTAGCCGGGCGTGGTGGCGCACATCTGTAGTCCCAGCTACTTGGGAGGCTGAGGCAGGAGAATTGCTTGAACCCAGAAGGTGGAGGTTGCAGTGAGCTGAGATTGTGCCACTGCACTCCAGCCTGGGCGACAGAGTGAGAGGCGTCTCAAAAAAAAAAAAAAAAAAAAAGTTACACACACAAGCAGAAACCCTCCCCTGACCCCTCCAGAGGGAGGAGCATTCATTCCCTGAGGCCCCTGCCTTCCTCCTGCCCTGTCCCATCTGGGCCCCTAAGATGACCTTGCTCCCTCCAGGGAAGTCGCAGGGCGGACTGGGCTGAAAGCCAGGGAGAGACTGCCGGGTCATGGCCCCAACCCTTCGTGGAGGGAACGCAGAGGAGGCGGCAGGAGAGAGCAGCCCCTGAGGGAGGTGCGGGTGGGGCTGGGCTCAGAGCAGGGCAGCCAGGCTGACGCCCCGGGGCCCGCTCTGCCTTTCTTGGAAGAGTCTGGAGGAGCCATGTGGGGTGGGGGTGTCCCACAGCCGTGCAGGTGGGGCTGCGGATGTGGGGGCTCACCCTGCTGGAGCCGGGCCGGCGGGCCGGGGAGCACTGGCTCGGGACCTGGGGAACCCGCCCTCCGCTGGACAGCCAGGATGCCTCCTGCTCTCCTCCCTCCATCCCAACCCTTCACTTCCAGAGGCCCCGGGCTATTTTTAACTTGGCTTAGCAGCCGGAGCCGAAGGTGGACCCAGCCCTGCAGGGAGTGGGGAGGAGGGAGGAGCTGCAGCTGCCGTCCCGCCCCCACCCCTCCCAGGGTTCAGGCTTTCTAGTTGGGTGGGTTGGGGGTGCTGGTCATTCTTGACCTTAGAGGAGAAACATCATTCATTCCACTCTGCAAATATAGTCACACTCAGAGGCCACACAGATACTCCAAGATTCAGACACAAGCCTGAGACACAAACTCAAAAACACACCTGGGGGTACACCCAGGCTCACTCTGTCACACACACACCGAGACACACACACACACACAAACACTGACACACACAGACACACACACGCAGAGACACACACAGACACTGACACACACACAGAGACACACAGACACTGACACACACAGACACACACATAGACACTAACACAGACACAGAGACACACACATGCAGAGACACACACACAGACACTGACACACACAGACACACAGACACTGACACACACACATGCAGAGACACACAGACACACACTGACACACAGAGACACACACACAGACGCTGACACACACAGACACTAACACACATAGACACTGACACACACAAGCAGAGACACACACACAGACACACACACTGACACAGAGACACACACTGACATACACAGAGACACACACACACTCTGCCTAGGGACAGCTGAGGAGTGTGTGAGACTCAAGGACCCTCAGGACACAAGGGCAGATGTGTGTGGACGCTGTGGGCAGACCTCACCAGATGCCTGGAGACTCAAACACCCTGAAGGCGAGCCCCACCCCTTCATGGACACACACAGGCACAGATGCCCAGAGACCACCAGCTGTGGGGCTTGTGGGGAGGGTCGGACCCTCCGGTCACACCCGGAGGCCGAGGTGGGGGAAGCTTGGGGGTGGAGCTGCCCATGCTGCCTGCTCTGCCCCTTCCCCCAGCACCAGCCCAATGTCCCTGAATCCCCCTGAAGTGGACGGACAAGCTCCAGGGGTCTCCACACCCTTCCCACCAAAGGGCGGGCTTGTGAAGGGCGGGCTTGTGGCCTCCCCTTTCCCCCATGCTCGCCCCCACACTCTCAGGGCAGGAAGCCCCAGGAGAGGATGGCTGCAGGGGAGGCAGCGGAGAGCTGACCTCAGAATGTGCTCAGCCCGGCCCCTTCCTTTCCCTGCTCCCCACTTCCCCTCTCCTCCCCCAGCCTTTGTTCCGTGGAGCAACTGCCCCCTGACCCCCGCTGAGGGAATTGGAGTCAGTCCTGGAAAAAAACCCCAGGTGCTGGCTGGGGCCACTGCCTCCGGATCCAGCGAGAGGAGGGAGCTGGGGGCTGGGAGAATTGGGGCTCAGGTGCCAGGGTGAGGGGCAGGGGCTAGCTTCCACCTCACACCCCACCTCCACCCCAGGAGGCCCAGGGCAGCTCCTAGAGGAATGCGGAGGGCAGGGGAGGGGACAGGACATCCTCTCGGCAGGACACAGGACGCCCAGTCCGGAGGTTCCCAGCCCCGGGCAAGGCCACGGGGGAAAGGGTCACTGGGGCCTGGGGCTCACCAGTTCCACCCTCAGCCAGCAGTGTCCACAGACAGTCCAGGTCACCTCCAGTGGGGGCTGGAGGTGTTGGCGGATGAGGCCTGTCATGGCCGGAGTGGAATGGCCGCCCCCGCCCCCAGGGGCCCCACGTGTGTGGGAGGCACCGGCAGGCCTGGGTTTGTCCTCAGCTCTGCAAATCTTGGGGTCGCCACCTCCAGGAGAGGCCTCAGGCTGGCCCTGGCCCTCCCAGGCCCAGGACAGGAAGCCCAGGGACAGTCGATGGGGTGACAGCCATGGGGACCCCAGCTCCTGGGGGCTGAGCAGCAGTAGAACCCGACCTCTGCTCACTGCCCTGGAAGATGAGGGACCCTGGAGGGGCCTGAAGGCACTAGAAGGAGAAAGACCTCCTGCGCTCACCTCACCGGTTCAGCCAGGACCCAGGAGACCCTGCCGGTCTGGGAGGCCTGGAGGGTTCCACCCCTGCTCCCACATGATCTCCTGGCTGCAACTTCTTGCCCAACACGCCAGCTGGCTGGTCATCTGTGAGCGCTTCTGCCAGAGTCTGTCCCAATCACCTGAGCAGCAAATGATGCTAAATGTCATCTAAAAGCAGCCTTTCAAACGAATGACCAAAGGCCGGGCGCGGCGGCTCACACCTTAATTCCCGCACTTCGGGAGGCCGAAGTGGGTGGATCACCTGAGGTCAGGAGTTCGAGACCAGCCTGCCCAACATGGTGAAACCCCCGTCTCAACTATAAATACAAAAAAAAATTAGCCGGTGTGGTGCCGCGCACCTGTAATCCCAGCTACTCAGGAGGCTGAGGCAGGAGAATTGCTTGAACCCGGGAGGCGGAGCTTGCAGTGAGCCGAGATCACACCACTGCACTCCAGCCTGGGTGGCAGAGCAAGGCTCCGTCTCAAAAAAAAAAAAAAAAAAAAAGAATGACCTCAACACAGACCTTGAGTGTCAATTTGCCTCTGTTTCCCTAGGAGTTAAAATTACCAGAGGGGATCGTGGGCACAGTCACCATTTGACCCAGGATTTCTGCTCCCCGCATCCAAACAACAGGAATGCTTGCCCCGAAGTGAGGTGCTCCAGATGACACCTCTGCCAGGGACGCCGTCTCCTTCCTCCGCCACCTCTCCCGTTGTGTTTTTTGAGGTTCGACTCAAAATCTTTACATGTTTTTAAAAATTGAGTTTTGCCGGGCGCGGTGGCTCACGCCTGTCATCCCAGCACTTTGGGAGGCCGAGGCAGGCGGATCACAAGGTCAGGAGGTCGAGACCATCCTGGCTAACATGGTGAAACCCCGTCTCTACTAAAAATACAAAAAATTAGCCGGGCGTGGTGGTGGGCGCCTGTAGTCCCAGCTACTAGGGAGGCTGAGGCAGGAGAATGGCGGGAACCCGGGAGGCAGAGCTTGCGGTGAGTCGAGATCGCGCCACTGCACTCCAGCCTGGGCGGCAGAGCGAGACTCCGTCTCAAAAATAAAAATAAAAATAAAAATAAATAAAATAAAAATAAAAATTGAGTTTTATTGAAGCATAATTTTACATACAACGATATTTACCAATTTTAAGCATCCTACTTGAAGAGCCTGGACAAAGGGAAAGCAGGAAACCACCTCCGCTGCCGCCGGGTCCCCTGCCCCGCCAACCAACCACGCATCTGCCACCTCCGCTGCCGCCGGGTCCCCTGCCCCGCCGACCGACCACGCATCTGCCACCTCCGCTGCCGCCGGGTCCCCTGCCCCGCCGACCGACCACGCATCTGCTTTCTGTAAGGATAGTTTGGCCTTTGCTAGGATTTCACGTAAAGGAGGCCCTAAGCACGTGGTCTTTTGTGTGTGGCTTCTCTCACTTAGCATCCTGTTTTTGGGATTCACCCCGTAGCGGCGGCCTTGTCTTCCCACCGTAGGGATGAGCCACTGTTCGCTTATCCACTCGCCAGCTGATGGATACTTGGTTTTCTCAGCTTTGCGAACGCTGCTGCTACAAAGGTTTGAGGCGAGTCTTCCTGCGGACGTGTTTCATCTCTTCTGGGTAAATACCTGGGCGCGGGATGCTGAGTCACGCTACGTCTCCTTTCCTGAATCTCTTTTTTTTTTTTTCTTTGAGACGGAGTCTCTCTCTGTCGCCCAGGCTGGAGTGCAGTGGCGCGATCTGGGCTCACTGCAACCTCCTCCTCCCGGGTTCAAGCAATTCTCCTGCCTCAGCCTCCCGAGTAGCTGGGACTACAGGCGCCCGCCACCACGCCCGGCTAATTTTTTGTATTTTTAGTAGAGATGGGGTTTCACCGTGTTAGCCAGGATGGTCTCGATCTCCTGACCTCGTGATCCGCCCGCCTCGGCCTCCCAAAGTGCTGGGATTACAGGCGTGAGCCACCGCACCCGGCCTGAATCTCTTTATATGTTTTGGTCACCCCATGACTGCATCCCTAAGAGCAAGGACCTTGCCTGTGCTGCTTGCTGCAGTGACCAGAGCTCAACACGACTGCTCGCCTGGAGGATCTTCTGAACAGACACTCACCCACTGGGTGAATGGGTGGATGGCAGCGGTGCCAGGACAGTGGGTCCTGGTGATGCCAATGGGGAGGTGACGATGGGCTGGAGGCACCACAGAAGATGCCAACGGTGACTGCGGTAAATGAGGTGGCAGCGACCGCGGCCGTCAGCAGTGATGCAGCCGTGGGTGGATGGTCGTAATGGGGAAGACCTCACATAGCCTGGAGACGCCTGCTTCAGCCCTCCTTGAAACTGAACTCACCTGGGGAGATGTCATGTGGCCCCTCCACTTCCCCCTACTTCAGGCACCCATGCTCACTCACACCTTGGAGCCAGCTGTCACCAAAACCCACGCACTCTGAAATGACTACTTGCAGTTTCCCCCTCTGTGGTGCAACTGCCCCCCTCCCCGGCTGTTACACCTCACCAAGCGCTTCGCTCCAGGACAACCCTCCTTTCTCCAAAACAGGCGGCCTTCCCCTTTCTTTGGCTTCCTTCTTATCCAGTTCAGATTTTGTGGTCCACTCTTAGTCACTCTCTCGAAAATGTGGGAAGTCTTCAAATGTCCCTCCTTTTGTGGCACCCTTCTGAGAACTTCAGCCTTGCCAGCACCTAAACCACTGCCCATTGTAGGGAAAATCAAGCCAGGAAGATGGGGGCCACCCAAAACCCATGTCTGGACGTTCTGCTGCACCCGGTCCTGGGGAGTCCACACCTGGCAAACGGAGACGTCTATCCACTCAGTCCCCACCCGCTGCACGCCGTGGTCTTTCCCAAGCACTCCGGACTTAGTCTCTGGATGGTTTGTATGTTAAGCTGTTCCCTGCTCTCCAGCCTTCCCACCAGCATTTACCACCCATTACCTCGCTGACATGCAGACAGGAGCTGAGAAATGTTTAGCTGAGAAATTTTCAGGAGCTTCTTAGAAGTGGCTTCCTTTCAGCCGGGCACGGTGGCGCACGCCTGTAATCCCAGCACTTTGGGAGGCTGAGGTGGGCGGATCACGAGGTCAAGAGATTGAGACCAGCCTGGCCAACATGGTGAAACCCCATCTCTACTAAAAATACGAAAATTAGGCCGGGCACGGTAGCTCACACCTGTAATCTCAGAACTTTGGGAGGCCGAGGTGGGCGGATCACAAGGTCAGGAGTTCAAGACCAGCCTGACCAACATGCTGAAATCCCGTCTCTACTAAAGATATAAAAATTAGCTGGGTGTGGTGGCGTGTGCCTGTAATCCTAGCTACTGGGGAGGCTGAGGCAGGAGAATCATTTGAACCCTGGAGGTGGAGGTTGTGGTAAGCCGAGATCGCGCCACTGCATTCCAGCCTGGGTGACAGGGCGAGACTACATCTCAAAAAAAAAAAAAAAAAAAATACAAAAATTACCCGGGCGTGGTGGCACACGCCTGTATTCCCAGCCACTCAGGAGGCTGAGGCAGGAGAAGCACTTAAACGAGGGAGACAGAGGTTGCAGTGAGCCGAGATGGCGCCCCTGCACTCCAGCCTGGTGACAGAGCGAGACTCCGTCTCAAAAAAAAAAAAAAAAAAAAAAATTGGCTTCCTTTCCAACTCCTTGCACCAGTTTGCAAAGCCCTACCCATCTCCCCACTCCCCATCCCTAGCCTCATTCCTCCTGGTCCCTAAGGTCCCAGCCACTCTGGCCTCTGTTCTTATTCCTTCAGCACTAGGGCCTCTCCCAGGGTCAGCCCCAACTCCACAGCCTAATTCACAGGGTGAATTCCTACCCATCTCTCTGGTCTCAGCTCCTGATCCACCTCCCCTCCAGGATGGCAGCTGCTGGTGTTTGCTTCCTGCAAAACCCTTCTTGGCCGGGCGCAGTGACTCATTTCTATAATCCCAGCACTTTGGGAGGCTGAGGTGGGCAGATCACCTGAGGTCAGGAGTTCGAGACTAGCCTGACCAACATGGTAAAACCCTGTCTTTACTAAAAATACAAAAATTAGGCTGGGTGTGGTGGCTCACACTTGTAATCCCAGCACTTTGGGAGGCCAAGGTGGGTGGATCACCTGACGTCAGGAGTTTGAGACCAGCCTGGGCAACCATGGCCAACATGGTGAAACCCCGTCTCTACCAAAAATACAAAAATTAGGCCAGGCATATTGGCTCATGGCTGTAATCCCAACACTTTGGGAGGCTGAGGTGGGAGAATCACCTGAGGTCAGGAGTTGGTGGCACGAGTCTGTAATCTCAGCTACTCGGGAGGCTGAAGCAGGAGGATTGCTTGAACCCAGGAGGCAGAGGTTGCAGTGAGCGGAGATCGCGCCACTGCACTCCAGCCTGGGCAACAGAACAAACTCTGTCTCAAAATAAATAAATAAATAAAATTAAAACATAAAATAGGCCAGGCTCAGTGGCTCATGCCTGTAATCCCAGCACTTTTGGAGGCCGAGGTGGGTGGATCACCTGAGGTCAGGAGTTTGAGACCATCCTGGCCAACATGGTGAAACCCCGTGTCTACTAAACATACAAAAATTACCCGGGCATGGTGAGGGGCGCCTGTAGTCCCAGCTACTTGGGAGGCTGAGGCAGGAGAATGGCTTGAAACCGGGAGGCGGAGCTTGCAGTGAGCCGAGATGGCGCCACTGCACACCAGTCTGGGCGACAGAGCGAGATTCCGTCTCAAATAAATAAATAAATAATAAAAATAAAATAAAATAAAACCCCTCTTTGGGTTAAATCCCTACTTGCTCACAGCAAATACCCTGAGGGCAAGGATGGGACCGGCCAGTGCTTCGTCCAGCCCAGCAGGCCCGTGACATACGTCCGCCGAATGAATGATTCCCGTTAGGGATGGTAAAGGGGGAAGGTGGGGAGATCAGGTCATCACCAGATGCAGAGAATGACTGAGGTAGGGAGAACTGCCTTCATCCTGCCCTCCTGGTATCCATGGTGGGAGACCACCCAGGCCCAGAAGGACATCAGCTGGTGGAAGGGGAAGCCCACCTGGAATGTGACAGGCTCCAGCCGCCTTCACCCTCCTGGTCCCGGCCTCCACTCAGGTGAGCCACCCTCACCCTCCTGCTCCCCGTCTCCACTCAGGTCATCCACCCTCACCCTCCTGGTCCCTGTCTCCACTCAGGTCATCCAACCTCACCCTCCTGGTCCCGGCCTCCACTCAGGTCAGCCACCCTCACCCTCCTGGTCCCTGTCTCCACTCAGGTCATCCACCCTCACCCTCCTGGTCCCTGTCTCCACTCAGGTCATCCACCCTCACCCTCCTGGTCCCTGTCTCCACTCAGGTCAGCCACCCTCACCCTCCACTCAGGTCAGCACTGCCTGGGACTTTCCAGGGGGCTGAGCGGCTGACCAGGAGCCTTTGCTGGGGCGGCCTGGGCACCCGGGCACTTCCTGCAAGGCCTCCCTCCTTGCAGCCCCAGCTCCTGGCCTGCTCCTTCCTCCTCCGCCCCAGGGGCTTTCCACAAAGCCTGAGGCCTGCTATTTTTAGCTGAGGGAGAGGGCCCAGTTCCTGGCCCCACTGCCGCCCTGAAGGAGCCTGGGCTAAACTGGGGCTGGGGTTGGGTCTAGGGGTTGGGGGAGAGGCTGCAGTCCCCAGCCCAGGCACACCTGGAGTGCAGAGGGGACGCTGCAGGCTGGGCTCCCAGCCCAGTTGGTGGACCAGGCGCTTACCCTGGGGAGGTGGGGCTTAGGGCCTGGGTGGGCTGCCGCCCACTTCCTGTGGCCGCACCCCAGTACTTCAAAGGCTGCTGGCCGCCCTGTGGTCAGTCCAGGCTCCCACGCAGCTGGAGGGGCTGGGCGGGCACACGCACCCCTGGCAGCTGGCCCCCCCTCCCCTCAGGGCAGCTTCAAAGCAGCAGGGGTGGGCAGCCCCCGTGATTAGCACGGATCCCAGGGCTGGGACGGGAGACACAAGGCGGTAATGGAGGCCCTGGCAGAGCCCCTCCTCTGCTCCTATGCTGCCCGTCCCACTGCCTTCCTGGGTTGGCTCAGGGCAAAGGCCCAGGTACCTTCCTGGCCCCCAGATCCTGTCTTGAGGCAGGGGCCACCTTTAGGGGTACCTGCGTCTCTGCTTGGTGCCTGTGGGTTTCGGTGGCCTGGCCACGGAGTCAGTCCCAGTCAGAGAAGCGACAGGAACCGTGGTGGGGGCACCCCTGCGGGACCCCTCGGGACAGCCTCTCTTTCTTACTCCTTTCCTCTCTTCCTTCCTCCCCACTTTCCAACTGGAAGGGGGGCGGGAGGGGAGGGGCCATAAAGGAGAAGGGGCTCCTTGTCCAGGCCTCGGGCTGTGGTGGGCTTGACCTGGCGCCAGCTCCCCAGGGACGGCCTGGGCGGAGGTATTGGGGGCGGGGACCTAGAAGCAGCCGCCCCAGAGTCCGGCAGACGCTGAGAACAGAGAGTGCCTGGGGGGCGGGGGGCAGCTTTCAGGGTCCCCTGGGGTCAGCTCTGGGACAGTTGCCGTTTTTAATCTGCACAAGTGATTTAGAAGGAGCCGCCAGGGCTGCAACCTAGATCCACTCAGACCCAGCTCGGGAAGTGCGGGGAGGCGCGGCCCAAGAACTGTGCCCTCCCCCCAGCTGTGGCCACAGGGCAGCGGGGACCCTGGATGAAGCTTCCACCACCCAGCTGTGGCCACAGGGCAGTGGGGGCCCCGGACGAAGCTTCCTCCCCGAGCTGTGGCCGCAGGGCAGTGGGGACCCCGGACGAAGCTTCCTCCTCTCCTGCCAGCCAGAACCCGGGTTCATGGTGACCTTGCATGCCCGAAGTCTGTCCATCCTGTCCCGGACTGGCTCTCCTCTCCCCTCCCCTCCCCTCCTCCTCTACTCTCAGGCATCCAGGGACCGCCGCCCAGCCCAGCTTCAGGGCCGGAGGCTCCCCCAGATCTAGGGCCTTGAAGGAGCCCCGGTCCCTGAGCTCACAGCACAGACGCCCGGACCCTGGCAGATGCCGGCTTTCAGCCCACCCACCCGGCAGCTGGGAGCCACCCACCCCAGGAAGGAAGGGCTGGGGGTGGGCTGCGCATCCAGCTCGCCGGGGTCCCCACCAAGGACCTTGACTTGGCTGCCAGCGACCACCCCACCCCTGCTGACACAAGCTGGGCGCGCCTCCCTCGGTCTTTGGGCGCAGGGAGGGAGGGCTGGGTCTCCAGTCCTTCTGACCACTCCGCTGCCTGCTTGCGGCCCGTCCCCACCACCCACCACCCGAGCTGCAGGTGCGGTGGAGACGGGGAGGGGAGAAGGTGCAGGGGCACACGGGCCGTCGCCCTGAGGGATTTTCGATGGTTCCACGACTTGGGGGAGCCAGGAAAAAGGGGCAACTTCTGTGGCCTCCCGTGGACTTGGGACCCCTGGTGGAGTCGGAATCCTCACGAGAGACTCCTGTGGGGAAACACATCCTAGGCCCTCTGGGCTGGGCCCCTGGTCCACCTGGGACGCAGGCTGGAGAGGCCAAATGCAGGGGCCAGGAAGCACCAAACTGGCTCTTAGGCCAAGAGCCAAGGGACCCCCACCCTTTCCATGTGTCCCCCAATCCAGGCCCAGCGTCATCCCCCCTCCTCACCCACACCCGGGGCTGACTGTCCGAGATACAGGCTGTGTTTTCCATCTGGTCACCACGCGCCCCCCCAGGTGAGGGTCTCCGAGGGGCAACGCGTGAAAAGCCGGAGCGGATCGCCTCACGGGGCGGAATGGCTGCTGGTGCCGGCCTGGTCAGAGGCCGGGATCGGTATTTGCTGAATATACAACACAGAGGGACCAATAAAAATACAGAGAAAAGCACGGAGCCGCCGGCGTGGCAGAAGAGCCTGCGGAGAAGCTCCCTCAAAGACTGGCAGGCGACACAACCACAACCTGTGGAAAAGCAACTGGGGCAAAGCTCTTGGCTTTAAGAATACCCCCTTGGGGCCGGGCGCGGTGGCTCACGCCTGTAATACCAACACTTTGGGAGGCCAAGGTGGGCAGATCACGAGGTCAGGAGCTCGAGACCATCCTGGCTAACACGGTGAAACCCCGTCTGTACTAACAATACAAAAAATCAGCCGGGCGTGGTGGCGGGCGCCTGTAGTCCCAGCTACTTGGGAGGCTGAGGCAGGAGAATGGCGTGAACCCGGGAGGCGGAGCTTGCAGTGAGCTGAGAACATGCCACTGCACTCCAGCCTGGGCGACAGAGCGAGACTCCGTCTCAAAAAAAAAAAGAAAAGAAAAGAAGAAAAGAAAAGCCCCTAGAGGCCAGGGTCCTTGAACAAAAGTGCGCGATGCCCTGTGTCTGCAGCGGGGAGAGGTCTGGAGCCCGTGTGTCCGACAGCAGAAGTGGACACAGTGGTGCCAGGGCAGGAACCCTGGGGGCATTTGCAGGCCTGTGCTGCGAGACTGCAGTGGCGCTCAGGACACACCTCGGAGAAGAGCAAGCCTGCTGCAGAGTGACATGAACACCAGGTCTGTTTCTGTACGAGCCAGTGACAGAAGACCCCTAGATAAGACTCTCTGTACGTATATGTTTGTAGGCAAATGGAAGGTGAGAAAGACACGGTCCCGACTAGCAAGTCTGGATGTCTACGAGGAGTGTGGGAAGAACGGTTAATCGCTTCACATCCCTGCGTCACTGTGTATGATGAGAATGTTACATTTCGAATAACAAAAATGAGCACTTATATCAAAAACTGGTTATTGCAGTGAGAGAAAGGACCCTGCTCTAGGGTCTTCCAAGCCGGGGTGAGCCTGGGCCTTGAACATACCCTTCAAAGTGTGTGTATGGGGCCCAGGGGACGATCTACCATTTCTGCACTGGAGTCTGCAGAAATGGTGCAGACTGCCCCAGAAGAATTCAGCCTACATCACACAGGCCAGCAGGACTTTTTTTTTTTTTTAGTGCAGCAGTGCGATCATAGCTGACTGCAGCCTTGAACTCCTGGCCTGAAGCAATCCTCCCGCTTCAGTCACCCAAGTGGTTGGAACTGTAGGCTCGACCCACCAGGCCTGGCCCCTGCAGGGCTCTTGACCCCAACCCAGACTTTACCTTGATGTGGGGAGCTGTCCCCACTCCCTCCCCTGACAATGCAGGGCACTGTGTCAAGGATTCTGGAGAGACCCTGGCTCATTCCCACAGGAGACGGGGAACAGGCCTGGGGAGGAGCCAAATGCCAGTGTCGGGGGGCCGGAGGCTGCAGTGGCAGTGCTTGTAGGCAGGGAGGACAGTGAGCCCTCCACATATACATAGCATGGCCCCCAGGGGTGTGTACTGGGATGGGTGTTGGGGGGTACTCTGGGGAGGGCTGCTCACTGGTGTCCTTCATCCCGGGCAGGAGAGAGGCCCAGAGCACAGGCCCTGCAGGGAGCCAGGACGGAGAAGGCTCCAGTGTACGCCACTCCCCCACCAACCCCACCGTCCTTGAGGGCTCTGAGCAATTAATTCTCTGTGACTCCAGATGTTCAGCAGCTGTCTTGGCCATTTCCGCCCCTTCTCCTGACCCTGCGTCCTCCAGGAAGCATCCCCTCCTGTCCTTGGGCTCCAAGCCACCCCCACCTTCCCTGCACCCCATTTCCTGAGCAGAGGCGTTTGTGCAGACTCAGCTCCCGCACCCACCAGGGTAGCCTCAGTTTTCCCAAGGCCTGGGCACTGCTCCCTGAGTCCAGGGCTGCTGGGGTCGGCTCACTCCCTGACGGATGCCCTCTGCCAGGGGCTCTGATCCTGGTTCCTGCCCCTCCGGCCTCTGGGACTGGTTTTCTCTCTCTCCTCTCCTTCCTTCTCCAAGGTTGGCTCTGCAGGCTCCACTGGCATAAATCAAGGGCCTCCAGGGAGGGTTCAGTGCAGGAGGGTTGGCAGGACTGGCCAGGGGGAGAGCCCTGCCCCAGTGCAGGAGGGCCCAATGCAGGAGGGTGGGAACCAAGGGGTGGAGGGCTCAGAGACTGGCAGGCCCTGTGGGGGTGGGTGCACGCTCAGATGTCGGCGTGGAGGGCACCGGGGTGGAGGTGGGGGTTGCCTCCACAAACAGATCAGCAGGGACACAGCCCCCACCTCCACCTTGTGGACACTTCCCTGAGCTGATGGCGGTGGAGGCACAAGAGGTCATGGCTGCTGCAGCTGGTCGTCTGGGGGCTCTTCTGGAGAGGGGACAGCTCCCTTCCTGTCACATGCTTTCCTGTCTCAACAGAGCCGGGGGTTCTGGGGCACTTGGACTCCCGTGGGCTGGTGGGATCAGGGGCTGGGCCAGACACAGGATGAGGCATGGAACCCCTGGGGGCCAGCGGCTCCAGCCCGCTGACCTCTGCCCCTCAGAATCCGGTCCCAGGCTCTCCCCTCCTCCTCTCAAGAACTTCCTGCTCTGTGTGTGTGTGTGGGTGGGTTGTTGTGGGGGAAGCTAAGGGCAGGTGGGCCTGGCTAAAGAAAAGCCTGCATTTCCAAACAAGTCCCAGAGCAGATCAAGCTGGGAGACTGCCCCCAGGAGGACGAGGCTCCTCCAAGCAGGATCTGCTCAGGGGAATCAAAATAAGGTTTAGTGCGTCCAACATCCTGCGTGGACAGTCCTCCAGGACTCCTGCCGCTGCCAGGATCTGAACTGAGGTGGCAGGGACACCTCCTGTCAGAACTTCGGCTCTGCTGCTGGGTTCACTCCTGTGGTCTCACACAAAATGGGCCGGTAGCCTTTGGGCCCACAGCCCCAACCTGCCTAGAGTAGGCAGCCGCTGAGTTTATGAAAGAGGCTCCTGGGAAAGGAATCATCTCCCACCCTCTGCAGAAGTTTCCATCCCCACCCCTATCCACCAGGCTCCTTTCCCCACAGGGTCAGGGGTGGACACTTGAGCAGGACCAGAACCACCAATCCCCAGGGGAAGCCTTGCCCATCCCTTGGCTGCAGGGGCAGTACCCTGTGTGTTTCCTCCTGGGGCAGGGCTCCTGTTGCTGCCCAGGACCCAGTGGAAAGGATGGTGTGACAGGTGCACCAGTGGACCCTGAGACACCCTCTTTGTCCTCAGGCTTTGACCAATGAGCACAGTAGCCAATCGGAGATCAAAGCTGGATAACCAGGAAAATCTGGATCTCAACTGTGTGTGTGCCTGGGGGTAGGACTGCCAGATTTAGCAAAACAAAAACAAATTTAAAAACAGGGTATATCTAGACCGGGTGCGGTGGCTCCTGCCTGTAATCCCAGCACTTTGGGAGGCCAAAGCGGGTGATCCACCTGAGGTCAGGAGTTAGAGGCCAGCCTGACCAACGTGGTGAAACCCCATCTCTACTAAAAGTACAAAAAGTTAGCCGGGCATGGTGGCGGGCACCTGTAATCCCAGCTACTTGGGAGGCTGAGGCAGGAGAATTGCTTGAACACCCAGGAGGCAGAGGTTGCAGTGAGCTGAGATTGCACCATTGCACTCCAGCCTGGGCGACAAGAGTGAGACTCCGTCTCAAAAACAAACAAACAAACAAACAGAAAAAACAGGATATCCAGTTAAATTTGAATTTCAGATAAACAATTTTAAAATAATGTCTCAAGCAGAAGTTGGAACATACTTATACCCAAAAAGTATTTGTTTATTTGTAATTCCAATTTAACTGGCATATTATTCTGTATTTTATCTGGCAACCTAGAATGGGGGTAATAGCCCCCCAAATCGCTCCCTTTGTTAATTGGTCCCTGTCTTCTGTCCCCCAACCCCTAAAGGCAGCAGCTGACTCCCCCAACTAGGGGCGGGGCCTGTTAGGGTCAGGCAGTGCCTCTAACCCAGACGCTGAGCAGGAGAGCAGAGAGGGGGTGCTTCAGCCTGAAACTACCCCTTCCCCAGAAGGCTGGGGTCCCAGGCGGGCCTGGCACCTGGGCTCAGAGGCTCTGGCTGGATTTGCCAAACTCCCTGATTGTAGCATGTTTGTTTCTGGTCTGGGGAGCTGTTGAGTACCTGGAGCTGCCCTCTTCCCTGGGGCTCCTCCTGGCAGGCGGCTTCCGACCCTGCCCTCAGGTGGGCTGGCCCTTTCCAGGGCAGGAGAAAAGATACCTCTCCAGAAAAGAGGGAGGCGCAGCCTGGGAGTGGGGGCTCGACCCAGGAGCGAGAAAGAGGAACCCCAGCCAGGCAGGACCCGCCCCAGAAGGTCACTGCTGTTGCTGGCAGCCAGTGAAAAGAGGATCCAGAAAAGGAGAGGGCTTGTTTCTGGTCAGCACCGAAGAAGGAAGGTGTGGAGAGGAGGGGCCGGGCCGAGAGCAAATACCGCCTTTTTGGTGCAGCAGCAGCCCTGTCTCTGACCCCGGCCGTCCTGGGGAGATGAGGTTTAAACCAGCAGACCCTGAAGGGAAACTTGCAGGACCCACAGCAAGCCTGGTACAGGCGGAGGAGGCCTTGCTGTCCCTTTTTGGCCCGTGGGGCTGTCCATCTTAAATTTAAGGAAGAGGGAGGCGGGGTGCAGGGACTCACACCTGTAATCCCAACACTGTGGGAGGTGGAGGCGGGGTGCAGGGACTCACACCTGTAATCCCAACACTGTGGGAGGTGGAGGCGGGAGGATCGCTTGAGCCCAGGGGTTCAAGACCAGCCTAGGCAGCATAGTGAGACCCCATCTCAATTTAATAAATAAATAAGGAAGAAAGAGGGAGACAGTAGCTGCTCAAATCATGGGTGGGAAAGCTGGGCCTGGGAGCGTTTAGCTGGTGGGGTCTTGGCGAAGGCGGGGGACGGGCAGAACCTTGGGTTCATCATCTCTGGGAACCCTTTGTGCACCCATCACCTAGCAACAGGATGCAGCCTTCCCTCCGCCCTGGAAGGCCAGGTCACAAAGGCCATCAGGGCTTGTCCGGGAGCCGGTATCCCCTAAGACTGCCCTGTGCCTCTCGCGGCGATCCCGGCCCAGCGGCTGGGCGTTAGGGCCACCGCTCATGTGCGTCATCTGCTTCGTGAAGGCGCTGGTGCGCGTGTTCAAGATCTACCTGACCGCCAGCTACACCTACCCATTCCGCGGCTGGCCCGTGGCCTTCCGCTGGGATGACGTGCGCGCCGTGGGCCGGAGCAGCAGCCACCGGGCGCTGACCTGCGCGGCAGCCGCGGCGGGCGTGTGGTTGCTGCGGGACGAGACGCTGGGCGGGGATGCGCTGGGGCGGCCTCCACGTGGGGCGCGCAGCCAGGCGCAGTGCCTCTTGCAGCAGCTCCGCGAGCTGCCCGGCCAGCTCGCTAGCTACGCGCTGGCCCACTCGCTGGGCCGCTGGCTCGTGTACCCCGGCTCCGTGTCCCTGATGACGCGCGCGCTGCTGCCGCTGCTGCAGCAGGGCCAAGAGCGCCTCGTGGAGCGCTACCACGGCCGGCGCGCCAAGCTGGTGGCCTGTGACGGCAACGAGATCGACACTATGTTCATGGACCGCCGCCAGCACCCGGGCAGCCACGTGCACGGGCCGCGCCTCGTCATCTGCTGCGAAGGCAACGCGGGCTTCTACGAGATGGGCTGTCTGTCTGCACCGCTCGAGGCCGGCTACTCCGTGCTGGGCTGGAACCACCCCGGCTTCGGCAGCAGCACTGGCGTGCCCTTCCCTCAGCACGACGCCAACGCCATGGACGTGGTGGTCGAGTACGCACTGCACCGCCTGCACTTCCCGCCCGCGCACCTGGTGGTCTACGGCTGGTCTGTTGGCGGCTTCACGGCCACCTGGGCCACCATGACCTACCCGGAGCTGGGTGCACTGGTGCTGGACGCCACCTTCGACGACCTTGTGCCGCTGGCGCTGAAGGTCATGCCCCACAGTTGGAAGGGGCTGGTGGTGCGCACCGTGCGCGAGCACTTCAACCTCAACGTGGCCGAGCAGCTGTGCTGCTACCCGGGGCCGGTGCTGCTGCTCCGACGCACGCAGGATGACGTGGTCAGCACTTCGGGCCGCCTGCGCCCCCTGTCACCTGGTGACGTGGAGGGCAACCGGGGCAATGAGCTGCTGCTGCGCCTGCTGGAGCACCGCTACCCCGTCGTGATGGCGCGAGAGGGCCGCGCCGTCGTCACCCGCTGGCTGCGCGCTGGCAGCTTGGCGCAGGAGGCCGCCTTCTATGCACGCTACCGCGTGGACGAGGACTGGTGCCTGGCGCTGCTGCGCTCCTACCGTGCACGCTGCGAAGAGGAGCTGGAGGGCGAGGAGGCCCTGGGGCCACACGGACCCGCCTTCCCATGGCTGGTGGGCCAGGGCCTGAGCTCGCGGCGGCGCCGGCGCCTCGCACTGTTCCTGGCTCGGAAGCACCTCAAGAACGTGGAGGCGACTCACTTCAGCCCTCTGGAGCCTGAGGAGTTTCAGTTGCCCTGGCGGCTGTAACCTATATGCCCCAGTGGGGGATCACGCACTTGAACTCCTGGCCTTCTTGGTTCACCTCCCCATACCGCCAACCATTGCAGGGGGCCGGCGCCGACGCGGGGCGGGGCGGGGGGGGGCGCGCGGGGTGCTCCTGATCTGCTGTCTGGGGGAGGGTAGGCAGAACACGGGGACTTGGTGCTCTCCTTCCTTCACAGGGGCGTTCTGACCGTCCTCCCATTCTTCCTAGCTCTGTCCCCTCCTTTCTCTCTTCCTCCTACAAATACTTTTGGCTGCCCCCACCCAGCTCCTAAGGGAATGAAAGGTTAACCTGACCCGGTTTATGGCAATACTGTGTGATGGGTGCCTTGATCACCACAAAAGGATGATGGGAACGGGGCTGTGGGGTCCCAGGGAGGAGCCCTTCACCTGGCCTGGGTTACAGGATGGCTCCTGGGAAGACAATGCCAGCTGTGCGCTGAAAGTCTGTGCAAGCTGCTCCCGTGAAAAGGAGGACATTGGCATGGCAGGGCTGTGGGCAGGTCTTAGTGGCTGGACATTCCCAGGAGTTAGCACTGGCTATCATTCTGTAGGGCTCCCTCCCACCTCCAAACTCCTGGCTTCTACACCAGGGCATTCACAGACAGATTGCAGACTCACATGGTGGCATGTGAGGCTACAGATACACTTGCACAGGCCAGAGGATACTACTGCGTGTCCCCTGGAGCCAGGCCTGGGCTGGACTTTGTTCCTGGCTTAGGGATGCAACACAGAATGGGACAAGGCCTCTGCTCACAATGGTCTGTAATGTCACATCTCTGTGGTCTGCCCTGAACTGCCTGAAGCAGGGACTATTGTCCCTACATGTCCCTAGTCCCCGGGCTGGCCTGGTTGGGTTGAGCAAGAATCTCTGGAAAGAATGAAAGGCAGCAAATGGAGAAAACATTACTGAGAGCACGAGAGCAGGCTAAGGCCGTGGTGGTAAGGGACTCGGGCCTGTGCAAGAGTACCAGGAAGACACCTGTGGGAGGAGGTGGCCGGGTGAAGGAAGGGGCAGTGGGAGGAGCTTCCATGCCTAGGGACCAGTACCACCCCAGGCTGGAAGCCCAGAGTGGAGTCCTAGGACATCAGATCCTAAAGGGCTTGAATACCGTTTAAGGCTTTTCTTCCGGGAGCAAGTAGGAGCCAAAGAAGGGAAGTTGCGGGACTTGTTTTCGTGGGGCCAGTTGCCTGGTGGTTACGCGCCTCTCCTCTGAAGTCAGGCATCCTGTTCCAGAGTATCCTGGTTGCGCTTCAACTTGCGGAGTGACCTGGGGCAAGTGACTTTAACCTCAGCTTCCTCATCTGTGGAGTGGGGAGGGCGCAGCGCTGGTCGCCCTGAACAGGAAGTGAGACAACCTCGGGGTGCACACGCGCAGGCCCGAGCCGCAGGGTCCACGCCCGAGGCGAGGCGGCAGCGGCGCCTGCAGGGCGAGGGGACGAATCGCGATCTTTTTCAGAGTAACCCGCGTACAATAAAAAGTCCCCATGAAAAGGACAAACTAGCCAGGCGTGAGGGGCGGTGGCTCACGCCTGTAATCCCAGCACTTTAGGAGGCCGAGGCGGGTGGATCACCTAAGGTCAGGAGTTCTAGACCAGCCTGGCCAAGGTGGCGAAACCCCCGTCTCTACTACAAATACGAAAATTAGCCGGACGTGTTGGCGCGCGCCTGTAATTCCAGCTACTCGGGAGGCTGAGGCTGGAGAATCGCTTGAACCCGGAGGGCAGAGATTGGAGTGAGCTGAGATCGCGCCATGGCACTCCAGCCTGGGCAACAAGAGTGAAACTCCGTCTCAAAAACAAACAAAAAAGGACCAACTAAAAAAAGAATATAAATACAATAAATAACAGGACTTACGGGGGCAGGCTGACCCCTAAAGTAAGGGGTCGGGCTGGAAAGGATCTCAAGGGGTCAGAGTTTGAGCCGCCGAGGCGCGCGAGCCCCAGCACTCCTAGGCAGCTGCATCCGCCCCGGAAGATCCCCTGGGGCCCTGCGCTGGCTTTCCACAGCGCCATGTTGGACGGTCCTCCCACTTCCCACCTTCCCAGTCCTCCCGCTACTCTGACCGTTCTACCTGTGATTCTCGCTGGTGGAGTCAACCTGGAATGGATTCCCGCCGAACCACGCCTCCCTTTCCTGGTTCGCCCGCAGTTTCGGCCTATCAGGTTGAGTCGGGTAAACCAGGACGGGCCAAGCGGCACTCTCATTGGATATCACTGGTGGGGGCGGGAAGAAGGCGGAGCACGTGCCCGGGCGGAAGTAGCCGTCGCATCGCGGATTACGAAACGCCGCGGAGCTGAGGCAGTTCCGCTGGCTAGTGTGTACGCGGCGAGCTTCTCCCGGCGCCGCCCGCTCGGCTCCCATAGCGCCCGCGACAGCGGTCCGGACGCCGCCCGAACATGGACTCCGCCGGCCAAGGTACCTGCCGGGCCCGGCCCCTTCGCCGCAGATGGGCCCAGGCTGCCCGTTGTTCTCCGTCTCCCGGGGTCGCGTCTGCGACTCTCTGTCCTCTCGGTCTCGGTTCACCCACCCCGCGGCCCCTCTTCAGCTCCCGGGGCCACTGACCTCGAAGCTTATGATGGTCGTGGTGTGTTTTTTGCCCGCGGCCCAGACCGCTTCCTGGGCTCTCTCCAGCCGCCCTCCTGGTCTCCCCTGGGACCGTTCCGAGGTGTGGTTCCCTGGCGCCCGCCGTTGCTCCCGTAGTTTGGGTTCTGTCGCTCCCAGCAGGTCTCGCTTATGCCGCCCACCCCGTGCCCTGCTCTTGCTTGCTCTGCCACCCCCCGGTCCCTGCGCGGGGCCCTCGGGTTCACGCTGTCTGGCCCTGGACCCAGTCCGAGGTGTTGAGGGCGGCTCCCGAGCAGAGAAGGGGTCTTCGCGTTCAGCAGAGCTCCCCTTGGGCAGCAACTCTGCTCGGAGCTCAGCCTGCTTAGGGGTTGCCTCATGGAGAGGGGGTGGAGTGAGTCAGGGGCACACCCAGCATACCAGGCCTGTTTCCAGAACAGTCTCCCCAGAGCAGTATGAGATGGCCACTGAGGGGCGTGGAGCGAGCCCAGGAGATTAAAATCTTGAGAAGATGATAAAAGTCTGCCTTGCATTTTGGGGCTCTAGAGAGGGATGCTAAATTTCTTTCTTTCTTTCTTTCTTTCTTTATTTTTTTGAGACGGAGTCTTGCTCTGACGCCAGGCTGGAGTGCAGTGGCGCGATCTCAGCTCATTGCAACCTCGACCTCCCGGGTTCAAGCGATTCTGCTGCCTCAGCCTCCTGAGTAGCTGGGACTACAGGCACGCGCCACCAGGCCCAGCTAATTTTTGTATTTTTAGTAGAGGCAGGGTTTCACCATGTTGCCCAGGATGGTCTCGATCTCTTGACCTTGTGATCCGCCCGCCTCAGCCTCCCAAAGTGCTGGGATTACAGGCGTGAGCCACTGTGCCCGGCTACATATTAAGCTTTATAATTCCTAGGTGCTGCATTATTCTGGAGGGTGTTTTTTGTTTGTTTGTTTTTGTTTTTTTGAGATGGAGTCTCACTCTGTCGCCCAGGCTGGAGCGCAGTGGCTAGATCTCGGCTCACTGCAAGCTCCGCCTCCCGGGTTCACTGCCATTCTCCTGCTTCAGCCTCCCAACTAGCTGGGACTACAGGCGCCCGCCATCATGCCCGGCTAATTTTTTGTATCTTTAGTAGAGACGGGGTTTCACTGTTAGCCATGACGGTCTTGATACCCTGACCTCGTGATCTGCTTACCTCGGCCTCCCAAAGTGCTGGGATTACAGGCGTGAGCCACCGCGCCTGGCCTTTTTTTTTTTTTTTTTTAATTTTTTTTTTGGGGACAGCGTCTCCCTCTGTCTCCCAGGCTGGAGTGCAGTGGTGCAATCATAGCTTACTGCAATCTTCAACTCCTGGGCTCAAGCGATCTTCCTGCGTCAGCCTCCCAGGTAGCTGGGACTATAAGACTACAGGCGCACCATGCCAGGTTAATTGGTCTTTCTACTTTTTTTTTTTTTTTTGAGACGGATTTTCGCTCTTGTTGCCCACGCTGCAGTACAATGGCGCGATCATGGCTTCCCGCAACCTCTGCCTTCTGGGTTCAAGCGATTCTCCTGCCTCAGCCTCCCGTGTAGCTGGCATTACAGGCGTGCGCCACCATGCCCGGCTAATTTTGTATTTTTAGTAGAGATGGAGGTTTCTCCATGTTGGTCAAGCTGGTCTCGAACTTCTGACCTCAGGTGATCTGCCCGCCTTGGCCTCCAAAAGTGCTGGGATTACAGGTGTGAGCCATTGTGCCCAGCCTCATTTGTCTTTTTTTAAATAGAACAGAAAGGCTGGGCTCGGTGGCTTACGCCTGTAATTCTAACACATTGGGAGGCCGAGGCCAGTGGATCACTTGAGGTCAGGAGTTTGAGACCAGCCTAACCAACGTGCCAAAACCCCGTCTCTACTAAAAATAAAAAAATTAACCGGGCATGGTGGTGTGCTCCTGTAGTCCCAGCTACTTGGGAGGCTGAGGCAGGAGAATCGATTGAACCCAGGAGGTGGAGGTTGCAGTGAGCGGAGATCGTGCCACTGCACTCCAGCCTGGGTGACAGAGTAAGACTCGTCTAAAAAAAAAAAAAAGAGAATCAGTGGATAAAAAAGTGGATACGCTTCGTTTAGTAAGCGTTTGTGGAGCGCCAAGGAAGTGCACACGGCTCCAGTCCTATGGGACATTTGAAGGGAGTGAGATGCAGCCAGCTTTTAAGAAGAGTATCTTTGTTAAGTGCATTTAATCTGGTGTCTTTGTGTTGTCTTTTAAAAGGCATAGTTTTTTTTTCTTTTTCTTTTCTTTTGTTTTTTTTTTTTGAGACAGTCTCAAAAAAAAGAGACGGGGTTTCACCATATTGGCCAGGCTGGTCTTGAACTCCTGACCTCAGGTGATCCGCCCGCCTCAGCCTCCCAAAGTGCTGGGATTACCGGCATGAGCCACCCCGCCCGACCAGTTTTTCTTTTTTTTTTTAAAGAATTTTTTTTTGGCCGCGCGTGGTGGCTCAACGCCTGTAATCTCCCGGGTTCAAGTGATTCTCCTGCCTCAGCCTCCCAAGTAGCTGGGAACTACAGGCGCGTGCCACCACGCTAACTAATTTTGTATTTTTAGTAGAGACGGGGTTTCACCATTTTGGTCAAGCTGGTCTCGAACTCCTGACCTCATGTGATCCACCTGCCTCGGCCTCCAAAAGTGCTGGGATTATAGGCATGAGCCACTGCGCCTGGCAGTAAGCCTGTTTCTTTTCAGAATGTTTTGGTCAACAGGGAAAGTGTTACAATAGTCATGTGCTTGGATTTGGAGAGAATCGAAATAGACTGTTTTTCTTTATGTGAAATCTTGTAGACTTTTAGGGTAGTCAGGAAGATGCATTTGACATGAAGAAAAAACAGTGGCTGCAGGAATTTGAATGTGATCTGGGTGTAGTTGAGGTGTGTGGTGGCAGCACACCGCTCTGCACCTCTCTGCCTGCTGGCGGCCTTCTGGCAGTGGGATGAGAATCGGGAGGTAAGTAAAGGGAATTTTGTTTTGCTGCCTCCCTGAAGGAGCTGAATGAGCAGCATGTGCTCCTAGTACGTAATTTTAGCATGTGCTCTGTCAGATGTGTTGAGAGGAAAGTGATGCTTATTGTGTATATTAACCATATTAGGTTCCTTTTTTTAAAAAAAGTGGAAATTTGTCAGGGTATGGTGGCTCACACCTGTAATCCCAACACTTTGGGAGGCCAAGGCGGGCGGATCACCCGAGGTCGGGAATTGGAGACCAGCCTGGCCGACATGACGAAACCCCGTCTCTACTGAAAATACAAAAATAGCCAGCGTGGTGGCGTGCGCCTGTAATCCCAGCTACTCGAAGGCTGAGACAGGAGAATCACTTGAACCCGGGAGACGGAGGTTGCAGTGAGCTGAGATCGCACCATTGCACTCCAGCTTGGGAGGCAGAGTGAGACTCCATCAAAAAAAAAAGGTGGAAGGTCTGTTAGATTGAGCTGCTTTCTCTGTAGCAAGGGTTTCCTGCCTCTGACGATAGTATTCTCACTGGGAAGCCAGAATTCGGGTTTGCCTGCCTTGGGCCGGCATTTGTCGTGCCCTGAAGCAGCACAAGTGGCATTGGCTTTTCAGCTCAGGTGGTCTGAGGTGTGGCTGCCCTCGTCTACTGCCCATGCTGTCCTCACAGACCTTTCAGAGAAGAGGTGTTAGTCTCCAGGGTCTCACCCACTCCCACCTGTGCTTTTGTCCTGCTAGAGACCTCTACCGTATTTACTTGGAACTAACTTATTTGACACTTTGTGGCCTCATTTTGTCTCTGGCAGATATCAACCTGAATTCTCCTAACAAAGGTCTGCTGTCTGACTCCATGACGGATGTTCCTGTCGACACAGGTGTGGCTGCCCGGACTCCTGCTGTTGAGGGTCTGACAGAGGCTGAGGAGGAGGAGCTCAGGGCTGAGCTTACCAAGGTGCTGTGGCTTGGCTGTCTGTCCTGGGGTGAATTGGAGTTAAGGCCCTCTTGGATTAGTGAGAGGCCAGGGTACTGGCCACGCTCGGGAGGAATTGCCCTGGGTGGTCACCTACCCTGCTCTGTGTTCCGACTGATAACGGGGTTCTCTTTGTATGTGCCCAGCTCCATGCACTGGACTCAGAGCCACCTGGCAGTGGAGACAGGGCATGACTCCCTTCCCATACCTCTGTGCCTGGCCCTTCCTAAGTGCTCCCTGAGGAGTGTTCACACATGAACCGCCTCTGAGCAGCCATCTGCTGGGAGTGTCTCTGTTGGAATTAACACTTGATAATCATTTTTAAGACCCCATGAATCTTTCTTGTCCTGGATCTTAAGTTTTCTTTTAAACATATTTATTTTGGCTGGATGCAGTGGCTCATGCCTGTAATTCCAGCGCCTTAGGAGGACAGGGTGGTAAGGTGGGAAGATCACTTGAGCCCAGGAGTTTGAGAGCAGCCTGGGCAACACAGTGAGACCTTGTCTCTACCCCCAAAAATTAGCCAGGTGTGGTGGCATGTGCCTGTAGTCCCAGCTACTCAGGAGGCTGAGGTGAGAGGATTGCTTGAGGCCAGGAGGTCAAGGCTTCAGTGAGCTGTGATTGCATCCTGCACAGCAGCCTGGGTGACAGGGCGAGACCCTGTCTCAAAAACAAAACAAAAACTTCTTTTCTAAAAAGTATTTATGTGATCTTCTTTAAGTGAGAGTCCCTTAAGAGTAATGTAGGAATTAAGAACAAAAGCCTCCAACCATAATTTTTAGTCAAACCAACTGCCAAGAGTTTTCTTTTCACCCTGTGATGTGGTTTAATTCCAGAATCTGGGTCCAGGCCTAGGTCTGAGTAAGGTTGGTTGTGCCGCTGAGTCTGAGGACCAGGTTTCAGATCCTGAGGACATCACACAGCTATTTCTAGCCTAGAAGATTAAAGGAGAGTAGCAGGAAGTCCAAGGACACTTTGCTTTCCATTTAACTTCAGAATATGTGAGTTTAGAAACTAAATCCACAAGGTTTTTTTCAGAGTTGAATTACAATAAGGTGAAGTTTTTTTTTTTTTTTTTTTTTTTTTGAGTCGGAGTCTCTGCCGCCCAGGCTGGAGTGCAGTGGCGCAATCTCGGCTCACTGCAACCTCCAACACCCGGGTTCACGCCATTCTCCTGCCTCAGCCTCCTGAGTAGCTGGGACTACAGGCGCCCACCACCACGCCCGGCTAATTTTTTTGTGTTTTTAGTCGAGATGGGGTTTGTTTTTTTTTTTTGGAGACAGAGTCTCGCCCTGTCGCCCAGGCTGGAGTGCAATGGTGTGATCTCGGCTCGCTGCAATCTCCGCCTCCCAGGTTCAAGCGATTCTCCTGCCTCAGCCTCCCGAATATCTGGGATTACAGGCGCGTGCCTCCCTGCCCATCTAATTTTCGTATTTTTAGTAGAGACAGAGTTTCACCATGTTGGCCAGGCTGATCTCAAACTCCTGATCTTGTGATCCACCCACCTTGGCCTCCCAGAGTGCTGGGATTACAGGTGTGAGCCACTGTGCCCGGCCCCTACAAGGTGAAGTTCTGTATTGCTTTTTTTTGTTGTTTTTCTTGAGACAGAGTCTTGCTCTGTCGCCCAGGCTAGAGTGCAGTGGCGTGATCTCAGCTCACTGGAGCCTCTGCCTCCCTGGTTCAAGTGATTTTCATGCCTCAGCCTCCCAAGTAGGTGGGATTACAGACGCCTGCCACCACACCTGGCTAATTTTTGTATTTTTAGTAGAGACAGAGTTTCACCATGTTGGCCAGGCTGGTCCCGAACTCCGAGTCTCAAGAGCTCCACCTGGCTCAGCCTCCCGAAGTGCTAGGATTACAAATGCGAGCCGCTGTACCCAGCCAAGAAAGAGAATTTTTTTTTTTTTAAGGACGGAGTCTCACTCTGTCGCCCAGGCTGGAGTGCAGTGGCGTGATCTGGGCTCACTGCAGCCTCCACCTCCTGAGTTGAAGTGATTCTCTTGCCTCAGCCTCCCGAGTAGCTGGGATTACAGGCGCACAGCACCATGCCTGGCTAATTTTTGTATTTTTAGTAGAGACGGAGTTTCACCACGTTGGCCAGGTTGGTCTCGAACTCCAGACCTCAGGTAATCTGCCTGCCTCAGCCTCCCATAGTGCTGGGATTACACGCAAGAAAGAGTTTTTTTTTTTTTTTGAGACTTTTTGCTCTTGTTGCCCAGGCTGGAGTGGAATGGTGCGATCTTGGCTCACTGCAGCCTCTGCCTCCCAGGTTCAAGTGATTCTCCTGTCTCAGCCTCCCGAGTACCTGGGGTTACAGGTGCATGCCACCACGCCTGGCTAATTTTTGTATTTTTGGTAGAGACGGCCTTTCATCATATTGGTCAGGCTGGTCTCGGACTCCTGACCTCAGGTGATCTGCCCGCCTCGGCCTCCCAAAGTGCTGGGATTACAGGCATGAGCTATCGTACCCGGCCAAGAAAGAGAATTTTTAAAGAGAAGCTAGTCATATATGAGCTGAAGATACTGAGAACTCATTCTAAAGTGGTAAAGCTTTGAATGATGCCCCTTTCAGAGGTCATGTTCTTTTTTTTTTTTTTTTTTTTTAAAGACCTGAGAAAGTTCAAGTCTTCATG
Source organism: Homo sapiens (assembly GCF_000001405.40). Lineage (NCBI taxonomy): Eukaryota > Metazoa > Chordata > Mammalia > Primates > Hominidae > Homo > Homo sapiens. The sequence goes on from NC_000020.11 coordinate 63,872,093, forward strand.
ATCAGGAATCTTTCTGTTGCTCAGTTCTAACTACGTTAAGCACAAAAGATAATTTACCTTTTGGTTCGTGTAACTGACTCTTGCCAAGGTTTGGAACTGACCTCAGGAACACAAGTGTTTTCTTAAGGGTGTTTTTTTCTGTCACCTGTGTCACTGTCCATCTGCCTCCTCCTCTCTGCATATGGAATTCTATGAGTGCAGACGGTGCCCGGCTGCCAACAGTTCCAGCTTCTATTGTCCAAGCCCAGACTGAGAGCCCTGAGGGAAAAGGATCCTCACTGTTTTTTGTTTGTTTGTTTGTTTTTGAAACAGTCTCGGTCTGTCACCTAGGCTGGAGTGCAGTGGCATGATCTCGGCTCACTGCAACCTCTGTCTCCTGGGTTCAAACAGTTTTCCTGCCTCAGCCTCCCGAGTAGCTGGGGTTACAGGCGTGCACCACCATACCTGGCTAATTTTTGTATTTTTAGTAGAGACGGGGTTTTGTCATGTTGGCCAGGCTGGTCTCAAACTCCTGACCTCAGATAATCTGCCTGCCTTGGCCTCACAAAGTGCTGGGATTACAGGCGTGAGCCACTGTGCCCGGCCAGGGTCTTCACCATTTTTTTGTTGTTGTTGTTTTGTTTTGTTTGAGATGGAGTCTCGCTCTGTCACCCAGGCTGGAGTGCAGTGGCACAATCTTGGCTCACCCGCAAGCTCTGCCTCCTGGATTCACACCATTCTCCTGCCTCAGCCTCCCGAGTAGCTGGGACTACAGGTGCCCGCCACCGTGCCTGGCTAATTTTTTGTATTTTTTAGTAGAGACAGGGTTTCGCTGTGTTAACTGTGTTAGCCAGGATGGTCTCGATCTCCTGACCTCGTGATCCGCCCGCCTTGGCCTCCCAGAGTGCTGGGATTACAGGCATGCGCCACTGCGCCCGGCCGGTCTTCACCTTTTTAATACCATGCCCAGTCCTAGTAAAGAGCTCGGACAAACCTGGCATGGTCATCCTGGGCCATTCCTCATGACCACAAATGGACATGGTGATTGGTAGCTCTCCCAGAACCATTTAGTTGTGGGGCATGGGATAGTTCCCTGGAGTCAAGTTCCTAGTACCAGATAAAAACAAATGTCTGCTGGCTGGGCGCGGTGGCTCACGCCTGTAATCCCAGCACTTTGGGAGGCTGAGGTGGGAGGATCACCTGAGGTTGGGAGTTTGAGACGAGCCTGACCAACATGGTGAAACCCCATCTCTACTAAAAATACAAAATTAGCCGGGCAGGGTGGCACACGCCTGTAATCCCAGCTACTTGGGAGGCTGAGGCAGGAGAATCACTTGAATCTGAAAGGCAGAGGTTGCGGTGAGCCGAGGTCGTGCCATTGCACTCCAGCCTGGGCGACGAGCGAAACTCCATCTCAAAAAAAAAAAAAAACCAAAACCCAAAAATCAGATGTCTGCTGTAGATGCTGTTATTCCTAGGACGAGTTAATGCTTTGGTAAGCGGAAAGTTCTTGTGTAACTCATGGCACTGTGCATGAGGATGTTAGTCACTTCCTGCAGTAGTGATGGCTCATCATGTCAACTGCATGCTTTGCAGGTGGAAGAGGAAATTGTCACTCTGCGCCAGGTCCTGGCAGCCAAGGAGAGGCACTGTGGAGAGCTCAAGAGGAGGCTGGGCCTCTCCACCCTGGGGGAGCTGAAACAGAACCTGTCCAGGAGCTGGCATGACGTGCAGGTCTCTAGCGCGTAGGTACCTGCCCCAGGCGCACCCCTGGGGGCTGAAGAGAACGGGCACCACACGTGCCCCGGCATGTGGGGGGGCGTCGTCATGCCCAGGGACGAGTTGCAGCCGTGGAGTTGAGTGGCCTGTTTGGAAGGATCCAGAGAGAGGCTCTGAGCCCTTGGCCCAGCGACTGTGCCTTGTTTGTTCAAAAAGCTTGGTGTCTACATGTGTTTTATTTATTTTTAAGTTTTTGTGTACTTTATTATTATTTTTTTTGAGACAGAGTCTCACTCTGTCGCCCAGGCTGGAGTGTAGTGGCGTGATCTTAGCTCGCTGCAACCTCTGCCCCCCGGGTTCAAGCGATTCTCCTGCCTCAGCCTCCCAAGTAGCTGGGATTACAGGCGCCTCCCACCGCGCCCGGCTGATTTTTTTTTTTGTGTGTGTGTGTGTGTGTGTGTGTGTGTTTTTAGTAGAGATGGGGTTTCACCATGTTGGCCAGGCTGGTCTTGAACTCCTGACCTTGTGATCCACCCACCTCAGCCTCCCAAAGTGCTGGCCACCACGCTGGCCTTTTTTTTTTTTTTATTATTATTCTTTTTTGAGATGGTTTCGCTCTGTCACCCAGGCTGGAGTGCAGTGGCGCAATCATGATTCACTGCAACCTCAACCTCCTGGGTTCAAGCAATCCTCCCAACTCAACCCCCCTCGTAGCTGGGATGACAGGCGTGCGCCACCATGCCTGGCTAATTTTTTCACGTTTTATAGAGACAGGGTCTTGCTTTGCTACCTAGGCTGGTCTCAAATTTCTGGGCTCAAGCAATCCTCTTGTTTTGGCCTCCTAAAATGCTTGGGATTACACGTGTGAGCCACCACATCCGGCTTATATACGTGTTCTAAAAAGGCAGACACACTGGCTAGTTGTCCTGGTGGAAAATGATAGGAAGACTGTTTCAGGGTCCAGACTTGAGAGAGCACTGATCAGGTCCTTGGCAAGAGCGGTTTTTCTGTGGTCCTTGTTGTGGGTGTGGCATGGTCACAGCCTCTGACCCAGATATGGCCATATGGGCCGGGCATGGTGGCTCATGCCTACAATCCCAGCACTTTGGGAGGCTGAGGCGGGTGTATCACTTGAGGTTAGGAGTTCAAGACTAGCCTGACCAACATGGAGAAACCCTGTCTCTACTAAAAAATAAAAAAATTTAGCTGGGCGTGGTGGTGCGCACCTGTGATCTCGGCTACTAGGGAGGCTGAGGCAGGAGAATCTCTTTAACCCGGGAGGCGGAGGTTGCAGTGAGCCAAAATTATGCCACTGCCCTCCAGCCTGGGTGACAGAGCAAGACTCTGTCTCAAAAAAAAAAAATATATATATATATATATTTATATATAGGACCATATGGTCCCACAACCCTAGGGACTCTGACCCTCCCCGATGACGACGTGGTCCTACATGACGACGTGGTCCTATAACCCTGGGACACCTGTCCCAGATGTCGCTCAGCTCTGAATTTGGGGAGTGCTGCTTTCTCACTTGGCCCTGTCCACGTGGCTTCTCTGAAACATACCCTTCAAGGTTGGGGTGGCTGTGGAATGTTTCCCAGAAGACATGTTCCTATACAAAGACAGAACAGGTCACATTTCATAAATCTCACATATGAGAGGCCCATGTTTTTGTCCTAGGACATCGTAAGTTTTGAATCCCAAGGGTGTTTTGGAGCTGTGGGCTGTGCCCTTCCAGTCCCCCACAGCAGTGCTGTTGCCCAAGAATCTCCTAGCGAGAGACCAGGGGCTACTGCCAGGTGACAGAAAAGGGAACATCAGTTCCGCTATACCCACAGCTCACCTGGCGGCCTGGGGCCTGCACAGGGCCTGGTTGAGGCAGTGGACCCCATTTTTGGGCCGTCTGTGGAGTTGATGTTCCTGCCAGCTGGTCCCTCTCTGTCTTCCCTGGAACTTCACCTGCAGTTTGATGCCTGAGTTAAAATTGTTCTTCTAAATAATTCACTGTAGACTTTCTGTTTTTAGCTATGTGAAAACTTCTGAGAAACTTGGAGAGTGGAATGAGAAAGTGACCCAGTCAGACCTGTGAGTGCCTGTATCATCAGCACCTCCTCCTTCCTCCTCTCCGCCTCCTGACACTCAGTCGGGGAAGGGGGCTGTGCACACTTGGCACAAAGCTTGTTTTGGTATTTGCTGGCTATTTTTTCTTCCTATAACTTTTCTTCTCTCAGGTAAACTATCCTTTAAACTTTTGTGGAACAGGGAATAGTAGCTGAGAGAAACTCACTCAGCCACCTGACCACACTTAAAACTCCCCTCTGCCTGATATGCGTCCCTTATGTAAGAGGCCTGCACTGGTCCTGGCTGTATCTCTAACTAATAGAGCTCCTTGGCTTCCGGCAGTGCACAAGCTGGACAACACCACTTGGCCTGGGTTTGTTGGTGGCGAATTTTTGTTTGTTCTAACCCTAACCCTTTTCCCTGCTTAGCTCCAGCTGTTGGGTTCTCAGAATTCCTTTCCTCCTTTAGGGGTAGTTCTTGAGTGGAGGGCATGGTGTAGGATATGCTGGTGGAAATTTGAAATCCTCACGATCTGGGAGGCACTGCATTGTCAGAGCATCAGCCAGTGTGGATCAAGTGTGGATAGTTTTGTATGTGTGTGTCAGTGGTGTTGTTCAGAGTGACTCCTAATATTTGGAGATCCTTAAACTAGATAATAGCACTTCATTTACTTGTGCTCTGATCTGATTATAACGTCTTTAAACTGAGGAGGGGAATATTTTTAAATAGTCTCTGTGGGATTTTTTCATCTGTTATTTAGAAGGAAGCGCTGTAATCGTTGCCACAGAACATGGGCAGAAAGTCCTCCCATGTTGGTCTGAAAGGAAGCAGTTGCTGCCGAGCTTGTCTTGAAGGTCCTGGGGGACCAGGCTGGCACTGCGTGCACATGGAGCCTTTGCGTCTGGTGTCACGGTGGGAGGCTGGTGTCAGGAACCCCGGGCGGTTCTCGGCATGTTGCCCCGGGTATTCCAGGGACCCGGGTGGTTCGTGGGCATGGCTACAGCAGCCAGCTGTACATCTGGGTGCTCTGGGGACCCGGGCGGTTCACGGCATGTTGCCCTGGGTATTCCAGGGACCCGGGCGGTTTGTGGGCATGGCTACAGCAGCCAGCTGTACATCTGGGTGCTCTGGGGACCCGGGTGGTTCATGGCATGTTGCCCTGGGTTTTTTTTGTTTGTTTGGTTTTTTTTTTGAGACAACGTCTCGTTCTGTCTCCCAGGCTGGAGTGCAGTGGCGCCATCTGGGCTCACTGCAAGCTCCGCCTCCCGGGTTCACACCATTCTCCTGCCTCAGCCTCCCCAGTAGCTGGGACTACAGGCGCCCGCCACCACGCCCGGCTAATTTTTTCTATTTTTAGTAGAGACAGGATTTCACCATGTCAGCCAGGATGGTCTCAATCTCCTGACCTCGTGATCCGCCTGCCTCAGCCTCCCAAAGTGCTGGGACTACAGGCGCCCACCACCACGCCCGGCTAATTTTTTGTATTTTTAGTAGAGACAGGGTTTCATGGTGTTAGCCAGGATGGTTTCGATCTCCTGACCTCGTGATCCGCCCATCTCGGCCTCCCAAAGTGCTGGGATGACAGGCGTGACCCACTGCACCCGGCTTGAGCAGGGTGTTCTAGGGACCCTGGTGGGCTGTGTCTCGGGCTGTTGAACAGTGACTTTGCTGGGCAGCAGATGGTTCCTAGGTTGGGACAGTGACGGTCATCCTTGCAGTTTGGGCATCAGGCGGACGCACAGTGCAGACTCAGTCTGAAAATAGTCTTAGGAGACTTCAGTGCTGTTTTGTAAAACCAACTGACATAAAGCTGCCGGGATCCTATTTCAAATAAATAGTGTTTTAGAGAGCTTATTACAACACTCAGCGTCCCGACCCCTCTGGAGAAACCTGTGGCTCAGCATGGAAGCATATGGCCAGTGCATCACCTGGCCGAGGCCATTCCCCTGAGTTCTGTGGCGAGAGCTGTCAACTGACGGTTCCAGAGTGGAAGCGTTTCTGCCGGGAAGGCCCAGGCCGAGGGCGATGGTTTCTGCCGGGACGGCCCAGGCCGAGGGCGATGGTTTCTGGTGGGAAGGCCCAGGCCGAGGGCGATGGTTTCTGCCGGGACGGCCGAGGCCGAGGGCGGTGGTTTCTGCCGGGACGGCCCAGACGGAAGGGATGCGGCTTGGGAGGTGGGGCCTGAGGATGTGGCCATGGCGCGTGCTCTTCCTGGCTGGTGCCTCTCCTAGTCAGCTTCAGGAGATGGGCTGTAGATGTACCTCCACTGCCCAGAGCTCTGCAGGGGAAGGCAGTAAAAGCTCCCTGCATCCTGACCCACGTGTTTGTAGATCCTTTCAGCTATTGGCGCCCTGGAGGATGGACGGGAAGGAGAACGTGGCCGGTGGGTGGAGGATAGCACTGGTGCCTGGCCCCATGAGGCTGCAATGCGGCCACATTCTCAGTGGGTCATGTCTGAATGCGAGAGCAGCTGTGTTCTGCGAGTGGTGAAACAATTGCCTGTTGCATTCTATTTATAGGCAGAGGTAACTAAAAACCTCAGTGCTGAGAGGGGCATCATATAGATCCTGCAGTTATGAGCTGGTTCACTTGGAGTTGTTTTGGTTGCAGGTGACAGAAAGCACGACTCAAGGTAGCATCAACCAAACAGGGAGGTGGGAGCACTCACCAGGCAGAGAAGTCCCTGCCCCCACTGCTGCAGCCCAACAGTGTGGCCCCATATGGGTCTCCCTGGACTAATGGCTGCGGCCTTGGAGGTGGTGTGCTCTGGCCAGGCCTGGATCACTTGTCCATCCTGAGTGGGAGTGGGGGCAGCCCCCAGAGACAGACTCAGGAGAGGGGGAGTGCAAGGATGTCCCCCAGATGCCCTGTGCTGCCCAGGGGACAGCTCACTGGCAGTGGGACGAAACCGCTGTCTGTCCAGGGCTCTCTTCCTAGAAGGTCTTAGGAACTCCCAAATGGGTGCTGGCTGGGGTTGCCCGGCCCGGTGCTCTCAAGGAGAGCTGAAGCTAGTTATTGGGTGCAGATGCTGGCTCTGACCCCTGCCCCTTCCTCCCGGGCTCAGCTTCCCCATCTGTCATGGAGTAATAACAACCCAGCCTTCTGGTCCACTGAGGAATGTGTGTGCCTGTGTGTTTGACGCTCTCAGAACAGGCCTGCAGCGCTGTGAGCCTTGGAAGGGGGCCTCACAGCTGCTGCCGCCACCTTGGAGGCCCAGGATGGGACTGAGAAGGGGAAGGGAGAGGTCAGAGCCACAGCTGTTGGGCAGGGACCTGCTGTAGGAAGAGAAGGCCAGGGAGGCGCTGGTGGTGGCCTCAGGCTATGCAGGTGATGCCCATTGTTTCCAGGGCCATCCCAGTTTGGAGGTTCCTGTTTCTAGAGGAGGTTCCCTTGTGACCCCCTCATTTCCACACCCGAGCAATGCTGAGGGCTGTGGGGCCCCCAGGGGCTTGAGTGTGGTTTATGGCACAGCAGGGACTGATCACAGTGGCACCGGGTGTCAGTGGCCAGTGGTCAGTGGCCAGGAACCCTCAGGACCCTCCTCCTTGTGTGGGTGGCATTTACCCACCCACAGGTCACGCTCAGGACCCGCATCTCATTCCGATCCTCCTTGTGTGGGTGGTACTTACCCACCCACAGGTCACGCTCAGGACCCCACATCTCATTCTGAAGGCCGGGCACAGGCGGTTGTTTTCTCTCCAACTTCGGTTTCCCCATCCCCACTCTTAGGGCACAAATGCAGGTGTAGCTTCCCCATGCCCACTCTTTAGGCACAAATGCAGGTGTAGCTTCCCCATCCCCACTCTTAGGGCACAAATGCAGGTGCAGCTTCCCCATCCCCACTCTTAGGGCACAAATGCAGGTGCAGCTTCCCCATCCCCACTCTTTAGGCACAAATGCAGGTGCAGCTTTCCCATCCCCACTCTTAGGGCACAAATGCAGGTGCAGCTTTCCCATCCCCACTCTTAGGGCACAAATGCAGGTGCAGCTTCCCCATCCCCACTCTTAGGGCACAAATGCAGGTGCAGCTTCCCCATCCCCACTCTTAGGGCACAAATGCAGGTGCAGCTTCCCCATCCCCACTCTTTAGGCACAAATGCAGGTGCAGCTTCCCCATCCCCACTCTTTAGGCACAAATGCAGGTGCAGCTTCCCCATCCCCACTCTTAGGGCACAAATGCAGGTGCAGCTTCCCCATCCCCACTCTTTAGGCACAAATGCAGGTGCAGCTTCCCCATCCCCACTCTTTAGGCACAAATGCAGGTGCAGCTTTCCCATCCCCACTCTTAGGGCACAAATGCAGGTGCAGCTTCCCCATCCCCACTCTTTAGGCACAAATGCAGGTGCAGCTTCCCCATCCCCACTCTTAGGGCACAAATGCAGGTGCAGCTTCCCCATCCCCACTCTTAGGGCACAAATGCAGGTGCAGCTTCCCCATCCCCACTCTTTAGGCACAAATGCAGGTGCAGCTTCCCCATCCCCACTCTTAGGGCACAAATGCAGGTGCAGCTTCCCCATCCCCACTCTTTAGGCACAAATGCAGGTGCAGCTTCCCCATCCCCACTCTTAGGGCACAAATGCAGGTGCAGCTTCCCCATCCCCACTCTTTAGGCACAAATGCAGGTGCTGTGAGCGCTTTAGAATCCTCTGCTGCAGGTGACTTTGCTTCAGCGAACCACAGAATGTTCACATGGTTTTATGCATTTGTTATTTCAGGGAAAATCAAGGTTAAAGATGTCTTCAGAATTTGTATTTTTGGGCTGGGCACGGTGGCTCACACCTGTAATCCCAACACTTTTGGAGGCTGAGGCAGGCGGATCACGAGGTCAGGAGATCGAGACCATCCTGGCTAACACGGTGAAACTCCGTCTGTACCAAAAATACAAAAAAATTAGCCGGATGTGGTGGCGGGCGCCTGTAGTCCCAGCTACTCGGGAGGCTGAGGCAGGAGAATGGCGTGCACCCGTGAGGCAGAGCTTGCAGTGAGCCGAGATGGTGCTGCTGCACTCCAGCCTGGGCTACAGAGCAAGACTCTGTCTCAAAAAAAAAAAAAAAAGAATTTGTGTTTTTGAAACTAAATATAGCAGGTCATTAGTTACTTATAACTGGTGTTTTATTAATAAAAGAAGAAAAAATTTAAAAACAGCCATGATTCCAGCTGCACGGAGCCTGGATGGGAAAGTGCATCCTCTGGGCTGAGCACGGTGGCTCACACCTGTCATCCGAGCGGGCTGGGCGCAGTGGCTCACACCTGTCATCCCAGCACTGCGGGAGGCCGAGGCGGGTGGATCACCTGAGGTCAGGAGTTCAAGACCAGCCTGGCCAACATGGTGAAACGCTATCTGTACTAAAAAGACAAATTTAGCAGGGCGTGGTGGTGGGTGCCTGTAATCCCAGCTACTTGGGACGCTGAGGCAGGAGAATCTCTTGAACCCGGAGGCGGAGGTTGTAGTGAGCTGAAATTGCACCACTGCCCCCCAGCCTGAGTGACAGAGCGAGACTTTGTCTCAAAAAAAAAAAAAAGAAAGAAAGTGCATCCTCTGGTAGGCCTTGGGCCGGGGGCGGGCATGAGAGAGCTGCGCTGGGATGCGCTGCCAGGGCACACTTGGTGGGTCACACACTCTTGTCAACTGTTTGGGGGCTGGAGAGTAGTAGCACTCAGCTCACACGGGCCTTCTGCAGGGAGTGGTGGGAGGGCCTGTGAGTAAGGGCTCCGGAAGGCCCATCATTGGGACCTGGTGCCGCCAGTGGGAGCAGGAGGAGCCTGTGCCTTCTCTGGCGCCAGTCATCCCAGATGCCACTCAGGGCTTGGCTGGGTTTGCCAGCTCTCCAGGTTGGCACTGGTAACGCCAAGATGGTCCTGGGAGCCCATCTCCATTCAGCCTCGAGTTCCCTGGCTTCACTGAGGGAGGAGCCGTGATAAGGTGGCTGTGGGTTCGCATTTTGGACTTTGTTATGTCAGAGTCTGCTGTGTTTTGTGTTTATGGTGGCAGCTGGATGAGGGCCAGCGACTTCAGGTGTTGACTGTCATGGTGGGCCCAACAGTATCCCTGCAGCCACAGCATCCTGCCTGCTGCCCTTTGCCTGTCCTGCAGACGCCAAGGCCCTAGAGCTTTGCTTTGATGGGATGTACCCATGTGGGTGGACACTGGAGGGAGCTGGAGGGGATAGAAGCGGGGCCTTCACTAGGGGCCAGGACAGACCCTTGCACTGTGAAAAGAGGCCTGGGAATGGAACTGTCCGATGTTCTGAAGGCACACGGGGCCCCGCCGTCTGGAGCAGGGGCACCTTGCGGGCTGCATGGCCACTCTGTGACGCTCGTTCCCCACAGACGTGGTTGAGCTTGCATTTTCTCCCCTCAGCACAGTCTCATTTGGGAAGAGGAAAGGGAAACTTGCACGCATGGGCCGGTCAGGGCACTGAGAGGCCTTTCTGCTCTGGCACTGCCTGCCAGGCGTGCACCTCAGGGGGCCCGTCCGCTCTAGCAGGCAAATGGGGCGTGTTCTCTGTAGTCAGAGGGGCTGTGAGAAGACAGGAAAGCGAGCTTAGTGGGTATCAGGCAAGGGGGTGAAATTGGGTTGTGAGATGAGAAAGCAGCGTCATTGCAGGGCTGGGGGGCCGAGACTCGGCAGGGTCGCCGAGAGCTCAGTGAGCGAGCAATGCACAGGCGGCTCCTCGCCGCAGGGGCCTCTGGGGGCCGAGGGGCTCTGGGCCTGCACCCCCTCTGTAGACACCTGGCGAGTGTCCACCCCTTGGCCCAGCTCCTTTCCTCAGTTTTCCTCGGGCGTGCTCCCAGTGCTTTGTTTGCTTGGCTGTGGGTGGTGACCCGCCCATGCTGTCTGGTTGATTTAACTGGTGTGTCTTCCAGCTACAAGAAGACTCAGGAAACTCTTTCACAGGCAGGACAGAAGACTTCAGCTGCCCTGTCCACAGTGGGCTCTGCCATCAGCAGGAAGCTTGGAGACATGAGGTGAGACGCAACCCTGACTCTGCTGCCCTGAGACCTGGCCAGGAGTGAGGTGAGGTGTTGGAGGTGCTACAGGAAGCCTGCCTGGAGATCAGGGCTCAGATGCACTGGCTCAGGGATGTGGCCATCCATCATGGCCCCGACCAGTCTGTGTGCAGACCCTTGCCTGGGAGGTTCGTCCATCCCCGTTGGCTGCTTTTCTGCCGTTGCTGTGTTCTTCAGGGAGGGTTGGCTGCCAGTGCTGTTGGGTAACTTGTGGTGCTCGGGGTTGGTGAGGGAGGAGTCTGCACCTTGAAGCTTCACTGAGTGGCAGCGACTCCAGCCCAGGGGTCAGAGTCAGGTCAGTGTGGGACGGCAGTCCTCCACCATCTCTAGGACAGGGGCTCGGCGTGGTACTTCCTCAGGCTGTTTCCCAGGTCTCAGAAAGTGCAGTCAGACGCCAGGAGGCCCTGAATGAGCCTTCTCTCCCAGAGGCTGGTGAAAGCCTCCTGGCCATCAGAGGTCCCTCAGCAAGCAGGGCTGGGGCCAAGGAGTGAGCAGGGGGCCGGCGCTTTGTGGCTGGCATGTTTGCTCTTCCTTCCCTGTTCTAGGCTCCCTGACTACAGCATGGTGATGAGGGGATTGAGCCAGAAGCCTGGGTATGATGCTTGGCTGGGCTACCTCCTGGCTGGGCACCCCAGCTGGGCCTCAGGCACGCCTTCTTTCACAGGGGTTGTAGGAGTGGATGATATAGGTTGTCACCATCAACAGCATCCTGGCCCCAACTTCTGGGTGCTGCTGCCCACCCTGCCCTGACCCCTTTCCCATTCTCAGAACTGGTCTTCTGGCTTTTGGATCTCAGGGAGTGCCTCCCTGTAGCTCTGACCCAATCCTGGCAAAGATGGGTGCAGGCTTCCTAAAGGACCGGTGTGTGGAGCACAGTGCTGACCCCACCCAGCCCTCCCCTCTTCCCCTCTTGTGGCCCCTGCAGGATTCAGAGATACGTACATCTCCTGCTGGGCTGCCTGCCTGCCTGCCTGCCTGCCTCCCTGCCTGCCTGCCTTAGGTTAGGTGTGTCCTGCCTCCCCGCCTGTGGTTGCCAGGTGGGGGTCGTCCTGCGCCAGTGCTTTCCCCTGACCACTAAGCCACAGGCCAGGACACAGACGGCCACACACACCCAGGGACCCACCCTGCCAAGCAGAGGGGATGGCCACTGCCCAGGAGCTGTGCCCACTTTTATTTTTGTTTTTTTGAGGTAATCTACCTTCCCATCCCTGCAACTTCTATTTCGAGAAGTTTTAAACCTCTGGAGAAGCTGCAGTCATCAGTATGCAATGTGTGTGTTTCCTCTGTGCACCCTCACACGCCCAAGGCTCCACACTCCCCAGCAGCTGTGACTTGGGGGGGTCCTTGTGGGGCACCCTACAAATGCAGGTCTTCCCTACCACTGCTGAGCTTTGGACCCAGGAGGGACCCCCTGAGTTTCAGCTGAACTCAGCCTCGCAGGGCTGTTTTCTTCCCGAAAATGCTGGTCTCACCACAGAGCATCTTCAGGAAGTAACAGGTGTTTGTTGTGCCTAAATTATGCCGGCCATCAGGAGGCGTTTGCCCACTCTTAGTGTCCACACTCCCTTTTGAGTTTGTTCAGACCATTGTGGTGGAAATCCAAGGGGCACGTGGAGCCCTTGGCACTGATTGGAATAGCCGTGCACAAGCCAGTCCTAGGGTTTTGATCTGGGCATTTGTTTGTATGGCCTGTTTTTCTCTGGAAGCACAGGGACACGGTCCTGGTTCTCTGTCTGCTCCTCCTTCTCTGATGGGGAGAAAGGCTTTCGCTCTCTGCTCAGTCCTGGGGTTGGCAGCTGACCCGTGTCGTGTAGCCTCAGGGCATGGCTGGCAGTGAGCAGAGTTCCTGTTGCAGTGACGCTGGCACAGCTGTCAGTGTGCCCAGCCACACTGTGCCACGTGTTTGCACGTGTGCCCTGGTACATGGGGCCAGCTGGGGGAGCGGGGCCTCAGGCTGACCTGGGACGAGCCAGCTCGCTCCAGTTGGCTGGCCGTGTTCACGGTGCCCGTGGAGGGTCCTGTTTGCTGGTGTGTCTTGCCCTGCTTGCTCCTCCATTTATGTTTGTAGTGGTGGTGGGAACTCTGACGTCTGGAGCCCCTGGTGTATCCCCATCATCTCCCCAAGCAGTCACAGGTGGTTTCTGAGGTCTGGGCCCATTCACCTCGAGTTAGAGACTGAGGTTGAGAGCTCACTACTTCCTGAAAGTGAAAATTGGGTTCTGGGAGGTTTATGTCATGAGTTTAGGGCTGGATGAACCCCGGCGGACCCCTGCTAACTCTTGGGCGGAAGCCCCTCTGGACAGCTGCCCAACGCCCGTGTCCATGATGGGCCTGTCCCAGGGCAGCCCCGGTCTGTGAGGCCTTTGGTGTGCCCTGGGGCATGGGTGATGGGGATGGGAGGAAGGGAACTGGATTCAGGTCAGAGTGGGGGTTTACAGCAGGGTCAGGTCACCGTCTGACTCCGTGGTCTCAGATGAGGCATCGGCCCTCTCAGGACCTCGGGCGAGTTGAGTGTTTCTCAGTTCTTCAGTGGCTCCCTCCATGTCAGAGTGGGCCTGGCTGCAGTGAGTGGCAGCAGCTGCCCTTGGACACACAGGTTTCCAGGTTGGCGTCTGTGGGCACGGATGGAGCGCAGAGCAGAAATGCTCGGCGCCAAGGGTGTCCCACATCCTCCCACGGTGCGTGTGCTCCCTCAGCTGACGTGATTTGGGGAACACGGGCCGCTCTCGTTCTGTGGAGCTGGCCAAGCCCAGCTGTCATGCTGTGGCACATTTCACACCTTTGCGCTGCTGGATGGGGCTGGTTGTGCTCCAGGTGCTGTGGCTTCTCCAAACAGGTGTGCCTTGGGGCATAAGGCGTGGACAGGGCGTGGACCCAGGGGCCTCTTGGGCACAGCCGTGAGGCTGAGCAGTTGCTAGTCATGATCTTGCGAGAGCCTCCTGTTGAGTCAGGACTTGAGGAGACTGGAGACAGTGCTGCTGTCCCCGGTGGTGTGCGGACTGGAGGAGCCGTCCTGGAGGGTCTTCCCCTGCTGGGCCTGACTGAGCACGAGCAGGGGGCCTCCCCTGGGGCTCCCCGAGGAGGGCTGTGAGTGGGTGCTGGCCTCCCTTGCTTACACTTCGTTTCCTCTTCTCTCCTGCTGCCACCTTCCAGGGCTCATCCATTTTCACACTCCTTTAGGTAAGGCTGAGCCTGGACACACCTGTGGAAGACTTTTCTCTGAATTGGGGCAGGGTGGACTCCGGCAGGGCCCTTGGGCGGCTGTGCTAGTAGAGGGCAGTGAAAGTGGGATCACCCCTTCCAGGACAGCAGTGCCAGCCAGGTGGTTGCTGCATCTCAGGGAACAAAGCAGCAGCGTGGGATCGACGCAGAGGCCCCCCGGAACCCCCCGGCCCTTCTGTGTCCCCTCCTCGTGCTTCCCTTCAGGCTCACAGACCGCCTGCTGCCGGGTCTGTGAATAACTGGCCTGGCGTCCAGGCCTGAGTTTACTCCTGAAAAGGAGCTTTTTTTTTTTTTTAGACGGAGTCTTGCTCTGTCGCCCAGGTTGGAGTGCCGTGGCGCGATCTCGGCTCACTGCAAGCTCCGCCTCCCGGGTTCACGCCATTCTCCTGCCTCAGCCTCTCCGAGTAGCTGGGACTACAGGCGCCCGCCGCCACGCCCGGCTAATTTTTTGTATTTTTAGTAGAGACGGGGTTTCACCGTGGTCTCGATCTCCCGACCTCGTGATCCGCCCGCCTCGGCCTCCCAAAGTGCTGGGATTACAAGCGTGAGCCACCGCGCCCGGCCTTTTTTTTCTTTTTTTTGTTGGAGTCTCGCTCTATCACCAGGCTGGAGCACAGTGGTGTGATCTCGGCTCACTGCAACCTCCAGCTCCCTGGTTCAAGCGGTTCTCCTGCCTCAGGCTCCTGAGTAGCTGGGATTACAGGCATGAGCCACCACGCCTGGCTAATTTTTGTATTTTTAGTAGAGACGGGGTTTCACCATGTTGGCCAGCATGGTCTCGATCTCCTGACCTCGTGATCCACCCGCCTTGGCCTCCCAAAGTGCTGGGATTACAGGCGTGAGCCACTGCGCCGGGCCCTCAAAGGAGCCTTTTCACGTGGGAGGGCTGTGCCGACTCTCACCACCTTCCTGTTCAACATCTGTCCTGTTTCCTTGTTTTCCTTCAGATGGAGTTTTGTCTTGTTTACTACCCGAGAGCCCATAGGTGTGCCTCCCAAAGGGCCCTCCTGCAGACCAGAGCAAGCTCCTCTAGGCCAAGCCGGGGCGCCGCCAGCACGTGCCCTTCTGCTGGAACCGGGAGGTCTAGAGCCAGGCCCAGAACAATCTGTGATTTCTTGTGTTTTTACTTGACTTGGTGGTTTCTCTTTTGCCAAAAGGTCCTTACTTGACTTCTGAAGGCTGTTTGTACCAAATACTTTTCAAAAGCCCAAGCCTGGTCTCCTCACAGCTTCCTATGGCAGTGCTCTCCCCCCTCCCAGTGCTATGCGCTGGGCAACTTGGGGTGCCCCCCATGAGGCCAAGGGAGGACCCTGGGGTCGAGTTTCCTTCGGGGGCATTGTGTGGAGGGGCAGGCAGCTCGCTCCAACTGCTGGGAGTGGGGGAATCCCAGCTCTGCCCATCCCTGCCAAGTTGGGGTTGTGTGTGGATCTTGGTGTTAACTCTTGCTTCCTTCTCTGCTTCTGCCATGCTTCCAAGCAGCAGCTACTCCATCCGCCACTCAATAAGTATGCCAGCCATGAGGTAATGTATGCCTGCTCGCTGCGGCTCCAGAGCCGGGTGTCTCTGGTGGGGGTTGGGGCAGCTCCCGCCGGTTACACCTTGCCCTTCCCATATTCCTGGATTAATTGAGGACTCCATTCCCTTGGCAACCTCTGATGACTAAGGGCCGGTAAAAACCCCCTCTAGGCTGACGAGGAAGAGCTGGTAGGGGGTCAGGCTCTTCACCTGCAGCCTCCAGAGGAGATCCTTGTGTCAAACTGGGCCGTGTCCTTTCCAAGTCCTGACCCTGGCTGCCTGCAGTGGGTGGGGTGGGGTTCGAGGGGCTCGCACACAGATCCTGGCACTTGCCCTGGTGGGCTGTCACTCAGGACACTTCACGGTCTCAGCCTTCACGGAAACACCCAGAGCTGTGGTCCTTATTCTGTGCCTGTCAGGCACCACCCTGATTCTCAGGATTCTGTGCCTGTGCCGTGAGGCACTGCCCTGATTCTCAGGAGAGCCCAGAACTGTGGTCCCTATTCTGTGCCTGCGCCGTCAGGCACCGCCCTGATTCTCAGGAGAGCCCTGTTCTCCTTGTGGGGACTCTGGCTGGGTGTCGCAGACGTGCTGGCCTCTAGAGTCCCCGGGCCTGGGAGGGGTATCTGTTTGTGTGGGAGGGACTGAGTGGGATGGAGCTGGCCTGCTTTCTCCTCTTGTCTCCTTATCACTCTGCTGTCCCAGAAGTGTCCTTGGTCTTCCGTTTGCTTCTCTGAGAGATGTGCATGAAGAACTGCACAGACTTTTCATAACTTCAGTACGAGAGCCCAGGGTGTCCCTGTAGGGGACAGCAGAGAGGGGCCGACAGCCCCCCAACTGCGCAGACTTTTCATAACCTCAGTACGAGAGCCCAGGGTGTCCCTGTAGGGGATAGCAGAGAGGGGCCGACAGCCCCCCAACTGCACAGACTTTTCATAACCTCAATACGAGAGCCCGGGGTATCCCTGTAGGGGACAGCAGAGAGGGGCCGACAGCCCCCCAACTGCGCAGACTTTTCATAACCTCAGTACGAGAGCCCAGGGTGTCCCTGTAGGGGATAGCAGAGAGGGGCCGACAGCCCCCCAACTGCACAGACTTTTCATAACCTCAGTACGAGAGCCCGGGGTATCCCTGTAGGGGACAGCAGAGAGGGGCCGACAGCCCCCCAACTGCGCAGACTTTTCATAACCTCAGTACGAGAGCCCGGGGTGTCCCTGTAGGGGACAGCAGAGAGGGGCCGACAGCCCCCCAACTGCACAGACTTTTCATAACCTCAGTACGAGAGCCCGGGATGTCCCTGTAGGGTATGACAGAGAGGGGCCGACATCTCCCCAGCTGCACAGTCAAGGGGTTTCCAGTTGCCTTGTGTGACGTCTGGACCTGTCCCTGTGGTTGTTGGGCATGGCCGACCTCACTTTTGACCTGGGGAGTCTCCGGAATGACCTGGCTGTCTCACAGTTTTGCCATGAGATCTTGGGATGTTGTTAGGGACCCTTTGGAGGCTGGCCCTAACCCTGAGGCCCTTCCGAGTTAGGAGAGCAGCACAACCCTCTCCTCTTGACACCGACACTCTTCCCTCTCTCTTTAAAGGAACTCTGCGACCTTCAAGTCGTTTGAGGACCGAGTTGGGACCATAAAGGTAATTGTACCTGGACTGTTTGATGGTCTTGGCAAGGTGTGACCTGTTACAGCAACTTGTTTATTATTAGTCATTTAGTTATGGTAGACTCACATACAGTTGTGGGAAGTAATGCAGAGAGGTTCCTTGTGCCTTTTACACAGTTCTCTCCTGTGACGACATCTTGGAAAATCCTGTAGTGCAGCCTCCCCACCAGGACATTGGCACTGACTCAGGACACAGAACGCCTCCACACTGCCCTTCCTGGTCCCCACTGCCCTTCCTGGTCCCCACTGCCCTTCCTGGTACCTTCTTGGCCATGCTGACCTTCCTCCCGCCCTACCCCCGGCAACCCCTAGTCCACTCTCCCTTTGTATAATTGTGTCATTTCAAGAATGTCACGTAAATGGAACGATACAGTGTGCAGCTTTTTGGCATTCACTGTCTTCATTTGGCATCGTTCTCTGGAGACCTGTTGGGGCTGGTGCCCGTCCGTGATTTGCTCCCTGTCCCTGCTGAGCAGTGTTCGTGTTACATAAGCTTTTGTAGAGCATTGAGCATGGGCCTGGGATCTGCCTTGTGTTGTGTGCTCTGTCTCAGGTTTTTCTGTCTTCATCTTTTCTCTCCTGTAGTCTAAGGTTGTGGGTGACAGAGAGAACGGCAGTGACAACCTCCCTTCCTCAGCGGGGAGTGGTGACAAGCCCCTGTCGGATCCCGCACCTTTCTAAGCCTGTGGTTGCTTCACCCGCTGCAGAGCACACGCAACCCAGCCTCAGCATCACAGCCGCAGCTCTGTTCAGCGGAGCAGCCAGCCAGGGCGGATGAGCAGAGCCGGCCCTGAGGACAGTCCTGCCCATCCACGCGGAGATGTGGCTGCCGCGTTTGCATGAATTTGAAGAACACAGGCTTGTACACAGATGTTTTACACTCACGTTTGTAGATGAAACAGATCACTGTGCTGTCCTTCCTAGGGGTGCAGGAAGTGGACAGGGCGGAGGGTTTGAAAGAATATTGAGCCAAAGCCCAGGCTCCCTTTGGGAATCATGTTAGCCCATCAGAATGTTGAAGGATTGAAGAGTTCTAAGCATAAAATAAGTGGCATTTTCTGACTTCTTCCTCCTCCTCCTTCCCTGACTCACAGAAGGAATGCAATCACCCAGCAAGTCCTACCTGTTACGCAATTTTTTATCTCAAAATGCCGAACGAGAAAACTGTCCATTTTCTGAGACCCCCAGAAAGGAAACTGACCCTCAGCAGCTGCCTGATTGTTACGCGAATCTAGCTTTAACGGAAGCAAATTCATTATTTTTTAAATGCAGTGGACTTTTCAAAAAGTTTAAATTAGGCAAAGCAGCTTTAGCCTCATAGAATATTATTTCTTTGGACTCAAGCTGAAATACAAGCCTTACATTGCCTTATGCTTTATTTCTTTCTAATTTTTATATGTATATAGATGAGGGTTCCTTAATGGTTGTGAGCATTGTGTGGAATTTTACACCTGGCCTGCGTGGCAGCCTCTTCCAGTTGAGGTGTTTTATGTCACGCACACTCCATCCCAGTGTACAAAACCTGCTTCTCTTCTCAACCGTGGCAGCTCCCGCTGGCTCCTATGCCCTGCCCTAAAGGGCTCTTGAGCCTCTGGGAATGGGAGGGGCCAAGAGAAGGAAAACCCTGTCTTTAGCACCCTTTAAAAGAACTGTGCCCCCCTTCTCAGTGCTGCCTTTGCATGGGCCTGGCCCGGCTCACATTCGTCAGTGACTCCAACCCTCCTGCTTGCTGTACTTGGGATGAAACGACCCCACAGGTCAGGTGGAGGGTGGGGCGTGGGCATCAGCCAGGATTGCCGTTACAGTCTTTTTCTCAGGAGCTACAAAGATCTCTTCCTGTTACTAAATAGTCGCACCCCAGCAGCCTCTCTCGCACACCGGGGCCCTGCATGTCAGATGGCGTGGTCTGCAGGGGGAGCTCTGTGCCTTAGTGGCTCTTGGCAGGACACTGAGGGCCTGCCTGTGGTGTGCCCGGCTCTGCCACTCCCGGGAGGGGAAGGGCTGCTCAGCTCAAGGTGTCCTGTTCGGTAGAGCAAGTGTCCTCTGACAGCCGTGTCCCCGGACAGTTCAGACACCCTTGGGGATGGCACTCCACACACGACAGAGATGCAGGGGCCAGGGAAGCCCAGCGCTCGGTGCCCTTCGTCCAGGGTTAAAATCGGCCTGTGGGGTGTGGTGAGAAGGCAGGTTGTGCGGGTGTTGACCGATGTATCTTTTCCTTAAAGTTATTATAATAATGGGTAATTTGTCAATAAAGCATTCCTTTGGGGGAAAGTCCGCCTCGGCTTGTGTGATGTATCGTTCGGGACCATGATAAGAGTGGTAAATGAACTGGCACACGGTACCTGCCCTAATGAGTCCGCACCCTTGGGAGAGGCAGGCAGGGGACAGTGCTAAAGACAAAGGGCAGGTCCTCAATGCTGGGACAAGGGGAGCCAGCTGTGAGGGGAGAATGGTATATGGCCAACCTGTGAGGTCAGACCCAGCGTCTTGGGAAGAGGAGTTGAAACTGAGCCCCAGGAGGCGGAGGAGGAGCTCACCAGGCTCCAGGTTGGGCCGGGAGCTCCAGAGGCTTCGCCAGCTGCCCCTGCAAGCACTGAGCTGCTGCTGAGCACACCTGTAGTCCCCGCCATTCTGGAGGGTGAGGCAGATCACCTGAGCCCAGGAGTTCAGGACCAGCCTGGGCAGCATACCGGGATTCCATCTCAACTAAAAACAGTAGGCTGGGTGTGGTGGCTCATGTCTGTAAGCTCAGGACTTTGGAAGGCCAAGATGGGAGGATCACTTGAGCCTGGGAGTTTGACACCAGCTTGAGCATCGTAGCCAGGCCCTGACTCTACAAAAAAGTGAAATAATTAGCCGAGTGTGGTGGTTCACACCTGTAATCCCAGCTGCTCAGGAGGCTGAGGTAGGAGAATCATTTGAACCCGGGAGGTGGAGGTTGCAGTTAGCCGAGATCACGCCATTGCACTCCGGCCTGGGCGATAAAGCGAGACTCTGTCTCAAAAAAAAAAAAAAAAAAGAAAAAGAAAAAGGAAAAGACCCTTGAGGGGGAACCTCCACTCTGCCCCTGGTCTGGCGCTTTGCATGTATCCATTCCTAGTCTTTGGAGTTCCCACTGGAAAACTAGTGGGAGCACCAGTCTTCCTTTGGAGGTCAGAGGTAGCTGGGCTCACCCCAGATGTAAGAGCAGGGAAAGTTAGGTGACCTCGAATTGTATGGTACATAAGCCCCAATACAGCAGGGAGCTGGTACCAATAAAGGGTGAAATGCACTATTGCCGCCTGCAGTCAAGATTTACACTAATTTATTTTGGAATGAGTTCATGTGTTCTTCATTTATTGAACAGATACTGTAACTGCCCTGCGGGTAAGAGTCTGCTAGGTTTTGTGGGGTACAAGGGTGAATCTGATGTGGACCCAGTGCTCAAGGACTTTGCAACCCGTTTGTTGGGGAAGACAGATTCCCCTAAGTCACTGGCTTGTGTTTGACGAGGTGAAGCGCTTGGAGAGCTTCGAGGATGGAGCAAGTGGAGTAAGTGGACCTGAGGAGCGGGCAGCAATGCCTGAAGGCTCAGTCCCCTCTTCTCAGAGTGAGGGTAATGGTATCTGCCTCATCATATTGAAAGGCTTAACCTTATAAAGCACTTAGCACAGGGCCTGATGTATCAGAGGTAAACATCAGACTCTTCCCAACTGTAGCCACTGTCAACTTTCCTGTCTTCTTTTTTTTTTTTGAGACAGGGTCTCACTCTGTCGCTCAGGCTGGAGTGCAGTGGTGCAATCTCAGCTCACTGCAACCTCCACCTCCTGGGCTCAAGCGATGCTCCTGCCTCAGCCTCGCGAGCAGATGGGATTTACAGGGGCATGCCACCACGCCCAGCTAATTTTTGTATTTTTAGTAGAGACAGGGTTTTGCCATGTTGGCCAGGCTGGTCTTGAACGCCTGACCTCAGGTGATCCGCCCACCCCGGCCTCCCAAAGTGCTGGGATTACAGGTGTGAGCCACTGTGCCCGGGCGTACCTTCCTGTCTTATTTTCTCCAAGCAGGCTGGAATGTTCATGGATAGATATATGTGTGATAATATACTTTTTACATATCATGCATCGTGCTCATTTTAGTTTCAGGAGTTCTTTGCTCCTGTGTAGCCTTTCTACACATTATCTTTCTTTTTTTCTTCTTTTTAAATAAGAGATGGGGTCTTGCTCTGTCACCCAGGCAGGAATGCAGTGGCACAATCATGGCTCACTACAGCCTTGACTTCCCACCCGATCCAGCCTCCTGAGTAGCTGGGACTACAGGGGCATGCATGCCACTGTGGCCGGGCCAATTAAAAAAATTTTTTTTTATAGAGATGGTGGTCTCACTATGTTGTCCAGGCAGGTCTCAAACTCCTGGGCTCCAGTGATCTTCCTGCCTTGGTCTACCAAAGTGCTGAGATTCCAGGCGTGAGCCATGGGTCCCGTTGTATACATTTCAGTAACTATATTATTCCATTTGAGTGCTCACTTGTGCAGTTGGGCAGGTTTCCATTCTCGCTATTAAAAATAGTGCCTTCATGAATATTTCAGTGCATATACCTTTTTCTGTATTTAGGAATATTTTCTTTGGAAGAATGTCCCTAAAGTGGAACTGCTAGGTCTCAGAGGGACTCACTTAAGGCTGGTTCATTCATTCTTGCAGCTCCCAGCACAAGTGGAATATAGCTTCAATCTGAGATCGGTACCAGGCCCATTTCATTCTCTCATCCCTCCAATTCTGGCCTGAAATATTTCATTCTCTTGGAATCTATAGTTGTAGATATGAACCTGGCCTTTCTGCTTCTTGGGTTCCATAGGCCTTTTCTTGCTGCCTGCTTGATGTTGCGCAGCTTAATGACTGCTAGGAGGCTTCCCAAGCTCTGACACTTCCAGGCTGTGAGACTGGAACAAGCTTGGCAATTCAAGACCGGCATTATGGCAGTGAGTTATGAGGGCAGAGGAAGGAGGCCAGAGCGTGTTGAGAGAGAATTTGGGTTTCACGCAGTGTGTCACGGGAAGCCTTGGATGCTACTGGGTTTGTTTTAAAAAGATGACCGCACTGAACTCAGGTAAACGGGCAAGGGTGGAAGCGAGGAGGCAGGAGCACCGGCCGCAGAGGTCTGGGAGCTTCTAGGATGGGAAGTGGCCCAGGCAGCCTACGCGGGGCAGGCCGTCAGTGAGTGGCGGAGCGCCTGCAGTTACAGGGACAGGGAAGGGTGGCCGACGGGATGGGCAAGGGCAGAGGGAGGTGGAGTGGACGTTCGTGGTCCTGCCTCTCCACGCTGCTGTTTGGAGATGATTCCGGGAGGGTGGGAGGGCGCTGGCGACGGCATTTCAGTGGTTGGACAGGAAGGAAGGAAGGACGTCCCATCTCGGCGCTCCAGGGTTGAGCAAATGTCAGTCCCAGGACGGTGGCTCCGGGTGGGGGCGGGGGCGACGGTCCGCAGCCGTCTCCCACCAGCTCCCTGTTCAGTTCTTTGATGAGAACGATTACGTTTTCTCAGTCTTACTTAAAGCGCTGAGTAAACTCACCTGCAAGACCAGCAAGCCCTGCGCTTCTCTTTCTGCGCGGTTCCCCGCAGCACATGGCGTGTCCACCCGGGACCCACCTGCGGCCACCTGAAGACTGGGAGGACTGGCTCCGCCCCCGCGCTTCGTCCCCGCCCACTCATGGGCGGAGCCTCCACAGGGCGCCTCGGCCCCGGGCTGTCACTCGGGACTCCGCCCCTTCATGGACGGAGCCTCCGCTCGGCTCTCTGAGCGCATGCGCAGCCGGTCCCACCCGCGGCTCCGACACGCCGGAGCCCACGTCCTTCCGGGAGCGCGCGCGCCGGTGCGGGTGCGTGCGTGAGCGTGCTCGTCTCCGCTGCCGCTGCCGCTGCCGCTGCCGGTGCCGCACCCGCGCCCTCTGCCGCCGCCGCCGCCGCCGCCCGGGGTCTCCAGGCTGAGGAGTGCGTCGGCCGCTGCCCAGCAGCGCCGCGAATCGGGGAGCGGAGCCGCGGAGCCGGCGGGAGGGCGGGCGGGCGGGCGGACGGGCAGGTGAGCTCGCTGCGGGTCGGGCGGGCGGATCGGCCCACGTCAGGCCCGGGCAGGCGGGCGGGCGGGCGCGGGTGGGGGGCGGGGGCGGCACTCCAGAGCCGGAAATGGCGGCGACCCCCGGGCCGGGGCTGCGCGGGCGCTCGGGGCCGGAGCTGCTGCGACGCCGCGGCCTGGGCCGGGGCGGGGGCGCGGGAAGGTCGGCGCCGGGGCCTGCGGGAGCCGGGCCGGGCCGGGCCGGGGGTCTGAGCACCGTGGTGGGGGCTGGGGCGGCGCTCTCCGCGGGTCTCTTCGGGCCCGGACGCCCCCTCCGCTCCCCCAGGTCCCCGCGGCCGCCCCCAACCCCCCGGGGTCTCCTCTCCTGCGGGGGGACTGGAGAAGCTGGGCCATCGCTGGTCTTAGGGAGGCAGATAATTTAGTCCCTGGGTCGTTGTGTTTATAGCTCGGGGAATTGAAAATTGTTCTGTAACGCATCGTAAATTAATCTTTCCGACGTTGTAAATTCCAAAAAGCATTTGGTTTGTTAGAAAAAACCTGTTTTCTCCGCTTTATAAAAACATTTGAAGCCATGCTTTATATTGAACTCTTAAGGAGAGTATTAGGAACTCGTCCGTTCAGGTTCTAACTTGTTGGTGTTAAGTGTCTGGATTAAAGACTCTCTTTTTCGTGTGCCGAAGCCATGATTTCTCAAATTCATTCAGTTGTGTCATACAGGAAAAGGAAGCAAAAATTTCAGCTTTATTTTTGTTTTCCGGCTTAGGCTTGGTTGGGAAGATTTGATGGTGGTTAGACACGTCTGCCCTTATTTGCCTGTTTAGAAAAACCTATTCTAATGACAAAAACAGTTACATTGCTCCCACTATTGTCATGGTTACCTGAAGGCAAAAGTTTACTCAAAGCTTCTGAGATTTTATGTTCGTTTATTTGCTTCTCTTTTTAAAAAAATGTCAGCTGAGTTTCAGGAATGAGTAGTCTGTCAAACAAGAGATGAAATTAGAAGCCTGGATCTAAGGGCTTTGGGGAAGTTTCGGTTGAGTTCCCCTTTCACTTGTGTCGGTGCTGTAGGACTCGGGGTGGCTCCAGCTGGCGTCTGGCCCAGCAGAGAGCTGTAGGGGCCCGCTCTGGTTGCTGGCTGTGTGGACTCTGAGGGACACCCCTGGCGAGGGTGTTAATGAGCCTGCAGCGTCTGAGTCCACCCACCCTCAGACTGGCCCCTGACTCACTCTGCACCTGCCATATCAGCCTCCTTGCTAGTTCTGAACAGAGCCACATGCTCTGTCCTTGGATCTTCCTGGAATGCCTGGTTCCTTAACCCCCTAGCCTGGCGACTGCCTGCCTGCCTTGCCACCCAGTTCCCTTCCTCGCTTAATTTTCCCACAGCGCTGAATCCTCCTAGTGTCCTGCTTAATGCATTTATCATACTTAATATTTTACTGTGAGTTAGTAAGGTCCGTGGAGAGAATGTTTTGTGAAAAAAACAGTTGCTGGCACATGATCGGGGCCCAGTAAATATTTGTTCAGTGAATGAACGTGAGGAGCTTAGCAGCAGCTGTGCGTGGTGCTGGCCTTGTCACCCGGAAGTCCTTGTCGGTGAGGACTGAGCATGTAGAGGTAAGGGTTCCTGGAGTGTTGGCCCTCAGGACAGAGAGCCACCATCTCTCACCTGCCCAATGAGGAAAGACAGCCAGGTAAGGGGTGGCTTGGAAGGGTGCATGGGACCCTTGTAAATCTTTTCGCAACTTTGAATCTATAATTATTTTGAAGTTAAAACGTTTCTAAAAAGTCAGATCTGTTGGGGGCACAGTGGCTCATGCCTGTAATCTCAGCACTTTAGGAGGCTGAGGCGGACGGATCACTTGGAGTCAGGAGTTCGAGACTAGCCTGGCCAACATGGTGAAACCCCATCTCTACTAAAAATACAAAATTAGCTGGGTGTGGTGGCGTGTGCCTGTAATCCCAGCTACTAGGGAGGCTGAGGCAGGAGAATCACTTGAACCCAGGAGGCGGAGGTTGCAGTGAGCCGAGATCGCGCCACTGCACTCCAGCCTGGGCAAAAAGAGCAAAACTCCATCTTATAAAAAAAATAAAAATAAAAATTAGCTGGTTGTGGTGGTGGGCGTCCGTAATCCCAGCTACTCAGGAGGCTGAGGCAGGAGAATCCCTTGAACCTGGGAGGTGGAGGTTGCAGTGAGCAAAGGTCACGCCACACTGCACTCCAGCCTGGGTGGTAGAGCAAGACTCAGTCTCAAATAAATAAAAATAAATAAAAAGTCAGATCTGCCAGTGGTAATAATGCTTTTAGAAATTTTGTCTTTGATTACCAGGAAAAACCCTACATGCTAGTCCTTATACTCCGTCGTGACATTTGGTAATTAAGTAGAGTGAGGTGGAATGATCTCCCTGGCTCTTAATTCAGGAGGACTGCCTGAGAGTGACTGTGGCTGATCCCCTTAGCATGAGGCCCTTCAGCTGTGGTGCTGTGACAGAGCCACAGAGGCTGCTTGGTGACTTGCAGACTCTGGAGTCCTTTCCACAGCCTCCACCTCATGCCTACATTAACTCAGAGTGAGTGGGCTTCAGGGCCTTCCTGCATCCCTGAAGATGGTTGTATTAACGTGGTTCAGAGATTGAACAGACGCTGCACGTTTCTCAGGCATTTTTCCTCAGTTCCCCTTGCTTGGAGGGTGGATACCACTGAGCCTGGTTGTACAGCTGCCTCCGTGACCAGCACCTTTGCCCAAGGTCTCCCTGTTAACAATCGTCAGAGCTGGAACTTGAACTCGAGTCTTCTCTAGACCAGGTTTCTTCTAAGTATTTGGCATCACCAGGAAGAGCCCTGTACAAGGTGCTGGTGGTTTTATCCTTAGAGCCCAGATGTGAGGTGCTCACGTGTGTGCCTGGGGTTAGCAGTTGGTGTTTGTTGAATGAATGACTAAAATGCAGTGGGGCGGGGAGTCATGATAAGGTAGAATTTTATCTGAGGTGGAGTTTGCTTCTGAAATCAGGCAGTAAGGTGAATGTGATACCCAGTTAGGAGTATGTAATGCTGCAGGTAAACTGTAACAGCAAATGAAAGCAGTATTTCTCCAGGAAGGAAACAGACCCCTGGGTCCTCGGGCTGGGTTGGAAAAAGCCATTTGTAGAGAAATGGAACATGGTGGCTAGCCCTGCACAAGACATAGAGAAGAGACCCTTAACACTCCAGTTATCTCCAAGTGGGCAGTTAGAATGAGTGCTTCTAGGCCGGGCACGGTGGCTCACACCAGTAATCCCAGCACTTTGGGAGGCCGAGGCGGGCAGATCTTGAGATCGAGAGATCGAGACCATCCTGGCCAACATGGTGAAACCCTGTCTCTACTAAAAATACAAAAATAGCTGGGTGTGGTGGCGGGCACCTGTAATTCCAGCTACTAGGGAGGCTGAGGCAGGAGAATTGCTTGAACCCGGGAGGCAGAGGTTGCAGTGAGCTGAGATAGCACCACTGCACTCCAGCCTGGGCGACAGAGCGAGACTCCCTCTCACAACAAACAAACAAACAAACTGCAGTGCTTCTAAGGTGAGACTCATCGTGATGTTCTGATTAGAACGTTCTCGTGCCACAAAGTCCTGAGATGTGTCCAAGAAGCACCGTCTTCTGTCAGACACACCTCCTGCCCCGCCATAGGCCTTCCCACTGTGGCAGCAGAATCTGTGCTAGGCCTTCCTTCGTGAAAGAGGACAAGATCAGGGCTCACGTGACTGGGGCCGCTGTGACTCTGAGCCTCTGCGTTCTGTCAGATGAGGGTAGTGGTGCTTCCCCTGCGTCCTGCTGGGAGAAAAAAGGAGGCAGTAAATGAAAGGTGTCTCATCACCTGCTTCCTAAATAGAAGGGACAAAGAGGCTGAAAAACAGTAATAGTCTTGTTTTATGAAAATGCCACCCCTAATCTAGGAGCTGGGACTGCCATGCCAGGACCCCTCAGATAATGACATCCCTGAAGAGGATTAGCAGCTAGTCTGTTATCAGTCACAGGCAGTTCAACCCAGAAGATTTAAGGATTAGATTACCCAACAACCTTGAGTGTAGATTTTGTCTCTCATCACCCTTTGCATTAACTTTGGGTGCATGTGTGTTAATGAGGAAGTGTGTTCTGCTTTATTCTTGGTACATCACAGACATTTAATAGATACAGGTCATTAGAAATAAAAATTGTTTTAACTTGTATGAGTTTTGCAAGCATTGATATTTCAAATTGAAATTGCAGAAATTAGGACAGCATTTCATTTTCTTTTGTTTTTTTGAGACGGAGTCTCATTCTCTCACCCAGGCTGGAGTGCGGTGGCGTGACCTTGGCTCACTGCAACCTCTGCCTCCTGGGTTCAAGTGATTCTTCTGCCTCAGCCTCCCGAGTAGCTGGGACTACAGGCGGTCGCCACCACGCCAGGCTAATTTTTTGTATTTTTAGTAGAGACAGGGTTTCGCGGTGTTAGCCAGGATGGTCTCGATCTCCTGACCTTGTGATCCGCCCATCTTGGCCTCCCAAAGTGCTGGGATTGCAGGTGTGAGCCACTGCGCCTGGGCTTTTTTTTTTTTTTTTTTTTGGTTGGGGGACGGAGTCTCACTCTGTCACCCAGGCTTGAGTACAACGGTACGGTTTCCGCTCATGGCAACCTCTGCCTCCTAGGTTCAAGTGATTCTCCTGCCTCAGCCTCCTGGGTTGCTGGGATTACAGGCGCCTGCCATGACACCCGGCTAATTTTTGTATTTTTAGTAGAGATGGGGTTTTGCCATGTTGGCCAGGCTGGTCTTGAACTCCTGACCTCAGGTGATCCACCCACTTTGGCCTCCCAAAGTGCTGGGATTATAGGCGTGAGCCACTGAGCCCAGCCCCAAGTTGGTCTTGAGCTCCTGGACTCAAGTGATCGTCCAACCAGCATCTCATTTTCTAAAGAAAGAAGTACTTAGACCAGGTTTGGGACATGTCTCTGAAAATTCTGGGCTGGTGCAGTGGCTCATGCCTGTAATCCCAGCACTTTGAGAGGCCGAGGCAGGCGGATTGCTAGAGTCCAGAAGTGAAGACCAGGCTGGGCAACATAGCAAAACCCCATCTGTACTAAAACTAGAAACAATTAGCCGGGTATGGTGACATGCAGCTGTAGTCCCAGCTACTCGGAGGCTGAGGTGGTAGGATCACCTGAGCCTGGGAGGCTGAGGCTGCAGCAAGCCATGATTGCTCCACTGCACTCCAGCCTGGGCGACAGAGCAAGACACTGTCTCAAAAAAAAAAAAAAAAAAAAAAAGGAAGTTCTGTATTGATCAATAATTTCCTCCTCAGGACAGACCTGCATATGCCACAATTTAACTTTGTTGCAACATCATTCTACATTTTGCATGAATGGTTTCAAAAAACTTATTTCTATGACAGAGAACTTTGTCATTTATTCTTGACATATTAAACCTGAGTGACATTTTTAAATTTTTGTGTTGTGTTGTGAGTGCTTAGTGAAGATTCCTTGAATATGGATGTGAATGAATCTTATTTTTCATGGGTTTATAATTGTATTGTCCCTTTAAATATTCTACATTGAACATGTATCACCAGCAGAAATAATCATTTACGAGGTGAAGTGTCCAGAGCCATGTAGTGTCTGCATTGCTGTGTCCAGGGATTCTTTGTTTGTTTGAGACGGAGTCTCGCTCTGTCATCCAGGCTGGAGTGCAGTGGCACGATCGTGTCTCACTGCCGCTTCCACCTCCCGGGTTCAAGTGATTCTTCTGCCTCAGCCTCTTGAGTAACTGGAATTACAGGCGTGTGCCACCACGCCCAGCTAATTTTTGTATTTTTAGTAGAGATGGGGTTTCACCATGTTGTCCAGGCTGGTCTCAAACTCCTGAACTCAAGTAATCAACCCACCTTGGCCTCCCAAGGTGCTGGGTTTACAGGCATGAGCCACTGTGCTCAATCTGCGTTCTGAGGCATTCTGTGCCTGTTATGAAATCATGATGCTGGCAGGTCGGAAGATGGAATCGACTTCCCAGCCCCATCGGCTGTGCCCTGCCCTCCTTGCTGTCTCTAGAGCGCGGCTGACTTCGGGGAGAGCTCTCCCTGCCCTGTGCCTCTATTTTTTCACCAGGTAGGGTGGAAATGTGTTCTAGTGAAACTGCAGAACGAAAATATCCCGTCTTACTCTTGACCCTTGAAGAAGCAGGAGCTGAATTCAGGTGCCAGAGGCTGCGTCCGCGCGCTCCACATCAGTCTCAGAGTGGAGGCGAGCCCAGGCCAGAGGCCTCTACCCCGGACGAGGCTGCAGGTGCCTGACGGGAGGAGTGACTGCAGCTCAGCAGAGGGAGTGTGTGGAGTGTGCGGCCCTGCCTGGCTTTTATTTTGCTCCTCCTGTTATTGGGAGGGATTAGCAGCAGAGCGAATGTTTGGATCTTTGCTGAGCAGTCCCATCGGATTTTTCTTTATTAAATAGGATTGTGTTTTATTGTAAGAAGGTTTCCCTAAGACAAATAACGAAGGAAATTCTGGGTCCAGGAGTACAGACTGTAGCTTCTGTCATCTCTTGCCAAGTTCGTAGCCCTCAGATGGTGTCTGTCTTTCCCCTTTGCTTGCGGGGCCTTTTACCACAGCACTTTGGTGTTCTTTTAGCTGCTGCGATAGGACTAGCTGTTAAAATCTGAGATTTTACATTTTTGCCAGTCGCAATAAATTTTGTTAGTTCTTTCTTGATGTGTTCTTTAAAATAATAATGCTTTTTTTTTTTGGGTGGGGGACAGAGTCTTGTGCTGTCGCCCAGGCTGGAGTGCAGTGACGCGATCTCGGCTCACTGCAAGCTCCGCCTCCCGGGTTCACGCCATTCCCCTGCCTCAGCCTCCCGAGTAGCTGGGACTACAGGCGCCCGCCACCACGCCCGGCTAATTTTTCGTATTTTTAGTAGAGATGGGGTTTCACCGTGTTAGCCAGGATGGTCTCGATCTCCTGACCTTGTGATCCGCCCAGCTCGGCCTCCGAAAGTGCTGGGATTACAGGCGTGAGCCACTGCTCCTGGCCTCATCTTTTTTTTTTTTTTTTTTTTTTTTGAGACGGAGTTTCACTCTTGTTTCCCAGGCTGGTGGAGTGCAACGGTGTGATCTTGGCTCACCGCAACCTCTGCCTTCTGGGTTCAAGTGATTCTCCAGCCTCAGCCTCCTGAGTAGCTGGGATTACAGGCGTGTGCCACCACACCCAGCTAATTTTGTATTTTTAGTAGAGATGGGGTTTCTCCATGTTGGTCAGGCTGGTCTCGACCTCCCAACCTCAGGTGATCCACTCACCTCGGCCTCCCAAAGTGCTGGGATTACAGGCGTGAGCCAACGCACCTGGCCTCATCTTGTTTTTTTTTTTTTTTTTTGAGACAGAGTCTTGCTCTGTCGCCCAGGCTGGAGTGCAGTGACTCAGTCTCGGCTCACTGCAAGCTCTGCCACCTGGGTTCATGCCATTCTCCTGCCTCAGCCTCCCGAGTAGCTGGGACTACAGGCACCCGCCGCCACGCCCAGCTAATGTTTTTTGTATTTTTAGTAGAGACGGGATTTCATCGTGTTAGCCAGGATGGTCTCGATCTCCTGACCTCGTGATCTGCCCACCTCGGCCTCCCAAAGTGCTGGGATTAGAGGCGTGAGCCACCGCGCCCTGCCACATCCTGTTTTTTTTACAACAGGGTGTCACTCTGTCTCTCACCCAAGTTAGAGAGGAGTGACACAGTCTTAGCTCACTGCATTCTCCCAGGCCCAAGCAATCCTCCTATCTCAGCCTCCCAAGTAGCTGGGACTTTAGGTATGTGTCACCACAGTTGACTAATGTTTTAATTTTTGTAGAGATGGGGCCTCCACATGTTGCCCAGGTTGGCCTTCCTGGGCTCGATCCTCCTGCCTCAGCCTCCCAAGGTGGTGCATGCCTACAGTCTCAGTAGATTAGAATCACCCTAACCCTCAGTAACTGAGATTGTAGGCACGCACCACCTCACTGACTCACCTCAAACTCTCTTTTTTGAGATGGAGTCTCTGTCACCAGACTGGAGAGCAGTGGTGCGATCTTGGCACACTGCAACCTCCGCCTCCTGGGTTCAAGCGATTCTCCTGCCTCAGCCTCTGTAGCAGCTGGGACTACAGGCATGCGCCACTACGCCCGGCTGATTTTTGTATTTTTTAGTAGAGACGGGGTTTCACCATGTTGGCCAGGATGATCTCGATCTCTTGACCTCATGGTCTGCGCACCTTGGCCTCCCAAAGTGCTGGGATTACAGGTGTGAGCCACTGCGCTCGGCCCATCTCAAACTTTTAATAAGGCTCTTCGTATAGAAATTTTTAAAAAATTAAAAACATTTTTGGCCAGGCTTAGTGGTTTAAGCCTGTAATCCCAGTGCTTTGGGAGGCCAAGGCAAGCAGATTACATGAGGCCAGGAGTTTGAGACTAGCCTGGCCAACATGGCGAAACCACGTCTCTACTAAAAATACAAAAATTTGGGCAGGTGCAGTGGCTGACACCTGTAACCCCAACACTTTGGGAGGCTGAGGTGGATAGATCTCTCGAGTTCAGGAATTTGAGACCAGCCTGGGTAACATGAGGAAACCCCATCTCTGCAGAAAATACAAAAGTTAGCTGGGCGTGGTGGTGCATGCCTGTGGTCCCAGCTACTCGAGAGGCTGAGGTCAGGCTGAGGTGGGAGGATCCCTGGAGCCTGGGAAGCGGAGGTTGCAGTGGGGGATGAAAAAGAATACCCCGTGTCCAAATAGCAAAACACTCTGAAATGAGGCAAACCGTGGTTTGTTGAACAGGTGTTCTGGGACAAGGTTGCCGAATATGCATTAGCCGTAATCCCCAGGACAGCCATGCAGGGTGGGTCTTAAACAGTTTTTTAGATTCTCGAGTATAAAGGTATAATATTGAAGAATAAGCACAAATAATGTCATCATACATGTTAAAGTGACAACACAGGATTTACAAAATTACCCTTTTTTCCCCAAAATTACCTCTTACGATGTGGTTTCTGTTGGTGCTGTTTTCTCTTGCATCATCCCGCCAGGTTGGGTAACCCTAACTGATTGTCACCAGCAGACCAACAGACAGACTCACAGCATCCTTCTCCCTGGTGTGAGCACTGCTTAATTCACATTTATGAAAATACTTTAAGACAAGGGCACTGTAACTCACATAGAATCTGAAGTGGCCTTGAACAGGGAGCTGGTCCAGCTGCCTCTTAGTGTGTCTGACCTCCAGGTGGGCGGACTGAGATGCGTGCAGGTGTTCATGGTATAGGCATCCTTGTAAACCTGCTCTGGTTAAGGATAAATAGGCAAAGTTGTGCTAATGCTGTTCCTACAGCAGCCTTTGCCCTGGACTGACTCCAGAACAGCTGGCTGACTGACAGCTGCCTCCCAGTAAAGCCTTAAACAGGCTTATCTTATATTTTTAAAAGGCAAAGGACAATAAGGCAGATTAATAAACTGTGGGGGTTTTTTTGTTTGTTTTTGTTTTTCTTGAGACAAAGTCTCGCTGTTGTACCCCAGGCTGGAGTGCAACGGCGCGATCTCGGCTCACTGCAACCTCTGCCTCTCGGGTTCAAGCGATTCTCCTGCCTCAGCCTCCAGAGTAGCTGGGATTACAGGTGCCCGCCACCACGCCCGGCTAATTTTTGTATTTTTAGTCTAGACGGGGGTTTCACCATGTTGGCCAGGCTGGTCTCGAACTCCTGACATCAGGTGATCCGCCTGCCTCGGCCTCCCAAAGTGTCAGGATTATAGGGTGAGCCACCGTGCCTGGCTTTTTTTTTTTTTTCCTGTCTTTTGTGTATGTGATGGGGTCTCGCTCTTGTCGCCCAGGCTGGAGTGCCATGGCACGATCTCGGCTCACTGCAACCTCTGCTTCCCGGGTTCAAGTGACTCTCCTGCCTCAGCCTCCTGAGTAGCTGGAACTGCAGGTGTGCACCACCATGCCCGGCTAATTTTTGTATTTTTACTAGAGATGGGGTTTCACCATGTTGGCCAGGCCGATCTCGACCTCCTGACCTCAAGTGATTGACCCACCTCAGCCTTCCAAAGTACTGGGATTGCAGGTGTGAGCCACCACACCCGGGGCTGGATTTTTTTGTTTTAAGAGACAAGGTCTCACACTCTTGCCCAGGCTGGTTTACAGTGGTGCAGTCACTGCAGCCTTCACCTCTGGGCTCGAGTGATCCTCCCACCTCAGGTTACAGGTGTGAGCCACCACACATGACCGCACATGGCAGATTTTTTTTTTTTTTTTTTCACGGAGTCTGGCTCTTGTCACCCAGGCTGGAGTGCAATGATGTGATCTCAGCTCTCACTGCAACCTCCGCCTCCTGGGTTCAAGCAATTCTCCTGCCTCAGCCTCCCGAGTAGCTGGGATTATAGGGGCGTGCCACCCTGCCCAGCTAATTTTTTTTTTTTTCTGGAGACAAAGTCTTGCTCTGTCACCCAGACTGGAGTGCAATGGCACCATCTTGGCTCACTGCAACCTCCGCCTCCTGGGTTCAAGCGATTCTCCTGCCTCAGCCTCCCGAGTAGCTGGGATTACAGGCACGTGCCACCTCACCTGGCTAATTTTTATATTTTTAGTAGAGACGGGGTTTCACCATGTTGGCCAGGCTGGTCTTGAACTCACTGACCTCAGGTGATCCGCCTCAGCCTCCCAAAGTGCTGGGATTACAGGCGTGAGCCACTATGCCCGGCCCAGGATTTTTTTTTTAATTAAGGAAAATACTTTTTACATCTAAAATTCTACGCGACAATAATTAATGTGTCTTCAAGCTGAGAATTAATTA
This sequence comes from Homo sapiens, assembly GCF_000001405.40. Taxonomy (NCBI): domain Eukaryota; kingdom Metazoa; phylum Chordata; class Mammalia; order Primates; family Hominidae; genus Homo; species Homo sapiens. Next base: position 63,906,123 of record NC_000020.11, read on the forward strand.
AAATATAGCCAATAAAACATGTATTAAGCTTTGTAAACTTTGTCTATATATGTACTTATTTTACTTTTATTTAAAAATATGGGGCCAGGCACGGTGGCTCACACCTGTAATCCCACCACTTCGGGAGGCCAAGACGGGTGGATCACTTGGGGTCAGGAGTTTGAGACCAGCCTGGCCAACATGGCGAAACCCCTTCCATCTCTACTAAAAATATGAAAATTAGCCAGGTGTGGTGCAGGCACCTGTAATTCCAGCTACTCAGGAGGCTGAGGCAGGACAATTGCTTAAACCCAGAAGGCGGAGGTTGCAGTGAGCCGACATTGCTCCACTGCACTCCAGCTTGAGCAATAGAAAGACTCTGTCTTAATAAATAAATTAATAGCCGAGCACGCTGGCTCACGCCTGTAATCCCAGCATTTTGGGAGGCCGAGACGGGCAGATCATGAGGTCAGGAGATCGAGACCATCCTGGCTAACACGATGAAACCCCGTCTCTACTAAAAATACAAAAAAAGCCGGGTGTGATGGTGGGCGCCTGTATATAGTCCCAGCTACTCGGGAGGCTGAGGCAGGAGAATGGCGTGAACCTGGGAGGTGGAGCTTGCAGTGAGCCGAGATCGCGCCACTGCACTCCAGCCTGGGTGAGTGATCGAGACTCTGTCTCAAAAAAAATTAATTAATTAATTAAAATATGACAGTGGCCTGGGTGCCATCGCTCGCACCTGTAATCCCAGCACATTGGGAGTCTAAGGTGGGAGGATCACTTGAGCTCAGGAGTTTGCCTAGCCTGGGCAACTTAGGGAGATCCTGCCTCTACAAAAAATAAAAAATTATCCAAGTGTGGTGGTTGCACACCTGTAGTCCCAACTACTTCGGAGGGTTGCAGGAGTCCAGGAGGTCAAGGCTGCCGTGAGGTGTGATTGAGCCACTGCACTCCTACCTGGGTGATATAGTGAGACTCTGTCTCTAAAATAAAATAAAATAAAATAAATGACAGTGGTCCATATAGTACCTTATTCAGAAAAGGCTTGATGTACAAGAAAATAAGTTATTTGTGATCAGGACAGAGAAGAATTACTGCCTTTTGTGAAATGGATGCTGAGAATCAGTTACGATGTACGGTGCTTGGGAGGCTGACTTTGATTTCAGTTACAGCCCTGCTGATCCTTAGCACGGTGACTGCAAATAGGTTACTCCACCTTCCTGAGTCTCAGTCTTCTTAGCCGAAAAGCACAGATCATCATCATAATAGCTAACATTAACTGTGTGCCTGGCATAGGGTCTGACCGCTTTATTCAAGCCAGCTCCCAGACATACCTTGCTGGACTGTTTAATGCCCATTCGACAAAGAGGAGATCGACATGGGGAGGTGTTGAGTAACTTGCCTGGCCACTGAGTCCCTGTCAATGGCAGCTCAGACAGGTGACCCCAGAGCTACCCTCCCACCCCCTGACCAGGCCCGTCTCACAGGCCTCTTAGGAAGGGCTCTGTTCAGTAGATGGCAGGCACGTGGTAAGTGTTTCCTAAGCTGCAGCTGCTGTGTAGATAAAACTCAAAGCAGATATCACAAGTTTTGTCAGATCATACTGTCTCAATTTTGAGGTGAATGCATGTGTTTTACTACTTAACTACCTCTGAAATTTAGGGGTTTTTTGTTTGTTTTGAGACGGAGTCTCGCTCTGTCGACAGGCTGGAGTGCAGTGGCGCGATCTCGGCTCATTGCATCCTCTGCCTCCCGGCTTCAAGTGATTCTCCTGTCTCAGCTTCCCCAGTAGCTGGGCCTACGGGCATGTGCACCATCACGCCTGGCTAATTTTTGTATTTTTAGTAGAGTCGGGGTTTCACCAGGTTGGCGAGGCTAGTCTCGAACTCCTGAGCTCGTGATCCCCCCACCTTGGCCTCCCGAAGTGCTGGGATTACAGGCGTGAGCCACTGCGCCTGGCCCTGAAATTTCGCATGTTTTACGGTTGGCTTGTTAGGGTTAAATTGGTGCACCTTATACTTGGTTGCATACTAGACTCACTGGAATGATTTGACTTTCGTCATAGTTGCAGAGGCACTCTGAAACCCTATGTATGTGCTTCACCAGGGACAGCCCCACGCATGGGAGGTGGTGGCCAGCCATCACCCCAGGGTGAATTTCTCTAAGAGCAGTCCTAGGCCAGGGGGTGAGTGTGGGAAAGTCAGGGCCGTTTCCATCAGTTAACGTTTCAGAGCGGGTTCCCGCTGGAAGTGCTGGAAATACCCAGATGCCATCTGTAGCATTTTATGAACTGTGGCGGATCCACTCTCTGTGTCTTGAGCTTCTGCTCTGTGGTCTGCTCAGTGGAAGCATCCTGTCAGTCCACTGTACAGTGGGGTGGAGCCGCAGCCAGGGTGGGTGTGCCGTTTGATTGGTCACGGAATGAACAGGGCAAAGGTCACTAAGTAGATATGATACTGCAAGTAGGATTGTGGTCATAGGTATTTTTATGAATTTGTGTTATGTGAAGTTGAGGATTTGAATGTTGTGATTATTATATCCAGATAAAGTTCTAGCCTGGCACAGTGCAGGCACGTGCCTGTGGTCCCAGCTGCTTGAAGTGGGAGGAGAGCTTCAGCTCAGGATTTCCAGGCTATAGGGAGCTGTGGTCCCACCATTGCACCCCAGCCTGGGTGACAGAGTGAGACCCCATCTCAAAAAGAAAAGAAAAGAGGCTAGGCGCAGTGGCTCAGGCCTGTAATTCAAGCACTTTGGGAGGCTGAGGCAGGCGGATCACTTGAAGTCTGGAGTTCGAGACCAGCCTGGCCAACATGGTGAAACCCCCCCATCTCTATTAAAAATACAAAAATCATACTTACCCGGCAGGGGAGATACCATGATCGCGAAGGTGGTTTTCCCAGGGCAAGGCTTAGCCATTGCACTCCGGATGTGCTGAGCCCTGCGTTTTCCCCAAATGTGGGAAACTTGACTGCGTAATTTGTGGTAGTGGAGGGACTGTGTTCACACTGTCCCCCCCGCCCAAAAAAATAAAAATACAAAAATCAGTCGGGCGTGGTGGCTCACGCCTGTCATCCCAGCACTTTGGGAAGCCGAGGTGGGTGGATCACCTGAGGTCAGGAGTTTGAGACCAGCCTGGCCAACATGGTGAAAATTGGGAGGCCGAGGCGGGCGGATCCCAAGGTCAGGAGATCGATACATCCTGGCTAACACAGTGAAACCCCGTCTCTACTAAAAATAAAAAAAAAAAAATTAGCCGGGCGTGGTGGCGGGCGCCTGTAGTCCCAGCTACTCGGGAGGCTGAGGCAGGAGAATGGCGTGAACCAGGGAGGCGGAGCTTGCAGTGAGCCGAGATGGCGCCACTGCACTGCAGCCTGGGCGACAGAGCGAGATTCCGTCTCAAAAACAACAACAAGAACAACAACAAAAAATTAGCCGGGAGCAGTGATGCGTGCCGTAGTCCCAGCTACTCTGGAGGCTGAGGCAGGAGAATCACTTGAGCCTGGGAGGCAGAGGCTGCAGTGAGCCGAGATTGTGCCACTGCACTCCAGCCTGGGCGACAGAGCAAGACTCCGTCTCAAAGAAAGAAAAAGAAAGAAAAAAGTCTTCCCCGTGAGAGTAGATTTCTACTGAATCGATTGCTGGTTTTATGCCTTTTCTTCCGTGATAGGAAGTATGTCCAGACTCATCTGGCTGGGGATCCTCAGGAGAGCCTGCGGGGGGCAGCAGAGGCCCGCCTGGGCCAGGGCGTGCACCAGACCAGAATCCTGCGGATTTAGTATTGTGAGGGTAGAAGACCAGCAAGCAGCATGACCTCGTGGTTACTGATCTTATGAAGAACACTTGTCTTTCATATTTGGGACTGTGTTAAGGTTTTCTGGAATATTTTTGGTTGTAGTAACGATTCTGCTTTAGGAGCTTTCTTCTCTAGTGTTGCACAGACCTGAGTGATTTGACCAGCAGTGCTGCGGTAACGGAAGACCACTCGTGTCTTCAGACTCGTTCTGTTCCTGGGGGTGCTTGCTTGTTCTAGGCCCCCTTTGTATGGAGAGGTTCAAACCTTGATTGAATAGTCGCTACCCAGGTGTCATAACCTGTGGCCTCATTGGTGTCACCTGGACTTTTTGTCTGCTGTTTGCACCATCGAAAGTGATGTGCGCTGGCCGGGCGCGGTGGCTCACGCCTGTGGTCCCAGCACTTTGGGAGGCGGGGGTGGGCAGATCACAAGGTCAGGAGATGGAGACCATCCTGGCTAACACGGTGAAACCCCATCTCTACTAAAAATACAAAAATTAGCTGGGCATGGTTGCGAGTGCCTGTAGTCCCAGCTACTCGGGAGGCTGAGGCAGGAGAATGGCGTGAACCTGGGAGGCAGAGCTTGCAGTGAGTGGAGATCGCGCCACTGCACTCCAGCCTGGGCAACAGAGCGAGACTCCCTCTCGAAAAAAAAAAGTGATGTGCGCTTGGGACTGGGAGGGCGAGGCCCGAGGTACCTGGGTGCCCGATGCCCAGGAGGGCATGAGTGTCGTGTTGGATAACCTGCTCTCCAAGTAATAGGGTTTTGAGAATGTTTTTTTTTTTTTTTAATTGAGACAGAGTCTGACTCTGTCGCCCAGGCTGGAGTGCCATGGTATGATCTCGGCTCAGTGCAACCTCTGCCTCCCAGGTTCAAGCGATTCTCCTGCCTCAGCCTCCCAAGTAGCTGGGACTACAGGTGCCCGCCACCACACCCGGCTAATTTTTGTATTTTTAGTAGAGACGGGGGTTCACCATGTTGGCCAGGCTGGTCTATCTCCTGACCTCATGATCCGCCTGCCTTGGCCTCCCAAAGTACTGGGATTATAGGCCTGAGCCACCATGCCCGGCCTGTTCAATTCTTTGTATTCAAATGTATATCTGGAGTTATTTTGTTCAACTTCTGATCTGCTTTTCTTTTTGAATTACTGTATTCTAAGCATCAGTTTACAAGAAAAAAAATCTTTATTAGGTTTCCAGACCCAAGTCAATACCAATAAAATTAATGCAGCAAACATTCACTGAATGCTCTATTAGGACCTGGGGCAGTAGATGAGTCTGTGAATTAAAAGGGCTTCAGCATGTGGGGTTTGGTTTTGTTTCTCTGTAGCTAATCATACCTTTGGAATGGTTTTATAGTTTCAGGAAACCGTGGTTCTGGGCAGGGTGGCAGCTATGGGTTGAGGCAGTTGATCCTTCCTCAGGTGTGGCCGCTGGTCTTGTTGCTTCTTGACATTAACTTTGTGACTCACGAGGGCAGGCGTTCGTTTTCTGTGGCACTCTGTGTGTGAGCGAGCATGGGGCTTGTTACTGTGTGAAAAGGGCCAGCTGCCCTGCCTGTCTGCTCCTCCCTGGCTCGGCCGGGCGCTGCCATGGCTCCAGCTCAGATTCACTTCCTCTCGTACTTGGATGCTTGGTGATGGTCGTGGAAGCAGTTTTATTTTCTCTTGCTGTTCTCGTGTTGCGTTAAGCTCAGCATCACTGTTGCTTTTTATTCTTAGAATTAAGGAGGAAAGCTGAAATCTTTTGGGGATTTCTGTGTTTCCAGGGACTTTAGGAATTCTTTTTTTTTTTTGAGACAGGGTCTTGCTCTGTCAATCAGGCTGGAGTGCGGTGGCGCGATCTCGGCTCCCTGCAGCCTTGACCTCCTGGGCTCGAGTGATCCTCCCATCCCAACCACCTGAGTAACTGGGACCACAGGTGTGCACCATCACGCCTGGCGAGTTTTTGTATTTTTTTTTTTAATAGAGATGGGGTTTCACCATGTTGCCCAGAATGATCAAACTTCTAGGTTCAAGCAGTCTCCCCACCTCAGCCTTCCAAAGTGTTGGGATTACAGGCATGAACTGCCATGGCCGGCTGGAAAGTCTTTACATTTGAAATTCATTTTAAGTTAGGAGGAAAGGCCTAGCACACTGGCTCATATCTGTAATCCCATCACTTTGGGAGGCTGAGGTGGGCGGATCACTTGAGGCCGGGAGTTTGAGTCCAACCTGGCCAATATAGCAAAACCTCATCTCTGCTAACAATACAAAAATTATCTGGGCATGGCGGCAGATGCCTGTGATCCCAGCTACTCGGGAAGCTGAGGCAGGAGAATCGCTTGAACCCGGGAGGCGGAGGTTGCAGTGAGCTGAAAGTGCACTACTGCACTCCAGCGTGGGCGACAGAGTGAGAATCGGTCTCCAAAAAAAAAAAAAAAAGAGTAAAGGTGAGGGACACCTGTGATGTGGCACACAGCGTCTTTTCTCTAGCTTGCTTTGTTGACTCTTGTTTATAATTTCTTCAAATGTATTTACAGAGTTAATTGGGTTTTTTTTGGAATAGATAATATCTATTCCAAATAAAAATCCAGAAATACACATTCAAACTGTGGGGCTTTTACCCTTTTAACTGTGTTCCAAGTCCCTGTCCCTAGCATGCTCTGATTGTCAGTCCTTCCCTTGCCTGACCTACCTGTCTGAGTATCCTTTGGCAGTCAGGTTTTTGTTTGTTTGTTTTTGAGACGGAGTCTCGCTCTGTCGCCCAGGCTGCAGGCTGGAGTGCAGTGGCGTGATCTCAGCTCACTGCAACCTCCAACTCCCGGGTTCAAGCGATTCTTGTGACTCAGCCTCACGAGTAGCTGGGACTACAGGCGCCTGCCACCACGTCCAGCTAATTTTTGTATTTTTTAGTTGAGACGGGGTTTCACCATGTTGGCCAGGATGGTCTTGATCTCCTGACCTCGTGATCTGGCCACCTTGGCCTCCCAAAGTGCTGGGATGACAGGTTTGGCCACCGTGCCCGGCCGGCAGTCAGTTTTTACATGGTTCATCACAGATTTTAAATTAAGATTCCCCAGCAGGATAAAAGAAATGCCAGTTGTATTTTATTTTTCGTATTTGTATTTTTAGCAATTTTTTTTTTTTGTATAGAATGAGCCAAGGGCATCTAGAGCAAAGAGGTAGTTCCCTGCCCCGTCTCCATCTCCCTGTCTGCACTGTCTCTCCCAGAGGTGTTTGCTGGTGCCTTCTTTGCAGTTCCCTGTGCTGTGTCATGCCCGTTTGCTGACCCAGCCCCTGCTGTGTCTTCCCCATCCCAGTGTGACTGTCGCTCTTGGTAGTTCCTCCGTGTTTCCTTTGTTTCCTTAGGTGACTTGTCTTTGCCCCACTCCCTGCAGTCCGCAGCACCTGTTGTCTCCTTCCCTCTCCTCCCGCTTCTCCTCAGACGTCATCTGTTCTTTCTAGAGTTGTTCCCCTTGCCCCAGGGTCCAGGGTTCCTAACAGCCTGTTTTTTTTCTTTCTTTTTTTTTTTTTAGTGAGACAGAGTCTCGCTCTGTTGCCCAGGCTGGAGTGCAGTGGTGCGGTCTCAGCTCACTGCAGCCTCTGCCTCCTGGGTTCAAGTGATTCTCCCGCCTCAGTCTTCTGAGTAGCTGGGACTATAGGCGTGCACTACCATACCTGGCTGATTTTTGTATTTTTATTTTTTATTTATTGTTGAGACAGGGTCTCTTTGTTGCCCAAGCTGGAGTGCAGTGGTGCCATCTTGGCTCACTGCAACCTCCACCTCCTGGGTTCAAGTGATTCTCCTGCCTCAGCCTCCCAAGTAGCTTACAGTAGGGATTGCGGGCACCTACGACCACGCCCAGCTAATTTTGTATTTTTAGTACAGATAGGGTTTCACCATGTTGACCACCTGGTCTCAAACTCCTGACCTCAGGGGATCCGCCCACCTTGGCCTCCCAAAGTGCTGGGATTGCAGGCGTGAGCCACCGCGCCAGGCCCTAACAGCCACCTTCTTAGCATCTGTATATTCAGACCGTCCATTGCAGGATGTGTGATCTTTGTGGCCTGGAATGTCTCTCTCTGAGCACTCCATCCTCCCACCCCTCAGGCAGTGTCTCTTGAGGCCACCTGCCCAGCCACCATCTTGGGGGGACCACAGGAGGCTGGGGAGAGAGCGAGGCAGTAGTGAGAAGCCGGGACGCTCACCGTTGGCCGAGTACCTTAGAGCAGCCCTGACGCCTGCTTCTGTCTCTTGGTGAAAGTGGCGCCCAGACTTCAGTCCTTACAGCCCAGAACTCAGAACCGTGGAGGTGCTGTGACCCACAGGGTTTACCTTGTAATTGTTGTTAAAACCCTTCTGGGCTTCATAATGGAATGCTTATGTTGAAATATTATTTTAAGTACTATTATCTATGATGTGGTTAGAAATGCCAAAGAATTTTTAGCTTTTTTGAGACGGAGTCTTGCTCTGTTGCCCAGGCTGGAGTGTAGTGGCGCGATCTCCGCTCACTGCAAGCTCCCCCTCCTGGGTTCACGCGATTCTCCCGCCTCAGTCTTCCGAGTCGCTGGGACTACAGGCGCCTACCACCATACCTGGCTAATTTTTTTTGGTATTTTTTGTAGAGACGGGGTTTCACGACGTTACCCAGGATGGTCTCGATCTCCTGACCTCGTGATCCACCCGCCTCGGCCTCCCAAAGTGCTGGGATTACAGGCATGAACCACCGTGCCCGGCCTTTTTTTTTTTTTTTGGTAGATGGAGTCTCGCTCTGTCGCCCAGGCTGGAGTGTGGTGGCGTGATCTTGGCTCACTGCAGCCTCCACCTCCCTAGTTCAAACGATTCTTCTGCTTCAGCCTGCTGAGTAGCTGGGATTACAGGCACCTGCCACCACGCCCTGCTAATTTCTGTATTTTTAGCAGAGATGGGGTTTCACTGTGTTGCCCAGGCTGGTCTCAAACTCCTGACCTCAGGTGATCTGCCCTCCTCGGCCTACCAAAATGTTGGGATTACAGGTGTGAACCACCACGCCCGGCCAGAGTGTGTAGCTTTTGTAAAAGTTTTGGAAATGGCCTCAGATAATTTCAGAGGTTTTTAAATAAAGAACGCTCAAAATGGAGCAAAATGGAGAGCCCCTGATAGGCCTCCTGCGTGGAGGTTTGCAGTAAGCCAGAGGCACCTGTGGGTCCCAGGGAGAGACGGGCTGCTCCATGGATGCTCCTGGGACCTGGGGCACTGGGTGGGCCTCAGGCAGATAGGAGCTGGTCCGTATCTCTTGCCAAGCCCAGGCCAACTCCTGATGAAGCAGATTCCTGTGGGTGACAAGTGTCAGAAGATAGAATAGGACCTTAGGGTCAGGAAGGATTTCTTGAACAAAAAAGGGGAAAAACAGATTGAGAGATTCAGAAAGCTGTAATATATTCTGTGACCTCAAAGGTGACTTGGAGGAGGGCTGTTGTTCAGCGACGGGCGTGTAGTGAACACTGGGGCATTTAAACGGTTCAGATGCTGAATTTAATGTTATATGTTTTTTACTACAATTGGTAAAAAAAAAAAAAAAAGCTTGTGCTCATCAAAAGACACACCATAATAAGTAAAAAAAGAACTGTGAACTGGAAGATACTTGTAACATTTTTAACCAGTGAAGGGTCGGTGTCCTGGATATGTCCACTGGGCACCACAGACAGAACGGCCTTGAAGGTAGGCTGGAGACGCCTACCCTTATCAGGCCAGGCAAGCACTGGGGAGCCTGGCCGTACCAGTCATTGTTGAGGCTGCAGGAATGGCAGGGAGCCCTAAGTTCCAGTGGCCACTGGTGCAGTCCTCAGAGAGCAGTTGGCACACCGCCTCAGGCTGAGCCTGCCCATTCTTGGGCACCCAGAAGTTCCACTCTTAGGTATACACCAGAAGAATTCTTCCTCGACTGTTTGTGCTGAAGGACAAGGTTTAAGTTTTTAAAATTTCCAGTGTCACAGACTGATGATATTTTTGTAAACTACAACAAAAGTGACTAGCTAGTAAAGGAAATCACAGAACATAAAATACAAACCCATGTCATTATTATTAATATTTTGAGGCAGAGTCTCGCTTTGTCACTCAGACTGGAGGGCAGTGGTGCGATCTCGGCTCACTGCAACCTCTGCCTCCTGGGTTCAAGCGATTTTCCTGCCTCAGCCTCCCAAGTAGCTGGGATTACAGGCGTGCACCACCATGCCTGGCTAATTATGCCTGGCTAATTTTTGTATTTTTAGTAGAGATGGGGTTTTGCCGTGTTGGTCAGGCTGGTCTCAAACTCCTGGCCTCAAGCAATCTGCATTCCTCAGCCTCCAAAAGTGCTAGGATTCCGGGCATGAGCCATCATGCCTGGTTATCGGGGGAACCCGCCCCCAATATTTCAATGTAGGTTCTTTCTATTTTCCATAAGTGTCGGCCAGCTGAGAAATAAAGAGAAAGAGTACAAAGAGAGGAATTTTACAGCTGGGCCCCCCGGGTGACATCACATATCGGTAGGGCCGCGATGCCCGCCTGAGCCACAAAACAAGCAAGTTTTATTAAGGATTTCAGAAGGGGAGGGGGTGCAAGAACAGGGAGTAGGTCACAAGATCACATGCTTCAAAGGGCAAAAAGGAGAACAAAGATCACAAGGCAAAGGGCAAAAGTGGAACTCCTGATAAGGGTCTGTGTTCAGCGGTGCATGTATTGTCTTGATAAACATCTTAAACAACAGAAAACAGGGTTCCAGAGCAGAGAACCAGTCTGACCAAAAATTTACCAGGGTGGGGTTTCCCAATCCTAGTAAGCCTGAGGGTACTGCAGGAGACCAGGGCGTATTTCAGTCCTTATCTCAACCACATAAGACAGGCACTCCCAGAGCAGCCTTCTGTAGACCTCCCCCCAGGAATGCATTCCTTTCCCAGAGTATTAATTCTTGCTAGGAAAAGAATTTAGTGATATCTTCCCTACTTGCACGTCCGCTTATAGGCTCTCTGCAAGAAGAAAAATATGGCTGTATTTTGCCTGACCACACAGGCAGTCAGACCTTATGGTTGTCTTCCCTTGTTCCCTGAAAATCACGATTATTCTGTTCTTTTTCAAGGTGTACTGATTTCATATTGTTCAAACGCACGTTTTACAGTTTGTACAGTTAACACAATTATAGTGGCCCTGAGGTGATGTACATCCTCAGTTTATGAAGATAACAGGATTAAGAGATTAAAGTAAGACAGGCTTAAGAAATTATCAAAGTATTATTTGGAAACTGGTAAATGTCCATGAAATCTTCACAATTTATGTTCCTTTGCCACAGCTCCAGCCGGTCCATCTGTTCAGGGTCCCTGACTTCCCACAACACCTGGCTTCTATTACTTTTTTAAAATTAGCTTTTTTCTTTTTTTCGAGATGGAGTCTCACTCTGTTGCCCAGGCTGGAATACATGGTGTGATCTTGGCTCACTGCAGCCGCCGCCTCCTGGGTTCAAGCGATTCTCTTGCCTCAGCCTCTCGAGTAACTGGGACTGCAGGTGCAATACAAAAAATGCAGAACTTTTGTATTTTCTGTAGAGATGGGGTTTCGCTGTGTTGTCCAGGCTGGTCTCAAACTCCTGAGCTCAAGTGACATGCCCACCTTGGCCTCTCAAAGTTCTGGGATTATAGGCATGAGCCACTGCATCCAGCCTTATTATTATTATTTTTTTTTGAGATGGAGTCTTGCTCTGTCGCCCAGGCTGGAGTGCAGTGGCGCGATCTCGGCTCACTGCAACCTCTGCCTCCCGGATTCAAGCGATTTTCCTGCCTCAGCCTCCTGAGTAGCTGGGACTACAGGCATGCGCCATCACACCGAGGTAATTTTTGTATTTTTTGGCAGAGACAGGGTTTCACCATGTTGACCAGGCTGGTCTTGAACTCCTGACCTCAAGCCATCTGCCCACCTTGGCCTCCCAAAGTTCTGGGATTATTTTTTAAGCAGTTTTGATAGGTGTGTACCTAGTAGTGCTCTGTGGTTTAATTTGCATTTCCCAGGGAGTGGGGGCACTGCCTGTCTTCTCACGCCTCAGTTGCTTGTTGCTGTGACGGTCGCCCACTCCTCCTGCCAGTGTCTGTGCTGCTCACGGTAGCTGCATCAGCTTCACGCTGTCCGCCCTTCGCCACCCACCGCGCCTGCTGCTCAGGAATGTTCCAAGCAACTTGGTGGTAACAGAAGCTGAGAACAGCCCAGATGTCCTTCGGTGCAAGAGTGGATGGATCAGTTGTGGTCTATTCACAGAATAGAATGTGACCACACTGGAGATGAATGAATTGTAGCTACAATCTGCAGTGTAGACGAATCTTAGGAACGTAGGCGTTTCAGAAGCAGATCAAGCCAGGCACGATGCTGTGTGCCTATAGTCCCAGCTACTCAGAGCCTGAAGGTGGGAGATCACTTCAGCCTGGGAGTTTGAGGCCAGCCTGGGCAACATAGCAAGACCCTGTCTCAAAGGAAAAAAAAAGCAGATTACAGAAAAGTAAATCCAGTGCTAGGCCGTATTTTTAAGCTCAAAAAATTAAAACTAATTAGCGTTTAGGGATAAACATGAGGTAATTTTTTAGAAGCAAGAGAATAGCATTGAATTTAAGGTATATATGGGGAAAATGAAACTTCCAAGTTATTGATAATTTTCCAGTTTTTAAATTAGAGACGGGATCATGGTGTTTATGCGTCATAATTTATATGTTCCATATATTTTTTGTTGTTTTTTTGAGACGGAGTCTCGCTCTGTCACCCATGCTGGAGTGCAGTGGCGCGATCTCGGCTCACGGCAAGCTCTACCTCCCAGGTTTACACCATTCTCCGCCTCAGCCTCCCGAGTAGCTGGGACTACAGGCGCCCACCACCATGCCTGGCTAATGTTTTTGTATTTTTGTAGAGACGGGGTTTCACTGTGTTAGCCAGGATGGTCTCGATCTCCTGACCTTGTGACCCGCCCGCCTTGGCCTCCCAAAGTGCTGGGATTACAGGCGTGAGCCACCACGCCCGGCTGATATGTTCCATATATTTCTTTCTGTATTTCACATAATACATAGTAAAATATTTAAAACAGAACAAAAATAGACTTCCTTTTAAGATGTTTTCATATCTGTTCTTACAAAGTTGGCCACAGTTTTTCCCCAACAGTAGTTTGAGTTCAGCAGCAGCTCTTTTATAAAACGTTTGCTGCACACACTGAGATTGCACCTGGAAGTACAGAAATAAGAACACACGTATTTTATTTTATTTTTTTACCCCTGAAGATCTTTAAGTCTTCTGAGGAGCATGGACCTGCTAGACTGCAAGCTGCTGCATTCTGAGGAGCAGGGACCTGCTAAACTGCAAGCTGCCGCAGGCGGAGATTTTTGCCTGTTTGGTTTATTTTGTTACCACTGAGTCCCCAGCTCTGAGAACAGAGCGAGGCATGTGATCGATGCATCGTAACTGTTGAGCAAATGAATGCTGAGCTGTGATGGCACCGACGTGTCCGGGGAGAGGACGCACCCGGCTGTGTGGACATGTGCCCAGGGCCCAGGACAGCGCCACGGAAGAGGACACACCCGGCTGTGTGGACATGTGCCCAGGGCCCGGGACAGCGCCACGGAAGAGGACGCACCCGGCTGTGTGCACATGTGCCCAGGGCCCGGGACAGCGCCACGGAAGAGGACGCACCCGGCTGTGTGCACATGTGCCCAGGGCCCGGGACAGCGCCACGGAAGAGGACGCACCCGGCTGTGTGCACATGTGCCCAGGGCCCGGGACAGCGCCACGGAAGAGGACGCACCCGGCTGTGTGGACATGTGCCCAGGGCCCGGGACAGCGCCACGGAAGAGGACGCACAGGACAGCGCCACGGAAGAGGACGCACCCGGCTGTGTGCACATGTGCCCAGGGCCCGGGACAGCGCCACGGAAGAGGACGCACCCGGCTGTGTGCACATGTGCCCAGGGCCCGGGACAGCGCCATGGAAGAGGACGCACCCGGCTGTGTGCACATGTGCCCAGGGCCCGGGACAGCGCCACGGAAGAGGACGCACCCGGCTGTGTGCACATGTGCCCAGGGCCCGGGACAGCGCCACGGAAGAGGATGCACCCGGCTGTGTGGACATGTGCCCAGGGCCCGGGACAGCGCCACGGAAGAGGACGCACCCGGCTGTGTGGACATGTGCCCAGGGCCCGGGACAGCGCCACGGAAGAGGACGCACCCGGCTGTGTGGACATGTGCCCAGGGCCCGGGACAGCGCCACGGAAGAGGACGCACAGGACAGCGCCACGGAAGAGGACGCACCCGGCTGTGTGGCAGGGGAGGTTCCCAAGAGCAGGCTCAGGGCTCTGGGGTCTGAGTGAGGGCTCTCCAGCCAGCAGGGAGCAGGGCAGGGTGTTGAAGAGACGGCAGGTGCGTCAGGGGCTGACGTGGGACCCGGCACTCTGTGCTCTGTGTCTGCCCGGGAACAGGTAGTCCTGCGTCGGACCGGGAAGTGTGGTGGGTGTGGTGGGGGAAGGGGCTGGCGTCAGCAGGGCTCTCGTCCGCCAACGTCTGGTGGGGATGCCCGCCATGCGGGGGCCTCAGGCTACAGCCAGGGCTGTGAAGGAGCCGAGGTCATAGAGTGGCTGCCCTGGCGTAGGGAGGGAGGACACGGGTCCCCGCCATTTCAGAAGCTCAGCGTCCCTGCACGTGTGCGGTCTTGTCTGCCTAGGCATGTGTGCGGGCCCTGGGGCTGCTGCCAGCAGAACGGACTGGGATACGCTGGATTTGTAAAACGTGACCCTTTTTGTTTGCTTTTAATTTTTAATTTTTATTTATTTATTTATTTTTGAGACTGAGTCTGACTCTGTCACCCAGGCTGGAGTGCAGTGGTGAGATCTCGGCTCACTGCAACCTCCCCCTCGAGGGTTCAAGCGATTCTCCTGCCTCAGCCTCCTGAGTAGCTGGGATTACAGGTGTGTGCCACCACACCCAGTTAATTTTGTATTTTTAGTAGAGACAGGTTTTCTCCATGTTGGTCAGGCTGGTCTCGAACTCCTGGCCACAAGAAGCAATCCACCTGCCTCAGCCTCCCAAAGCCTTGTTTGCTTTTTTTTATTTTGTTTTGTTTTGAGACGGAGTTTCACTATTGTTACGCAGACTGGAGTGCAACGGCACGGTCTCAGCTCGCTGCAAACTCCACCTCCCGGGTTCAAGTGATTCTTCTACCTCAGCCTCCTGAGTAGGTGGGATTACAGGCATGTGCCATCACGCCCGGCTAATTTTGCATTTTTAGTAGAGATGGGGTTTCTCCATGTTGGTCAGGCTGGCCTCAAACTCCTGACCTCAGGTGATCCGCCCTCCTCAGCCTCCCAAAGTTTTGGGATTACAAGCTTGAGCCACCGTGCCCGGCCACCTTGTTTGCTTTTTAAAGATAATGATGTCACTAAAAGAGTTCTGACTGAGGCCGGGCCTGGTGGCTCACACCTGTAATCCCAGCACTTTGGGAGGCCGAGGCTGGTGGATCACGAGGTGTGGTGATCAAGACCATCCTGGCTAACACGGTGAAACCCCGTCTCTACTAAAACTGCAAAAAATTAGCCGGGCGTGGTGGCGGGTGCCTGTAGTCCCAGCTACTCAGGAGGCTGAGGCAGAAGAATGGCGTGAACCCGGGAGGCGGAGCTTGCAGCAAGCCGAGATAGTGCCACTGCACTCCAGCCTGGGAGACAGAGCGAGACTCCGTCTCAAAAAAAAAAAAAAAGAGTTCTGACTGAAGGTTGGAACTTAGCCCTCCAGAAATGAAGACTGCGAATAACGCTGATGGCAGCTCGTCACTTGCAGCAGGTTGCAGCACGTGCTGCTCGTGTAGCTGCGGCTGCACACCAGGCCTCTCCTTTAACTGTGTTATAACCTTTCTGTTGACATGGGATCCCCTTGAAAGTTTTTTTTTTGGAGACAGGGTCTCACTCTGTCACCCAGGCTGACGTCCAGTGGTGCAATTTCAGTTCACTGCAACCTCCTCCTCCCGGGTTCAAGCCATCCTCCTGCCTCAGCCTCCCAACTAGCTGGGATTACAGATGCACACCGTCACACCCAGCTAATTTTTGTATTTGTAGTAGAGATGAGGTTTCACCACGTTGGCCAGGCTGGTCTCAAACTCTTGATCTCAGGTGATTCAACCACCTCAGCCTCCCAAAGTGCTGGAATTACAGGCGTGAGCCACCACTCCCGGCCCCCTTGAAATTTAAACCAAGTTTAGGAAGAATGAAGTTGTGAGGTGCTACTTCAAACATCAGGTGGCAAACTCCCGGACTCATTACCCCAAGGAAATAGGCAGTCCAGGTTGGTGGCTCACGCCTGTAATCCCAGCACTTCGAGAGGCCGAGGCAGGCGGGTCACCTGAGGTCAGGAGTTCAAGACTATCCTGGCCAACATGGTGAAGCCCATCTGTACTAAAAATACAAAAAAATTAGCTGGGTGTGGTGGCGCGCGCCTGTAATCCCAGCCACTTGGCAGGCTGAGGCAGGAGAATCGCTTGAACCTGGGTGGTGGAGGGTGCATGGAGCCAAGATTGCACCATTGCACTCCATCCAGTTTGGGTGACAGAGTGAGACTCTGTCTCAAAAAAAAAAAAAAAATAGACATCAGAAAGGGTTGGCTCCTGTGATCTCGGCACTTTGGTGACCATGACCCAAGGCAGGAGGATCACTTGAGCCAAGGAATTCAAGATCAGCCTGAGCAACATAGACCCCGTCTCTGCAAAAAATTTCTAAAAACTTAGCTGGCATGGTGGCTCACGCCTGTAGTCCCACCTATTCAGGAGGCTGTGTTGGGAGGATCACTTGAGTCTGAGAGGTTGAGGCTGCCATGATCCCTTATCACACCACTGCATTCCAGCCTGGGTGACAGAGCAAGACCCTGTCTCCAAACAAACAAAAAAGCAAAAAATGGTGTTTTACCTAGGTATTTACCATTTCCAGTGGTCTTCATTCCTTTCTAAAAATCTAGGTTTTAGCCGGACATGGTGGCTCATGCCTGTAATCCCCAGCACTTTGGGAGGCTGAGGCGGGTGGCTCACCTGAGGTCAGGAGTTCCAGACCAGCCTAGCCAACATGGCAAAACCCAATCTCTACTAAAAATACAAAAATTAGCCAGGCGTGGTGGTACGTGCCTGTAGTCCCAGCTATTCAGGAGGCTACGGCAGGAGAATCGCTTGAGCCTGGAAGGTGGAGGTTGCAGTGAGCTGAGATTGCACCACTGCACTCCAGCCTGGGCAACAGAGTGAGACTCTGTCTCAAAAAAGAAAAAAAAAAGAATAAGTCACATTTTGGTGAGGAGCAGTGGCTTGCACCTATAATCCTGGCACTTTGGGAGGCTGAGGCAGGAGGATCACTTGAGACCAGCCTGGGCAACAAAGCCAGACCGTGTCTCTATAGAAAATTTTAAAGTTAGCTGGGCATGGTGGCACATTCCTGTAGTCTTAGCTGCTTGGGATGCTGAGAAGGGAGGCTTTCTTGAGTCCAGGATTTCAAGGCTGCAGTGAGCCAAGATCGCACCACTGCACTCCAGCCTGGGCAACAGAGAAAAACCTTGTTTCTAAAAAAAAAAATTAGGCTGGGTAGGGTGGCTCACACCTGTGATCCCAGCACTTTGGGAGGCTGTAGCAGGCGGATTGCTTGAGTCTGGGAGTTTGAGACCAACAAGATCCTGACTCTATAAAAATTTTAAAAAATAGCTGGGCGTGGTATTGCACACCTGTAGTCCCAGCTACTCAGGAGGCTGAGGTGGGGGGATCAGCTGAGCCCAGGAGGTCAAGGTTGCAGTGAGCTGAAATGTGACCACTGCACTCCAGCCCGGGCAATAAAGTCAGGCGGGGAAAAGAAAGAATGAGTTAACATTTTCTCAGCTTTATGTGTTGAGTGATTTTGGATTCTATCCTGAAATGGTAAGAATGAAAAGAAAATCTGCCAAGTCCATCCGTTCCTACACTCTCACTGCCTCCAAGTCATTCTGCGCTCTTGAGCCAGAACGACCTGGCCGTTTTTAAAAATGGAGTTTTTTGCCTTAGTAATTGACTTGTGTAAGAGTTCTTTATTCCACTTGTGAATTGTTTTTTATACGTACATAATGTAAATATTTTCTCCCCTTCTGTGCCTTTCAGTATGAATCTATCTGAACTCGATTCTGCTGTTGTGTGTGTGTCTTTTCCTCAGTACCAGATGGTCTTGATTACTGTAGATATATAGTATATGTCTTGAAATCAATAGGGTAAATTCTCTAACTTTTGTTCTTTTTATTAATGTTGCTGTGGCTAATCTGTCTGCTACATTTCCTTATACATTTAAAAAAATCAGTATCAGTTTCTGCAAAAAAAAATCCTCTTGGATTAGGGTTAGGCTTCTGTCAAGTCTACAGATCAGTTTGGGGAGAACTGACTTCTTTATATCGAGGCTTCTAATCCGTGAACATGAGGAATCTTTTTCTTATCTTTAGTATCTTAGCAATTTGTGGTTTTCAACGTACAGATTTCATAGGTCTTGTTATTTCTTTTTCTTTTTTTGAAACAAGGTCTCACTGTGTCACCCAGGCTACAGTGTGGTGGCACGATCATGGCTCACTGCAGCCTCGAGCTTCTGGGCTCAGCCATCCTCTTATCTCAACCTCCTGTGTCACTAGGACCACAGACATGAGCCACCATGCCTATTTAACTTAAAAACAAAAACAAAAAACCGGGCACGGTGGCTCATGCCTGTAATCGCAGCACTTTGGGAGGCCGAGGGGGGGATTGACTGAGGCCAGGAGTCCGTGACCAGCCTGGACAACATGGCAAAACCCTGTCTCTAAAAATACAAAAATTAGCTGGGTGCAGTGGTGCGTGCCTGTAGTCCCGTGCCTGCGGCATGGGAATGGGTTGAGCCTGGGAGGCGGAGGTTGCAGTGAGTTGATGACTTAGGATTTTTCTTCTCGGTCACTTTGCAAGCCGGGGACCCCTGGCCAGTGATGCCCCACCTGGGCCCTGCTTGGCCACACTGGCGTGCCCCAACTCACCTGTGTTATAGCTTGTACTGTGTTCGGCCATTCCCGAGCTCATGTACCGCACTCAAGATCAAGGATACACTGGACATTGAAGGGTGAGGAGGGCGGAGAAGAACTTTATTGAGCAGTGAAACAGCTTTCAGCGGACCAGGGGATGCAGGGGTGGTTCCCCTACCTGAAGGCAGGAAAGTCCGCCTGTGTGGCTGGGTCTGGGGCTTTTTATGGACTCAGGATGCGGAGTGCTTGCAGAGCTTGCTGATGGGTTTGTGAGTATGCAGAAAAGGTTAAAGTGGGCATGACAGTGTAGAAAACCAATTATAAGAGGCCGGGCACGGTGGCTCACGCCTGTAATCCCAGCACTTTAGGAGGCTGAGGCAGACGGATCACAAGGTCAGGAGTTCAAGACCATCCTGGTCAATGTGGTGAAACCCCATCTCTACTAAAAATACAAAAATTACCTGGGCGTGGTTCGCGTGCCTGTAGTCCCAGTGACTTGGGAGGCTGAAGCAGAAGAATCGCTTGAACCCGGGAGGCAGAGATTGCAGTGAACTGAGGTCACACCACTGCACTCCAGCCTGGGCAAACAGAGCGAGACTCCACCTCAAAAATAAAAATTAGGAAAGGGTAGGTATGTGTAAAATAGGTGAAGGATGGGGATCAATCAGAGGAAAGTGTGGCAAACAGGAAGGCAAGTTCTTCATCTAGTCTGAGGATTTAACTTGTAGCTCAGCTGTCAGGCTTTAAACTGTCTTTGGCTTGGAGGTGGGTTTCACCGGGAACCCGCCCCATCTGCCTGGCATTCAGCTGCCTCCTGCCAGTATCACCGAGATCGCGTCACCGCACTCCAGCCTGGGCAACAAAGCGAGACTATCTCAAAACCCCATATTGATGTCATTTCCTAAATATTTGGTTAAAAAAAAAATCTGGGCCTGGAATTTTATCTGGTTTTTTTTTTTTTTTTTTTTGAGACGGAGTCTCGCTGTGTCGCCCAGGCTGGAGTGCAGTGGTGCGATCTCTGCTCACTGCAAGCTCCGCCTTCCGGGTTAACGTCATTCTCCTGCCTCAGCCTCCCGAGTAGCTGGGACTACAGGTGCCTGCCACCACTTCCGGCTAATTTTTTTGTATTTTTATTAGAGATGGGGTTTCACTGTGTTAGCCAGGATGGTCTCAATCTCCTGATCTCGTGATCTGCCCGCCTTGGCCTCCCAAAGTGCTGGGATTACAGGCGTGAGCCACGGCGCCTGGCCTTCTGGGGATTTTTTATTACAAATATAACTTTATTAACAGATGCAGGCCTATTCAGATTTTCTATTTCATGTCAGTCTTGGTAAATTGTAATTTTCAAGATATTTGTCCATTTCATCTAATTTTTCTAATTTCTTGGCATGAAGTTGTTCGTATTTTATCCTTTTCACGCCTCTAGGATCTGTAGTGATGTCTTTCCTCATGTTGCTCAAAGAACCAACTCTTTTGGCTTTGTTGAAGTTATCTGTTTGTTTTCATGGATTTCTGTTCCTTATGATTTCCTTGCTTGCATTTATGTTGGGTTTATCCTGTTACTTTGTAGCTTCCTGAGGCGGAGCCTTAGGCCTTGATTAACGTGTTGTACTAGTCAGCATTCTGCAGAGGAACGTTGCCATTATCTGTGTCTCTTTCTAAAGGAGATTTGTTATGAGGAATTGGCCCACGTCATTATGGAGACGGAATCTCATGCTCTGCCATTTGCTGAAGATTGAGGAAAGCAGTGGGATAATAACAGTCCAAGGACAGGAGGAGACACGTGGCCCCGCTCAGGCTGGCAGGCGAGAAGGAAAACCCAGGCCAACTCCTCCTCCCACCCCTTTCTATTCGGGACCCCCGTGGACTGGGACGACACTCACCTGCACAGGGCAGCGCAGTTGGCTTCATGGAGCCCCCAGCTCAGGTGCTGCTCTTACCAAGAAACACCCTCCCAGGCACACCCTGAAGTCATGTTTCATCTGGGTGCCCCACGATGCAGCAAAGGAGACATGAAATTAACCGTCATGTACACTGTATTTATTATTCAATTCAAAACATTTTCTAAGTTCCCCTGGGATTTCTTCTTTGAGCTACATGTTAGCCGGAGGTGTGTTGTTGAATATCAAGAGTATCTTCCTCCTGGGTTTCCAGTTTGTAGCTAAGTCAGGGATAGTGCTGTGTGTGACCTCATTCCATTACGTTTATTGAAACCAGCTTGAAGCCCTAACATGTGGCTTGTCTTAGTGTACAGCATTCAGTTAAAAACAATGTGTGTTCTCTAGATGTTGGGTGTTCTGTGACTGTCACGTCATGGTGGTTGATTAGTTAGAAACAATGTAGAAACAATGTGTATTTGCCAGGCGCTGTGGCTCACACCTATAACCCCAGCACTGTGGGAGGCTGAGGCAGGCGGATCACCTGAGGTCGGGAGTTCAGCCTGAGGTCGGGAATTCAAGACCAGCCTGGCCAACATGGAGAAACCCCATCTCTACTAAAAATACCAAAATTAGCTGGGTGTGGTGGCACATGCCTGTAATCCCAGCTACTCCTGTGTGAGGCTGAGGCAGGAGCATTGCTTGAACCGGGGAGGCGGAGGTTGTGGTGAGCCGAGATCGTGCCATTGCACTCCAGCCTGGGCAACAAGAGCAAAACTGTCCCCCCCCCCAAAAAAGAAAGAAAGAAACTGTGTGTTCTCTAGATGTTGGGTGTTCTGTGAAGATCAGGTCATGGTGGTTGATAGTGTTGTTCAGAACATCGATGTTTTTCCTGATTTTTGGTCTGTTCTGTCGATTTCTGAGAAAGTATTAAAATTAAAGTTGGGTCTTGCATTTTTATCCATTCTGTCAGTCCCTTACTTTAATTGGAGTTTTTTGTCCACTAACATTGAATTTAATTGTTGATATGTTTGGATTTAGATCTTCCAACTAATTTTCTATTTGTTTCCTGTGTTGAGTTACTTTTTCATTTTTCTTGTAACTTTTTAGCTTATACCTCTTTGCATTTTTTATGCAGAGGTTGCTGTAAGGATTACAATATGCATGTTTATTTTAATTAATTAATTTATTTTGTTTATTTATATATTTGTTTTTAAGGAACAGGGTCCCTGTCTCCTGGGCTCCAGTGCAGTGGAGTGATCATAGCTCACTGCAGCCTCAAACTCCTGGGCTCAAGCGGTCCTCCCGCCTCAGCCTCCCAAAATGCTGGGACTACAGGTGTGAGCCCCTGTGCCGGCCCACAGTACACAGCTGCAGTTCTTCAGGATCTCTTGGGGTGGCCGTATTCTGCCGTCTCACACTTCTCCATGCCATGGCGTCTGTCTGTGCACGTGGCAAACTCCACAAGGCAGTGTTGGATTCTTTTGCTTTGAACGGTCTTATGGAATAAAGTCCATCAGCTCTGCCCTTGGTACTTTCATCTATACTTTGTGATACTTTCTTTTTATTTTTTCTTCTAGAATAGCCTAACATGGCAGACCAGAGACAGCGCTCACTGTCTACCTCTGGGGAGTCATTGTACCACGTCCTTGGGTTGGACAAGAACGCAACCTCAGATGACATTAAAAAGTCCTATCGGTAAGTGGACAAGTGTGGCCCCCACATCCCCCCAGGAAGACACACATGCCCCGTGTGGTTTAGTCTGCATTTTACCAAGAACCATTGCACATACTTTATCCTGGCCGACTCAGCGTTGAACTGGTCACAGCTCGGTAACACCTTTGTATGTGTAATGTGCTCCTTATAGCTTAAAGTTATGGTATTCATGTTCTCTTGCCAACAAAAAATAGCACTTAGTAGAAACTGACACACTGTCCACAGTTCCATAGGGAGTCAGGGTCTGAACCTGTTTGAGGCCTCACAGGAGCCGCAGAGCGCTGGCATGGTCCTGTGGTCTCCTTGTTTTAGCACAGTGATGACAGAGACCCCTCACTCTGTTGTGGCCTTCTGATTGAGCTTGAAGAACTGCACTCTTGGGTACAGTTTCATTGAGTAACCTGTAAGAGACACCATCACTAATCCAGACAATTCAGATAGTCCTCCTCTCGTGTGCTAGCATCGTGTAGTTCATAAAACACTTCTTAAAGTGCCATCATTACGCCCCGCCGTGCTTACCGTTCACTTGGCACTTGTGCAGTTAGCGGCTGGGACACCAGGGCTGGCCTTGGTGCCGCTGAACTTAGATGTGCCGTGGCACTCACAGCCCTTGGGGCTCCCTCCTCTGAGGCTGGGTCAGGGTGAGGAGGTTTACCTGAAACAACCGCGGAGCTTGCTTTTGTCCCTGGCCCCTGCAGCCCTGGAGAGTCGGACAGTGAGGTGGCCTGGGTGGACCTGCCTTCCACTGCACCCGGCAGTGCGTGCGGGTGGGATGGACGCGGCGGCGGGTGCGGGTGGAACAAAGTCCAGGGTAGAGCCAGGACATGGTTTTGGTTTGCAGGAAGCTTGCCTTGAAATATCACCCCGACAAGAACCCCGACAACCCGGAGGCCGCGGACAAGTTTAAGGAGATCAACAACGCGCACGCCATCCTCACGGACGCCACAAAAAGGAACATCTACGACAAGTACGGCTCGCTGGGTCTCTACGTGGCCGAGCAGTTTGGGGAAGAGAACGTGAACACCTACTTCGTGCTGTCCAGCTGGTGGGCCAAGGTGAGGGCGAGCTGCCTGCCGTGCGGGCACCCGAGTCACTCCTGCCGTGCGGGCACCCGAGTCTCTCCTGCCGTGCGGGCACCCGAGTCACTCCTGCCGTGCGGGCACCCGAGTCTCTCCTGCCGTGCGGGCACCCGAGTCTCTCCTGCCGTGCGGGCACCCGAGTCACTCCTGCCGTGCGGGCGCCCGAGTCACTCCTGCCGTGCGGGCACCCGAGTCTCTCCTGCCATGTGGGCACCCGGGTCACTCCACGCCTGCAGGGTTCCCAGCATTGCAGAGCCCATGCGTTGATGCCAGCAACTCTACACTCCTGAGAAAAGGCTTCTGGGCATATGGAGCCTTTCTCCTCACCTGTGTGATGGGCGAAGCTCTGTCACTGGCTTGGTGTCCTGCCTGGAACAAGCCATAGCGTACAGATTGTCCCAGGGAAGAGCCGTGCGGAGCCGCCAGGGTTTCTTCTGTAAATGGCTCCCAGTCCTTCGTGAGACAGGAGGAAATAAGCCTCGATGTTACATCCGCATTTCTTCGTTTCCTCGTTTTGTTCCAAATGTCATATATGAGGCCAGAGGGTTGGAATCACTGCATGGCATTTGTGAGAAGCCTGTATTTGGCTTTGACTGGTCGGCCTCCTCACTAGAATCCTTATAAAGTACTTTTTATTTAGTTAATGTTAGACAGAGTCTCGCTCTGTTGCCCAGACTGGAGTGCTGTGGTGAGATCCTGGCTCACTTTAACTTTGAATTCCTGGGTTCAAGTGATCCTCCCACTTCAGCTCCAGAACTGCAGGAGTTGAGGCGTGAACCACTGTGCCCAGCCTGGAGGCTGCTTTGTTTTTTTTTTGAGACGGAGTCTCGCTCTGTTTCCCAGGCTGGAGTGCAGTGGCGCGATCTTGGCTCACTGCAAGCTCCACCTCCCGGGTTCACGCCATTCTCCTGCCTCTGCCTCCCGAGTGGCTGGGACTACAGGTGCCCGCCACCACGTCCAGCTAATTTTTTGTATTTTTAGTAGAGACAGGGTTTCACCGTGTTAGCCAGGATGGTCTCGATCTCCTGACCTCGTGATCCGCCAGCCTCGGCCTCCTGGAGTGCTGGGATGACAGGCATGGGCCACCACGCCCGTCTTGGAGGCTGCTTTTCTTTAAGCTGCGGGTTTCTTTCTGTCTCTCCTCCTCCCTTCTTCAGTTCTTTCCTTCTGCTTCCTGTCTGGAAGGCAGTATCCCCACCTGGAACGCACCCCCTGCCTTCTGCTGAGGGCATTTGGGAGTCCTGCGCCTCCCTCTCCAGGGGCCTCGGAGGCCATGCAACACCACCTTCTTCTCCCCCCAGGCCCTGTTTGTCTTCTGCGGCCTCCTCACGTGCTGCTACTGCTGCTGCTGTCTGTGCTGCTGCTTCAACTGCTGCTGCGGGAAGTGTAAGCCCAAGGCGCCTGAAGGCGAGGAGACGGAGTTCTACGTGTCCCCCGAGGATCTGGAGGCACAGCTGCAGTCTGACGAGAGGGGTGAGTGCCCGCCCCAGGGCCCGTGTGTGTGTGTGGGGCAGAGCCAGAATGGGCCCTGAATGGTGTCAACCTGTCTTGTCAAACAGGAGGGCACTGACACTGTGCCGCGAGTGTTTGTGGTGGCAGCTGGGACTGTTGAGGTGTGAACGTGGACCCTGAGGTAAAGCAGGCGCATAGAGCTGTCCCCGCCGTGACCTGCGGTAGCCGTAGATCCCAGGGACTGCGAGGCGGGGCAGGGCGGCAGGCAGTTGGGGCGGGGCTGAGGGCCGAGGGCTGGCGGTGACCCAAGGCGACGGAGGAAAGCCGTGTGGGGTGGAGGTCAGCGAGTAGCCTCTCCCGGTGGAGAGTTTGTCCAGGTGCCCGAAAGTCGCTCCACAGGACCAGCGTTGGGTGCGCGCCAGGCTGTGGCCCTCGTGCAGTGCCCTGTGTGCTTGCTTTTCAGAGGCCACAGACACGCCGATCGTCATACAGCCGGCATCCGCCACCGAGACCACCCAGCTCACAGCCGACTCCCACCCCAGCTACCACACTGACGGGTTCAACTAAATCCAGGAGGAGCTGTGGTCAGAGGAGGAGCCGGCGCCTGGCCACGCCAACCTTAGAATCATGAACTGTAGTCACAGAGATGGGAAGGCAGCCTCCTGCCTGCCCTGGCCTTGCTGGGGCCCCTCCTGCCTCCACGCCCACCCAGCGTCGACCCTTGACCCACGAAGTGCGTAGCATGCAGTATTTAAAGCAGTGTAGCTACGGTCTTCTGTTTTTTTCCCTTTTTTAATAGCATGTATGGGGTTCTGTTCCATGTCTGTGTTGTGGACATTCCGCGGCATGACCGCGTGAACTGCACGGTGGAGCTGCCTCAGGGCTGTCGGTCAGGTTGGTCCAGTGAGGGGTGACTGCAGCCGGTCAGGTGGGCGAGGAGAAGGGGGGCTGCCCCTTTCCTACCTGTGCTTGAGGGGCCGGAGGCAGGTGCTGCCTGGCAGAGCTGTGTTACCGTCTTGGCCTCGGGGTCTGGTCCACACTCTGTGCTCCCAGCCTTGAGGCTGCAGTAGGACTCTGATCTCACCTGCCAGAAGAGAGGCGGGGCCGCGTCCTCCTGGCGTCACCGGCGTCACTGTCATTCCTTGGTGTCTGTGCTGGGCATGGTTGGCTTGGGGGTCTGTGGTTTCCTGGGCCTTGTGGCAGGGTTTCTCCCGTGGGAGAATTTGGTGTGGAAAGCATAGGAGGCCCCTTCCGAGGTTGACACCGTGTCCTCCGCGGTGTTTCTCGCCTGGTCGTCTCGTCGTGTGGACGCTGCCGTTCTGGTTCTCGGAGGTGTGTCCTTCGCCGTGTTGGGGTTATTTGTCTGTGTTCCTGCACTTTTCCCGGGCTCTGAGCTGGATTGATGGGGCCAGTCTCCCCCCTCCCATCTTGAGGTCGTTCTCCACATTCCTTCCAGCACACCTGTCCTTTCCATAGCCCTTTTTGGACCTTTAGAACCACAGATGATAGGACCAGCCCAATGAGCCACAGTCAGAGAGTAGATTGTGCATGTGTGAGCACCCAGCTACTGGGGACGGGGGCTCTCCCACGACCCCTCCTCCTGTGTTTGCCAGAGCTCCCATCTGCCCCACTCGCCTTTGCCCCGTCATCGATGATTCAGGCAGAGCCAGATTCGTTAGGTCCCTGGAGGAAGGACTGACTGGACCAGAGGGACCCTCTGGCTCAGGAGGGTTGGGTCCCTGGGAGGCCGGCAGCCAGGCCACAGAATCCACACGTGGACCATTGTGGGTCCCTGGGAGGCCGGCAGCCAGGCCACGGAATCCACACGTGGACCATTGTGGGTCCCTTGGGAGGCCAGCAGCCAGACTACGGAATCCACATGTGGACCATGGGAAGTCAGTCTCTTGCGTGTCCTAGACCTTGTGGGTGGCGCCCTGCATAGGGGAGCAGGGGGAACGGGTCTGATGTCCCTGTGCTGGCTGAGGGCTCAGAGCTGCCCGCACTCCGTAGCTCATGGGATGTGCTGGGCCTGCCTTTGGCGCCATGCTGCAGACTCCAGTGGGCCTGGTTTCTGCAGAATGTCCATGGTGGCCGCTGCAGAGTTGCAGAGGTCCCTGTAGAGATAAAGCTGAGGAGGAGGCTGTGTGTGATGGCTCTGGCTCGGACCAACCAGATGAGCCTCCTGAAGCCCCCTTCCCTGCCTGCCTGCTGACCCGTGGCCCCAGCTCACTCATTGCCCTCAGCAGCCACCCGAGGCTGTGCAGAAGGGTAGGTTCAGGTTGACCAGGAAGCTGCCAAAAGGGACATGGATATGAGGATACATCTGGACGTGCTTAGGAACAGGGTGCTGGTTGAGGGCCCCCAGCTGACCCCTACTGCAGATCCGCATGTGGACCATGAGCCGGCTGCCAGCACTAGGTCCTGGGCAGCTTTGTTTGTCCCACTTTTCTTTGTTTCTTCTCACTAAAATGATCACGAAGACCTTTGACAAGAGGAGAGATATGCACTGTGATATTAAATTAGAAATAATTTATCAAAATCAGACCTCTCCTAAAAGAATAAGAAATTCATTGTTTGGCCCATCCTGAAAGGTGAGGTGGCGAGACAGTGGGGTGCCTCCGTGCCGCTTCGTGCAGCAGCAAGTTCAGCCTGAGATGCTGGCTGTACTCAGCCTTTGCAATTTTTGTAGATGTAGCTTAGGACGTGAGTTATTTTTCCGCAGACTGGCCAAGAGCCAGGTTCTAAGCTTGGACCTAAGGTAGAAAGCTGCCCATCGGGGGCCCTAGCTCAGCCCCACCAGGCCCTCTGTTGGGCCTGCACACAGCTCTGTGGCTAGAACACTCCAAGGCCCTTCGGTACCCATCAGAGTGGGCCCCTTGCCAGGTGGCTTTTCAGTTACAGAGTCCAGTGGACCATTTTGTAGAACCATGCAGCTCCCTGCGGAAGGTGGGGTAGGGTGGGAAAGAGGAGCAGGTCTGGAGGTTTGTGGAACCCAGTCCCCTGCAGAATCTGTAAAACCTAATAAATCATGGTTGTGGCCATTCTCACGGTGGTGATTGTGATTAGACGACCCCCGGGAAGCCCAGACACTCGGGGCCTGGAGTTCCTCCCCCTGCCTGACCTAGAAGCAGAACCGTTTTCAGCGCTCTGCCCTGTTGGCTTTAAGGCTTTGTCTTAATTTAAGGAAAAAGATCCTCCCGGGTTTTATTTCTCTCTTTCTTGAGTGGACTGTTTCCCTATAATTAAAAGAGGTGGTGAGTCCTGGGGCAGCTTCCGCGCCTCCCTGTCCACGTGCTAACAGATCAGGACGCCCCCAGCACCCCTGCCTGCTTTTGCTGGTGGCAGTGACGGGACCCCGACTCCTCACTCTCGGGCCGCAGACAATGCTGTGAGCAAGTGTGGCCATGGGCACAGAATGTCCCTTTGGACGCCGCTGCTGGGGGCTGCCAGGGGCCCTCTGGGGTCGTGCTTTGAGGCCCGTCCGGTTCACGAGGGGGTCCGGGCAGCACTGACTGCTTCCGACCTGCAGGAGGCGTAGGAGCGGCCCTGCGGGCCCTTTCACGGCAGCTGCTGCTGTATAGATTTGTCTCCACTCAGTGACGTGGGATTTTTTTGTCTTCCTTTTGGCTTTATTTTTAAACTGCTTTAGATATTACTGCTCAGTGTTTGTGAACTTTCCTAGTTCTCTATGTTGTTAGTGCAGCCAGCACCCAGTGGGGACCTACTAGAAAAAGGAACTGGCATGCACACGTGCCCAGCAGGAAAAGCTTCGTCTTCACGTCGGCTGCTGCCATCCAGAAGAGGCCCTGGAGCCTCACGCCGTCGAGGCTGCTCTCAGGCGTTCTGTTCCGGGCGAGGCTTGTGCTGCAAGGAAGGGCACCAGCATGCAGGCTGCCACTGGAGGGTCCGGGTGCTGCGGGCAGAGTTCAGCGCTTGTCCACCCTCCCTTAGCTCTGACTCAGTGCATCCTACTGTGGGGACATCTCGTGAGGGGACACGAAATGACTGATCTCACCCTTTCCCAGTATTCAGAGCTGTGAACCCCTGTGGCGCAGGACTGGCCTGTGTCTGTTATTTTGGTTGTAAATCATTCTCCTGTGGAATTGGCAAAAGCTACATTTTTACTGTCCTTACCAGCAACAGTTTGCGTCGTCACATGCTGTGAGTGTGGGCTGTGGTGTGTCCGTGTGTGTACATATGTGTATATGTATATATCACGCAGCAGGAGTGTCATTCATGCTGCTGTCCCCTGGTGAAGTGACAAGTACAATTAAAGGTGGCTCTGAAATGGCCTCTGGTTTCTTGGGAGTCGGGCAGGGACCTGCAGGAGGCTTTCCCAGCAGGTGCACAGAAGGAAGCGCTGAGCCCACTGTGTGCAGAGGGTGTGTGCCCAGGGCACTGCCACGGCCCCCACCAGCATTGGCCTCTGCTCTGCAGGGTGGGGTGCCCATCCTGGGGGCTGTGTGTCATGCTCACCTGACCCAGGTGTGTGTCCCGGTGTGAAATCGAGGAGGGGACTGGAAGCCCTTCCCTGCCTTGAAACATGAAAGCTGATTTTCTGAGCAGCAGATACGGTCAGTGGCAAAGCTGCATCTGAAGGGCGGCCTGGGAAGGGGCCCTGTGCTGGCCCCGGGTCCGCCCCAGAGGAGTCCACACAGCACCACCTCCAGAAGGGGCTGGGCCCGGGGTCCTGCAGGCGGCACCTTTTGGTAGAGTTTGTTTCCCTGGAAAATGGGGAAAATGTTTCAAGCCAGGTGAGGGGGGAAGTTAACACTGAAATATGTATTGTTTTTAAAAATCAAATGCACACGCATGGAAGCTGCTTGTCCATGCACTGGTTTTGTCACTGGCGTCCTGGAATCCGACCGTGTTGGGGTGCAGGCGCTGTCAGACTCCGGCTGATCCTGGCTCGAGCACACACATCTAAGGGCCAGGCTGGTTCCGCATGGTGATCTCCGTCTTGTATGTCTGAATGTTGGCCTAAAATAAAGATTACTGTTGTAAAATAAATGTTTTCACTGCGGACCCCACGTATGTCTTACTCGCTAGTCCCGCAGATCCCTGGTTTTGGAGAGCAGCAGCTGATCTCAGCCCTCCACACCCCTTGCGGCTGGAACCTTGCTTCCCTCCTGCCTGGTCCAGATGTGGATAAATGCCCCCTCCTCTTGATTGTGTTTTCACCTCCGTTTTCTAAATACCAAGACTGGAGCAAAGAGGCCAAGCGTGGTGGCTCATGCCTATAATCCCAGCACTTTGGGAGGCCAGTGTGGGAGGATTGCTTTGAGCCCAGGAGTTCAAGACCAACCTGGGCAACAGTGAGATCGTGTCTCTACAAAAAAGAGTTTAAAATTATCTGGGTGTAGCCGTGCCTGAGGTCCCAGCTCGTCAGGAGGGAAATCACTTGAGCATGGGAAGTCCACGCTACAGTGAGCTGTGGTCACACCACCGAACTCCAGCCTGGGTGACAGAGGGAGATCCTGTCAACAAACTAACAAAAACTCAGAATAACGTAACAAACATCTTGAAATCCTCTATTCTGACTTAAGAAAAACGAAGGAAGGGCCAGGCATGGTGGCTCACGCTTGTAATCCCCAGCACTTTGGGAGGCCGAGGTGGGTGGATCATGAGGTCAGGAGATCTGAGACCATCCTGGCCAACATGGTGAAACCCCGTCTTTACTGAAAATACAAAAAAAATTAGCTGAGCGTGGTGGTGCGTGCCTGTAGTCCCAGCTACTCAAGAGGCTTAGGCAGGAGAATCGCTAGAACCCGGGAGGTGGAGGTTGCAACGCACCGAGATCGTGCCACCGCTCTCCAGCCTGGGTGGGAGAGCGAGACTCCGTCTCAAAAAAAAAAAAAAATTTGAGTCAGATTTTCCATTTTAAAAAAATGGCAGCATCCAAGACCGTTTTGCGTCTCTCCCCATTTCCATCCTCTGCTTCCATAGCTTTAAACTCTGTCTACCACTGTCAGGTCCAGTAAGACGTACTATTGGTTTATACCTTTTTACATAAATTGTACTACACCATAGTACTGAGTACACCACCTGCCTTATGAGTTTGTTTGTTTTTTTTTTTTTTGAGATGGAGTCTCGCTCTGTCACCCAGGCTGGAGTGCAGTGGCGCGATCTTGGCTCACTGCAACCTCCGCCTCCTGGGTTCACGCCATTTAGGAAAACGCATGCCTCACCCTCCCGAGTAGCTGGGACTACAGGCGCCCGCCACCACGCCTGGCTAATTTTTTGTATTTTTAGTGGAGATGGGGTTTCACCGTGTTAGCCAGGATGGTCTCGGATCTCCTGACCTTGTGATCTGCCCACCTCGGCCTCCCAAAGTGCTGGGATTACAGGCATGAGCCACCGCGCCCGGCCTGTTTTTGTTTTTGAGACGGAGTCTTTGTGGCCCAGGCTGGAGTGCAGTGGCACAATCTCGGCTCACTACAACCTTCATCTCCTGGGTTGAAGTGATTCTTGTGCCTCAGCCTCCTGAGTAGCTGGGATTACAGGCATGTGCCACCACGCCTGGCTAACTTTTTGTATTTAGTAGACGGGGTTTCACCATGTTGGCCAGCCTGATCTTGAACTCCGGACCTCAGGTAATCCGCCCGCCTCGGCCTCCCAGGGTGCTGGGATTACAGGCGTGAGCCACTGCACCAGGCCTAAGTTTTTCATTTGATACAGTAGTAGTTAAGAAATCAAGCCGTGTGGTTATATTAGGTCTGGTTCATTTTAGCTTCTGTACAGAACAGTCACGAATTAATCACAGTCGGTCCTGGGCAAACTGACCACAGGTTTTTAGTTTCTCACTGTGGAAACAAAGCTGCCTGAATGTCGCTGCTGAGTTGTCTCGGGTGGGATCGCTGGGAGCGGGATCTGGAAGCCTTCCCTTGACTGGTGGCCCCACACTGCCCTGCAAAGAGGCTCCCCATCTTCTCGCTGCCCCTTCTAGCCTTAGCGTTGTCAGACGTTTTTTTCTGGCTTGGTCTTTGAATTTTCTTAATTAAGTAGAATCCACGTTTATTAAGTTCAGTTTTTTTTTTCTTTTTCCTTTGAGACAGAGTCTTGCTCTGTCATCCAGGCTGGTGTGCAATGGCGCGATCTCGGTTCACTGCAGCTTCCGCCTCCTGCGTTCAAGCGATTCTTGTACCTCAGCCTCCCGAGTAGCTGGGACTAAAGGCGCGCCACCACGCCCAGCTAATTTTTTGTATTTTTAGTAGAGACGGGGGTTTCACCATGTTGGCCAGGCTGGTCTCGAACCTATGTAGGCCTCCCAAAGTGCTGGGATTACAGGTGTGAGGCAGCGCGCCCGGCCTATGTTAAGTATTTTATATATGGGATTCTTACAGAGAAATGTTAACAGCAAGCCGAGCACTGGACACTGGGTGGCGGGCAGCAAGACCCTTGCCAGGGAGGGTTGTCGGCCCTGTTTCTCCTGGTCCAGGGGACCGCGGTTAACAGGCGCTGCGGCAAAACTCTCCGTCCGCCCAGCGCCCCAGGAATCTCCTCCGTCTCCAAGACGGGGTCGGACCACCCTCCCCGCTCCCCCCGGCTATGCCTTCCTTGCGCCCCGCTCTCCGTGACCGAGGAACGCCAGGAAGGGACCACTTCTAGCGCCAGCCCCGCTGCTCAGGGTCGGGTGGGGGGCGGGGCCAGCGCGGGGGCGGGGCCGGCTCAGGGGCGTGGTCACTCGGTGGGGCCCAGCGGGACCTGGCCTACCAGGCGGAGCGGGGGCTGGGCAGGGGCGTGGCCAATCGGGACCGGTGGGGCGGGCGAGTGGCGGGAGCGCTGCACCCGCAGATGGGCCCCCCACGTGGGGACCAGCGCCCACCCGGCCTGGTCGCATGGGCAATGGGAGACCCCACTGCAGCGCAAGGTCTCGCGGCATCTGGGAAGACCGGCCTTACGCCGTCCCTCCCTTCGTCAGCAGACCCCTGTCCAGGATCCGGGATCCGGCATAATCGAGGTGCCAGGCTCCGAGGACGCCACGCTTTTGGCCGTGGACTTCCACGCAGAAAGACACTGGCGCCTGAGAGGACGGGGACGACCGTGTCCCGTGTCAGATGCGCCTGGCCCACGGCTGAGTCCCCAGCATCAGCCCTCAGCTCCACGGCTGAGCCCCGGGAGGCTGATTCAGTTATCTGGGCCTCTCCGGGGCCCGACGTGTGGGCGCCGCGCGTGCACCTCCTCTTCCTCAGTAAACCACGGCGGCGACTCCTCTCGGGGAGCCCGGGGGGGGCCTGCTCGGAAAGCAGGGTGGGCAGGACCTAAGGGAACCCACGCTTGCGGGCGTGGGCACGGCAGAGAGCACGGGATGCGGGTGGGCCTCCAGGTCTGGAGGGGTGAGCGAGGCGGGCCCTGAGCAGCAGTGGCTCCGGGCTCGTGGGCCCCGGGTGGCCCCGCCTCCAAGCGCAGGCCCCCACTTCCGCCCTGGTCTGCCTCCTGGCTTTGCTGCCTCCAGCGACTTGTCCTGACGGGAAGGACCCTCCCCCCCCCCAACTGTGGGGAGGACCCTGATGGTACAAATTTGTGGGTGGGGGCAAAACAGCCTGCCTCTTGTGAGACCCAGAGCACCAGGGGGCCCTGTCCCCTCCCTAGGTCCAGGCCAGGTGGCCACCAAGCTATGGGTTCTAGGGGCCCCATCTAGCAGAGCTAGGAGCTGCAGGGCCCAGTTCTACCCCTTCCTTCATCTGGCACAAGTGCAAGACTGGGAATGCTTGGTCCTGCAGGGGAGAAGGCAGGGCCCTCAGCTCCCTCCCTCCCTCCCCATGGGAGTCTCCACAAATGCATGCCTCAGCCAGGACACCTCTCCTGTGCTGTAACCAATCACACCTTCATTTTTCTAAAGCTTTATTTATTTTATAAAATGCATAGAATAAATTATACTAGTAACATTTTAAAAATTAACATCTTTGTATTCAGCAGTCCTGGGTCAGGAGGCAGGAGGAGGGTGGTGGGGACGGGATGGCTCACTGGGCAGCTAACCCGTGTAGGCCACTTCCTCCTCGTCACTGCCATCGGGGACCGCGTCTGTCCCAAAGTAGCGGTCGCCAAAGTTCCCTGGAAAAAGGGGGGGGGGGGTCCAGTGTGGTGGGGCCTCCCAGGGCCACCCACCCTGCCCTCATGTGCGGCTGAAGGGCCCGGGCAGCCTCACCAATGCCTGGGATGATGCGGAAAAGGTCATTGACCCGCTTGTCCACCGCCGTGGTGATGATTCTCACTCGCGGAAATGCATAGGCCACTGAGTGCACGCCCATCTCTGCCATGAGCAGCGACAGCAAAAAGATCTTGTCCTCAGGCACGTCGTGGTCCTACCGAGTGTATTGGGCAGGTAAATCCCACCTCTGCCTGAACCTGCCCCGCCTACCCAGGGCTCACTCACCAGGAGCACGCGCACTGCCATCATGGCCGCCGCGCCCGTGGACACGGTGCAGTCCATGAGGATCACGTGGTCATCGCTGATGTCCTTGGGCAGCCTCAGGTAGTGGAGCTGCGGGCAGCAGGGGTCAGGCTGCAGGTGGGGCTCCCTGCGTCCCCTTGCTGTGAGCTCCCTCTGCCCCCTACCCCCGGGCTCATCACCCCGGCTGCCCCCAGGCACCTCGGGCTCCCCGGTAAGCTGGTTGGTCTGGATGAGGATGGTGCCGATGCGCACGTCTTTGCACACAGCGCGCAGCGCGGGCTCCATGGTTTCACCGGCGCGCAGAATGGACACACCGGTGATCTGCGGGGAGGGGAGGCTAAGCGCCCACATCCCGCCCCAGCAGCCTGTCCCGCGCCCAGGTGTGCCCAGGCAGGTACCTGCTTCCCCGCATAGCACTTGCCCGCATAGTCCTGCCCCTGCGGGGTCTGTACGACGCAGTCCTGTGGGGTGCAGGGTGAGGACTCCGGTGAGCGCAGGGAGCTCGCACCGGCTCCAAGACCCACCCTCCACCTCGCGGGCTACGGGCTACGAACCTGAAAGGGCAGGAAGGAGAGC
This sequence comes from Homo sapiens, assembly GCF_000001405.40. Taxonomy (NCBI): domain Eukaryota; kingdom Metazoa; phylum Chordata; class Mammalia; order Primates; family Hominidae; genus Homo; species Homo sapiens. Next base: position 63,940,972 of record NC_000020.11, read on the forward strand.
GCGTGCTCGATGAGCAGCCGCATCAGTCTCTTGGAGTAGAAGATGAACTCGTCGCGACTGGTCTCCTTGTCCCTGTGGGGCCAACAGTTGAGCGGGAGCACGCGCCCGGGGCCGCCCCGTCCCCAGGTGGGCCCTCACCTGATGATGGTGTGCATGCCCCGTACCTGCGGCGTGCTCTTCAGGACGCTCAGCGTCCGGGGCAGCGGGTGGCACTGGTGTGCCGAGGCCAGCGCAGCCCTGGGGACAAACCGATGGGGAACACTCAAGAAGGGGGTCTTTTCCCAGAGCCCTCCCTCCCCACAGGACGGCTGTGCGTCACTGTGAGGGGAACACACGGGCCAGGCACAGCACGAGGTGCAGAGCGGGCCTGACTTCTGCCTGGGGCTGAGCTGGGGGGAGACGTCGCCCTACCTGAGCTGTCAGGCAAAGGCGAAAGATGGCGGCGAACAACGGGGCAAGCTCACCATCAGGCAGAAAGCTAGCGGGGTAGGCTGTGAGGGCCCCTCCCAGTGCGGGACCCCTCCTGCGCTAAGAGGAAGCAGAAGTGGGCCGGGCACAGGGCGGGCTCACACGTGCTGATAGGTGTCATACCCCAGAATGGGTAGCTTGTCCCCAGCCTCTCCCCGGGGGAACTAAAGCTTTGTGGGGTCAGGCCCCGCCCTGGCTCCTCCCCGAGGTGGTGCGCGGCCCCTCAAGAGAGGGGGGTGGGGGGCAAAGCTGGCTCAGTGTCTCTTGGCTGTCCCGTCCCGCCCCGCTGCCCAAGCCTGGGGATGGCCGGGGCAGCAGCAGGTCTAGGAGCGGGCAGGAAAAGGGCGGGGTGGAGGCAAGAAAGAGGTGGGACAGGGAGGAGGCAAAGCCGGAAAGGGGCATGACAGGGGCAGGGAATGGGGCGGGGCAGGAAAGGGGGTGATGCAGGGGCAGGAAGAGGAAAGCGACAGGCCACAGAATTGGGTGTGGCAGGGGAAGGAAAGAGGCAGGGCACGGAATTGGGTGTGGCAGGGCAGAAAAGAGGCGTGACAGCGGCAGGGAAAGGGGCGGGGCCGGGAATGGGGTGTGGCAGGGCAGAAAAGAGGCGTGACAGCGGCAGGGAAAGGGGCGGGGCCGGGAATGGGGTGTGGCAGGGCAGAAAAGAGGCGTGACAGCGGCAGGGAAAGGGGCGGGGCCGGGAATGGGGTGTGGCAGGGCAGAAAAGAGGCGTGACAGCGGCAGGGAAAGGGGCGGGGCCGGGAATGGGGTGTGGCAGGGCAGAAAAGAGGCGTGACAGCGGCAGGGAAAGGGGCGGGGCCGGGAATGGGGTGTGGCAGGGCAGAAAAGAGGCGTGACAGCGGCAGGGAAAGGGGCGGGGCCGGAAATGGGGTGTGGCAGGGCAGAAAAGAGGCGTGACAGCGGCAGGGAAAGGGGCGGGGCAGGAGCAGGAAAGAGGGCCTAGCGGGAGCAGCGGGGCAAGGGGCTACGGGAAGGCGGGTCACACAGCAGCACCACGGAGCACACTGCTCACATATCCCAACGTAGCTTCCTCTGCTTGCCAGGTGAAGAGCATGTTCAGGGAGGGAACAAGGCAGGAAACGGGGGTTTACAGAGAGAAGGAAGAGAACAAAGAGAAGGCTGCTTAGTTGGGGAGCAGGGCGTTCCCCGCAGGCCTGAGGAGGAGTGTGGGCGGTCAGGCCCCCAGCCCTGCCTGACCCTCCCTCCTGCCCCCGACCAAGGCTTCCTGGGGCTGAAGGAAGTGAGTGCAGCCACAGGCCAACACTTCCTTGGCTGACCAGACGACGGAAAATGTGTCTGGCTGCGTTCAGGTGTTTTTCCAAGTTTGAAACCCTGGAAAGTTTTTCCTCTCAGAACAAAAGCTTCAGGAGGAACCTGACGGGACAAGACCTGCGGGTTCCTAGGCCGAGGAGAGGGCCAAGCGGAGACTCATGCAGGCACCGGAAGCTGGACGGCTGGTGGACGGGCCCTGGAGGCATTTCCAACATTTGGCAAACTCTTTGGAGGGCTCTGAATGTGAGGGCTCTCCCTCCAGGTGGCTCAGTCAGGAGCCTCCCAACCCACAGAAGGCAGGGAGAAGGGCAGGTCCCTTGTGGCTGACCCCCCTGCATGCCTGCCCTTGGGGAGGGACAGTGGGATGCGGCCCCGGCCCAGCCCAAGCTTCTTGCTGCAGTTGCCCAGTTCCTGCTGGCAGAGCTGTGCGGGCTGCGAGGACAGAGCTGGGGCAAGCAGGACCCGGGTGGGTGGGAGGACAGGCGCGAGGCCCTCCACCTGCAACCAGGGAAAGCTGACTGGTCCGTGAGGCTGGGCACAGGAGGTACAGCAGGCTCCCTGGCTGCTGGGACATGTCTGTAGTCACTGCCCCAGAGGCCTGGCAGTGCTGGCTCAGGAGGACAGCTGTGCTCTCTGGGGTCAAATCCCATAGACAGACTCAGGAGTCAGGGGAGCCTCCAGCAAAGTCTGGCCAGGACAGGGTCAGGACTCCGTGACGCTGGGCAAGCTACTTCACGTCTCTGTGCCTCAGTGTCCTCATCTGCCAGCAAGGGGAGGCAGAAGCAGGGCTGGGACCACTCCACACCACCCCTTCTGTGACTGGGGAAGAGCCAGCTGCCTGGCTGGATCACAGCCCAGACCCCAGAGCTCCTTGGAGGTGTTGGAAGTGCCTCCATCTGTGCAGACAGCTGTGCAAGTCTTACCTGACGCTGAGTTCACGCTGTGGCAGCAACACAGGAAGACACAAGGGAACGGTGGCGCGTCAGTGACCAGGGCAGGCGGCCAGGCCACCCCCACCCAGGAATGGACATGCTGCAGGCCCGCGGGGACACAGCCAGCCATGGGGGGTGGCAAGCTTCTAATGCCTGTAACCTGGGGACCACCTGGGCCAGACCTGCAGTTCTGCGTTGGGGCAATCAGAGCCAGGACCCTGGGCTCTGTTCTGCAGGCCTCAGGCCTTCAACATCCTGGTAGGGAGTGTGTTCAGAGCCACTCAGGCTCCAAGGCCCAGCCATAGAATGCCTCAGGGAGCAGGGGACCTCTGGTGGGGGTGTCGCTCCTGGGGTGACCCCCTGAGAAAGAGAGGAGCCTGGCCTGGCGTGGGACTCAGCAGTGAAACCCCACAATCCTGGGCCAGCAGGTCATGCCTGTCTTCCCAAAAGCTCAGGCTGGGTGTGCTGAGCGGGCTGCACCCTCGGCTGGGTCCTGAGCACCTGTACCCCCACCCCAGCTTCCTCAGGGAACCCAGGCCCTGCACAGCACAACGGGATGGGGTCTGGGCTGGACAATCTGACTGGCCAAGCAGGCTCAGGACACTCAGGGCTGGCACCTGGCAGGGGACAGTGAACGCAGGGGGATGAGGTGACCAGGCCACTGGGGGTGGTGGCAGCGGAGAAGTGGGTAGAGGGGCTGGGGGCTAGGCCGTGGGGACGTGGGACCCCGCTCACCTCCTCCAGCTGGCTGTGCACGTGCTGCACAATCAGGTCGATGGCCACCGTGTTGCCGCTCCCTGGGGCGGGATGGGGGGGCGGGTGACCGGGGGCTGGGCCGTTGGCCTGCCCGACACCCACCCAACAGGCAGCCCAGCAGGCTCACCTCTGGGGACCACGATGTCTGCCAGGCGCATGGTGGGCTGGATGTACTGGTCGAAGGAGGGCTTGACAAACTTGTTGTACTGCTTGATGACACCCTCGATGTCCCGGCCGCGCTCACTGATGTCCCGGCGCAGCCGCCGTACCAGGCGGATGTCGGAGTCTGTGTCCACAAAGATCTTCATGTCCAGGAGCTGGTGGAGACAGCGGGCCAGTGAGTGGCCAGATGCCAGCAGTGGGCATGGAGACACTGGGACCAGCCCCTGCACTGAGGCCGCCTGGTCCGTGGGCCTGGCCAGAGCCACTTCCCCAGGGCACCCTGGCAGGTGGGGAGGAGTGGGGAGGTGGGGGTGTCTGCACCTGGTCCGTGGGCCTGGCCCGAGCCACTTCCCCAGGGCACCCTGGCAGGTGGGAAGGAGTGGGGAGGTGGGGGTGTCTGGGGATGCGGTGCTGCCCGTCAGGGGCTTAGGTGAAGAGGCATGGCATGGTGGCTGGCTAAGGAATCAGGCAGGAATGGGGCTGGGCACATGTGATCTCCTTACTTTGCTTGGGGTAACTTGCACCAACACACTGGGGAATGGGGGACGTGGCGAGTTTAGGGTCTGTCCCCATGCTCAGCACACAGTAGTTGGCCCGTGAAGAGGCCTTGTGGAGGCTGGGGGCTGCTATGTGCCGGATGATGGAGTCCTCTGGGCCTGTACAAGGGGCAGGACCTGGGCCCTGGGATCAGGCCAACCTGAGTCACACTCAGCTGTGTCCTGAAGGCCCCCTTGAGCTACAGCAAAATCTCTCAAACACACCAGCCCTGGGTCCTCACCTGTCCGTCAGGACCACGGCAAGGGACGAGAACGCCAAGGACACTCCAGGTATGCGCACAGGCCTCAGCCGGTGGAGAGGAACCACTGCCTCAGGCAGCCACGCTCTGCCTTTTGGGGCCGGCAGATGGACCCAGCTGTGGCATGCCTGGGGTTGGGGTTGGGGTAGGGAGTGGCTGGCCTAGGCCTATACAGTGTGGAGGCCTTGGGGACAGGGCAGGAGGACGCACACCTCATGGACAGGGCGGCCAGGGCTGAGATACCAGCGGGGTGGGTATTCCCGGCGGGTGCTTACCTCCAACAGTGTCTTGTCAGCAAAGGCCATGATGCCCTCAAAGATGATGACGTTTGCACCATACAGTGTTTTCTGTGAAGAAACCCAGGAGTTGCGGAGCCTGGCTCATGTGCCTGCAGCCCCCCGAGGCCCCCTCTGCAGGGCCCTGGCCTACCCAGTCCTTCTTCCGGCTGTGCGTGGTGAAGTCATAAATGGGCACCTTGACACTCTTCCCCTGCTTCAGCTTCTTGAGGGTGGAAATGATGAGGTCGAAGTCAAAGGCATCTGGGTGGTCGAAGTTGAAGTTGTTGTGTGCGGCCTGTTCCTGCTGCTGCTCAGTCAGCACCTGGTGGGGGAGGCTGTGGAGCAGCTGTGGGCACAGTAGGGCCCTCACCCAATGCCAGCGGACAGGGGCTCTAGGCCTCCCAGGAGCAGCCACGCTGGGGCTGAGACCAGGGACCTACTTTTGCAGGGGGTCCAGGGTCAGGGAGAGGACAAAGGGGTCCTCGGGGGAGCTGGGCGGGGGCCCACCTTGTAGAAGGAGTCCATGGACAGCAAGACCACCCAGGGCACATCCAGGGCCTCGATGATCATTCTGGCCACAGTGGTCTTCCCAGAGGCACTGCCGCCTCCCAAGCCTGCCGGCGGGAGTGGAGACCCTCTGTGAGGAACAGGCAGGCTGCCGGCACAGATAGGTCCCAGAGGTGCCCATCCCGCTGCCGCTGCCTGCGGTTGCCCGGCTTCCTTCTCCTGCTCCACAGGCACTGGAGGGGAGCCGGAGGCAGGCGTCCGGCAGCAGGTCCCACCCCCCCGCTGCTCTCACCGATGGCGAAGGCCTCTTTGGATTGCGTGCCGTGTTCATTGTACCAGGGCGGCCGCCCGGCGGTGTAGATGGTACGCTTGCTTGTACGCAGCAGGGGAGGCTCTGACTTGCACTGGCTGGTGGTCCGCTTCCGGGGAGAGCGCCCAGTGCCCACAGGTGGCAGGAGCCTGTCCAGGGACTCTGCATTGCTGCTGCAGAGAGGGATGTACTCGGATGTGGCCCAGAGCTGCCCACCTCCCAGGTACCCGCTGGCATGGCCGGCCCACAGGGCACCCCCCCCACCCCCTCAACAGGCATGGCTGAGGCGGGCAGGCTCATTGGGGGTACATAAGAACTCTGCCTGGGCTGGGCGTGGTGGCTCATGCCTGTAATCCCAGTACTTTGGGAGGCCGAGGCAGGTGGATCATTTGAGGTCAGGAGTTTGAGACCAGCCTGGCCAACATGGTGAAGACCCGTCTCTACTAAAAATTAAAAAAAAAAAATTACCTGGGTGCGGTGGTGGGTGCCTGTAATCCCAGCTACTAGGGAGGCTGAGGCAGGAGAATGGCTTGAACCCGGGAGGTGGAGATTGCAATGAGCTATCGTGCCACTGCACTCCAGTCTGGGTGACAGAGTGAGACTCCACCTCAAAAAAAAAAAACCCTGCCTCCTGCCTGCAGCTGGGCCACAGGACACACAGACCCAAGTGCTCAGCCTGGCACAGGGCCTCAGATCATCACTGTCCACACAGCAAGGACAGAGGAACAGCAAACAAGGACAAGGGAAGGAGGAGAGGCGCTATCTTGGGGCCATGCTCATCCTGCTGTGTGGACAGGCACTGGCTGGGCCAGGCTCTGTCCCCTAGGGGACTCAAGGTGGGCCTGTGAAAGGCAGGTGAGACCCCAAAATGGACCACGTTCCCTTGCAACCCGGCACACTCTCTGGGCAGCCAAATCGCTGCCATGCTGAAGGCTGGGTGCCCAAGGAGACGTGAGGGCGGCGTGTGGGTGGAGGCGAGACCAGACCAGGTTGTGCGCACACACCGAGGGTGAGGTCCCCAGACAGGACCAGGCTGAAGGGCTCAGGGAGAGAGGCAGAGGGCTCAGCCAGGACCTGATTCTCCTGCAGTGACAGCAGGCCCAGCACAGTGCCTCGGCCTGGCCTCTCTGGCTGTCAGAGTGCCGGATGGGGGACCCTGCGCTGGGAGCCTTATTGGAACCCCATTCATTCTTGCTGTGGCCCCTCCTGGGTCCCCAAGACAGAAACCTCCGGCATCTGGCAAACACCAGAGAGGAAAGTGCTGCCACCTGTCTGGGCTGCCGTGAGCCTGCCCAGGGTAAGGGGGAGCCCCTAAAGTCTGCAAGGGGGAAATCAACGGGAGGAAGACACAGGCCTAGGCTGTGTGGCATCTACATGCACTGCACGTGCTGGACCGGCACTCAGGCGCCTGCCAACTTCTCCGTCAGTTTACAACCTCAAGTGGGCAGGGGGCCGTGACTGGCCATGGAGCCCTGGGAGGGGCAGCCTCTGGGGAGGCTCAATATGGCCGAGTGCCCTGCTGGGGGGTTGGGGGGGCATCAACGTGGCGCCTGCCCAGTCTGTTCTGAGAGGCTCAGATGCAGAGCCTGGTGTGAAGATGCCATGAGACAAGACACAGGTCCGGCAGAAGGCACTTGTGGCCACTGCCCAGGAGACACCGAGCTGGCTGTGGTGGCCTCAGCACCATGTTTCAGGTCTCCCTGGGAAGCTCTCAGGGGTCAGCACCTTGGCCCTGCAGGTCATGGCCCACTCACATGGGGAGCAACTCAGAACCACAGTCACTGTCTGTGCAGGGCAGAGCCCCCGGGGGCAAGAGGGAAAGCTCCGCAAACGGCAGGACCGCCTCTTTGTAGCTTCCTGCAGCGGCACAGTCTGTCCACCGCGCTCCGGAGTTCCACAGGAAATGGAACGCTCCACAGATGCCAGTTACGCCCGAAAACGACACAGAACACAGGTGCGGACAGGGAACGGCATCCTCAGAGCATGGTCAGGGGAGAAAAGCAAGCTGGAAGGAGAGATGATTCCATCTGTATAAAATCCAGGAAACGAAGGACGCTCACCGCCATGCGCCTCGGTGTGAGGAGGGAGGCGTGTGTGAGAGGGAGGGGATGTGTGTGAGAGGGAGGGGGCGTGTGTGAGAGGGAGGGGCGTGTGTGAGAGGGAAGGGGCGTGTGTGAGAGGGAGGGGCGTGTGTGAGAGGGAGGGGGTGTGTGTGAGACCGAGGGGGCGTGTAAGGGAGGGGGTGTGTGTGAGAGGGAAGCGTGTGCACACACCAGCCCTAACCATGATCACTCTCTGGCCACCAAGATTTGGAACAGCAACTTCTGTCACATTTGAATGTTTTTAAAGCAGGTGCCACTTTGTTGCCATAAACCAAACCGTAGTCTGTCTTTGAAGGTGGCATCTCCAGCGTGGGAACACTGATTCCCACCTGGGCACTCCTCCCCGTGCACCCGTGACACCCACAGCCAGGAGGACAGTGTCCGTGTGCACACACAGGGGGCAGTGGAAGGAGGGAGCCCAGCCCGACACGTGACAGCTCTCCTGGGCCCAGAGAACAGTGTGGCAGCATTTAAAGCAGCAAAGAGACCCGCCGTCTGCACCTGACGGGGAAAACGCGCTGTGCCTCTCCTCAGAGACAGACAGGTCTGCCTGTTTCCATGCCACCATCAGGGGAGTGAGCACGGGGAATAATCAGCCAGGCAGCCTCACTCAGCCTCACCTCGGCTCCGGAGATCGTTCTGGAGCTGAGTGGTGACGTCAGCAGCAGGGCTGAGCACAAACAACAAGGCCAGGCGCCAAGACGACCAGGCGAGGGCGGCCCGGGGGACAGCACCACTGCACGGTGCCCTGAAGGGGGAGCAGGTGCCACGGCACTTCCCCGAGACCGCATGCGGGGGCTGCAGCTGGAATGGGACCTGCACCCCACTCAGGTCTGCCTGAAGGGCTGTCAGTCAAGAAGGAAGACGGGACCCAGCAAACAGAAGCCACGACCTCCCAGCGGCCCTGGACACACATGACCAACGCACCAGCAGTAAACAAAAGGGCCTGCAAGGGTCACCCCCGGGGCCACCCCTCCCAGCAGGTGGTGATGGATGGCCCGCAGCTGTGCACAGTGGGGCAGTCCTGCTTAGGTTCAGCAGCAGGTTCCCAGCAGACAGAAACGCTCTGGTGGCCCTGGAGGCCGTGGTGGGCAGAGAACAAATCCAGGCGGCCCCTCCCCTCTATGCCTAACCCCAGCATCTGCAGGGAATCACCCACTGTCTTCAACCTCAGGGAGGAAGCCCCGACACAATCTGACTTGCAAAGAGGCTCCCCAGCGAAGCTCCCAGCACCGCCCTTGCGGCTGCCTGCACTTCCGCCATGCACCCTGGATTCCGAGGGTGAGCCCGCTAATGCACAAAGCTGGGACTAACTTGAGGGACAGACACCAGACGGCAGAGGCCGGGCTGGCACCGTGCCTGCTCCCCATTGGTAGTCTCCTGGTGCTCAGTCCTCTCCAGCAGGAGCCTTCCAACCCCGCATTTGTGACTCTTCCTCATCCTACTGAAGTAACAACCCCGTCACCGCAGATCCCTCCTGAGGCACACGCTGCTGACAGCCAGGCGCTGGCCCTTCTGCTGGGAGTGGTGCCCATGCAGCGGAACGGTCACAAGCAGGCCAGGACGATCTGCCAGAAGCCCGCCTCACCGCAGGCCTGTGACGGCGTCAGGCTGAGTCTGCACCGAGCCCAGCCCCACTACCTTCTCCAAAGCTGGTCTGTCTCAGAGCCAAGGACAAAGCCTCACCCCACGGTTCACAAGCAGCACCCCTTGACAGGAAAGTTGGCCGGGTGTGGTGGCTCATGCCTTGAACAGTCCTTTGGAGGCTGCAGTGGGAGGACTGCTTGAGGTCAGCAGTTCGTGACCAGCCTGGGCAACATGGTGAGACGGTCTCCACACAAAAAACTTTAGAATATTAAAAATAAATAAAAACAGAGGAGAAAGTTGCACAGCAAACCTCACTTCCTGTGCACAGATGGACAGGAGTGCTTCTGGCCACAACAACAAAAGGTTAATTCCAACCCGGAGGGTTCCAAGCCGTAACCAACACAAGAGAGACGCGCCCAGACCAACAGCCTCAAGCAAAATGGCACCTTCGACCCTGGGCTCTGCCCGGTGCCCGAGAGCACCTGCCAGCCTGTTTGATTCCTGATATCCACAGACATGCACCAAACACAGGTCTGAGTGGCCAGGACCACAGCACAAGTGGGTGCCCCTCACGGCAGAGACCTCCAGTCGAGACTCACCTGCCTTCTGCTCCAAGGGCCCGGCACCCTGAGATCCTGATGCCAGGGTAAGCTGGGGGGCTGCTCATGGTCGAGGACACGGGTGGGTGCTCCTGAACAGCAGAGTGGCCCCAGGGGTGGATGCGTGGGGGCTCAGGCGCAGGCAGCCGTGGGGGACATCACCACCTCAGACCCACAGCAGTCCCCTAGGGCAGCTCAGGAGCTCCGGCCACCTGAACTGGCCCTTCCATGGGCAGGACCACTCCTGTGGGCAGCACAGTGGGTGCAGAGCCGGGTGGCTGGGGTGAGACCCTTGGCTGGCAGAAGCTGCCTGCCAAATGTCAGCAGAGGCACAGCAGCTAGGAGGCCCTTGAAGCCTCCACCGTACTGAGGGAACAGCACTCACTGCCGTCCTCAGAGGCCAAGGCCACAGGCATAAGAGGATCACCCAGCTGGGGGCTTGTGTATGCCTGATATTAATAGCGCTGGCTTTGCCTGGTGTGGCCCTGACAATCCTCGGGCCAGCCCTCGGTGTGAACTGCCCCCTCCTGTGTGTGGGCTGGCACATTCGGCCAGCCTAGGACCGCAGGCCTGCGGAGGACCACTGTGCGCCGTGTGCCTGCACCCCTCCTGGATCCCCTGGAAAAAGCTACAGTACCCCGGCCTGCCTGGGGCTACAGAGTGAACCCCCCGCAGCAGGACAAGGATATCTGAGGCGCCTCTTGGCCAGGTGTCCTGAACGTCAGTGCTGAGCTGGGCACCCCATCCCTAGCCCCAGAGTGCTTCCGACAGGCATAAACAAATCTGAAACTCCACCCTCTGGCACCATCTGAAAATAACTGCCTTGCCCTACCCCCACTCACGGGGGATCCTGCAGGGACCTGCAGCCACCCAGGGCTCACCACCCAGGGCTCAGCAGAGCACAGGGGACACAGCCACCTCCCCGCCCAGGGCTCAGCAGGGCACAGGGGACACAGCCACCTCCCCGCCCAGGGCTCAGCAGGGCACAGGGGACACAGCCACCTCCCCGCCCAGGGCTCAGCAGGGCACAGGGGACACAGCCACCTCCCCGCCCACAGAAACAGGGTTTCGGCCCCACCCTCCGCAGAGTCAGTCAAGGATGTGCACAGAGAAGTCCTGGCAGCCCTAAGCTCTCTCCCAGGGGCAGACAGGTCAGCCATGGGTGTCAGCTTCCTCCTACCATGGGTTTCTCTTGGAGCTTCTAGTACTGAGGCAGGGGCTGCCAGAAGCTCAGGGAAAAGGGAAGACTCCACATGGAGGTCATACTCCTCAATAGTAGGCCACTCCTGGGAGCTGCCTCAGAGGCAGGACCGGCCCATCTGTCTGTGTCCACAGGTGCTTCCTCTCCTCATTCTGCTCCCAGGAGGCGGCTACATCCCTCACTTGGGAAGTGGGCAGGAGACAGCCCAGGGTCGGGGAGGCGGAGGCTGTCCTGAGCAGGGGCGCAGAGTCCGGGCTCCTGGGGGCCATGCCACTGGCTGGGCTGTCTGAACAGCAGAGTGGACGCAGACTGGTCTTGCCTGGCATGGGCATGCACCCTGGCTGCCCTAGCCGGCCAAGAGGCAAGGCTACAGGCCTGGGGAAGCCAGCACTGTGCTGGCCAGGCGAGGGACGGAGGAGCCCAGGCACGCAGCTGTGAATGGAACCACCAGGCCCCACCCTGGAATCACGTCGCCTCGCTGCAGGCCACGTGGTCCCCAACATGCCCCTCCACGGGGCTGCTCTCGGCCACAGCAGCCCACGGCAGGGAGGGGCCGCTCACGGTGGGGAGGGGTAGCCTGCCCTGGTCCTATTCACTGGTGTTCCTCCCAGGTTCTAACTTCCTGAGCTGGGCCGGTCCAGAGAACTCCCATTCCCACGCCACCCACAGGTGCTGATGCCGCGCTGGGGTAAGCGCTGCCCAGAGCACCTTCTGCCTAAGGCTTCCTCCTTGCAGGTGGGGCTGTCTGAGGCCCGTGGTGCTGGAGGCTGCCTCAGTCACTTCAGGGCACCCCTTGCCCTTCCCTCACCTTCAGCCATCCTACTCTGGGCCACAGCACAGTCGAATGTGGCTCAGTCCCCTCCACGGAGCCACAGCTTGCCTCAGTTTCCTCCTCAAGGACTAACAGCAGGTTCATTACAGGTGGGTCAGCTCATAAAGTCCAAGGCAGATGCCTCATCGGTGATCAGGCCCCATAACTGATGTCATCGTCAAGAAATAGGCACAGGTGGCCGGGCGCGGTGGCTCACGCCTGTCATCCCAGCACTGTGGGAGGCCGAGGCGGGCGGATCACCCAAGGTCGGAGTTTGAGACCAGCCTCAACGTGGAGAAACCTTATCTCTACTAGAAATACAAAATTAGCTGGGCACGGTGGCACATGCCTGTAATCCCAGCACTTTGGGAGGCCAAGGCAGGTGGATCACCTGAGGTTGGGCGTTTGAGACCAGCCTGACCAACATGGAGAAACCCTGTCTCTACTAAAAACACAAAATTAGCCGGGCGTAGTGGCACATGCCTGTAATCCCAGCTACTTGGGAGGCTGAGGCAGGAGAATTGCTTGAACCCGGGAGGCAGAGGTTGCTGTGAGCTGAGATTGCGCCACTGCAATCCAGCCTGGGCAACAAGAGCAAAACTCCATCTCAAAAACAAAACAAAACAAAACAAAAGAAATACACACAGGCAGCCGGGTGCAGTGGCTCACGCCTGTAATCCCAGCACTTTCAGAGGCTGAGCGGGCAGATCATCTGAGGTCAGGAGTTCAAGACCAGCCTGGCCAACATGGTGAAACCCCGTCTCTACTAAAAATACAAAAAATTAGCTGGGCGTGGTGGCGGGCGCCTGTAGTCCCAGCTACTCGGGAGGCTGAGGCAGGAGAACTGCTTGAACCCGGGAGGCGGAGGTTGCAGTGAGCCGAGATGGTGCCATTGCACTCCAGCCCAGGACTCTATCTCCAAAAAAAAAAGAAAGGAAGAAAAATAAGCACAGGCATGTGTGGAGACCTGGAGGCAGGGCTGCCCCTCACGAACCATCCACAATGCCAAGGAAACCAGAAGCAAACGTCCAGCAGCAGGGAGCGCAGGGCATGTGAAACCGACACTGAGGAAACAGCCACGGGAGAGAGCACACAGGGAGAAAGGAAGGCTCGGGCACTCCCTTGCTGTGGTTCAGGCCTGTTCTACCACCCCTGGGGTCACCATCGCCCACGGACCTTCCTGCTGGGTGCCTGTAGCACGGCACCTCCTGACAGGTCAGGTTTAAGGGAAGTTTGCTGGATAACTAAAATGAGGCTGGGGGGAGGAGGGAGCAGGGAGGAGCTAGCCCACAGGAGCCAATGCAGGCCTGACCCCACTGGTGCCGGACTGACTCAGGGAGAGTCATTAGGGCTGCTTTCTCAGGCTGGATGAGCACTGGGGGTTGGGGGCTTGCCCTGGCCCACCCCACCACTCAGGAAACCTTCCCTCAGCAGGACCTGCCCTGCACAGATCATGGGCAGCCTCCCTCTGCTCCCCACTTCCACAGCCCCAGACTCCATCTCAACCGCAGCCAGGAGTCACTGCTAACACCACAAAGGACCTGTTCCTGCACCAGCACGGGCCAGCTCTGGGGGCAGGTGCCCAGGACAGAGTCACGAGTGGCAAGCAGACAATAAACAACAGGCAAGATGGACAGACTGATTGCCGGGAGGATGTGGCAGGAGGCACTGGAACGGTGGTGGAGGAACCCCAGCCCTGGGGACAGACCTCCACCCGTGCACAGACCTCCAAGCTGGAGCCTGCTCTGGAACACTAAGGGCAGCAGCAGAGGTTGAAGAGGGGCAGACGCAGGAACGTTGGGGACACGCTCGGGGAACAGTGAGAAAAGCCCTAGGCTGGGGCAGAGGAAGTCCTCGATGGCACAAGCATCAGGACACAAAGTGCAAGAAATGTGCCTAAGACAAGAGGCAGTTCCAGGGCAGACCGGGGCCCCTGGAGAAGGGTGCTGCAATCTATCCTCACTGCCTGGAGCTTCCCTCCTGTCCCTTGGTAACCACACCAAAGAAAGATAACAACAGTCTCTGCCTCGTGGGACACAGCGAGGGCCACCGTGCCCAGCCCACCGTCTGTGCACAGGGCAGGCCCAGATGGCTGCTGCCACCAACCTGTGTCATCCAGGAGTGCCTTTCTCAAGAGCTCTCAGTGCTTATCTAGCGTTGGCCTGCCCCACCTCGGGTTAAATCAAAACCTCTTTGGTGGCTGGGCGCGGTGGCTCACGCCTGTAATCCCACGGAGGCCGAGGCGGGCAGATCACCTGAGGTCAGGAGTTGGAGACCAGCCTGGACAACCTGACAAAATACCTCTCTACTAAAAATACAAAAAAAAATTAGCCGGGCGTGGTGGCGCACACCTGTAATTCCAGCTACTCGGGAGGCTGAGGCAGGAGAATTGCTTGAACTGAGCTCGGGAAAGGGAGGTTGCAGTGAGCCGAGATCGAGCCACTGCACTCCAGCCTGGGCGACAGAGTGAGACTCCATCTCAAAACAAAAAAACAACGCCTCTTTGGAACCAGCAGAGGAACAGACTCAGGCCCTATTAGACTCCAGCCATGCAAAGTTCCTAGTCACTGCCCACTGGGAGGGTGTGGACCTGAAGGGACGCAGGGCCAGGGGAAAGCTCTTTCTGCTCAGCAGCTCCTGGAGAGGAGCGACCCTGTGCCGGGACACCCTTCCCCCTGCGGCATCCAGCGCAGCCCATCTCTGAGGGAGTCCTGGCTCACAGCGTTTCTGACAGGAGTCACAGCCTGAACCCAGGCAAGAGGCGCCTGAGTGGGAACAACCCCTTCCTGGGGACCCCGCGGGCTCCCCAAGGGACACTTCAGACCCGGAAGGGAGGGGCAGCGCCCAGAGCGCCCTCTTGCAGCCCCGGGCACTGCGTGGCCACCGCCCCCTGACGGCCACGGCCCCAAAGGCGCCGCGCAGGGCCCGGCTCCCAGAGGGGCCACTCGGGGTGACGAACCGGGGTGGGGGCGGGTTCCTCCCGCTGCACCCCCACAACTTCCCCACTTCATGCTCTTGCAAAGCCCCCGCAGAGGCTCGAAGGTGCCACGCGCGTGCGAGGCAATCCGAAGGCACCGTGCGCCGCAGCACCTCCAAATCCTAAGCCCTGGCCTCGCGGGTCGGGCAGGGCCACACCCCGAGCCGACAACATAGACCAACTCGCACAGTCGAGCAGGCACACAGCCCGCCGGGCGCTCGAGGCCGAGGGCCCCACCCACCGGGGGCAGAGACCAAGGTCAACGCTGGGGGTGCGCACCCGGACTCCTTCCCCGAGCCCCGAGGAGCCTGCCGGCTTGGGCCAGGTCCGTCCTCCCGGCCGCTTCAAGCCCGCGGGGTTCCACCCGGCACGTGGGAGAACGGGGCGCCGCCGCCTGGCCTCCGGGAGTGGGGGACTTGGGCTCGCGGCGGGGACGGACCACCCGCCCAGCTCGGCCGGATCTGCAGCCCCTTCCCGCTCGCCAGTGGAGTGGAGGCGAGGCCCACGCCTACCGGTCCTCGCACGCGGTCTCGCTTTTCTCAGCCTGCCGGCCTGGTGTGTCTCGGGCCGTAGGTGGCGACGTGGGCGAAGGATCAGCGTCCGCGCGGGCCGGGGGCGCAGCCATGGCGCTCGGAGGCCTCTTTGCGGGCCTGGCCGGGCGGCGCGCATGGGCCGCCGGGAGCTGGCGGGTCCCTCTCTTGCCCACCGCGGACTACAAGCCCCACAAGGCCGCGCGTCGCGGACTACAAGCCCCACAAGGCCGCGCGTCGCGGACTACAAGCCCCACAAGGCCGCGCGTCGCGGACTACAAGCCCCACAAGGCCGCGCGTCGCGGACTACAAGCCCCACAAGGCCGCGCGGCGGGCATGGGGGACCCGTAGTTCGGCAGCCTCCGCCACGTGCCTGGAGGGCCCCGCCCCCTGTTTTTCACCACAAACTGAGCCGCACAAAAACCCTGGAAAAAAATCAATAAACATTTATTTGATACAGTCATTTTAATACATACAGTGATGGCCCGTCCCCACGCCACTCGGGACCAGGGCGCGGGGCGGGGACGAGGACCGGGGACAGATGGTCACAAGGCGGGCGGGGCCCGAACTCACCGTTGAAACATCTCGCAAATAAACACTTTGTAGATAGAATATATATGTATATATATATGGTTACAAGTGATAGCTGGAACCTCTTTCAAAATGCACTTATGTACTGAGAACTGGCATTAAAAAACCCAAACCAAGAAACCCAAAGCACGGGACGCCCGGCCGCGAGGCAGGGGAAAGCCTGGGGCCCCAGACCCGGGCCTGGGGGAGCCGCCTGGGGCCCCGCCAAACGCGGCACACGGGGACGGCCCCTCCCGGGGTCAGGCTCACTGGCTCCTTCCCTTCAGCGCCACCAGGCAGGAGGGCCAACGGTCACACAGGAGGCACCCTCACCTGCCTTTGCACCAGCAAATAAAGTGCATCCCATTTTCGTGTGAGCGTCGGCCCGGTGAGTCAGCCCTTCCGGGCCCTTTCCTGTTCTCAGGGCAGGGGGCGTGCGCTGAGCCAGAGGTAGATCTGCAGAAAGGGCCCCGACTGGGCCTCGGGCAGGGCCGGCGCCCACCACACTCTGGGGGTCAGCTATGCTGGTCCCTCTCACTGAGGGCTCCTGGAGGCCTATGTGGGCCAGCGTAGGGAGTGGGCAGACCCTGCTGAGCTCCACCCAGGGCCCCACCCCTTGGGAGGAGGGCTCTGCGGACCAGCATGTGGCAGAGGGAGGGCAGAAAGGAGGGGGTCAGACCCAACAGCCACTTCTGGCAGTAGCCCCCACGCCTACCTTAAAGACAAAGGGGGTTAAAGTGCTAAACATCAAGGTATCCAGGACTCCTCTTCCCACACCAGGGATTATCTGTGGGCTTTGGGAGTGTCCCGGAAACTCACCCCCAGCAAAAACCAGACCCTCTTCTCTTCTCCCCAAGGGCCAAGTACCTGAGAGGCTGGGGCAGGCACCACACCCTGCAGGTGTTCAGGTCCACCCTCCTCCCGCCATTGGTGGCAAGGACAAAGTGCACCTAGGCCCCCGCCCAGTGCCTGCTCCCCTCCCCTCCCCTCCCCTCCCCTCATGAGGCTGCCCCAGCAGCAGCTGCCAGACCCCACCCTCCACCTCCGGCTCCTCCAGCTCCACCAGTGAAGCTCTGGGACACAGGAAGGAATGCCTCCCCCGACCCTCTGACGCTGGGTCACGCCCATCTCTGCCCCAGCCTCCATCCTCTCATCAGGCCGAGGTGTGCGTGGGTGGGGGGAGTCCGGGTCTCCACACCCACTCCCTGGCACATCTGGCAAGGGCTGCTGAGGGTTGGAGCCTTCTGGCCCAAGGATGAAGCCAGAGACAGGAAGTGTTCTGCAACCCCAGTCCCCAAAGTGCTCCTGGAACTTGTCTCCCTACTACTGCAGGCCAAGCCCAGTGGGGCCCCTTCTCCCTGGGGAATGGGGGAGGGTGGGTGCTGGGGGCAGAGGCAGTGCCCAGTCAGTACTGCCTCCCTGAGCAGCAAGGGACCCCAACCCCAGAGACCCACGCCCTGGTCCAGCCCAGCCCCCAGGCCCACCGTCTGCACCAGGAAACCCTTAGCACCAAATGTCGGATTGCGAGTGTTTGTATAAAAAACAATTTAAAAAAAAGGTTGTTACTTGTCACAGCAACAAGACTGGCATCCACTACACCCAGGAGACACACGCACACGGGCAAACATCAAAATTCTCATCGTCCAGGGTCAGTGGGGCCGAGCCCTCAGCCCACTCCCACCCACCCTGGAAAATGGCCTCCCTCCAAACCTACCCCCTCTGAG
Organism: Homo sapiens; assembly: GCF_000001405.40. Classification (NCBI taxonomy): domain Eukaryota; kingdom Metazoa; phylum Chordata; class Mammalia; order Primates; family Hominidae; genus Homo; species Homo sapiens. The sequence continues at coordinate 63,958,572 of NC_000020.11, forward strand.
CCTCATCCTCCCTGCAATGCCGTGGTTGGAAGGCAGGACCCCAGGGAGGGAGCCACAGGCTGTGGCCACCTCTTCCAGGCACCCTGGACTCCCTGCCTGACCCCTGCCCTACCTATAGACCCAGCCGTCCTCAGGGCCACAAAGGGGCAAAGACAGCTCTGGAGCTGCCATCAACCTGCTGTGACTTTGGCCAAGCCCCTCCCCTGGCTGGCCTTCAGTTCCCATATCAAATGACCACACAACCAGAAACAATGGGGGCAGGTTAAAAAAAAAAGTGGGGAGGGGGCTCCCATGAGAGCTTGGCCACTGGGCCTACCCAGATTGGCAGACAGAAGGCTGCCTTTCCCCCAGTGGCCACTCAGAGCCAGGCCAGCTCTGCCCAGCTTCCTGCCCCACATGCCTATGGGCCCCAGCAAGACCCCAGGGCCCGAACTAGTCCGTCCCTACTCCACGAGGCTGCTCCAACCTAGGCCTGCAGTGCCAGAAGGCTGAACACTGGAGGAGAGCACACTCCAGGGGCCCCACACCCCCAGGGCTGGCAGCTGTGTTGAAGGGCATCAAGCTTCTGCTGCCCTGTAGGTACAAGAAGCAAAACCCCTCCCTTGCCCCAAGCTGGGAGAATTACAGACAGGCCTGGGGGGCAGGGCCTGAGCACAGCAGGGATCGCACTGACAAAGGAGGAGCAGGGGTGGGGGTAGTGGGCAGGCCTGGAGAGGTAGAAAACAGAAGCAAGGGGACCAAGTGGGTGGCCAAGGGCAGGCCGGAGCCTGTCAGGTCAGCATGGCAGTGGTCAGACAGGGGTCTGTCCTGGGAGGTAGCTGGGGGTGCTGGAGTTCCAGTGTTGGGTGGAGGTGAGGCCAGGATGGTGGCTGCCCGTGCCAGGTTGCTCAGGTGCCCTCACCAGCCCAGAACCACAGGTCACCAGGGATGCCTGAGCCTTGGGGTAGCCAGGGAAGGGACCCGGCAGGGCCTGAGGAAGCGGAGCCGGGGGGCCAAAGGCCATCTGCCTACTCTGCGCTGCAGCCCCTGTGGCACCAAGACCCCAGACACATTCCCATGAGGAGGGGCAACCCTCCTGGCTATTGCACTTCTGCTGGGCACACCTTGGGGAGCCCCAACCCAGGTGTGCCCTGTGGCAGCCTTAACAGGGGAAGGGCCACCTTCAGGGAAGGGAGAGTGGCTGGCTGCCCCACTGGACGGATGAAGAGGCGGGGGTGGGGGATGGAGAACTGGAGGACAGAGGTCCCGGAGCTGGCCCTGCCTTGAACAGAGGGCGGTGTGGCGGCTGCATGGGGGCCAGGCCCCACGCACCATGCTCACTTTTCAGGCGCCTTGCTGACTCCCACCTTCCGGCCGGTGGAGCCCCGGGCCCCCTTGTCTCTGCATCCTGGAGGCCAGTCGTCCCGGCGCGGGGGCAGCTTGGCCACAGGCTCCTCTGGGGTCCGCTCCTTGGGCTTTCGGCCCCGCTTCTTTCCACCTGCCAGATTTTTCTTCTTTTCCTTCTTGGGCACCAATGAGTCCTGGCTCCTGTGTTTGGGAGGTGGGTCTGCTGATGTTCGGAACCAGTTCTGGGGAGAGAAAAGCGCTGATGAAGACCTGGGACTGGATGCTGAGCACCTGAGCCAGGCATAGCCTGAGAGCTGAAGACCTGTCAGCCTTCAGGACCAGGCAAGCACCTGCAGCAGGGCTGGACACAGCCTTTAGGACCAGGCAGGCACCTGCAGCAGGGGGCTGAACACAGCCTTCGGGACCAGGCAAGCACCTGCAGGGGGCTGGACACAGCCTTCGGGACCAGGCAAGCACCTGCAGCAGGGCTGGACACAGCCTTCGGGACCAGGCAAGCACCTGCAGCAGGGCTGGACACAGCCTTCTGGACCAGGCAAGCACCTGCAGCAGGGGGCTGGACACAGCCTTCAGGACCAGGCAGGCACCTGCCGCAGGGCTGGACACAGCCTTCAGGACCAGGCAGGCACCTGCCGCAGGGCTGGACACAGCCTTCAGGACCAGGCAGGCACCTGCCGCAGGGCTGGACACAGCCTTCAGGACCAGGCAGGCACCTGCCGCAGGGCTGGACACAGCCTTCGGGACCAGGCAGGCACCTGCAGCAGGGGGCTGGACACAGCCTTCGGGACCAGGCAAGCACCTGCAGGGGGCTGGACACAGCCTTCGGGACCAGGCAAGCACCTGCAGCAGGGCTGGACACAGCCTTCAGGACCAGGCAAGCACCTGCAGCAGGGCTGGACACAGCCTTCAGGACCAGGCAAGCACCTGCAGGGAGCTGGACACAGCCTTCAGGACCAGGCAAGCACCTGCAGCAGGGGGCTGGACACAGCCTTCAGGACCAGGCAAGCACCTGCAGCAGGGGGCTGGACACAGCCTTCGGGACCAGGCAAGCACCTGCAGGGGGCTGGACACAGCCTTCGGGACCAGGCAAGCACCTGCAGCAGGGCTGGACACAGCCTTCGGGACCAGGCAAGCACCTGCAGCAGGGCTGCTGGGGGCTGGAAAGGCGGACACCCCGAGGGCAGCTCCAGCTCAGGGTGCAAGCCTCCCAGTTCTCCCAGGGAAGCCAGACCCCACTTTGAGGAGAAACTACCAGATTTCTCCACATTGGCCACTCTCCCAGGCACACCCCATGCAGGCCACTGACCTCTCTACCCCCAAGGGGTGCCCAACCCCAGCCCTGTCCCCTCCTGGGCTAGCCCCCAGCCACAGGCCCTGGTGATGGCCCTCGCACCTCTGCGTGGGTCTTCAGGATGTGGTATTTGACGCCACTCTCAGAACTGAACTCCTTCGGACACAGCAGACAGCGGTACTTCCCTGCCAGGTGGGCCCCCTGCAATGCATAGGCAGGCCAGTGCCCCAGCCCTTGGAGGACCCAGATCTGTCCTAAGCCCCTACTCATGGCTAAAGGGTCAGAGTCAGCGGTGGCCCAAGGAAAGCTGTGGCTGTCTGTGCCAGACAATGCAGGGGGCCACTGAGTTACCAGGGCGGCAGGGGTGGTAGGGGAGAGGAAGGGTAGGGAGAGGCAGGTGCCCAGGGGAAGAGTTGCAGACCTTTGCCGAGCATCCCTTATTGTAAGCCAGTGTGCCATCTGCGTGGGTCGGGGTGCCCACCCATGCCTACATGGACGCAGAGCTCCAAGGACAGGACTAGGACTCGTTGTCTTGTGGCTGGGGTTGGGGCGAGGGAGGTGTCCTAGGCTGGCCATCAGCCACCGGCCAGTCTCTGGGTTCGTGGAAGAGGAGGCCACGTAGAAAAAGTAGGGGACAAGGCAGGGTCCCTCACTACTGTGTGGGAAGCCCGCGTGGGGTGAGCTGGGAGCTCTGAGTGCAGCGCACCTGGCCGTGGGGCAGGCCCCAGAACTGACCTTACTGCAGCTGGCGAGATGAGCCTTGAGTCCGGACACGCTGGAGTAGATGGCTTCACAGCACTGCAGGGAAGGGAGCCGTGGGCGAAGGCCTCTGGTGGGCACCCCACACCAAGATATACCCCTGCCCTACCCCAGGGGATCTCTGAGGCTCTTTGGGGCAAGTGAGGGGGTGTGAGTCCTGGGGACTGGGCAGGCTGGGCATGTGAGGCCTGGGGTGGGCTTGGGCACCTCCTGAAAGCTCTCAGCCTCTGTTCCTGCTCAGAGGGCCACACCCAGGCTCTGGCCCTGTATGGCTCCCCACGCCCCCCACCCGGCTGCCTCCGCTCACGTCGTTGGGACAGTTGACGTGGCCTTTCTCCTTCACTTCATTCTTCCATGCCTCTAGCAGCTGGGGGTTCAGCGTGGGGAGCCCTGGTCGAGTGTAGTTGAGCTGTGAATTCGACAGCACCAGGGTGAGCCTGAGGCCAGAAGACACCCCAGCTGCTCTAAGAACACTCGCCTCGGCAGCAGGCGACACTCGCCGCAGATGGCGGGGGCAGCGGGTGGCCCAGGTCACAGCAGTGGCTGTCCCAAGTCTCAGGCCAAGGCATGCCCCACGCAGAGGCCACGGCGCTGTCCACAGCCCTGGGGGGGGCAGCTCACCCGTGCGGTCTCGGGCACAAGGTCATCCTTCATGCGCCGCTTGGTCCAGTCGCGGGCCAGCTCGTCCTCCGCTATCTCCTGCAGGTGGAACACCGCCACCTGGGCCGACGTGCGGCGGACACGCCCGCTTGGGGTCCGCTCCACACCCAGCGGGTCCTCAGCCTCAGGGGACTTGTCTGTGGGCTCCTCAGGGGGCTGGAGGGCAGGAAGGCATGGAGGCTAGAGTGAGCCGCGGGAGCAAGAGTCAGGTCAGCGCGCGGCGAGGCCACCCTAAGGCCGGTGGACCCACAGGCCTCCCAGTGTGCTGGGGACATGGCTGACGCAGGCAACCCGAGGGAACACGGAGGTTTCACCCTCCCGCCCACCAGGACACACGTCTCTTACAGAGAGGGGTGGGAAACACACGCGTTGGGCGGTACATGGACAAATACAGTTGGCACCCAAGGCACACGGAACACACACGGCACACAGGAACAAGCACTGTGCCACAGAACAGAGAGCCACTCACGGGGGCCGTGTGCTCCGAGCGCACGTGGTAGTCGTGGCCAGCCTTGGATCGGTACGTCTTGCCACAGTGGGTGCAGGGGAAGGAGGGGCTGTCCACCTCGCAGGGCGGCTTCCCGCAGCGCCGCTGGTGGTACTGGTAGCCCATGAGGCTGGAGAAGGCAGCCCCGCAACCCTGGGGGTCAGGCCAGAGGGTGGGTGAGTGGCCAGCAGGGCCCCCCCACCCCACACTGCCGCGGCCCCCCACTGACCTCCTGGGGGCAGCGCAGCCGTCCCATCTGCTTCAGCACCTTGCGCAGCCTCTCGCGCTCCTCCTGCTCGCCCCCTTCGGAGGCCTCGGCGTCAGAGGGCTGGGGACAGGGTGAGCATCGGTGACCCGGCACCATCGCCACGGAGCCCTGCCCTGGCCCCGCCCCGCCCAGGTGTTGGGCCACCGTTGTCCGAGGTTAGAAACCGGGGGCACTGCGGTGAAGGTGGGGTGCGAGGTCAGAGGTCACGCTGGACGGGAGCTGGGGGCCCGACGGTACCTTGGCACTGTGCTCGGCCATAGTGTGGTAGTTGAGGCCGGCTTTGGACTTGAACTGCTTCCGGCAGTGCTGGCACTTGAGTGCATCCTGAAGCTGCAGATGGCCCACATGTGAGAAGCCTGCCTGGGGCCAGGGCGCCTCCCTCCCAGCGCCTTCCGGGAGCTGCCTTACCTTCTGACACACCTCCATGTGCTTCTTAAGCCCCACGAGAGTCTTCCGGGTGACCACGTTGCAGGTGGGGCAGACGGCTTCCCCGCGCTCATGGATGGCCCTCTGCCACTGCTCTTCAGGGCCACCTGTGGGTAAGGCAGGGGCCTCGAAGGCTTGTGGGGGCTGCTGGGTGGCCCAGACGCCAGGCACAGAATCCAGTCTCCACACTCAGCCCCCATCCCTGTGCTGTGGGATCTACCCGCCGTCTAGAGCTGCCCTGAGCCCCTGCCAGGCAGCCCCTACCTGGAGCTGGGTGGGCCACAGGGGCCGGTGCCTCCTTGCTGACAGTGATGGGGGCAGCTGGCACCTTCTTCCGGGCGTCCTCAGGGCCTGGCCCCTCCTGCTTCTTGGAGCGGTGAACTCGGGCCTTGTCCTCAGCTTTGACCAGGCCTGTGTGCACACATGGGGTGGAGAGAAACAGGGATGGGCTCAGGGGCTGTCACTCGGTGGACAGCCCCAGCCCTGGAGGTGCACACCGGGCTGGGGTCTTACCTTTGAGCCCAAAGGTCCCTGAGATGGATGGCTGCTCCCCTGTAAACTTTTTGGGTGTTTTCTGTTTCCTTCCTGACTCGGGGAGAGAAAACGGGGGCCAAGATTCTGGTGAAATAACCGTCAGGAGGCCGAGCCTGCCCCGGCCGCCACCCCTGGAGCTCTCATCTTACTGTGCTTTGTGCGCTCCGGGTCCTCCTCAGGCGGGGACGCAGGGCCTGCAGCCTTCAGTGCCTCCATGCCCCCTGACGGCCTGCTGCCTGGCGACAAGGAGCCACTGCTGGTGTCTGCACTCAGCTGGAAGGCCGAGCTCTGGCCCATGGAGGAGGGGCCGTACTCCCCATTCTCTGGCCTGGCCTGCTTGGGTGGAATTGGGCAGGTGTCCAGGCTGTCCGCAGCCCTGCAGGGAGCAGGTGAGGTGAGGGCCAGGAGGGCCTAACTGTGGGCCCCATTACCCCCAGGCCGTGGCCGAGGAGCACCCTGACCTGGAACGAGCCCCCATACCTTTTCTCACCACTGTTCCCCGACCTGGGACAAGCCCCCATACCTTTTCTTACCACTGTTCCCTGACCTGGGACGAGCCCCCATACCTTTTCTCACCACTGTTCCCTGACCTGGGACGAGCCCCCATACCTTTTCTCACCACTGTTCCCCGACCTGGGACGAGCCCCCATACCTTTTCTCACCACTGTTCCCTGACCTGGGACGAGCCCCCATACCTTTTCTCACCACTGTTCCTCCCCGACCTGGGACGAGCCCCCATACCTTTTCTCACCACTGTTCCCCGACCTGGGACGAGCCCCCATACCTTTTCTCACCACTGTTCCCTGACCTGGAACGAGCCCCCATACCTTTTCTCACCACTGTTCCCCGACCTGGGACGAGCCCCCATACCTTTTCTCACCACTGTTCCCCGACCTGGGACGAGCCCCCATACCTTTTCTCACCACTGTTCCCCGACCTGGGACGAGCCCCCATACCTTTTCTCACCACTGTTCCCCGACCTGGGACGAGCCCCCATACCTTTTCTCACCACTGTTCCCCGACCTGGGACGAGCCCCCATACCTTTTCTCACCACTGTTCCCTGACCTGGGACGAGCCCCCATACCTTTTCTCACCACTGTTCCCCGACCTGGGACGAGCCCCCATACCTTTTCTTACCACTGTTCCCCGACCTGGGACGAGCCCCCATACCTTTTCTTACCACTGTTCCTCCCCGACCTGGGACGAGCCCCCATACCTTTTCTCACCACTGTTCCTCCCCAACCTGGGACGAGCCCCCATACCTTTTCTCACCACTGTTCCTCCCCGACCTGGGACGAGCCCCCATACCTTTTCTCACCACTGTTCCCTGACCTGGGACGAGCCCCCATACCTTTTCTTACCACTGTTCCTCCCCGACCTGGGACGAGCCCCCATACCTTTTCTTACCACTGTTCCTCCCCGACCTGGGACGAGCCCCCATACCTTTTCTTACCACTGTTCCTCCCCGACCTGGGACGAGCCCCCATACCTTTTCTTACCACTGTTCCCCGACCTGGGACGAGCCCCCATACCTTTTCTCACCACTGTTCCCTGACCTGGGACGAGCCCCCATACCTTTTCTTACCACTGTTCCCTGACCTGGGACGAGCCCCCATACCTTTTCTCACCACTGTTCCTCCCCGACCTGGGACGAGCCCCCATACCTTTTCTCACCACTGTTCCCCGACCTGGGACGAGCCCCCATACCTTTTCTTACCACTGTTCCTCCCTGACCTGGGACGAGCCCCCATACCTTTTCTTACCACTGTTCCTCCCCGACCTGGGACGAGCCCCCATACCTTTTCTTACCACTGTTCCTCCCTGTGGCACGAGGTGCTTTGTTCTCCGACCTGGTCAGCAGCACCATTTTGCAGGGCGGTGTGTGTCTGCTGATAGCAATGGGCCTGCTGACTGTCACCGGCTTGCTGACCACAATGGGCCTGCTGACTGTCACTGGCTTGGTGACCGGCACGGGTTTCGTAACTGTCACAAGCTTTGTTACCGTAATGGGTTTGGTGACAGGTACGGGTTTGGTGACCGGCACAGACTTGGTGACTGTGATGGGTTTGGTGACCGGCATGGCCTTGGTGACGGGCATGGGCCTGCTGACTGTGACAGGTTTGGTGACTGGCACGGGCCTAGTGACCGGGATGGCCTTGGTGACTGGCATGGGTCTGCCGACCGAGACTGGCTTGCTGATGCCAATGGGTTTGCTGACACCCACAGGTTTGCCAATAGTGACAGGTTTGCTCACTCCGATGGGCTTGCTGACCCCAACAGGCCGGCTGATGGTGACCGGCCTGCTGATGGGCCCAGGCTTGGAGGCAGGCAGGGGTCGGTCCATGTGGTTCCAGATCCGGTGTTTCTCCAGCTGGGTCTTAGAGGTGAATGCGGCCTCGCAGAAGGGGCAGGGGAAGGCCAGGCGATCTGAGATGGCACCCTGGGCAGGGAAGGGAAGGTTTGGGACAGGGCCCCAAGGGCCTCTGCCCAAACACACCCCGAGGCCTCCTCTCCCCCGACCCACAGTCCCTTACCCCTTGGCACCGCTGGTAATGGTACTTGAGCCCGTAGATGCTGGGGAACTCCAGCCAGCACCCTGAGTTTGGACACTTCACCCTCGAGTGTGCCTTGAACTCATCCTTCCAGTCGTTCATCAGGGAGAGCTAGGCGTGGGGAAAGGTGGTGCTGCTGACCCGCAGCCACCTGGGCCACTGCCAGCCCGAGCCCCAGACTCAGAGCCCCCCCGGGCCTGCAGGGCACACACACCACATGAGCCCCTCAACCTCGGGACTGCAGTGGGAATTCAAGCCACCTGGCAGGGGCCATGCACAAGACCCGTTCTAGGAGCCCACCAACGCGATCCCCCGAATCTCCCGGCACATCAGATACAAAGCCAGGCCACGTGAAGTCTGCCAGGCCAGTGCCCACATCTTGAGGCATAGAGTTGGTACCAGATGTGCAGAGGACAAATCAGGGCAGGGCAGTGGCTGGATAGGGAGACCCCAGCATGAGCCCCACCATGGCCCTGAGGGAGCTCACAGGAATGTCTCGGAGGGCCTGGTTCTCGGCTTTTGGCCGCCCCTTTTTCTTCCCTTCTGTCTTGTCACTGGCTGGACTTCCCGGGTCAAAGCAGAGAGGGGCCTGGCCGGGCACTGTCTGTCCACCACGGACCACCGGCATCCCTGCAGCACACAACACAGCAAGGCTCGGAAGCTGTGTAGCACCGCCTACCACCGGCGGCTGCACAGGCCCACAGTGAGCACCGCTGTCCCAACACGAGGGCACCGGGGGCAGGGGCTGCGGCCAGCTGAGGACAAGAACCCAGGACCCTGGGCTATGTCCAAGGCAACCCCTACCCTGGTAAGGTCCTTGGGAACTCTAGGGGCCTAGCTGGGTACCTGGAGACAGGACGCCCAGGGCAATGGTCCACTCCTACCACTTGCTGCCCAGAACCATCTGGAATTGACTCTGGCCCTGACTCCTCTTACCCATCTTCGGTGGGTCATGCAGCATTGGAAGTCGGACCTCCTTTCGGCTGCCATCCTTCCCGGGACCACTCTTGCTGGACCCCGGGAGCCGACGGCCTCCAACGCAGAAAGGATCCGTCATCTCTGCAGAGCAAGTAGACAATCTGTGAAGCCTGACGGGCCCCACTTGGAACACGTGGTGAGGCTGCCCTGGAGCCCTGCCCTTGGCAGGTCCTCTCTGGTCAGGGAAGAGGGGCCTGCCTTCCTGTGGTTTTGTTCACGTGGGAAAAGCAAGTGATGGGGGCTTCTGACTTAGGGGAGGGGCTGCCAGCCAAGGTCTCCCCAGATAACCCAGGAGTCATCATCAGTTTGATAGGATCTAGTCCTGTCCTGAGACCCTCACCAACTTCCAGACCCCCTTCCCAACACGCAGCTCTACAGTGTACGCAGCTCCACAGTGTGCGTAGCCCCACAGCTGCGAAGATGATGCCGAAGGTGATGCACTCCTACCCAGTGCTGGGAGGGGGTGTGCCCCTGGGAGAGGTGCCTTGCGCAGGAGGAAGGAGGCTGGCAACATTCCTCCAGGGGCCAATTATGTCTCTGATGATGGCTGCTGGCTCACAAGCTGCCCAGGCCCAGCAGTGGGGGCACAGCTTCTCACTGGGGCCCTCATACCTTCCCATGCTGACTTGATGCAATGCCAGCCTACCCAGGCAGGTACCCTTGGAATCTTCTCTCCAGACACAGATGGAAAACAGCCAAGGTGGGCACTGAGGACCCCTGGCCCAATCTGGCACTGCACCAAGCTCCCGTCCCTGTGCCGGCTGAACTATCCTACCTGATGCTCTTCGCAGACTTGTCTCCAGGCTTGGCAGGCTGACCCGCCCCCCACCTCTCTCTGGATCCTCTCAGTCCTCTGCCTACAGACCCACCACTACCACTTCAGCCAAACAAGTCGTGGAAGCACCAGCAGTGAAGGCCCAGGATGCTGGCCAGAGAGAACGCCCTGCTGCCCAAGGCTGGGGCCCCCGAGGGCCTGTGCTGCTGGGAACCCCATCCTGAGAGCTGGGGAGCAGAGGAGACTCTGGGCCCAGCCCTGTGGAAAAGCCACGGAAGGGGGTGGGACAGGAAGCAGGGTGAGGGTTGAGTGGGCAGGTGGCCCCCTCCTGATAGCTTCTAATTAACTTGGATCCGAGGGGATGGGAAGGGGCTGCTGTGTCCAGGAGGGCCAGAGAGCTGAGGTCAGAGGTCAGGACAGTCACTGCCCATTGCCAAGGGGGAGGCCAGTGTCCGGGGACAAAGTTCTCTGGAAGTCCTCACTTTGCAACTTTTGAAAGGAGACAGGGCCGGCATGAGTCATCCCAGCACCTGATGACCCCGGTGGCCTGGGGTGCAGGTGCCTGCTGAGGCCCCACTTCCAATTTTTCTGAAGCCTGGGAGAAGAATTCAGAATAGTGGGGCCTGAGGCCAGGGCCAGCCTGGGAGGCAGAGACGCGACTGGCGCCCCGGATGAGAAGGGGCTTCGGCCCTCCCGAGCCCAGCGGGGACACAGAGCCCTCGCGGGGAGAGGGGGCTCCGCCGCGCTGCGCGCAGGAGACGCCAGCAGCGGGTCCGCCGCGTAGGCCGTTCGGCCCGGGACCCCGGCCCAGGCCTGGCGCGCGGGTGAGCGCGGCCAGGGACGCGCACCTGGGGCCAGCCTCGCCACCCACCTGTCACCTGGGGCCGGGAGCGGGCGCGGGGCGCGGGCCTCGGCCTGGCCGGGCAGGGCCGATCGCGGGCGCGGGGTGGGGGGGCGAAGGCAGTGAACCAAAATGGCGACTTTTTCTGGAGAAGGAGGAGGCAGGAAGACGGCGCCGGCGCGGGGCGCGGGGGCTCGGGCGCGGCGGGGGGCGGGGGGGCTCCGGGCCCGGCCCCCTCCTTGGCCTGCGCGCAGGGTCGAGATCCGGGGCGCGGTGGGCGCCGGGGCTGCGGCCAGAATGGGTCCGGGGCGCGGCCGGGCGCTTACCTGCGGCGCCCAGCGGGGCTGCGGCCGGGCCGGGCCGGGCCGGGGCGGGGGGCGCGGGGCGCGGGGCGCTGGGTCCGGGCGGCGCAGGCTGCGCGCCGCGCTGCGCACATGCGCGCTCCCGCCCCTCCCACCTTTGACAGTTTTACTGCGGGGGGGAGGGGGCGAACTCTCGCGTTATTCCCGCGGCCGCTCCGCGACGGGGAGGGGGCGGGGAGGGGGCGGGGGCGGGGGCGGGGGCCCGGCGCTGGCCTGTGGTTCCCCCGCTCCGCGGTTCCGCCCCCGTCGGCCGGGCCCGCAGTCCAGAGTAGCCGGTTCTGCCGTCCTGGGGCGGGGGACGTTTTTTGGACAGTGGGGTAAACTGAGGCCCGATAGGGGCGCTAGGCACTGCCCGGAGTCCGGCGCGCACGGATTGAGGCGACCTGATTCCGCCGCATCCTGGCCCGCGCGGCGAGTGTGGTCTCTGGGCTCGGGACCCTGACCTCTGGCCCTGGGGGCCGTGCACCGGCAGCGCAGGATTCAGCCTTCTTCCAACTGGCCCTGAGACCACTTTTGCGACTGACCCCCGGAGGTGCCTGGCGGCTTAAGGCCATGGGGTTTTACTGGGGTCACTGACCATTGGGTCACCCTTTCCCAGCTCTGGGGGCAGTGGTTCTGAACCAGTGCCAGGGCCTTCTCTGCCCCACAGCTTGGGCTTCTGCAGGCAGGGGGCACTGGGGTCCGGTGTGGGCTGAGTGGTCTGGAGGTGGCGGGGCACTGACAGCACAGGACTTGGGAATGAATGAGACAGAGAAAGGTTGGCTCTCCTAAAGAGGACTGGTAGGAGGCACCACACGGGACTGGCACAGGACCCACAAGAATCTCCCCCAGGAGAGCCTGCCTGCCTGCCTGCCTGCCTTCCTTCCTTCCCTCTCTTACTTCCTTCTCTCCTTCCTTCCTTCCTTCTTCCTTCCCTCCCTTCTCTTCCTTCCCTTCCCTCCCTCCCTCCCTTCTTCCTTCCTTTCCTTCCTTCTTCCTTCCTTCCTTTTCTCTTTCCTTCCTTCTCTTCTCTTCCCTCCCTCCCTTCCTCCCTTCCTTCTCTTCCTTCCCTTACCTTCCTCCCTCCCTTCTTCCTTCCTTTCCTTCCTTCTTCCTTCCTTCCCTTCCCTTCCTCCCTTCCTTTTCTCCTTCCTTCCCTTCCTTCTCTTCCCTCCCTCCCTTTCTCCTTCCTTCCTTCCTTTCTCTCTCTTTCTTTTTCTCCCCTCCCCTCCCTTCTCCTCCCCTCCCTTCCCCTCCTCTCCTTTCTCCTTCTCCGTTCTTTTTTTATTCTTGAGATAGGGTCTCGCTCTGTCATTCAGGCTGGAATGCAGTGGTGTGATCTTGGCTCACTGCAGCCTCTACCACCTGGGCTCAAGCAATCCTCCCACCTCGGCCTCCCAAGTAGCTGGAACTACAGGTGTGTGCCACCCCACCTGGCTAAGTTTTAAAGTATTCATAGAGACGAGGTCTTTCTGTGTTGACTAGGCTGGTCTTGAACTCCTGGGCTTAAGCCATCTTCCTGCCTCAGCCTCCCACAGTGTGGGCATTACAGGTGTGACCCACCGCCTCTGGCTAGGAGGGCATTTTTTTTTTTTTTTTTTTTTGAGACAGAGTCTGGCTCTGTAGCCCAGGCTGGAGTGCAGTGGTGCGATCTCGGCTCACTGCAAGCTCCGCCTCCTGGGTTCATGCCATTCTCCTGCCTCAGCCAACCAAGTAGCTGGAACTACAGGCGCCCACCACCACGCCCGGCTAATTTTTTTGTATTTTTAGTAGAGACGGAGTTTCACCCTGTTAGCCAGGATGGTCTCAATCTCCTGACCTCGTGATCCGCCCACCTCGGCCTCCCAAAGTGCTGGGATTACAGGCGTGAGCCACTGCCCCTGGCCTTAGGAGGGCCATTCTTACCTGTTCACAGCACCCATCTCCCAGGGAAGGCCTCAGGCCTCAGGAGGGAAGAGTCAAGGAGACTCTGGGTTTTCATCTTGTGCCCATAGAGCATTTTTTTTTTTTTTTTTTTGAGATGGAGTCTCTCTCTGTTGCCCAGGCTGGACTGCAGTGGCGCCATCTCTGCTCACTGCAACCTCCGCCTCCTGGGTTCAAGCAATTCTGCCTCAGCCCCCTGAGTAGCTGGGATTACAGGCACGTGCCACCATACCCAGCTGATTTTTTGTATTTTTAGTAGAGACGGGGTTTTACCAAGCTGGCCAGGCTGGTCTCGAACTCCTGACCTCGTGATCCACCCACCTCGGCCTCCCAAAGTGCTGGAATTACAGGCATGCGCCACCGCACCCAGCCAGCATTTTTTTTAAAACCATGTGCATATATTACTTTTATAATTAAAACAGACTTTTAAAAGTTTCGTAATGCCCCTTTTTGCATACTACAAATATTCTGGACTCCTTAAAATTGATGTGGGCTGGAAGTTGCTAGTCAGGAAATGGAACTACCAGGTGTGCCTCCTTCGCTGGGGCCCTTCCGGCCCAGTCGGCCCCTTTCCCTGTACCCCGTGGAGCAAGCTCAGAGGCACTGCTAGGGGGTTGGGCAGTAAGATTTTTGCCTTTCCTCAAAGGGGCCTGGGATCTGCTTCACTCAAGGCTGGTGCAGAGCACTCACATGGAGATTGGAGGTTGGCTCTTATAGAAGAGGCAGTCAGTCAATCCTTCCTTCGGGAATCTGAGTCAGAGAGGCCAGTGCACACCAGCCTGTGTGACCCGAGGAGGAAGGGGAGGGCATTCCCTGTGAGGCTAGCGTCATCACGTCCTTCCCTTGTTGACCTTTCCCACCCTGGGGACGGGACCAGCAGGATTTCCTGAGGGGTCAGTGTGTGTCCCCTTAGGTGCAGCCAAGGCCGTCAGCTCTCCCTGTGTAAGTCTGGGTGTCCATACATGCGACCTGTTTGGACATTGCCGTGTCAGGATATGACAGTGTCCCATGCTAGGTGAGACCAATGCCTGTCTGTATTTTAGCATCTGGGCGACTAGACCTCAGGGTACCTGGGGACGATGTGTCTGGATTTCAGTATCCATGTGTCCAGGCTGCGGCATGTCTCAGTGTCAGGGTGCTGGTGAGGGACGGCTGTTTTCTGTGAGCATCTACATGCCAGGGTGTCGTGGAATACAGTGTGTTTGTGTGCACCGGGGATGTGCCGTGTCCCATGTGTTTCTATGTGTTAGGAGGTCGTTGTGTGTCTGCATGCTAGTATTTGTGTATTTGTGTAATGACATCTTTGTATGGGGGCATGCTGTTACATACCTTTGTGTCTGTGTGCCTGGCCAACTACATGCATGTGTTTGTGTGTGTTGGTGTTTGCTGGTGTCAGTGTCATTGAGTCTCTGTGTGTGGTTTATGCTCTTATGTGTCTGATTGCTGTGTGTGTGTGGTGTGTGTGTGTGTGTGTGTGTGTGCTGTGATCTGTGTTTGAGACAGGGTCTTGCTCTGTTGCCCAGGCTGGAGTGCAGTTGTGTGGTTAGAGCTCACTGTGCCTTGAACTCCTGGGCTCAAGGAATCTTCCTGCCTCAGCCTCCCAAGTAGCTGGGACTACGGGTATGCGCCACCATGCCTGGCTAGTTTCAAAAGTTTTTTGTAGAGATGGGGTCTTGCTATGTCACACAGGCTGGTCTTGAACTCCTGGCCTTCAGCGACACTCCTGCCTTGGTCTCCCACAGTGCTGGGATTGCAGGCGTGAGCCACCGTACCAGGCCAGATGTTTGTGTTTTATCCCTGAACGTGTGAATGGGATCTTATTGGGAAAAGGGTATTTGCAGATGTGATGAAAGATCTTGTGATGAGGAGATTATCCTGTATTACCCAGGTGGCCCCAAATCCAAGCATCCTTATAAGAGAGAGACAGAGGGAGATTTGAGAGACAGAAGAGGAGGAGGTGATCTGATTACAGAGGCGGAGACGGGTAATGCCCATGCGCCCGAGTTCCCCCGGCAGCCACTGGAAGCTGGAGAGGTGAGGAGTCGCCCCAGGAGGCCCTGAGGGAGCTGGATTTTGGACTGCGGCCTCCAGAACTCCAGAGAGAATGAATGTCTGCTGTTCTCAGCACCCCTCCGTGGTCCTCTGTCACGGCAGCCGCGGGACCCTCACGCGCTGTCTGGGCCGTCCCTTCCAGCGTGTCGGGCGTTGTGTCCAGCACTGGGGACCGCCCACAGGCGTGACTTGAGCCCTGTTTCCAGCCTCTGCGCGGGGTTGCCCAGACGCCCCTCCAGGGCGTGACGCCACTGCCCCCTGGTGGCCGCGGCTGCCCAGACGCCCTCTCCTCGCAGACCCAGCACCGCCAGCACTTGGGAACCAGCTTTATTTCTGATTTTTTTTTTTTGTCAGAGTATAAAAAAGTGAGTGCAGCAAAACAAGGAAGACGAGACAGGCGTGCGTGGGCCAGGGCAAGACAGAGGAGAAGGGAGGGAAGCAGAGGCAGAAGGGCCCCTTGGGCGAAGGCTGATGGTGGGAGGCGGGCAGAATACTTGCGCAGCCACACAGGGGCAGGGATGAGGGTCTCCCCGTGGTGGGGGCTTACAGGATGGGAGCGGCCAGGCCAGTTGTCCAAATTCCACCTGGGACCTGCAGTGACCAGCCTCGAGTCTGGAGGCTCAAAGCACACAGAGGGGACTAGGGGCTCAGCCTCATCTGTCCCTGAGATTTTCAGAAGCCACAGGGGGACTGGGAGAGGGCAGAGGCGCAAGAGGGTGGAGGCGGCTAGGGCCGCCCTCACTGTCCTTCCGCCAGGCAGCACCAGCCCCAAACCACCCAGAGAGGGGTTGCTCAGGCCTCTGGGAGGGTGTAAGGGGAGTGGCCCTGGGAAGGCCTCTCCCCTGAATCCAGGCCTTCTTGGGAAAGCAGCAATGGGAAGGCCCACGCACAAGGCCCTTGTTCTTGAGGGCGAGGGGGGAAGACCATAAAAGCAAGATTTTCCCAAAGATAGGGCAGGGAGCACTGCTAAGCCTGGGCCCTGGGCGCGGAGCCACCTGGACAGGGCTGGGGTTCTCGTTGTGCCACATTTTGTCTCTGGCGCTTGGTCAATCTGGTCCTTTCTCAGCTTTACTTCTCATGAATAGAGGGGGTGTGGTGACGATGTATAAATAATGATGAAAGTGCTTGGCATGGTGCCCGTTAGGCGGGTGCTGATGGCCACTACTCTAGATGATGGGTTGGCCTGCTGGGCCCTGGCAGGTGCATGGGCACAAGCCACAGGGAGCCGAGGCAGCTTATGGTACCTGTGTGGGCCAACCTGGAGGTGCTGGGGAACGACCTAGAACTGGGCTGGGTGGGTGGACAGACAAGTGACTCAGCAGGCGATGGGGGACCGACATCACGTGGAGAGGGGAATGTAAATAAACAGACTCCCTGGGAGTCTAGGGGGGACATCCAAACCGGTTCTGGCTCCAGGCAGCTGCCCCACATGCTGCCAGCTGCACCAGGGGAGGGCTTGGGCTCAGGTCCCAGGAGGTGGGGCCACACTCAAGCAGCCCCCTACCCACCCAGCCCCAGGGCACGACCTGGAATGTCCAACCAGAGGCGCCTGGAGGTGTGATCCTGGTCCTGTCTGTCCGTTGGGCCAGCCTGGCCGCCCCGGCATCCCGCAGGGTCCAAGAGGCGCTGCGGGGCCAGCTTGGCCTCCTCCCTAGCCGTGGACTCCCATCACAGTGCTGGGGTCTGGGTTCAAGCCTCAGCAGCAGCTAGGACATTTTCCCGAAGGAAGCTGTGTGATGGAAGAGGGTGAGAATGGGGTGGGGTCTTTGGCATCATCTGCATTAGGGCGCTTACTGGGGCCTGCAGCCGACCTCCTGAGGTCATCCCACCCCACACTCAGAGGGGCTTCTCCATCAGCCCCCAGGCCTCTCTGGCACCTCACACTGACCTTGGCTGAGCAGCTGCAGGCTCCGCCCCTCCTCACGCACCTGCAGGCGGAGCACCTGCTGCAGCACCTCCTGCCTCTGGGCCTCCTGGGCCAGCCCCATCCGCTGCAGCTTCTCCGCATTCAGCCGCAGCAGTGCCCGGCCTGGGGAGAGGAAAGAGGGGCTGAGCTGAGGCCAACAGAGGCATCAAGAGCCAAGGCAAGGCTGGTGCCATGGCTCATGCCTGTGATCCCAGCACTTTGGGAGGCCGAGGCGGGCAGATCACTTGAGGTCAGGAGTTCAAGACCAGCCTGGACAACATGGTGAAACCCCGTTTCTACTAAAAGTATAAAAATTAGCTGGGCTTGGTGGTGTGCGCCTGTAGTCCCAGCTACTCGGGAGGCTGAGGCGGGAGGATCACTTGAACCTGGGAGGTGGAGGTTGCAGTGAGCTGAGATCGTGCCACTGCACTCCAGACTGGATGACAGAGCGAGACTCCTTCTCAGAAACAAACAAACAAACAAACAACAAACTGAGCCAAGGCAGAAGCAGGGACTGAAAGAGAAAAAGGGAGGAGAGAGAGAGGAAGCGGGAAGCACGGGCACAGAGAGACTCGGAGAGAGGGAGGAGAGAGAGAGGAAGCGAGGTTCAGAGAGACTCAGAGGGAGAAAGAGAATCAGCAAAACACACAGAGACTTAAAGGAGAGAGGCAGAGGGAAAGGAAGGAGAGCAAAAGGCAGGGACGGAACAGAGAAAAGCCAGATGAAGACAGCACAGAGAGATGGGAAGAGACACAGAAGAAAGGCAGAGAGGTCCGGACGCAGTGGCTCACACCTGTAATCCCAGCACTTTGGGAGGCTGAGGCAGGCGGATCACCTGAGATCAGGAGTTCGAGATCATCCTGGGCAACACAGTGAAACCCTGTCTCTACTAAAAATACAAAATTAGCCAGGCGTGGTGGTGCATGCCTGTAATCCCAGGTACTCGGGAGGCTGAGGCAGGAGGATTGCTTGAACCTGGCAGGCAGAGGATGTGGTGAGCCAAGATCGCACCATTTCACTCAGCCTGGGCAACAGGAGTAAATCTCTGTCTCACCAAAAAAAAAAAAAAAAAAAAAAAAAAAGAAAGGCAGAGAGATAGAAAAGACAGATTCTGCGGAGATGAAGAACAGAGGGGAGGTTGATTCACAGGAGAAACTAGACAGACGAAAACAACAGCAAGAGAAAGGCAGGCTGAGTGTGGGGAAGAGACGCTCTGAGGCAGGTTAGCCCCACTCCCACAGCACCCTCAGCGCCACTGTACCGGTGATGGCATGCTGGGAGAAGGCCTCCACGTAGACGAGGTAGTTGTGGGGACAGTGCTTCTTGAGCCACTTGCAGACGTCCTGCTGACTCCACAGGACCACGGGCCGGGTCAGGCCACCCAGCGAGGGGCTTGTATGGTACAGGCCATAGTGGTCAGAGTACAGCCGGCCCTGCAGGGGAGGGGCGTGGCAGGCAGAGTGAGAGTGGTGGAGAAGGAGGGCAGGGACGGAGGTGGGTGGAGTGGGTGGGTACCTGGGGGGTGTCTGTGCCGGGCTGCTGCAGGAGCTTGATTGGCCTGCTGCTGGCCGCCCTCTGGCTGCGGGAGTCATGCCACGTGAGGCTGGTGCCAGGTGTCCGAGGCAAGTGGCAGGGGATGCTCTCAGCTGACACCGTGTGCTCCAGGAGGGTCCGGCAGAAGCTGAAGTGGGCAGTGGCTGTGTGTGGGGGTGCCTGGTCAGGGCAGTCAAGGGCAGAACCAGAGGCTTCCTCTACTTGAGAGCTAGCTCCCTGCCCCATCTCCTCCACACTAGTGCGGGAAATCACCTCCCCAATGAGGGGTTCCCAAGCCTCCAAAGGCAGAAGGAAGTGTGCAGGACCTGTTTCGAGGACCTCACCCAGCACAAAAAGAGAAGAACTGGAAACACCTTTCATCTTGCAAGTCTACAGCCCTCACCCAGGGGAGCAGGATGGATTCTTAGATCAGAGGATGTGCCCTCTAGGGAAGGGAACCTGAGACATATGACAAGAGGAGCTATCCTGGGACAGCCCTGACCTCACCCTTGCCTTGGGCTGGCCCACAAGTCTTGCACACACCACACCAGACCAGGAAGTGCACACACGGCCTGCTTTGAGGAAAGGCAGATCCCGAGTCCGGGGAGGTCGTCTGTGCTGGGGAAACCGGGCTGAGGATGCTGCTTGCCCATCGCCACTGAAGGCACCCAGTTCACACAGCCCTATCTGGTGTTGGGGCCCGACTCACTGACTATGACTCATTGACAGCCTGAACTGTGGGCCAACTGACAAGCAGGGCTCACTCCGCAAACACGCGCTGGGCTCTCCAGCTGTGCCGCCCCCCACAGGGCCTGCAGCCCGGGACAACACCGGCCATGTGAATGGTGGGTACCCATTGGATATGGGCGGGTCAGCACAGGTATGTGGGGTGCAGCCATTGCTTGGGGACCCACGGTGATGCTCTGTGCTCCCTCTTCCCACAGTAACTGCATTAAAGTGTTTCATCTGAGCTTTGTCATCATCTCTGGGGGCACTGCTGACCTGAGTCTGGGGAGGCAGGCGTCTTGATCCAGGTCTGGTTACAGAGGGGCACCCCACATTCATTGTCAATGAATGAATGAATGAAGGCTCTGTATGGTATCTGCAAGTGAACAGAGCCTGTGGGGAGACAGAAGGTGGGCACAGGCCTGCCCCTGTCTTTACAGCACCCTAGCACCCAGGCCTTCAGCAGGGCAGGTGAGGTTCCCACGCTAGGGCCCTCATCCCATCCACCCTAGAGTGAGAGACCCTCCCGGCCTCAGACTCAGCCACCCACTCCACACCCAGGGCAGGGGTTGGGGATGTGTCTAGGAGGTCTAAGTATCGGTGAAAACCACATCCTACTTCCCCGTCCTCCCACGCCTGTAAGACTTAGGAGACATAACACCTTCCGCCCCCATTCTTGCAACTTTCAGGAACCGGACCCCTGGGTGACTCCAAATTTGAGGTCTGGGGTCAGCAGAGGGTGTGCTCAGTGGGCCACCGCCCCGAGGTGGCCCCTAGTGCTGTGGGAAAAGGCTTATTCTAAGCCCGCGCCTTCCAGCGGACAGGCGCCGTGGTCGCCGGGCTTTGCAGGGCCTCGAGCGGCGGGGCTGGTGCAGAAGCGCGCGGCAGTCCGGGGAAACCCGTCGGACTCCTCAGCCCGCACGGCACCTGCCCCGGCCAAGCAGGCTCCGCCCATTTCCTGCCTGCACTCCCGGAGGGAGTTCCGTCCGTCCCGCGGTCTGTCGGTCCGGTCCCTCCCGCCCCAACGTCAGGATTCCAGAAGGAAATGGGGCGGGGGCACCGAGGCGGGATGTGACCTCGGCCCCCTTTCGGCCCCACTGCAAAAGCGGGGGAGGGTTTTCCCCGTGCGCAGGAAAAGGTGACCCGAGCGTAGTGCCAGCCTGGACACAGGCGCCCCGGCTTGACACCCCCTCACCCCAAGCCAAGGGCGCGCTGACCCCCAAGGCCTGAGGCTGGCTGCCCCCTAAAGCAGGACAAAGGCTACGGGACCCCGTTGAGCCGAGACATCCGCCGAATACCCCCAGCCACCGCCGCTCGAAGCCCGCCGGGTCCCGCCCCGCCCCCGTGCCTCTGGGTCCCTGAGACCCCCGCCCGAGAAATCCCCGCTCCCCAATCCAGCCCCGCTCACCGTCCACATCCCGGCGCTCCCCGAAGCCCGCGCGCACGGCCCCGGCGCGGCCACGCGGGGGGCTCAGCTTGGACCTCAGCTCGGTGAACATGGGGCCCGCGGGTGCCAGGCCCGCGCACACGCCCCTCGCCGAGTGCAGGGCGGCCGGTGTGGCCGGCGGGGAACGCGCGCCGCCGCCCCGCCCCGCCCCAGCCGGCCCCGCGCCCGAGCCGGTCCCCGCGGCCCGCGAGTGTGCGCGACGAGGCACCTGCCGCCGAGCCCTGTGTGCCGGGCGCGCTCCGGGAGCTCCGAGGTGTGTCGGCGGCGCGCGGGCCTGCGTGCACCAAGGCTGTCCGCCAGGGCGAGGGGCGTCCGTGCGCCCCTGGGCACGGCTCCGCGGAGGAGAGTCCCCGTGAACCTGCCGGGCGTCCTCTGAGGTCGGGCCCCTCTGTGCGTGGGGGTGGGCTGAGGGGCATCTCACAGGGGTCTTCTACCTACCGGGGCCAGGACAAGGGGCAGGTCAACGCCTCCCACACACTTTCCTCGGTCTCCTACGTCTTTACTCGCCTTCAAATAGGCACCCGCTTCCCCGGAGAAACCAGCTTGACTCTTGCTTACCGCCCACCCCACTGTGAACATCAGGGTGGTTCTCCCTTCCCTCTGCAGCCCCAGAACCTGGCTCAGTGCCCGGGGGAGAGGGGGCGGTACAGTGCTCTGTAACTGAAAGGGGCTTGGCTTGCCTGGAGATGGGGCAGAGGGGAACTCCAAGGAGGCTGTAGCAGGCCGGAGCGGTGTGTTTGCTCCAGGACTCCAGTGAGAAGTGCTGAGATGGGGCTGGGCTAGGGAACTGTGGTTGCCTGGTGCAGCAGCAGGCCAGGCTTGCAACCAGCTATTCGGCTTGCTCTGCCCAGGAGCCTGGGTGCTCTCCCTGGGTGTATGTAGGGGCTCTGGAGGATGTCTTACAGCAGGAGGACCAGAGATGCACACAGACATGTAGAAATGCATGCACAGAGTACAGTCATGCACTTGCACCCAAAACACGAGCACACGTGACCTCTGTGCACACACCCCACTAATCACACACACAGAATTCACCCACATGCTTGACAGCCATGTTCATGTACTGACGTGTTCCCGACAGCTCAGCTGCGGTTATTTATTTCGTCAATTAGCTCTCCAGGAGCTAAGGATGTGGCCCTCACCAGAATGTCCAAGGCATGTTGGCGGGCGTGGGTGGGGTCTCTAGTCCCACTGGAGGGACAGATGCCTGAATGGGGGTTCAAGAATATGAGTGCTAAAAGCGTAGGGCAGCAGTGTGCGCACAGGACGCACACAGACAGGTGTGCCCATAACCAGTACACACAAGCTCTACACAACTGGACAGGGTACAGCTCTGCTCGGACAGGGCGCACCAGGGGCGAGGGCGGGCAGCTGGGCTGGTTCAGAGGGAGGGGGCCATGGGTTCAGAGGGAGGGGACCATGGGTCCCACTCTCACAGACAGGTCTCCGGACTGCATCAGAGCACTCGGGAAGCAGCAATGCCCCAGGCTGTTTTTAGCCCCCAGGGGCCAGTTAGGGTCCCAGTGCAAGCTCGACCTAGCTTCTTCCGCCTCTCCACGAGGAGGCGCTCCCGCGCACGCGCCTACCACGTTCCTGCCCCCTAGCCGCGGCCGGAAGTCGTCGAACCAGGACGTCGGGACTTCCGCCCAGGGAATCAAAAGTGGGCGGGGCGTGTGCGGACTGAGCGCTCTGCTTCCGGGGCGCGGGTGACGCGACGACGGCGACACTTTGCTACGGAGTGCATCGGACGTCGAAGCCTAGAGTCTCTGCGTCTTTCCCTCTTCCGCTGCCTCATTCCTTTCCTTCCTAGCCTTGGTCGTCGCCGCCACCATGAACAAGAAGAAGAAACCGTTCCTAGGGATGCCCGCGCCCCTCGGCTACGTGCCGGGGCTGGGCCGGGGGTGAGGCCTGGGGCGGCGCGCGAGGGGCGGGGACCCGGCTACAGGAGCGCAGTGCTTTGGGGCGTGTTTGGGGGCGGGGGTCTATGGCCGCGCAGTCTGAAAGACGCTTGGTGGATCGGCTTAATCCCTGCAGGAAGCAACGGGCTTTGGGGTCAGGACATACCTGTGTGTGCACCCTGCTTGCCGCCTAGATGTGACACATTGACTCTCAGCCCAGTGTTTTGGTCTGTAAGATGGGTAATGCTGTATACGGTCTGCAGTGAGGAGTAGAGGAATCTGACGTGTAGTGGAAACACGCGACCACCTTCCTCAGGTCGGGCTGACACTCCCCCCCCCCGCCCGCCCGCCCGCCCCGCCTTAAGCGTGCCTGGGTCCTCTATGCCTGCAACACAGATGACCACCGTGCGTTGCTGGATAAGTGAGCAGTCGTTATTATCCTATTTGGCTATTCATTTGATGAGGAACACTACTGGGTTTTTCTTGGTGGTGGTATTATATTGGAATCTGTGGGGCACACACAAGCTCACTAAGGAGGGTTTGCTATTACCATAAATAAGTACGTAAAGAGGACCAGATTTAGAACCCAGTGCTTAATGGAGAGTAGCATTGGAGCCAAGTTTAGTAAGAGAGCTGGACTTAGGGCTGTAGAAACGGTGACGATAGAAGAGAAACTGACATTCTGCGTGTGGGAGTTCAAAAAAAGTGAGGCAAGGAGGAAGCCCAGGGAACAGGAGGGAGTCCAGTGTGAGTGGAATGTACAGCGAATAGAATAGAGCTCAGGAGGTTGGAGGGGCCTTGAGCGTCAGGCTAGAGCTCCTGGAGACGTTAGAAAGATCATGACCCTTCAGAATTATTATTATTATTATTATTTTTTGAGACAAAGTCTTGTTCTGTCGCCCAAGCTGGAGTGCAATGGTGCGATCTCAGCTCCCTGCAATCTCTGCCCCCCGGGTTCAAGCAGTTCTCTGCCTCAGCCTCCTGAGTAGCTGGGATTATAGGTGCCCGCTACCACGCCCGGCTAATTTTTGTATTTTTAGTAGAGACAGGGTTTCACCATGTTGGCCAGGGGGGTCTTGAACTCCTGACCTCATGATCCACCCGCCTCCGTCTCCCAAAGTGCTGGGATTACAGGCGTGAGCCACCACGCCCGGCCCAGAATTTTTTACTCAGAGCTGTGTTTTGGGAAGAATCATCTGGCAGAGCATGGGTTGAAGTAGAGGAAGGCTAAAGGCAGGGAGAGGTAACTTGGTTTCCAGCTGTGATGGGAGTCATAGTCTGGGAAGGAGGGATTTTGAAAGTGGATTCATTAGTACTTGGGGACAGACAGGATGGGGAAAGTGGGAGAGGGAGGCAAAAATTACATCATGGTCCCGTGGCATCTGGGACAGCTGTTATCAGCTGAAACCCCCCAGAGCAGCTGTAAGGTGGGCACGGAAGAGCTCAGTGTGGGCCAAGTTGGGTTTAAGGGCCTGGTTGGATGTGGAGGGGGAGATGATCGAAGCCTTAGGGTGGAGAGAGATTGCCTTGGTAACATCATCAGGGTAGGCTGAAACTTTCAGGTAAGCAGAGAAGATCAGAAGTGTTTGAGACTGCAGTTCATTGTCACCAGGATCTTTGGAGGTTTCCCAAAGGTGTTAGAAAAAGAGGTGTTAGTAAGTGATAACCAGGAGTGGAGAAGAGCACAGGAACAGAGTTATTCAGACACCCGGTGTCTTGGGGGTCTCCTGCAGCGCCACTGGCTTCACCACGCGGTCAGACATTGGGCCCGCCCGTGATGCAAATGACCCTGTGGATGATCGCCATGCACCCCCAGGCAAGAGAACCGTTGGGGACCAGATGAAGAAAAATCAGGCTGCTGACGATGACGACGAGGATCTAAATGACACCAATTACGATGAGGTGAGATGTGTCCGGCTTTCGTGGCTCCTCCAGCCAGTCTCTGGGAGCAGCTGACCTAACCAGTGTGTGTTGGTGTCTGTAATGAATGGCTTGGAGTGGCTCATGCATTTAAATTTTAGCTATTCATGGAACATCTTTACTGAGAGTGAGAGGGAGCAGGAAAAACACGGAGAAATGTGCACTTTTTGTCCCTCAGAAGAGATGTTCTTGCAGGTGTTAGGACCACTGCCTTGGCATTTTCTATTGCCCAGTCTTTTTTTTTTTTGAGACGGAATTTCGCTCTTGTCGGAAGAGATGTTCTTGCAGGTGTTAGGACCACTGCCTTGGCATTTCCTATTGGCCAGTCTTTTTTTTTTGAGATGGAATTTCGCTCTTGTCGGAAGAGATGTTCTTGCAGGTGTTAGGACCACTGCCTTGGCATTTCCTATTGGCCAGTCTTTTTTTTTTTTTTTTTTTGAGACGGACTTTCGCTCTTGTTGGCCAGGCTGGAGTGCAGTGGTGTGATCTCAGCTCACTGTGACCTCTGCCTCCCCATTTCAAGCGATTCTCCTGCCTCAGTCTCCAAGTAACTGGGATTACAGGCATGCGCCACCATGCCTGGCTAATTTTGTATTTTTAGTAGAGACAGGGTTTCTCCATGTTGGTCAGGCTGGTCTCGAACTCCTGACTTCAGGTTGTCCGCACGCTTCGGCTTCCCAAAGTGTTGGGATTACAGGCGTGAGCCACTGCGCCTGGCTGCCAGTCTTTAATGATAAAAACTTAAAGTGGAATTGGTGATAGTATTTGCTTTTTTTAGCTTTAGTGATTGCCCTCTAAACAGACATCTAAAGAAAAACTTCAGCTGACTGAATACCGATTAACTGTCTTCTAACAGATGACATTTTTCCTCTGAGGAAAATTTTTAAAAATAATTTTAGTTTTGAGGCCAGGTGCGGTAGCTCACACCTATAATCCTGGCACTTTTGGAGGCCGAGGTGGGCGGATCATGAGGCCAGGATATCGAGACCATCCTGTTTAACATGGTGAAACCCCGTCTCTACTAAAACTACACAAAAATTAGCCGGGCATGGTGGCATGTGCCTGTAGTCCCAGCTACTCGGGAGGCTGAGGCAGAAGAATGCTGTGAACCCGGGAGGCGGAGGTTGCGGTGAGCCAAGATTGCGCCACTGCACTCCAGCCTTGGCGAGAGTGCGAGACTCTGTCTCAGAAAAAAAAAAAAAATTAGTTTTGAAATAATTTTAAATTTGCAGGAATTTGCAAAAATAGTGCCCCCCCAAAAAAAAGTTTCTGCATGTCTTTCACCAAGCTTCTCCCGATGTTACATGACCTTAGTGCAGTTATTGAAACGAAGGAGTTAACATTGACACAGTACTATTAACTAATTTGTCAGTCGTATTTGCATTTCATGTTTTTCCATGAATGTCCGCTTTCTGGCTTAGGCTTAGTCCAGGATCCCCCATTGCATTTCGTCATGTCTCCTTGGTCCCTTCCAATTGGGGGTCTCCTCTGTCTTCCATGCCCTTGACGCTTGAAGAGTAGTCACCAGTTATATGGTAGACTGTCCCTTGATTTGGCTTCGTTGGCTGAAGAAAATAATTTAGCAAGTATTTCACAAGTAGAGATCTCCGTTTCGCTGGTGGGGATGGTGTTGAAGGAAAAGCTGACCTCTACACGTGTTGTTTGCTTCTCAGTTTAATGGCTATGCTGGGAGCCTCTTCTCAAGTGGACCCTACGAGAAAGATGATGAGGAAGCAGATGCTATCTATGCAGCCCTGGATAAAAGGATGGATGAAAGAAGAAAAGAAAGACGGTAAAAGAAATTGTTGCCTTTCACAATATTTATCCAAGTTTAAAAAAAAGTTTTGTGGCCAGGCGCAGTGGCTCACGTGTGTAATCCTAGCACTTTGAGAGGCTGAGGTAGGACGATAGCTAGAGCCCAGGGGTTTGAGACCAGTGTGGGCAACGTAGGGAGACTTAATCTCTACAAATAATTTAAAAATTAGCCAGATGGTACACACCTGTAGTCCCAGCTACTTGGGTGGCTGAGGTGGAAGGACCGTTTAAGCCCAGGAGGTAGAAACTGCAGTGAGCCATGATCATTCCAGCCTGGTTGGCATAGTGAGACCCTGTCTCAAAAAAAAAAAAAAGTTTTGTTTTGAATTGTTTTATATTTGGAGAAAAGTTGCAATAGAGTATGTGTGTCTGCTTAGCTTTTAGGCCACCTGAGGGTCTTGGTCTGTCGTAGCCATGCCTGGATAAGCACTGGGCTGTTACAGAACAGCCTTAGGGCCTGGGGGCTGCAGTGGAGAGCTTAAGAACTCTTAAGTTTTTCCAGAAATCAGCAGAATTTTGTGGATTACTTTTACGATACATCAGGGTTACCATCTTTGAAATGAAAAGGGCCTACTGACTTGATTATTATATGTTGAGTAATTTGCAAATGAATTAAAGATGTTAAATGACACATACAAGCTACCAAGATTGAACCATGAAGAAATCCCAAACCTGAACAGACCAATAAAAGGTAATGAGATCAAAGCTGTAACAGAAAGTGTCCTAGCAGAGAACATCTCAGGATCTGATTGCTTCATTGCTGAATTTTACCAAATATTTGAAGAAGAACTAATACCAATTCTACTCAGACTATTCTGAAAAATAGAGGAGGGAATACTTCCAAACTTATTCTACAGAACCAGTATTACCCTGATACCAAAACCAGACAAAGACACACTGAAAAAAGAAAATGTTAGGTCAGTATCCCTGATGAACACTGATGCAGAAATCAGCAGAATACTAGCAAACCATATTCAACAACACATTAGAAAGATGGTTCATCGGCTGGGCGCAGTGGATCACGCCTGTAATTCTAGCACTTTGGGAGGCCGAGGTGGGCGGATGATGGGTCATCTGAGGTCAGGAGTTCAAGACCAGTCTGGCCAACCTAGTGAAACCCAGTCTCTACTAAAAATACAAAAATTAGCCGGGCATGGTGGGTGGTGTACGCCTATAATCCCAGCTACTTGGGAGGCTGAGGCAAGAGAATCGCTTGAACTCGGGAGGTGGAGGTTGCAGTGAGCCGAGGTCACAACACTGCACTCTAGCCTGGGAGACAAGAGCAAGACTCCATCTCAAAAAAAAAAAAAAAAAAAGATCGTTCATCATGACCAAGTGGCATTTTGCCCAGGGGATACAAGTGCAAGGGTGGTTCAACATATGCAAATTAATCAGTGTTATACATCATATCAACAGAATGAAGGACAAAAACCATATGATCTTTTTTTTTTTTTTTTTGAGACGGAGTCTCGCTCTGTTGCCCAGGCTGGAGTGCAGTGGCGCAATCTCAGCTCACTGCAACCTCCACCTCCTGGGTTCAAGTGATTCTCCTGCCTCAGCCTCCTGAGTAGCTGGGACTACAGTTGCCCGCCACCACGCCTGGCTAATTTTTTGTATTTTTAGTAGAGACGGGATTTCACTGTGTTAGCCAGGATGGTCTTGATCTCCTGACCTCATGATCCACCTGCCTCGGCCTCCCAAAGTGCTGGGATTACAGGCGTGAGCCACTGCGCCCGGCCTAATCATTTTAATTGATTCTGAAAATGCATTTGATAAGATTCAACATTCCTTGATGATAAAAACTCTCAAAAAACTGCATATAGAAGAAACATACCTCAGGCTGGGTGTGGTGGCTCACGTCTGTAATCCCAGCACTTTGGGAGGCTGAGGCGGGAGGACTGCTTGATCTCAGGAGTTTGAGACCAGCCTAGGCAAGAGGGTAATACCTTTTCTTTACAAAAAAATACAAAAATTAGCCAGGCTTCGTGGCACACACCTGTAGTCCTAGCTACTCAGGAGGCTGAGATGGGAGAATTACTTGAGCCCAGGAGGCAGAGGTTGCAGTGAGCTGAGATCATACCACCACACTTCAGCCTGGGCCACAGAGCGAGACCCTGTCTCAAAAAAAAAAAAAAAAAAAAGGGGGGGGGAGCATAACACAATAAAAGCTATATACAGCTGGATGGGGTGGTTCACGCCTGTAATCACAGCCCTTTGGGAGGCCCAGGCAGGCAGATCATTTGAGGTCAGGAGTTTGAGACCATCCTGACCAACATGGTAAAACCCTGTCTCTACTAAAAATCCAAAGATTAGTTGGGTGTGGTGGCTCAGGCCTATAATTTCAGCTACTCAGGAGGTGGAGGTTACAGTGAGCTGAGATTGTGCCACTGCACTCCAGCCTGGGCAACACAATGAGACTGTGTCGCAAAGAAAAAAAAAAGCCACATATGGTAGGCCCACAGCTCGTATCATACTGAATGGGGAAAAACTGGAACGCAACAAGGATGCCCACTTTCACCACTGTGATTCAACATTGTACTGGAAGTCCTAGCTAGAGCAGTCGGACCAGAGAAATAAATAAAAGGGCATCCAGATTGGAAAAGAAGAAGTTAAATTATCCTTGTTTGCAGATGATATGATCTTATATTTAGAAAACCCTAAAGACTCTACCAAAACACTATTGGAACTGACAAATTGATTAAAGTTGCAGGCTATGCCCCCAGGTGTGGTGGCTCACACCTGTAATCCCAGCACTTTGGGAGGCTGAGGGTGGGTGGATCACCTGAGGTCAGGAGTTTGAGACCAGCCTGGCCAACAAAGAGAAACCCTGTCACTATTAAGAATACAAAAATGGCCGGGCACGGTGGCTCACGCCTGTAATCCCAGCACTTTGGGAGGCCGAGGCAGGTGGATGACTGGAGGTCAGGAGTTCGAGACCAGCCTGACCAACGTGGTGAAACCCTGTCTCTACTAAAAAAATTACAAAAGTTGCCAGGCGCTGGGACTCACGCCTGTAATCCCAGCACCTTGGGAGAGTGAGGTGGGTGGATCACTTGAGGTCAGGAGTTTGAGACCAGGCTGACCAACATAGTGAAACCCTGTCTCTACTAAAAATACAAAAATTAGCTGGGTGTAGTGGCACACGTCTGTAATCCCAGCTACTCAGGAGGCTGAGGCAAGAGAATTGCTTGAACCTAGGAGGCAAATGTTGTAGTGAGCTGAGATTGCACCACTGCACTCCAGCCTGAGTGACGGGGCAAGACTCTGTCTCAAAAAAAAAAAAAACCAAAAAACAAAAATTAGCCGGGTGTGGGGGTGCACGCCTGTAGTCCCAGCTAGTTGGGAGGCTGAGGCAGGAGAATCGC
Source organism: Homo sapiens (assembly GCF_000001405.40). Taxonomy (NCBI): domain Eukaryota; kingdom Metazoa; phylum Chordata; class Mammalia; order Primates; family Hominidae; genus Homo; species Homo sapiens. The sequence continues at coordinate 63,988,414 of NC_000020.11, forward strand.
TTGAACCCAGGAGGTCGAGGTTGCAGTGAGCTGAGATTGCACCACTGCACTCCAGCCTGGGTAACAGAGTGAGACTCCATCTTAAAATAAAAGAAAATATCCATACTACCCAAAGTAATTTACAGATTCAATGCAATCCGTATCAAAATACTGGGGACATTATTAACAGATAGTGAAAAAATAGCCAGGTGCAGTGGCTCATGCCTGTAATCCCAACACTTTGGGAGGCTGAGGCAGGTGGATCACTTGAGGTCAGCAGTTCGAGACCAGCCTGGCTAAACCCCATCTCTACTAAAAATACAAAAATTAGTTGGGCATGGTGACAGGTGCCTGTAATCCCAGCTACTTGGGAGGCTGAGGCAGGAGAATCACTTGAACCTGGAAGGCAGAGGTTGCAGTCAGCTGAGATCGTGCCATTGCACTCCGGCCTGGGCAACAGAGTGAGACTCCGTCTCAAAAAAAAAAAAAGAAAAAGAAAAAATAATTCTAAAATGTACATGGAGCCAAAAAAGACCCAGAATAGGCAAAGCTATCCTGAGCAAAAGGAACAAAACTGGGGGAACACTTGACTTCAAATTATACTACAGAGCTGTAGTAACAAAAACAGCATAGTACTGGCAGAAAAACAGACACATAGACCAATGGAACAGAATGGACCCAGAAACAAATAGGTACCTCTACAGTGAACTCATTCTTGACAAATGTACCAGGAATATTTATTGGGGAAAAGACAATCTCTTCAATAAACGGTGCTGGGAAAACTGGATATCTATATACAGAAGAATGAAACTAGACCCCTCTCTGTCACCACATACAAAAATCAAATTAAAAGACTTTAAGACCTCAAGCTGAAACTACTAGAAGAAAACATTGGAGAAACTCTACAGGACATTGGACTAGGCAAAGATTTCTTGAGTAATACCCCACAAGCACAGGCAACGAACGGAAGCCAGGTGTGGTGGCTCGCTCCCGTGAGCCAAGAGTGCGCTACTGCACTCCAGCCTGGGCCACAGAGACTGTCTCAAAAAGGAAAAAAATAAAAAGTTCTCATTATAGAATATTAGGAAAATAAGAGTAAGTATGGGTAAAAGCATAACATTTATTCATAAGTCTAGAAAGTAACAGTTAACATTTTGGCTCATTTCCTCTTTCTGTTGCTTTTTTTTATCTTGGCTCACTGCAACCTCTGCCTCCCGGGTTCAAGCAATTCTCCTGCCTCAGCCTCCCAAGTAGCTGGGATTACAGGTGCCTGCCACCACGCCTGGCTAGTTTTTGTATTTTAGTAGAGACGGGGTTTCACCATGTTGGCCAGGATGGTCTCAAACTCCTGGCCTTGTGCTCCATCCACCTCGGCCTCCCAAAGTGCTGGGATTACAGACGTGAGCCACTGCGCCCAGCTCTGTTGCTTTTTATACATGTAATCATAACTTCCTGTGATGTATGTAGAATGTTTTATTTTTTGAAGATAATTTTAGAATAGTAAAATATAGTTCTTCTGGAATTTTATTTATTTTTTATTTTTTTGAGTCTCCCAGGCTCAAGTGATTCTTCTGCCTCAGCCTCCCAAGTAGCCGGGATTATAGGCACGCGCCACCACACCTGGCTAATTTTTGTGTTTTTAGTAGAGACAGGGTTTTACCATGTTGGCCAGGCCGGTCTTGAACTCCTGACCCCAAGTGATCCACCCGCCTCAGCCTCCCAAAGTGTTGGAATTACAGGTATGAGCCACCGTGCCCAGTCTTGCCACACACTTTAAACAACCAGATCTTACGTGATGTAAACTTGCTGCCTCGAGGACAGCACCAGGCCATCAGGGGTCTGCCCTCAAGACTCAAGTGGCCTCCCACCAGGCCCCACCTCAAACATTGGGAATTATAATTCAGCATGAGATTTCATGGGGACACAGATGTAAACCATATCCTTTGGCCTCCCAGAGTGCTGGGATTACAGACATAAGTCAATGTGCCTGGCCTGGACATCTTTTTAGAAGCTCGTTATTAAATCATTGTGCATAAATTTTATACCTATAGTAATTAAACGTGAATGGCATTGCATTTCACTTTTTTTTTTTTTTGGATACAGGATCTTACTCTGTCACCCAGGGTGGAGCGCGGTGGCTTGATTATAGCTCCCTGTAACCTTCAATTCCTGGCTCAAGCGATTCTCCTGCTTCAGCCTCCCAGGTAGCTGGGATTACAAGCACGTGCTACCACACCCAGCTAATTTTTCTTTTTTCTTTTTTTTTTTTTGAGATGGAGTCTCACTCTATTGCCCAGGCTGGAGTGCAATGGCGCAACCTCGGCTTACTGCAACCTCCGCCTCCAGGGTTCAAGTGATTCTCCTGCCTCAGCCTCCCAAGTGGCTGGGATTACAGGCATGCACCGCCACGCCCGGCTGATTTTTGTAGAGATGGGTATTTTTAGTAGAGACGGGGTTTCACCAATGTTAGCCAGGCTGGTCTTGAACTCCTGCCCTTGTGATCTGCCTGCCTTGGCCTCCCAAGGTGCTGGGATTACAGGCTTGAGCCACCACGCCAGGCTCACACCCAGCTAATTTTTGTCTATGTTGCCCAGGCTGGTCTTGAACTCCTGGCCTCAAGTGATCCACCTGCCTCCCCTAACCTTGGCCTCCCAAAGTGCTAGGATTACAGGCATGAGTTACTACACTCAGCCCTACATTTTAAAAATTGATTGGAACCTCCAGGGTTAATGCATTTTAAAAAACATCAGGCTGGGTGCAGTGGCTTACATGTGTAATCCTAGTACCTTGGGAGGCCAAGGCAGGAGGACCACTTGAGTCTAGGAGTTCGAGACCAGCCTGGGCAACATGGTGAAACCCTGTCTCTACAAAAACAAAATTAAAATTAGCCAGTTGCACATGCCCGTAGTTCCAGCTACATTCCCAAGGCTGAGGCAGGAGCATCGCTTGAGCCTAGGAATTAGAGGCTACAGTGAGCTATGCTTATGCCACTGTGCTCCAGCCTGGGCAACAGACCAAGGCCGTGTCTCTAAAACAAAAACAAAACAAAAAACAGCAGGTGACACGGACCCATGAAGAAAGCCATTAAATTAAATGTTTTTAAAAAGTAGTGTACTTGGCCGAGCACGGTGGCTCACACCTATAATCCCAGCACTTTGGGAGGCCGAGGCGGGCAGATCATGAGGTCAGGAGATCGAGACCATCCTGGCCAACATGGTGAAACCCCGTCTCTACTAACAATACAAAAATTAGCTGGGTGTGGTGGTGCATGCCTGTAATCCCAGCTACTCAGGAGGCTGAGGCACGAGAATCACTTAAACCCAGGAGGCGGAGGTTGCAGTGAGCTGAGATCGCACCACTGCATTCCAGCCTGGTGACAGAGTGAGACTGTCTCAAAGAAAAAAAAAAAAGTAGTGTACTTATTAAAACTTTTTATTCTGAAAACTGTCGTAATACAAACAAGTAGGAAGAACAGTACTGTGAATACCATATCCTCACATGTAGTCTCAACACCGAAGTGCAATTACATGGGTTATGTTCTGGCACATAGAGCTGTGCAGCTGAGCTGAGTTGGTTAGAGGTGAACTATTTACTTGGAAGAGAAGGAAGCAAGGAAGGAAAGGTGGGATGAGTTCAGTAGAGTGTTTGGAGTGTTTGGTGGTAACTAGGATAGTTACTGTTTTTCCTTGTAGGTGTTTTTTTGTTTTGTTTTGTTTTGTTTTGTTTTGCGACAAGGTCTCGCTCTGTCGCCCAGGCTAGATTGGCTCACTGCAACCTCCACTTCCTGGATTCAGATGATTCTCCTGCCTCAGTCTCCCAGGTAGCTGGGGATTACAGGTGCCCACCACCATGCCCAGCTAATTTTTATTTTTATTTTTATTTTTTTGAGACGAAGTTTCACTCTTGTCACCCAGGCTGGAGTGCAATGGCATGATCTTGGCTCCCTGCAACTTCCACCTCCCAGGTTCAAGCAATTCTCCTACCTCAGCCTCCTGAGTAGCTGGGATAACAGGCATGCGCCACCACGCCTGGCTAATTTTCATATTTTTAGTATAGATGGGGTTTTACCACATTGGCCAGGCTTGAACTCCTGACCTCAGGTGATCTGCCCACCTCGGCCTCCCAAAGCGTTGGGATTACAGGTGTAAGCCACCACGCCTGGCCTTCTTAGGTGTTTATGGGATGGTCCTACCTTTGGGATTTTGTGAATTTTCAAGCAGTAAATATACACATGTCCAAATGGAGGTATTTAGATCAAAGTAAGATCTTTTTTTTTTATTTTAATGAATTTCTACATGTTTTTATTTGGTGGATAATTGAATTAGTAGACTTACGAATGTATTTATATTTATTTATTTAGAGGCAGAGTCTCTCTGTGTTGCCCAGGCTGGAGTGCAGTGGTGCGATCTTGGCTCACTGCACCCTCTGCCTCCTGGGTTCAAATGATTCTGCCTCAGCCTCCCAAGTAGCTGTGATTACAGGTGTGTGCTACCATGCCCAGCTAAGAATGTATTCATAGTTACCTTAAAATATATTTGATTTGGGCTGGGTGCGGTGGCTCACACCTGTAATCCCAGCACTTTGGGAGGCCAAGGTGGGTAGATCACAAGGTCAGGAGTTCGAGAACAGCCTGGCCAGGATGGTGAAACCCCGTCTCTACTAAAAACACAAAAATTAGCTGGGAGTGGTGGCGAGCACCTGTAATCCCAGCTACTTGGGAGGCTGAGGCAGGAAAATCACTTAAACCCAGGAGGTGGAGGTTGCAGTGAGCTGAGATTGCGCCACTGCACTTTAGCCTGGGTGACAGAGCAAGACTCCATCTCAAAAAAAAAAATGTGTGTGTGTGTGTGTGTGTGTGTGTGTGTGTGTGTATATGTATATATATATATATATATTTGATTTAGCTACTAAGAGTATGGAATTGTTCTTTTTGGTGATTTAATTGAGATGGATAATAAATTTGCTTCAGAACAGACATGCAGTGTTTCTGATGTGTGCATGTTTTATTTCCTAGGGAGCAAAGGGAGAAAGAAGAAATAGAGAAATATCGTATGGAACGCCCCAAAATCCAACAGCAGTTCTCAGACCTCAAGGTGAGCCGATGAAGCGGTGAATGGTGTGCGGTTTCTAACGCTCTCACCCTAACCCGCAGAGACTCAGACTGCTCTTACGTGGAATTTATGAGACTTTACGTTTTTAATTTAGGGGGTCATTGCTTAGAAGAAGAAAGTGTTTGCTTCAGTATGTTTAATTATATGTGTGTAAAAAAAAACCCTTCCCCTACTGTAAAAGGTAGGACAAATGAACTTATTTTCTTTGTAATTTTGACTCCATTTATACCTAAGATTTTCTTTTTTCTTTTTTCTTTTTTTTTTTGGAGGCAGTCTGGCTCTGTTGCCCTGGCTGGAGTGCAGTGGCGTGGTCTCAGCTCACTGCAACCTTCACCTCCTAGGTTCAAGCAATTCTTGTGCCTCAGCCTCCTAAGTAGCTGGGATTACAGGTGCCTGCCACCATACCCAGCTAATTTTTGTATTTTTAGTAAAGACAGGATTTCGCCATGTGTACCAGGCTGGTCTCAAACTCCTGAACTCTAGTGATCTGCCCACCTCAGCCTCCCAAAGGGCTGGGATTACAGGCGTGAGCCACCACGTCTGGCCCCATTTATACGTAAGATTTTCTAAACTGTGTCCCCTGGGCTTTGAGAGAATAATTTACATTTTAGTGAAGTTGAACAGATCCAATAAATTGATTTTTCTTTTCTTTTTCTTTTTTTTTTTTTTTTGAGACGGAGTTTGGCTCTTGTTGCCCAGGCTGGAGTGCAATGACGCGATCTCAGCTCACCGCAACCTCCGCCTCCCAGGTTCAAACGATTCTCCTGCCTCAGCCTCCCTAGTAGCTGGGATTACAGGCATGTGCCACCATGCCCGGCTAATTTTGTATTTTTAGTAGAGATGGGGTTTCTCCATGTTGGTCAGGCTGGTCTCGAACTCCCGACCTCAGGTGATCTGCCCGCTTTGGCCTCCCAAAGTGCTGGGATTAACAGGCATGAGCCACCGTGCCCGGCCTAAATTGATTTTTCTAAGTGAAGTAGAAAACTATTTTTGGGGCTGGGTACAGTGGCTCACATCTGTAATCTCAGCACTTTGGGAGGCTGAGGTGGGAGGATCACTTGAGCCCAGGAGTTTGAGACCAGCCTTGGGGAGAACCTGTCTTTACAAAAAATAAAAACTTAGCCAGGCATGGTGGCCCACGCTTGTGGTCCCAGCAACTTGAGAAGCTGAAGTGGGAGGATCACTTGAGCCTGGGAGGTTGAGGCTGCAGTGAGCTGTGATTGTGCCACTGAATCCAGCCTGGGCAACAGAATGAGACCCATCTCAAAACAAAAGTAAAAAACAGTTGCTGCATCCAAATCCCTTCTAAAGCTTGGTGATCTGGAGGCTAGGGGTGAGAGAGGGCATGGTCCTACCTGGGCACATGAAATTCTGTCAGAGAATTAATGTTTTTGGGGGCTGGATATTTCCAGAGGAAGTTGGCAGAAGTCACAGAAGAAGAGTGGCTGAGCATCCCCGAGGTTGGCGATGCCAGAAATAAACGTCAGCGGAACCCACGCTATGAGAAGCTGACCCCTGTTCCTGACAGTTTCTTTGCCAAACATTTACAGACCGGAGAGAACCATACCTCAGTGGATCCCCGACAAACTGTGAGCTTCCAAAAAAGGGCACATGTGGCCCATTTAGTCCTGTTAGATCAGTGGCAGGAATGGTGGGTGGTGTTGGATTCAATGCTTCTGCAGGTCATGGCTATGCTGTGGCCGAGTCTGTCTGCACAGCTGTGCATATGTCAGGCCACTGGGGAAGTATTTCAGAGAGTAAATTTCTTGGGCATGCAGTGCAAACCGTTGTTTTATTCTTGCCTTTCCTCTCTTCCCCTCCAGCAATTTGGAGGTCTTAACACACCCTATCCAGGTGGACTAAACACTCCATACCCAGGTGGAATGACGCCAGGACTGATGACACCTGGCACAGGTGAGCTGGACATGAGGAAGATTGGCCAAGCGAGGAACACTCTGATGGACATGAGGCTGAGCCAGGTGAGTTTGTCACACAGCATTTTCCTGTGGACAGGTTTAGACAGTTTAATTTTGTTTTGTTTTCTTTTTCTCCTTCTTCTTCTTCTCCTTTTTCTTCTCCTCCTTCTCCTCCTCCTCCTTCTTCTCCTTCTCCTTTTTTTTTTTTTGGCTTGATTTTTGCCTGAATAATTCCGCAGATTTTTAAAATTTTGACCCAGAGTCTTGCTGTGTCACTCAGAGGCTGGAGTGCAATGGTGTGATCTTGGCTCACTGCAACCTCCACCTCCTGGGTTCAAGTGATTCTCCTACCTCAGCCTCCTGAGTAGCTGGGATTACAGGTGCCCACCACCACACCCGGCTAATTTTTGTATTTTTTGTAGAGACGGGGTTTTACCATGTTGGCCAGGCTGGTCTTGAACTCCTGACCTCAGGTGATCTGTCTGCCTTGGCCTCCCAAAATGCGGGGATTACAGGTGTGAGCCACTGCACTTGGCCTTTTTTTAAAATATAAAATAATAATTTTTTAAAAAGTGTGTTTTTTTCCTGCCTCTCAGTAAATTGTCTTGTGGCCCTGCATGGAACGTGTACTTTGATCTGGAGACTAGGTGCTCTAGACACCAGTGAAGTACAGAACTCTTTCTGATATGCATATCAGATACCACGAAGGAACATACTACTTTTGGCCTGGCCAACATGGTGAAACCCCGTCTCTACTAAAAATACAGAAATTGGCCAGGTGTGGTGGCGGGCGCCTGTAATCCCAGCTACTTGGGAGGCTAAGGCAGGAGAATTGCTTGAACCCGGGCGTTGGAGGTTGCAGTGAGCCGAGATTGCACCAGTGCACTCCGGCCTGGGCAACAGAGTGAGACTGTCTCAAAATAAAAAACAAAAACAAAAACAAAAAGTGGCACAATCATGGCTGGCTACATACAGCCTTGACCTCCCTGGGCTAAGGCGATCCTTCCACCTCAGCCTGCCAAGTAGCTGAGATTACAGGCATGTGCCACCATACCCAACTAATTTTTGTATTTTTTGTTGAGATGGGGTGTCACTAGGTTGCCCAACCTGGGCTGGAGCTCCTGGGCACAAGTGATCTGTCCGCGCTGGCCTCACAAAGTGCTGGGATTACAGGTGTGAACTACCATGCCCAGCCTGAAATTTGTTTACATAGAAATTGTAAAACTTTTTGGGCCAGGCACTCATGCCTGTAATCCTAGCACTTTGAGAGACCAAGGTAGGAGGATTGCTTGAGGTCAGGAGTTCAAGACCAGCCTGGGCAACATGGTGATGGTGAGACTCTGTCTCTACAAAAACTAAAAGAAATAGCTGGGCCTGGTGGTGCCTGTAGTCCCAGCTGTTCGAGAGGCTGAGGTGGAAGGATTGCTTGAGCTAGGGAGTTTGAGGCTGCCATGAGCTATGATCGCGCCTCTGCACACCAGCCTGGGTTACGGAGTGAGACTGTCTCAATAAATAAATAAAACTGTCACAGTAATTTTTTTGTGGTAAAATATATGTAACACAGAATTTACCATTTTAATCATTCTTGACTGTACATACCTTCACTGACATAATTATGTTCATGTTGTTATACAACCTCATCACCATTCATCTCCAGAACTGTTTTCATCTTCCCAAATTGAAACTCCGTACCTGTTAAACATTGAGTCCCCGTGCGCTTTCTCCCCAGCCCCTGGCATCCACCGTTCTCTCTGTTTCTATAAATGTCACTACTCTCTGGATCTTATATGACTGGAATCATACAGTATTTACCTTACTGTGACAGGCTTATTTCAATTAGCTCATGGTGCAGCATGCGTCAGCATGTTCTTTTTTTTTTTTTTTTTTTTGAGACAGAGTCTCTCTCTGTCACCCAGGCTGGAGTTCAATGGCATGGTCTTGGCTCACTGCAGCCTCCGCCTCTCGGGTTCAAATGATTCTCCCACCTGAGCCTCCCAAGTAGCTGGGACTACAGGTGTGCACCACCAAGCCCAGCTAATTTTTTTTTTTTTTTTTGAGACGGAGCCTGGCACCGTCACCCGAGCTGGAGTGCAGTGGTGTGATCTCGGCTCACTGCAACCTCCACCTCCTGGGTTCAGGTGATTCTCCTGCCTCAGCCTCCCGAGTAGCTGGAACTATAGGCGTGTGCCACCATGTCTGGCTAATTTTTGTATTTTTAGTAGAGACGGGGTTTCATCATGTTGGCCAGGATGGTCTTGATCTCCTGACCTCGTGATCCACTCGCCTCAGCCTCCCAGGATGCTGGGATTAGAAGTGTGATTTTTTTGTATTTTTAGTTAGAGATGGGATTTCACCATGTTGGCCAGGCTGGTCTCGAACTCCTGACCTCCAGTGATCCACGTGGCTCGGCCTCCCAAAGTGCTGGGATTACAGGCATGAGCCCCGGCGCCCCGGCCAGCATGTTCTCAGTTTAAGGCAGGATGAGACTTGACTCTTTGGTGTGTGTGGACCGCATTCGCTCATCTATGTAGACCGCATTCGCTGACCTGTTTATTCGCTGACGGACACTTGGACCACTTTCACCTTTTGACTATTGTGAATAATGCTGCTGTGAATACGGGTGTACAGATATTTGTCAGAGACCCTGCTTTCTATTCTTTCTTTTTTAATAAAAATTTTATTTATTTTTTTTTGAGACGGGGTCTTGCTCTGTCACCCAGGCTGGAGGGCAGTGGCGTGATCTCGGCTCACTGCAGCCTCTGCTTCCCAGGTTCATGTGATTCTCCTGCCTCAGCCTCCTGAGTAGCTGGGACTACAGGCATGTGCCACCACGCCTGGCTAATTTTTGTATTTTTAGTAGACACGGGGTTTCACCATCCTGGCCAGGCTGGTCTCGAACTCCTGATCTTGTGATCCACCCACCTTGGCCTCCCAAAGTGCTGGGTTTACAGGCGTGAGCCACCACGCCTGGTCAAAAATTACACTTTTTTTTGTAGAGACAGAATCTTGGGAGGCTGAGGCAGGAGGATTCCTTGAGCCCAGGAGCTGGAGGCTGCACTGAGCTATGATTGCCACTGCACTCCTGCTTGGGTGACAGAGTGAGACCCTGTCTCAAAAAAATAAATAAAAATATAGATCTTGGACAGACGCGGTGGCTCACGCCTGTAATCCCAGCACTTTGGGAGGCCGAGGCGGGCGGATCACGAGGTCAGGAGATCGAGACCATCCTGGCTAACACGGTGAAACCCCGTCTCTACTAAAAATACAAAAAAATTAGCCAGGTGTGGTGGCGGGCGCCTGTAGTCCCAGCCACTCGGGAGGCTGAGGCAGGAGGATGGCGTGAACCTGGGAGGTGGAGCTTGCAGTGAGCCGAGATTGCACAACTGCACTCCAGCCTGGGCGACAGAGCGAGACTCCATCTCAAAAAAAAAAAAAAAATAGATCTTTTTCCATACAGAAGAAATTTGTTATTATCACAAGGTGTTGTCTGAGTGAAATGAAGGCTGTTTTCCTTCTCCTTCTGACTGCTCTCTCAGGGTTGTGGGAGGGGCACCAGGGACCCTCTGAGAACTTTGTTTTGCACCTGGTCATGTCCAGCTGACTCTTAGCTTGGCCTGTCTCACAGGTGTCTGACTCCGTGAGTGGACAGACCGTCGTTGACCCCAAAGGCTACCTGACGGATTTAAATTCCATGATCCCGACACACGGAGGAGACATCAAGTGAGTGCTTTGCAGAATCGCTGGGCTGGGATGGAGACTCTAGTTGCCTAGGGTATTTTGGATTTTATATGGACAGTATGCTGTCAAAATGGGACATGGCGGTTCTAAGAAATGTAAAGTGGAGTAGTTTGTTTTTTCCATTTGAAATGTATCTGTATCCATTCATTGCGTACACTCAATGTGTTACATATGATACTGCAAAGTCCCTGCCTGTGCTGGGCAGGAAAGCAGCTGGCTGTGTCCCACATGTCCCATCTGGACCTTCGGTTCTCAGCGTTTGTCTGCGGGGAGGCTACAGAGGCTTGGAATAGTGCGCACTGAGGTTTTGAGTTGGTTTTTGTAACTCAGGACATCAGGACTGATAGTTCTTACATTGTGACTGTGAAGTGGGTGCCCTCATCCCAGGTCTCGGGTGCACCCCTGACAGCATGGCCTGATGCCGTGTGCACTCTCCCTCTCATAGTGATATCAAGAAGGCGCGACTGCTCCTCAAGTCTGTTCGGGAGACGAACCCTCATCACCCGCCAGCCTGGATTGCATCAGCCCGCCTGGAAGAAGTCACTGGGAAGCTACAAGTAGCTCGGAACCTTATCATGAAGGGGACGGAGATGTGCCCCAAGGTGAGGTATTTCCTGGGAGGCGTTTCCTGGGAGGCTGCGTGATTGTGGCCCCTACGGGAGTAAACTTGTTAGAGCAAATCTCTTTGTCTTTTGGTATTGAAACTACAGACAATAGGGCAGGCTGGGGGAGGATGTGAAAAGCAGCCAAGGGCTTTTTCCTGCTTGTTTTCATGTGGAGTGAAGGCTAATCCACCACTTTTTTTTTTTTTGGAGACGGAGTCTCGCTCTGTCACCCAGGCTGGAGTGCAGTGGCACGATCTCGGCTCACCGCAAGCTCCACCTGCCAGGTTCACACCATTGTCCTGTCTCAGCCTCCAGAGTAGCTGGCACTATAGGCGCCCGCCACCATGCCTGAATCCACCACGCCTGAATCCACCACTGGTTTGACGGCAGGCTAAGCTTCATTATAAAGAGCTCAGTTGGTCAGCTCTTCACCCGCCTAATGGTGGCCAGTCACGGTGGCTCACGCCTGTAATCCCAGCACTTTGGGAGGCTGAGGCGGGTGGATCACTTGAGGTCAGGAGTTAGAAACCAGCCTGGCCAACATGGCGAAACCCCGTCTCTACTAAAAATATGAAAGTTAGCCAGGCGTCGTGACAGGTGCCCATAATCCCAGCTATTCGGTAGGTGGAGGTTGCAGTGAGCTGAGATTGCACCATGCTGCTCCAGCCTGGGCGACAGAGCGAGATTCCGTCTCAAAAAAAAAAAAAAAAACAACAAAAAAGAACGACCCGAGCAGATGTGCAGTCTCTGCTTTGTCCATGGAGTTGTCCTGAAGGAAATCATGCTCTTTTCACAAAGTGGTGTTTCATTTTTTTTTTTTCTTTTTTTTTGAGTCTCGCTCTGTTGCCCAGGCTGAAGTACAGTGGCGTGATCTCAGCTCACTGCAACCTCTGCCTCCCGGGTTCAAGCAATTCTCCTGCCTCAGCCTCCTGAGTACCTGGGATTATAGGCACCTGCCACCACACCCGGCTAATTTTTGTAGTTTTAGTAGAGACAGGGTTTTGCCATGTTGGCCAGGCTGGTCTCAAACTCCTGACCTCATGATCCACCTGCCTCGGCCTCCCAAAGGGCTGGGATTACAGGCGTGAGCCACCGCGCCCGGCCATTAGGTGTTCTTCAGTCAGACATATGGTAGCCATGTTCCCAAGTGTGGTTATAAGGGGGCGACTCCTGGTGCAGGTGTGTTAGAGGCTGAGCTAATTGGCTTTCGTAAATTCTGGGGCCCGAGGATCTGCTCTGGAGATCTGTGCCTGCTGCCCTGTTGCGGCTTCCAGCCTGCACTGAGCCTTATTGGTCTTATCTCTTGCCTCACAGAGTGAAGATGTCTGGCTGGAAGCAGCCAGGTTGCAGCCTGGGGACACAGCCAAGGCCGTGGTAGCCCAAGCTGTCCGTCATCTCCCACAGTCTGTCAGGATTTACATCAGAGCCGCAGAGCTGGAAACGGACATTCGTGCAAAGAAGCGGGTTCTTCGGAAAGGTGAGCCTCCCTCGGAGGTGCTGCTTTCTCCCTCCTTGGGGCCCCTCCTCTCAGCAGCTTTCCTGCTCCTGGCTCAGGCTTTTGGTGAGAGTGGATAAGGAACCAGGGACATTTTTCAGGCCTTTTCTCAGGCTGGGTTGCCTCTGCCCTTGGACCCCCATGGGGGAGGGATACTGTGGTGGGCAAGTTCCCATCCTGGAAGGGATGCTTGGGTTGAGCCCTCACTCCTGCCTTTTTCCAGTGTGTGATCTTGGATGCTTGGGCGGTCACTCTGGTCCAGGCTTCCCTCATCTGCAGGGTGAGAACAACGGTAGCTCAAAGCCTGTGTCCTGGGGCTCTGGAGATGGTCTGTGTGAAGAGCTGAGCCGGCACCTGGCACGTGCAGACCCGTTGTGGGTGTTACTCATTTTCTCTCCTGAGAAGGCACCAGAGCCACACGTTGATTGAACTCTTTCCTGCTGCTGACGAGGCTGTGCCTTCTGCTCCCGCGATGCAGCGTGTGCCGTCAGCTCAGGTCAGATAACGACAGACGGTGTGCCTACCAGGCAACCTGATTCCATCCAGGGATTCCTGCCAGGGTAGAGCTTTTGTGGGTAGTTTGTTTATTTTTATTACTGTGGATTCATAAAAGGAGCACTGTTTCTCCTGTCACTGGAAGTGTGTAGTAGATGCTGCTCTTGAACTGGGTCCAGAACGAGTGCTAGTCAGGGGGCTGTTCTGAAGCTAATCTGTGCAGGTGGCTTCTTTTTTTTCATTTTTTGTTTTTTTTTTCTGGTTTTTTTTTTTTTTTTTTTTTTGAGATGGAGTCTCGCCCTGTCGCCCAGGCTGGAGTGCAGTGGCGTGATCTCGGCTCACTGCAAGCTCCGCCTCCCGGGTTCACACCATTCTCCTGCCTCAGCCTCCTGAGTAGCTGGGACTACAGGCGCCTGCCACCACGCCTGGCTAATTTCTTTTTGTATTTTTAGTAGAGATGGGGTTTCACTGTGTTATCCAGGATGGTCTCGATCTCTTGGCCTTGTGATCTGCCTGCCTCGGCCTCCCAAAGTGCTGGGATTCCAGGCGTGAGCCACTGCACCTGGCCTATGCAGGTGGCTTCTATCCATTTTTTTTTTTTTAGACAGAGTCTCGCTTTGTCGCCCAGGCTGGAGTACAGGGGCACGATCTTGGCTCACTGCAGCCTCTGCCTCCCGGGTTCAAGTGATTCTCCTGCCTCAGCCTCCCGAGTAGCCGGGATTACAGGTGTGCGCCTCCATGCCTGGCCAATTTTTGTATTTTTAGTAGAGATGGGGTTTCCCCATGTTGGCCGGGCTGGTCTCAAACTCCTGACCACAAGTGATCCTCCTGCCTTGGCCTCCCAAAGTGCAGGGATTACAGGCGTGAGCCCCTGTGCCTGGCCTTTTCTTTTCTTTTTTTTTTTTTTTTGAGATGGAGTCTCACTTTGTCCCCCAGGCTGGAGTGCAATGGCACCATCTTGGCTCACTGCAACCTCCGCCTCCTGGGTTTAAGCAATCCTCTTGCCTCAGCCTTCTGAGGAGCTGGGACTACAGGCACCTGCCACCACGCCTGCTTAATTTTTGTATTTTTAGTAGAGACGGGGTTTCACTGTGTTGACCAGGCTGGTCTTGAACTTCTCACCTCAAGTGATCCACCCACCTCGACCTCCCAAAGTGCTGGGATTACAGGCGTGAGCCACTGTGCCCGGCCAGATTTTTTTTTTTTTTTTGAGACAGCGTCTTGCTCTGTCACCCAGGCTGGAGTGCAGTGGCACGATCTTGGCTCACTGCAGCCACCACCTCCCAGGCTCAGGCGATCCTCCCAGCTTAGCCTCCCAAGTAGCTGGGAGTATAGGTCCCACCCCCATGCCCAGCTATTTTTAATTTTTGGTAGAGATGGGATCTTGCTGTGTTGTCCAAGCTTGTCTCAAACTCCCATCCTCAAGTGATCCTCCTGCCTTGATCTCCCAGAGAGCTGGGATTACAGGCATCAGCCGTCGCATCCAGCCTATTCTTCCTGAATTTATAGCCTAGGAAAAATAAAGTGTATTTTATGGAATCAAGGGCAGTTTTCAGTGAGAGCTTTCCAGCTCTTGTTTTTCCAAATGTCTTTAAGCGAAATATCCCATTGAGGCTTCTGTGCTGATAGGACCGTGCAGATGAGGGCTCTTTGGTAGAAAGCCCCTTATCAAATATAGTTTCATTCACTTACTGTCTACGTCTGTTAGAAGACAGGTGAAGGCTGCTTGCCTGTGATGCATGTTCCCCCGACCCTGTGCACTCACATGTGAACGTGCTTTCCTCTGTCGAGGCTGGTTTCTTGACCGCAGCCCAGCTGCTCAGTGAATGCTCAGAGACAGCCTCTTTTATTTTTTTTTATTGAGACAGAGTCTCGCTCTGTCGCCCAGCCTGGAGTGCAGTGGCACGACCTCGGCTCTCTGCAAGCTCCGCCTCCCAGGTTCACGCCATTCTCCTGCCTCAGCCCCCCAAGTAGCTGGGACTACAGGCGCCCGCCACCAGGCCTGGCTAATTTTTTTTTGTATTTTTATTAGAGATGGGGTTTCACCATGTTAGCCAGGATGGTCTTGATCTCCTGACCTCATGATCCACCCGCCTCGGCCTCTCAAAGTGCTGGGATTACAGGCGTGAGCCACCGCGCCCGGCCAGAGACAGCGTCTTATAATGAGGTGGCCAGGAACAGAAAGTTAGCACCTGTCTGGGTTTGTAGAAATCAGTTTATCTTTTTTCAGCTAGGAAGAAATAGTTCTTTGATGAAGAGCCCATGAAAGTCTGGGTAATTAGTATTGTTTACTTAGAAAAGCTCTATTGAATTCTTCCTGCCACAGTTTGATGAATGATCATGAATGTCTTTGTGGCCACTCCCTGCTCACCACCAGATTGTCTGGGTTCATTTCCAGTTGGTTTGGATTTGGAGATGGGAGTATGCTGTTGGAGGCGGGGGCCTTCGGGGAGTGTTGAGGGACTGTGTTTCCACGGCTGTTCTCTCAGGGAGTGGCCTCCTGGCTGTGCTCTCTCAGGCAGAGAAGCTGGGCTAAGGTGGAATGAACCCAGGATCTCCAGGATGGCCTTTGCCGCTGCCCTAATACTGGTCCTGGCCTGCCCTTTCCCAAGAGTGTTTCCAAAAACTGTATTCTTTTCCTGGGGTGAAGCCCAGCACTGCTTCATTTGGTTATTAGCAAACACTTACACGTTGCTTGAAGGGTCTGGTTTTTGAAATTAAGATGACAGCTACTTCCACTGGTGACTTAGGACACCTGCCAGCCAGGGAGCCTGGCAGTGCATGGTCTCTGTGAGCTCTGGGTCGCTGTTGGGCTGAGCTGACACCTTAGTCCTTTGTTGGGAGAATGGGCGTTTTGGGTGCTGATCTTGAGACCTGAGGAGGCTGAGTAACCTTAGGCATGGTGCTTGGCCTCTGAGCTTCCATGTCTTCCTCTGTAAAAGGGAAGAGGGCTTTCAGGATTGGGGAGGGTGCAGCATGTGAGCTTCCTGGCCAGGGTGGGGTGTCCCACGTGCAGAGTCCCCTGGGGAGGCCCGACTGGCAGCTCCCCTACAATAATGCACTCACATGCTGTGTACTCCGCTAGTTAATGCAGATGTGTGGAAGTGGAGTTATTTTACACTAACGCCATATGCTCTGGCCTGTGAAGCGTGGCATCCTTCAGTGGCCGTCGCCAGCGTGTCCCTCTGGGGGCACAGGAATGGCACAGTTCAGGTTGAGGGTCTTCCCTGCAGTCACGTGACCCCCGGAGAGCATGTTGGCCTCTGCACGGTCACGTCTTCATGGCTGTGTCTAGCATTCAGAATACTCTTCTGTTCTAGGCCAACTTCAGGGGTGTGTGCTTCCTCCACTTCTGCTCATAAAGTCACACTCCTTGAAGGCCATTGTATCATGGTGTGCCATGTGGCTTCCGAAAGCACCTGGGGAAGGTGACCTTGTTGGTTTTAGTGCCATGCCTGTGGGCTGCTGATGAGATGCCATGGAGATATGTCAGCTCTCTCCCAAAACTTGAAGACACAGAGTCCTGGGAGTCGTAAGTTAATGACTCCATAAATTGAGTCCCGCATGAATATTCTGTTCTTTAGAGACGCGAAGTTCATCTCCACCAATGTACAAAGTATTAAGGGAAGTAGTTCATATTTAGACAAATAGAGCACTCATCTCCCACGCAGTCGAGGTGAGAGCGCACAGGAAAAACAACTGGGTCGTTCTGTGTCTTCTCTCTATGCCTAGTCGCCTGGTTGGAGGTTAGGACTTTCCTTCTTTACTGCTGTGCCCTCTGCTGTCACCCTGCTTGGTCAGGGTTCTTGACCTGGATGAGTAACCCAAATCTTTTTTTTGTTTTAGACAGAGCCTCGTCCTATTGCCCAGGCTGGAGAGCAGTGTTGCAATCAGCTCACTGCAGCCTCAACCTCCTGGGCTGTAGTGATCCTCCTGCTTCTGGCTCTTGAGTAGCTGGGACCATAGGTACATACTACCATGCCTAAATAATTTTTATTTTGAGACAGGATCTTGCTCTGTTGCCTAGGCTGGAGTGCAGTGGCATGATCATGGGTCACTGAAGCCTCAACCTCCCAGACTCAAACTATCCTCCAGTCTCAGCTTCCTGAATAGCTGGGACTCCAGGGACATACCACCATGCCTGGCTGAGTTTTTAATTTTTCAAAGAGACGAGGTCTCCCTGTGTCATCCAGGCTGGTTTTAAACTCCTGGGCTCAAGTGATCCTCCCACCTCAGTCTCCCAAAATGCTGGGACTGCAGATGGGGGCCACTGTGCTCAGCCAGGACCCATATCTTTATCCCCAAAGGGTCTGACTTGTTGGTAGTTTTGCTTTTTTGGTGGCTGTAGTTCCCATTAACTTTTACTGGTAAAAGCAGAAATACTAAACTGTTTTTAGGACTGGCCTCTAGATAGTCTCCCACAGTGGGTGGCAGCAACTCAGTCTCGCTTTGGGAGTCAGGGTTAGCCTCTCCAGCCAGGGCTGGTACATGAGGAGGCCAGAGGGAGCTGTGGTCTGCACCCTGGTTGGCACATACTCCCTTTGGAGTAGCTCGTAGCTTGCTCTTTTTTTTTTTTTTTTTTGAGACTGAGTCTTGCTCTGTTGCCCAGGCTAGAGTGCAGTGGCGCAATCTCGGCTCACTGCAACCTCCGCCTCCTGGGTTCAAGGAATTCTCTTGCCTCAGCCTCCCAAGTAGATGGGATTACAGGCACCTGCCACCACACCCGACTAATTTTTGTATTTTTAATAGAGATGGGGTTTGGTTTCACTGTGTTGGCCAGGCTGGTCTCGAACTCCTGACCTCATGATCCACCCGCTTCAGCTTCCCAAAGTGCTGGGATTACAAATGTGAGCCACCACACCCGGCCTTTGGACCAGCTCTCTTGACAGGAGGGTCCAAGGAGGCGGAGACGGGACTCTTGGCAGTGGAGACGGGACTTGTGGCAGCGGAGATGGGACTTGAGCCATTCAGACATCACTGTTTATTCCTAGACCCGTGTGTTCTGGCTGTGAGATCCAGCCGGGATTGGTGTCTATTCACAGCATTTGTGGCATCCTACTGGGCTGCCAGGCCATGGCTCTGAGTGATGGGCACATGGTAAGACCATGTTCTGCCTGAATCGGTGAATTCATATAGCTTCGTCTTCTGGCCGTCTTTCAGTTGGTCAAGTGGACATCCAGATAATAAGGCCAGGGGTGTCAGTGCCAGTGTGCTGTGCAGAACCATGCGTAAACCACAGCAGACTTTTGTCTTCTCAGTCCCTTGACCCTAAGGGACTCCCCAGAGGTTGTCAGTGTGGGCTGAGGGAGGAAAGCGGTTGAGCAGCCACCAGTGCAGGAGGCATCTGCCCCATAGCTTAGGCAGCTGTGCTGCACCTGCCTTCCTTCCACACCATCTCCTGGGTGCCATTTCCACCCTATGAGGCCACTGCTGCATCTGCCCAACCTTGTGGCTTGGTCTGTCAGTAACACCTGGAGTGGGCAGCAGGTTGCTCAGTCATTTTATGTCCCTTAGCTGAGTGTTCATTCCCTGCCAGGGCCTCACAGCCAGCCTGGGGCTGTTTCTCAGCAGGAGAGCAGGTACCTGCAGGAGAGCTAGCTCACTTGCCCTCTCCCCTCCCCGCCTCCCCTCCCCTCTGCCTCCCGTCCCCTCTTCCCCTCCCCGCCTCCGCTTCCCTCCCCGCCTCCCCTCCCCTGCCCTGCCCTTTTCCTCTTTTTTTTTTTTTTGAGACTGAGTCTCCCTCTTTTGCCTAGGCTGGAGCTGGAGTTCAGTGGTGCAGTTTTGGCTCACTGCAACCTCCACCTCCTGGGCTCAAGCGATTCTCCCACCTCTGCCTCCCAGCTAGCTGGAACCACAAGTACATGCCACCACGCCCAGCTAATTTTTGTATTTTTTGTAGAGACAGGGTTTCGCCATGTTGTCCAGGCTAGTCTCGAATTCCTGGGCTCAAGCGATCCTCCCACCTCAGCCTCCCAAAATGCTGGGATTATAGGTGTGAACCACCACAATCAGCTGCCTGGCCTAATTTCTTTTTCTTTTTTTTGAGTTGGAGTCTCTCTCTGTCACCCAGGCTAGAGTGCAGTGTCACAGTCTCAGCTTATTGCACCTGCGCCTTCTGGGTTCAAGCGATTCTCCTGCCTCAGCCTCCCCAGTAGCTGGGATTACAGGTGCATGCCACCATACCTGGCTAATTTTTGTATTTTTAGTAGAGACAAGGTTTCACTGTGTTGGCCACGCTGGTCTCGAACTCCTGACCTCAGGTGATCTGCCCACTTCGACCTCCCAAAGTGCTGGGATTACAGGCGTGAGCTACGGGCTGTACCTGGCCCGGCCTAATTTCTTAACATCATTAAATGTCTACTGCATTCATATTTTTCCAGCTGTCATGTCAGTACCTGCACGGGCACATGCATGCATAACCACATGCACACATGGTTGGTTTGAATCAGGATCTAAGCAAAGTCTGAACATTGCCGTTTGGTTGATGTCTTCTCTCGGTTTGTTGATGGAATTGGGTTGTTTTTCCTTGAGATTCCTCACATCAGGGTTTGCTCACTGCAGCCTGTGAGATTGTTTCATGTGGGTCTCGTTTCCTGTATCCTCTGTTTCCTGTATCCTCTTGTAAATTGGAAGGTAGATTTGGAGACTCATAAGAGTAAGCTTTGTGTTTTTTTTTTCTTTTTTTATCAAGGAAATATTCGTGGCAATGCAAGCAGCGTCAGGAGCTGCAGAGGCTGTCACTGCTCAGTGGCCCCAGTGTCCTTCATGGAGTTCTCCACAGCCTTTCAGCTCCTGCCTTTGGCAGTGGCTGGTGACCCGTGCCCGCATCTGTTCCTTCATTAGGGTGTGCAAAACGGTGACATTATAATTAGGTCACTCTTTGCTTTTATTGCCAGAATTATTCTTAAGAGAAGAATTTTCCTATATCCATGATTTGGTTATTCTGAGTTTATTTGGGAAAGACAGAATAGATATTTGATTTGCTTCCTTTCAACTTTCGGGATGATGCGTTGATTCTCTAGCATTCTCCAAAGGTGACTAATGGTCTCTTGGAGCTTTGTTATGAACTATTGAATGCTGTGGTATTTCATGGGTTTGAATACATTGCAGGTAATATTCTTAATATGCTTATTGACCTTCAGACTCTCTGATCATTGTCCAGTGGAAGTCTCTTCTAGTTTGCTCTTGAATTTTTTTTAAGTTTTAGGTATTTTTATTTAAGGGAAAACATGTAATAATGAGGTATTTTAGGTCGGGCGTGGTGGCTCATGCCTGTAATCCCAGCACTTCGGGAGGCCGAGGCGGGCGGATCATGTGGTCAAGAGATCAAACCATCCTAGCCAACATGGTGAAACCCTGTCTCTGCTAAAATTTCAAAAATTAGCTGGGTATGGTGGCTGCACGCCTGTACTCAGCTACTTGGGAGGCTGAGGCAGGAGAATCGCTTGAACCCGGGTGGCAGAGGTTGCAGTGAGCCGAGATCACGCCACTGCACTCCAGCCTGGCGACAGAGCGAGACTCCATCGCAAAAAAAAAAAAAAAAAAAAAAAAGAGAGGTATTTCAGACACTGGCATTTTTTCGTAAATATTTGAAGTGAATTACGTAGATCTTAAGTGTGCAGTTTGATGTCTTCACAAGTGCATGCACCCCTGTAACCCACACTCGACCAAGGCATAGAGCATTTCCAGGGTGGGCACCGTGGCTGACGCCCATAATCCCAGCACTTTGGGAAGCCGAAGCGGGCGGATCACTTGAGATCAGGAGTTTGAGACCAGCCTGGCCAATATGGTGAAACCCCGTCCCTACTAAAAATACAAAAATTAGCCAGGCGTGGTGGTGCGCACCTGTAGTCCCAGCTACCTTAGAGGCTGAGACAGGAGAATCTCTGAACCCAGGAAGCGGAGGTAGCAGTCAGCTGAGATCGTGCCATTGTACTCCAGCCTGGGCAATAGAATGAGACTCTGTCTCAAAACAAAAACAAAAACATTTCCATCCCCGCAGAAAGTCCCCTGGTGCCTCTCAATCAATCCATACTATCCCCATTCGTTGGCAGTCATGCTTCTGACTTATTTTACCAAGATTAGTTTTGCCTCTTTTCAGACGTCACATAAAGGGAGTCATATAGTATAAACTGTTTTGGGACTGGTTTCTTTTGTTCAGCATGTTTTTGAGGTTCATTCCCGTGGTCACTGGTTTCCTGAGTCCTGTTGATATGACCCTGGCAGTCTTCAGTCACTTCCTTGCTTTCTGCTACCACAAGATGCTCCGTTTGTCCTTGTTTGTGTCTGCCCCAGACCTGAAGGAAGCCACATAAAGGGCAGGTGTGTGGTCCCTGACTGTCAACCAGGGAAGTCCGTCTCATCCTGACCAGCAGCATGCTCACCACATGAGCCTCCTGTTTTTATCTCCTTTTCTGTGACGTGGTTTCTCGTTTGACCTTTCCTAGCCCTCGAGCATGTTCCAAACTCGGTTCGCTTGTGGAAAGCAGCCGTTGAGCTGGAAGAACCTGAAGATGCTAGAATCATGCTGAGCCGAGCTGTGGAGTGCTGCCCCACCAGCGTGGAGGTGAGTCTGGCGGGCTCAGGGCCACCAGAGCCCAAAGTGGCCAAGGCCTGAGCCCAGGTTCAGTGTCTGGAAGTGATGATACAAGTGGAGCATTGAGCTCACTCAGGCTGCAATTTCTGGGAGCAGAAGGCCCTGTGGAACCCCAGGATGCCGTTCTGTACATAGCCGCTAGGCAGGGTGGTCAGTGGCCTCAGCTAGCTGTGCTCTTAATGGACGTGCAGGGAGAATCTTAGCTCATACCTGACCACTGCAGAAAATTCTCTGTTGGGCAGTTGCTCAGGGGCCATTTCCTCTCAGCAGCCCAGAGTTTGTCATGGGAGCCGAAGGTGGCAGCGTGATAGAAAACATTGCTTTCTGTCAGCTCCGCATGACTGCTCTTTGCCTCTAAGCTAAGTGGGATTTCTTTGGTTTTAAGCATTCCAGTTCACAGCATTCTGTGCAGTGATTTTTAGTCTTGGTTTTATGATACCTAGTATGTCTTTAATTATCCTAAGGGGTATTGTGAAATTCTCCAAACAACATTAATCTTATTTTATTTACATAAAAATGAATAAAGCCCGTACACATCTTAGGGATGGAATGCTGCAGAACCAAGGGTCTGGGAACTTCAGGAGGCTGAACACCCTTCTGTGTGTTTAGCCTGTGAGGGCAGTAGCCTCATCCTGCTCGTCTGTGCCAGCCCCTGGTATCAGGTCTGGCGTGCTGTGTGCCTGGAGGCTGTGTTTGTGAACATTCAACTGAGAATCTTTTGATGCTCACGAGAGTCACTAAATGAGTCAGAAGCATAAAGGAACAGTTGGTCAGGTGAGAAGTGCTGCTGTGGACACTTCTCAGGCCATGTTCAGATGGTTCTCGAGAGCTAAGAAAGAACGTGGTGGCCAACGCTGGAGGGTGGGTCGCTGTCTGGCCTGCAGCTGTCCCCCCAGCACAGTGTCCTCTCCTTTTTCTCGTGTCCTCTCCGCGTAGCTCTGGCTTGCTCTGGCAAGGCTGGAGACCTATGAAAATGCCCGCAAGGTCTTGAACAAGGCGCGGGAGAACATTCCTACAGACCGACATATCTGGATCACGGCTGCTAAGCTGGAGGAAGCCAATGGGAACACGCAGATGGTGGAGAAGATCATCGACCGAGCCATCACCTCGCTGCGGGCCAACGGTGTGGAGATCAACCGTGAGCAGTGGATCCAGGTGGGCCGCAGGCGGGTGTCGTGGTGTCTGCTTTAACAGTGCACATGCAGCACGTGAGAGTCCCACGCAGGACTGGGGGTTGCTGGATGGTACTGGGGAGTCCTGTGCCAAACCAGAAGCAGGCACAGGTGTGAATGGGCCCTGAGGGACCTGGGCATGCCCACTGTCGCTCTTGATGGATTCAGGCCTGGAGTTCGTCTTGGGGTGAACACTTCAGAAGCCCTTTCAGTGTGTGCACACCTGACTGCATTTCTTTGCTAGTAGAAATGATACACCTACGAGAGGAGGACAGGAAGTCTCATGGCTTCTTTCTTTGCTAGTAGAAATGATACACCTACGAGAGGAGGACAGGAAGTCTCACGGCTTCTTTCTTTGCTAGTAGAAATGATACACCTACGAGAGGAGGACAGGAAGTCTCACGGCTTCTTTCTTTGCTAGTAGAAATGATACACCTACGAGAGGAGGACAGGAAGTCTCACGGCTTCTTTCTTTGCTAGTAGAAATGATACACCTACGAGAGGAGGACAGGAAGTCTCACGGCTTCTTTCTTTGCTAGTAGAAATGATACACCTACGAGAGGAGGACAGGAAGTCTCACGGCTTCTTTCTTTGCTAGTAGAAATGATACACCTACGAGAGGAGGACAGGAAGTCTCACGGCTTCTTTCTTTGCTAGTAGAAATGATACACCTACGAGAGGAGGACAGGAAGTCTCACGGCTTCTTTCTTTGCTAGTAGAAATGATACACCTACGAGAGGAGGACAGGAAGTCTCACGGCTTCTTTCTTTGCTAGTAGAAATGATACACCTACGAGAGGAGGACAGGAAGTCTCACGGCTTCTTTCTTTGCTAGTAGAAATGATACACCTACGAGAGGAGGACAGGAAGTCTCACGGCTTCTTTCTTTGCTAGTAGAAATGATACACCTACGAGAGGAGGACAGGAAGTCTCACGGCTTCTTTCTTTGCTAGTAGAAATGATACACCTACGAGAGGAGGACAGGAAGTCTCACGGCTTCTTTCTTTGCTAGTAGAAATGATACACCTACGAGAGGAGGACAGGAAGTCTCACGGCTTTCTTTGCTAGTAGAAATGATACACCTACGAGAGGAGGACAGGAAGTCTCACGGCTTCTTTCTTTGCTAGTAGAAATGATACACCTACGAGAGGAGGACAGGAAGTCTCACGGCTTCTTTCTTTGCTAGTAGAAATGATACACCTACGAGAGGAGGACAGGAAGTCTCACGGCTTCTTTCTTTGCTAGTAGAAATGATACACCTACGAGAGGAGGACAGGAAGTCTCACGGCTTCTTTCTTTGCTAGTAGAAATGATACACCTACGAGAGGAGGACAGGAAGTCTCATGGCTTCTTTCTTTGCTAGTAGAAATGATACACCTACGAGAGGAGGACAGGAAGTCTCATGGCTTCTTTTACTCTTCCCCTCTCCCCCACACCCTTTTTTTTTTTTTTTTTTTGAGAGGGAGTCTTTCTGTCACCCAGGCTAGAGGGCTAGAGTGCAGTGGCACGATCTTGGCTTACTGCAACCTCCACCTCTTGGGTTCAAGCAGTTCTCCTACGTCAGTCACCTGAGTAGCTGGGATTACAGGCACCCGCCACCATACCCAGCTAATTTTTGTATTTTTAGAAGAGACAGAGTTTCACCATGTTGGCCAGGTTGGTCTCGAACTCCTGACCTCAAGCAACCTGCCCGCCTTGGTCTTCCCTGTCTTTTATCTTTGTCTGTAGACTTAAGGCTATAGAAAAGTTTCCAAAGATGATCTAACTTAGGAAGTAGGGCTTGGGTTCCCTCTAATGCCTTCTTTTAAGGAGTCACCCACTGAGTTATGTTTCTCTCAAGAAAAATAAATAATGAAATTACTATTTTCTGTTATATTTTATGACAGTTTGTCTTTCTTTCCTTCCTTCCTTTCTTCTTCTTTCTTTCTTTCCTTCTTTCTTTCTTGAGACAGGGTCTCGCCGTGTTGCTCAGGCCGGAGTGCAGTGGTGCAGTCATGGCTCACTGCATCCTTGACCTGGGCTCAAGCAATCCTCCCGCCTTAACCTCCCAAGTGGCTGGGACTACAGGCGTGTGCCACCATGCTTGGCCAATTTTTTTTATTTTTATTTTTTGTCTTGTTATGCTGCCCAGGCTGGTCTTAAACTCCTGGCCTTAAGCAATCCTGCCACTTCAGCCTCCCAAAGTGTTGAGATTACAGGCATCAGCTGCCATACCCAGCATATGACAGGTTATTAAGCTATAACTAGCGTTCTACAGAATCCACCCATTTAAAGTTTACGATTCAGTGGTTTTAGTATATTCACAGAGCTATGCGCTATCACCACAATCCTAGAACCTTCTCATCACCCCAGAAAGAAATCCTGTGTCCGTGAGTTGTTGCTCCCCATTTTCATACCTCTGTAGCCTTTTGTTTTTGTTTTTGTTTTTTTTTTGAGACAGGGTGGGTCTCTGTCTCCCAAGCTGGAGTGTATGGTGCAATCAATCTTGGCTCTCTGCCACATTTGCTTCCTGGGCTCAAGCAATTCTCCTGCCTCAGCCTCCTGAGTAGCTGGGACTACAGGCATGCGCCACCACACCTGGCTAATTTTTTTCTATTTTTTGTAGAGACGCGGTTTTGCCATGTTGTTCAGGCTGGTCTCAAACTCCTGAGCTCAGATGATCCACCTGCCTCGGCCTCCCAGAGTGCTGGGATTACAAGCGTGAGCCACCGTGCCTGTCTAACCTTGTTTTTTTACTTTCTTTCTCTACACATTTTTTTCTGGACATTTTATATACAGATGTTCAACTTATGGGCTTATATCCTGATAAACCCATTGTAAGTTGAAAATATCATAAGTCTAAAATGGATTTGAGGCTGGGTGCTGTGGCTCACACCTATAATCTCAGCACATTGCGGGGCTGAGGCGGGTGGATCACTTGAGGTCAGGAGTTTGAGACCAGCCTGGCCAACATGGTAAAACCCTGTCTCTACTAAAGATACAAAAAAATTAGCCAGGCATGATGGTGGGCACCTATAATTCCAGCTACTCGGGAGGCTGAGGCAGGAGAATTGCTTGAACCTGGCGGAGGCAGAGGTTGCAGTGAGCCGAGATCGTGACACTGTACTCCAGCCTGGGCAAAAGAGCGAGACTCTGTCTCAAAAAATAAATAAAATAAAATAAAATGAAATAAAATGCGTGTGATACACCTAACCTACTGAACTTTACAGCTTAGCCTGCCTACGTCAAACATGCTCAGAACACCTACCTTAGCCTACAGTTGGGCAGAGTCATCGAACGTAAAGTGTTGAATAACTCACGTAATTTATTGAATGCTACGATGAAAGTGAAAAACAGACTGGTGGTTTGAGTCAAAGTATTGCTTCTACTGAGCGTGGTGGCTTTTGCATCGTCCGACACCGTGAGTGGAATCACACGACACGTGGTCTTTTGTGACTGGCCTTAACTTAGTGTGTTTTCAGGGTTCCTCCATGTTGTAGCATGGAGGTATTGAAATCCTTTGCCTACTTTTACATTGGATTGTGTCTTTATTATGGTCTATGTATTATTTTTGTCTGTTGTTTTATTATTGAGTTGTAAGAGATGTTTTTATATATTCTGGATATATTGTCACTTATCAGAGACATGATTTGCAACTACAGATGGTCCCTGACTTCCCATGGTTTGACTTTTGCCGTGGTTCAAAAGCAGTTTGCATTCAGTAGAAACTGTCCATGGAGGAAGAGCCAGCGCAGTTTGCGTTCAGTAGAAACTGTCCATGGAGGAAGAGCCAGCACCTTTGCCGCAGGCCCCTGAGGGTCTGGGTGCTGGGTCCTTGCCCCACGCATTCTTCTCACCACTGACCTTTGTGCCAGCGTCTCTGCCTCAGATCCTTGCTCTTGGCTCTGCTTTCTGTCTGGGATGGTTTTCTGGTGCTGGCAGGGCCCTGGGAGGGTCTGGGAGGCATGTGGCTCCGGTTGCACTTTGCTCACGGTCCATGTCGTGGTCCCCCATGTTGGCATGCCGCAGTGGTGCCTGTGCTCCTGCACCCTGTTGCTCTGGCTGGGTTATTGTTCTCTTGTTGGTAGACACATTCTCTTGCACACATGGGAATATATTTGTCACATGAATGCCTTAAAGTAGAACTGCTGGGTCAAATATGTGCCTGTTTTATTTTGATAGAGAATGAGAAATTGCCCTCCATAGAGATATGTGCTTCTTTGCAGTATAAGATTTATGCCCCCTTCACCAAGTGAGCCAGTCAGCACATGTTTCAATGTTGCTCATCTGATACGTGCACAATGGTACTTAGAATAGTTTAATTAGCATCTTGAAAATAAGAATAGGGGCTGGGTGTGGTGGCTTATGCACTAATCCCAGCACTTTGGGAGGCTAAAGCAGGAGGGTTACTTGAGACCAGGAGTTTAACACCAGCCTAGGCAACATAAGGAGACCCTGTATCTATGAAACATAATGTACCATTGAGCATGGTGGTGCATGTCTGTGCTACTCGGGAGGCTGAGGTGAGAGTATCCCTTGAGCCTGGGAGTTGGAAGCTGCAGTGAACTATGATTGTACCACAGCACTTCAGCCTGAGTGACAGGGAGAGACCTTGACTCTCTCTCTTTTTTTTTTTTTTCTGAGACGTAGTCTTGCTCCGTTGCCCAGGCTGGAGTGGAGTGGCGTGATCTTGGCTTACTGCAACCTCCGCCTCCCGGGTTCAAGTGATTCTCCTGCCTCGGCCTCCCGAGTAAGCTGGGATTACGGGCACCCACCACCACGCCTGGCTAATTTTTGTATTTTATTTTTTAGTAGAGACAGGGTTTCACCAGGTTGGCCAGGCTGGTCTCGAACTCCTGACCACGTGATCCACCCTCGACCTCCCAAAGTGCTGGGATTACAGGTGTGAGCCCCCACACCTGGCTGAGACCTTGTCTCTTAAAAAAATAAAATAAAAAGGCTTTACATTTCTTTTCACATGTTTGAAAGTTGTTTGTATTTTTATTTTCTAGTGAACAGTGTGCCTATGTCCTTTGTGACATTTCTCTATTGTTTTTTCTGATTGGCGTGCAGTAGACTCACTTCCTCAGATCCCCAGTAGGCAGTGTCAGCATCTTGTGCTGATGTCTGTCAGTTTTAACCGTTCAGGAACTCCGTACTCCCCGTTGGGAATCTGCAGCTCTGATTTCCAAAATCACAAATAAGTTTTGTGTTCCTCTTTCAGGATGCCGAGGAATGTGACAGGGCTGGGAGTGTGGCCACCTGCCAGGCCGTCATGCGTGCCGTGATTGGGATTGGGATTGAGGAGGAAGATCGGAAGCATACCTGGATGGAGGATGCTGACAGTGTGAGTTGGCAACAGGGGCCTTTGTCCGTAATATGGAGTCTCTGCTTGTGGGAACAGCAGGCACCTTATAAACTACTAGGCTATTTTAAAACTCTTTTTTTTTTTTTTTAAATCTGAGACGGGGTCTTGCTCTGTCGCCCAGGCTGGAGTGCAGTGGCGCTATCTCAGCTCACTACAACCTCCACCTCCTGGGTTCACGCCATTCTCCTGCCTCAGCCTCCCGAGTAGCTGGGACTACAGGCATGTGCCACCACGCCCAGCTAATTTTTTGTATTTTTAGTAGAGACGGGGTTTCACCGTGTTAGCCAGGATGGTCTTAATCTCCTGACCTCGTGATCCACCCCGCCTTGGCTTCCCAAAGTGCTGGGATCACAGGCGTGAGCCACCGCGCCCGGCCTCCCAGAGTGCTGGGATCACAGGCGTGAGCCGCCATGCCTGGCCTCCCAAAGTGCTGGGATCACAGGCGTGAGCCACCGCGCCCGGCCTCCCAGAGTGCTGGGATCACAGGCGTGAGCCACCGCGCCCGGCCTCCCAGAGTGCTGGGATCACAGGCGTGAGCCGCCGCGCCCGGCCTCCCAGAGTGCTGGGATCACAGGCGTGAGCCGCCCTGCCCGGCCTCCCAGAGTGCTGGGATCACAGGCGTGAGCCGCCGCGCCCGGCCTCCCAGAGTGCTGGGATCACAGGCGTGAGCCGCCGCGCCCGGCCTCCCACGGTGCTGGGATCACAGGCGTGAGCTGCCGCGCCCGGCCTCCCACGGTGCTGGGATCACAGGCATGAGCCGCCGCGCCCGGCCTCCCAGAGTGCTGGGATCACAGGCGTGAGGCGCCACGCCTGGCCGCAGATTTGCTTTCTTACTCTGTTCGCTCTCATGCACTTACCTCTTATTTTTTTTTCTGGAACTGTTTGACAATGAATGAGTTGCAGATGTGGTGCCCTTTACCTTAAACACTTTGGTGTGTATTTCTTTAAAAGAGGACGTTCTCTTACACAGCCATAGCTCAGTTATCAAAATCAGGACATTGATGTTGGGACAGTGCTGTCAGGTAACTTCAGACCTTACTCAAATCTCACCCACAGGCTGGGCATGGGGCTGACGCCTGTAATTCCAGCACTTTGGGAGGCCGAGATGGGCAGATCGCTTGAGCTCGGGAGTTTGAAACCAGCCTGGGCAACATGGCAGAACACCATCTTTACAGAAACAAAAGCCAGGCATGGTGGTGCACGCTTGTAGTCCCAGCTACTCAGGAGGCTGAGGTGGGAGGATCACTTGAGCTCAGGAGTTTGGGGCCGTAGTGAGCTGTGATTGCGCCACTGCACTTCAGCCTGAGTGACAGCAAGACCCTATCTCAAAAAAAGAAAAAGTCTCACCCGTTGTCTCTGTGTCCTTTTAGCAGAAGAAAAAACCAACTGTCTTCTGTGAGGAATACAGGGTCATCCTCAGGCTAGTCTGGAAGAGAGCCTCAGCCTTTGTTGTTCCTGAGTGTGAATTTTTTGAGGACCACGGGCCAGTGATGCTGTAGACTCCTCTTTCATCTGGTTCTCTGTGGTGTCTCCTCCGGGTTGGGTTGAGGCTTCTTGGTGCATCATACGGAGAGGTGTGCACCTGTTCAACTCCGACCGTCTGGTGCGGGCAGTGGCCGCAGGTGTTTCCACTGTATGGTTGCTGTTTGTTTCTTTGTTATTATTAATAAGTATTTTGAGGATCCATTAATGATGCTTCTTGGCCTGAATCAGTTATTTCTGTGGTGTTTGCTAAATGGTGATTTTTTTTAAATCTTTTTTTATATATTAAATTTTTTTTGTAGAAACAGTATCTCACTATGTTGTCCAGGCTGGTTTCGAACTCCTGGCCTCAAGTGATCCCACCTCAGCCTCCCAAAGTATGTAGGATTACAGGCGTGTCACTGTGCCTGGTCACACCTGCATAATGATTTTGTGAACAGTTTCTCTTACATTTTATTAGTTGGAATTCTACAGTAACGAAGAGCTTCACTTTCTCCTTCATCCGTGTGCGTTCACTTCCTTCCATCTGGATTGGTCAATGGCTCCTCCTTTGGTCCTTGGAATCAGACCCCACTGCTGGCATTGACCGTGTGATACACACATGATTCTTTTGCACCCCGTGTGGCGTGACCCAGAGCTTGTGTGCCGGCTGGGCCATCCTCCTGCCCCATGTATGCTAAAATACACACATCAATCCTTAGGTGAGTTAAGACGCAGGGCAGCGGTAATAGTTTTTGTTGTTGGTTTTTTTTTTTTTTTTTTTTGGGACAGAGTCTCACTCTGTCTCCTAGGCTGGATGGAGTCCAGTGGCACGATCTTGGCTCACTGCAACCTCCGCCTCCCAGGTTCAAGGGTTCAAGCAATTCTCCTGCCTCAGCCTCCTGAGTAGCTGGGACTACAGGTGCCTGCCACCACACCTGGCTAATTTTTATATTTTTTATAGAGATGAGGTTTCGCCATGTTGGCCAGGCTGGTCTCGAACTCCTGACTTCAGGCCATCCACCTGCCTCAGCCTCCCAGAGCCACTGCTCCTGGCCTGTTTTTCTCTTATTATTTTGTCATCTCTTTCACATACACTGGAGTAAGCACAGCTGTTTTTCAAAGTGCTCGTGATGCTAGAGTAAGGAGGACAGTGTTTTCTGTGCCCAGAAGTGTGCTGTGGTGCTGCTTCCCTCCCGGACACCAGGGCCCTGGGCACAGCATCACTTGATCCTGTGGGTGTTCAGGCCACTCTCGGGTTGCTTGTGAAGGTCCAAGGAGGCGATGGAGAATCTGAAATGCTTTGTCACCAACCCTCAGGACTTGGATCAGAAATCACAGAGAGGGGCATAGACCAGAGTGCTCTATCCAGGGCCTGACCCTCACCGGCATCCTCCCTGACCCCCTCAGATGCTCCTGGTCAGGACACAGTGCCTGAGGCAGGGCCCTTGCTGGTTTCTGTGCTGGTTGAGTCAGACTGAAGCCATGTGACTTGGGAGGCATCAGGTCTGAGTGAAGAAATCTCAGTGACATCCCCACTCCTCGTCCTCCTGACCCATTTTCATGCTGGGGCTCCTTAACTGGGAGGCTCACTGTTGTCCCTTCCTCTCGTAGAAGGCAGCTGTTCCTCTGGGAACTGTTCTTGGGTGCCCCTGTGTGGGGACTTGGACAGCTTTGAGCTGCCAGTCCAGATCTTTGCCATTGTCATGTTCATAGTTGCAAAACTTTGTTCCTGACCCACTTCCTGGTGGCCTCTCACTTACCTTCAGCAACAAACTCCTTCTTGGTACAAGAATCCTTTCAGCGGCCGGGCGCAGTGGCTCATGCCTGGAATCCCAGCACTTTTGGGAGGCCGAGGTGGGTGGATCACTTGAGGTCAGGAGTTCGAGACCAGCCTGGCCAACATGGTGAAACCTCGTCTCTACTAAAAATACAGAAATTAGCTGGGTGTGGTGGCAGGCGCTTGTAATCCCAGCTACTTGGGAGGCTGAGGCAGGAGAACTGCTTGAACCTGGGAGGTGGAGGTTTCAGGGAGCTGAGATCGCGCCACTGCACTCCAGCCTGGGTGACAAAGCGAGACTCTGTCTTTAAAAAAAAATCCTTTCAGCATCTGCAGGGCGCAGAGGACGGTGACTTGCCCCTGTGTGAGGCTGAGTGGGAACAGGTGTCTGAACCTGGCCCAGTGAGTCTCCAGGTGTCATGATCGCCAGTCAGACGAACCCCCAGAGGCTTTAGCGCTGCAAATGGTGACTGGCTTTTTTGTTTTCTTTTGTTGTTGATGCTAACCAAAAGATAAAGTCATTCTTGAGTATAGGGAAAAAAAAGCCTGAAGAAAATAGAACTGTGTTTACTGTAGTTCTGTTGAGTGGATGGGTTTTTTCCTGTTTGTATTCACTTGTCTTTTACAGGTTTCTAATTAATGTAACTTTTTATCGTGGTAAATATATACTATACCTAATTTTTTTTTTTTTTTTTTTGAGACAAGGTCTCTCTCTGTCGCCCAGGCTGGAGCGCAATGGCGCAATCTTGGCACCCTGCAACCTCCGCCTCCTGGGTTCAAGCAATTTTCATGCCTCAGCCTCCCAAGTAGCTGGGATTACAGCCATGCACTACCATGCCCAGCTAGTTTTTGTATTTTTAGTAGAGACAGGGTTTTACCATGTTGGTCAGGCTGATCTCAAACTCCTGACTTCAGGTGATCCACCCAGCTTGGCCTCCCAGGGTGCTGGAATTACAGGCGTGAGCCACCGCTGTAGCCACTATACCTGATTTTTAAAAAAGAAACCAATATGTTTGATCTGCAGTTACAGCATGTGTGTGTGTGTGTACACGTACATATGCCTGGGCCACAGCCCTCTGTGTGTGTGTGCACTTGTATGTGCATATGGCTCGGCCACAGCCCCATGTCTGTGTGTGCGTGTGTGCGTGCACGTATGCCTATGCCTTGGCCACAGCCCCGTGCGTGTGTGTGTGTGTGTGTGCATGTATGCATATGCCTCAGCCACAGCCGTGTGTCTGTGTGTGTGTGCGTGTGCATGTGTGTGCATGTATGTATATGCCTGAGCCACAGCCCTGTGTCTGTGTGTGCGTGTGTGTGCACGTATGCATATTCCTCGGCCACAGCCCCCGTGCATGTGTGTGCATGTATGCGTATGCCTCAGCCACAGCCCTGTGTCTGTGTGTGTGCATGTATGCATATGCCTCAGCCACAGCCCCGTGTCTGTGTGTGTGTGTCTGTGTGTGTGTGTGCACATATGCATATGCCTCAGCCACAGCCCCATGTCTGTGTGTGCGTGTGTTTGTGTGTGTGCGTGCACATATGCATATGCCTCAGCCACAGCCCCGTGTCTGTGTGTGCGTGTGTGTGCACGTATGCATATGCCTCAGCCACAGCCCCGTGTGTGTGCGTGTGTGTGTGTGCACGTATGCATATGCCTCGGCCACAGCCCTGTGTGTGTGCGTGTGTATGCGTGCACGTATGCATATGCCTCGGCCACAGCCCTGTGTGTGTGCGTGTGTATGCGTGCATGTATGCATGTGCCTCGGCCACAGCCCCGTGTCTGTGTGTGTGTGTGTGTGCACGTATGCATATGCCTCAGCCACAGCCGTGTGTGTGCGTGTGTGTGTGTGTGCACGTATGCATATGCCTCGGCCACAGCCCTGTGTGTGTGTGTGTGTGTGTGTGTGTGCATGCACGTATGCATATGCCTCAGCCACAGCCCTGTGTGTGCATGTGTGTGCACACCTCCATCACCTGCAGCTAGTGACTTGTGCACCTCTCGCAGGCCAAGGAAGCAGCAAGCAGCCCCATGTGCCCCTTTTTCAGTGTTCTTGTTTCTTGTCCTCATCCTCAGGCTTGTCTCTTTCATGTACACTGGAGTAAGCACAGCTGTTTTTCAAAGTGCTTGTAATGCTGGAGTAAGAACTACAGTGTTTTCTGTGCCCAGAAGTAGGTTTCCCAGTCCTGGATTGTGGTTCTACTTTCTTTCTGGAGGGGGAGGACAGAGTGTGACTCTGTCGCCCAGGCTGGAGTGCAGTGGCGTGATCTCGGCTCACTGCAACCTTTGCCTTCTGGGTTCAAGTGAATCTCCTGCCTCAGACTGCCGAATAGCCGGGATTACAGGCGCATGCCACCACGTCTGGTTAATTTTTGTATTTTTAGTAGAGATAGGTTTTCACTATGTAAGTTAGGCTGGTCTCGAACTCCTGACTTCAGATGATCCACCCGCCTCGGCCTCCCAAAGTGCTGAGATTACAGGCGTGAGCCACCGCACCTGGCCTGGATTGTGGTTCTAATTAGATAAAACACTGTGGTACACCTTCTAGCAGATATCATCTTTCAGAATCGTATGAGCCTGGGGAGGGCATCATGCCACTTGTTCTGTGGCCAGTGCTGGGCTGCCCATTCTCATGTCTCTCTCTGCTCTAGTGTGTAGCCCACAATGCCCTGGAGTGTGCACGAGCCATCTACGCCTACGCCCTGCAGGTGTTCCCCAGCAAGAAGAGTGTGTGGCTGCGCGCCGCGTACTTCGAGAAGAACCATGGCACTCGGTATGTGGTGGGACCCGCCTGCCCAAGGGTGCTAATGAAACCTCCAGCTCCATTTGTGTAGCCCTGAATTTAAACCTCTCATGTCTGCTCATCCAGTCTTGTGCCCATTTGAGGTCTGGCCCTCTGGTTGTGATGAAGGATTTTATGGCATTTGGGACTTTGCAACTGGATCCATCTTTATAGCCCCTTCTGGGACAGCAATGATACCATTTTCTAGCTGAGAAACAAGGAACCCCGGGGGCCCGTCCTGCTAAGTGTCCTGTAGCCTGAGGAGTGGCCTGGGTATAGACTTGAGGCTGGAGCCCGCGTGGCCCATGGCCGAGCACTGGCTGCAGCGGTGGGTGGGGCAGCATCTGGGCTCAGGCAGGCATATTTTCCATTTAAGCTGTGCTGGCTTTGGGTTTTGACTGGTTTTTGTGCTCAGAGGAGGTCCTTGACAATTTTATTTAACTGCACTCTTTAATTGAAAACATCTTTCAGGTCCGCTTTATTGGCTGTAAATGCTGATTAAATTTGGCGTTGCAGTTTATTGTTTTAAATGGATAGCTCTCAAGGGCATTGGGCTCGTGTCCCCACGCACCCTCTGTCCGTCCTCTCCCAGGTCCTCGGGTGATGCTCCCTGTACCAGGTGAGGACAGGCCCTGCTGGTTTCACTGGGGCTACAGCTGAGAATGTTGAGCCATTGTCTCTTTGCTTTTCTGGTGTGATTTAATCTCAGCCTCTTCAGGGTGTCTTTCCATGTGTCCTCCTGAAGACCTGGCCCCCTCCCCATGCCCACCAGCTGGTCTGTGTTTGGGAGTGATCTCCTTTGGGGACGTTTTGAAATGGCTGCCATGGTGCCCCTCTGTAGAAGGTCACCTGGGGCAGTCTGAGTGAAGAACAGGGCGGTGCCAGGTGTAGGCTGAGGTCTCTCGGCCCGTGACCTGAATATGAACTGCTGCCCTTGACCCCTGGGCACAGTGGGCAGTGCCCTCCGACTTCCCTGCCTTCTCCCGAGTGCATGCTTGCAGGGATGAGGAGAGGCAGTAGTGCTGGGGGAGCTGGTCCTCTGGAGAGCACGGTTGCTTTGCTGGCCCTTGCTCCACACAGTGTGATTGTGTGTGGTCACTTTGTCTTGCTGTCGCACTCACTGAGGCCCAAAGGGGTCATTGATGTGACTGAGGGTGGTGGGCCACATGAGAGTCCAGGAGCATCAGACCTGATGCCCACGGCTGGCAGTTTTGCTCAATAGTGACCTGAAATCACTTTCTTCCTATAAGATAATTCTTTTGGATGCCGGGAGAGTGAACCTGGGATCATAATCTTTATCAGTGGGTCCGGGGTGCGCTTGTGCTCTGTGGTTCAAGATGAAAAGGCCTCCCCTGTCACAGACTGAGGTTATTGCTGCTTCCAGGACACACGGCTGTAAAAGGTTCTCTTGTGAAGTTCGTCTCTCCAGCTCTGCTATTTAAACAATGCATTCCTTTGTAGAACCCTCTTCAGTAGTTGATTTTAGAACCTTTATGGAGAGGAAAGATTTCCCCACACTCTCCCCATTGTAAAATCTGGTCAATCATTTATAGCATCGAACTTTGGAGCAGTAACTGTCTTTCTGGCGTGCCCACGCCATGGCTGAGTGTGATGTGTGTTCTGGTTTATGGCCCTGCCTCTGGTGACCGTGGCCTCTTATCTTGCAGGGAGTCCCTGGAAGCACTCCTGCAGAGGGCTGTGGCCCACTGCCCCAAAGCAGAGGTGCTGTGGCTCATGGGCGCCAAGTCCAAGTGGCTGGCAGGGGATGTGCCTGCAGCAAGGAGCATCCTGGCCCTGGCCTTCCAGGTGGGTGAGGGTTGCCTGTGTGGTGAGGGGCCTGTGCACACAGGAGCTGACCTGGGTGCTGACTGGGGCCTGAAAATCTCCCACATACAATGTGGCACGTGCTGTTGTTGGGGTGCACTGGAGTCCAGGGGCTGCTCCACAGGAGCAGGGGCCGTGAAGGGGCCCGAGAGCAGGAAAGCAGCCCACCTGGCAGATACTTACCTCTCGGTCCCCCCACTCAGTGTGACCACGGGTAAATGTTTCAGAACATGGAACACGGGGTCACACAGGCTGAGGGCGCCCTTATGTGAATGGATGTATTCAGACCGCCTCACTGAGCCAGGCCTGAGGGTGCCTGGTTGTCATGAGGGGGGTGTGTGTTTTTTTTAAGTACCTTGTCTTTATTTTCACATATAACATCCTAATAGTTTATAACATACTTTTTAATAAGCTATAGAATGCTATATAAAAGTCTGTTACTGTAGCTCAGGCTAATATCATAGAGTGTGCCCTTCTTTGAGCAAATACCATGAGAGGGGACTGGCCTGGGTTTAACCTTTCGCTCTCAGCTGCCTGTTTGAGATGGCATCACTCCTGTGAGTAACTGCAGCGTCCCCTCCACCTGCCCGCTCTCTGCCTGTCACGTGGCTTCCTTCCACCCGCTCTCTTGGGCGGCTGTGCTGATTGGGACGCATTCAGACAGCCCTGGGCACCGGGCTGGGGAGGCTTTGAGGGCAGAGCCTGCGTGTCCACTGGGCTCTGGGCTGTGTGAGCTTCCGTGGCTTGTGGACGCCTTCTCCACATGTCAGTGGCACCCTGGGAGTCCTCTCTCCTGCCCATGTGGGCTCATGAGGACAGGACAGCTGGCTTCCCTTCATCAAGCTCAGGGGAAAGAGCGAGGTTGCGTGTGATGAGTCTACCAGTATAGGATGCGAGTGCCCCATTCAGGGGCTTTGAGAGGGCGTGGGTGGATCCTGGGTAAGATGGCCCTGCACCTGCCCCCGTTATTGCTCGAGTGCTTTAGCAGCCTCTTCACTGTCCTCACTGTACCAGAGTGAACATGGGCCTGTGTGTTTCCAGGTGAGTCTGGATTCTTGCACTGGAGTCGGCTCTGTCATCTCCTCCCTGGGAAGGGCTTGGACCAGACTAATCCTGTAGCAGAGCAAGGCCTGGCTCAGTTCCTGCCTGCCTGCTTTTGATTAAGTGTGATCAGGCGCTGGTCCCTGTGTTCTGACCCCTCTTGACGCTGCTGTACTTGCCCTTCAGGCCAACCCCAACAGTGAGGAGATCTGGCTGGCAGCCGTGAAGCTGGAGTCCGAGAATGATGAGTACGAGCGGGCCCGGAGGCTGCTGGCCAAGGCGCGGAGCAGTGCCCCCACCGCCCGGGTACGCAGTGGCAGGCAGGGCTGGGCCGTCTGGGGTGCATGGTGTGCACATGCGGGCCCCACGCCTGGCTTGGGTGGTGATGGGAGTGAGATGACGGCAGGCAAACGAGACCACAGCACACTCATCTTTGTGATGTGACTAAAACATTCATGTGGCCGGGCGTGGTGGCCGGGCGCGGTGGCTCACGCCTGTAATCTCAGCACTTTGGGAGGCCAAGGCGGACAGATCACCTGAGGGTGGGAGTTTGAGACCAGCCTGACCAACATGGAGAAACCCCGTCTCTACTAAAAATACAAAATTAGCCGGGCGTGGTGGTGCGTGCCTGTAATCCCAGCTGCTCGGGAGGCTGAGGCAGGAGAATCGCTTGAACCCCGGGGGTGGAGGTTGCGGTGAGCTGAGATCGCGCCACTGCACTCCAGCCTGGGCAGCAAGAGGGAAACTGTCTCAGCAACAACAACAACAACAAACATGTTCATACGGCCGGGTGTGGTGGCTCACGCCTGTAATCCCAGCACTTTGGGAGGCCAAGGCAGGTAGATTGTGAGATCAGGAGTTCGACACCAGCCTGACCAACTCTGCTAAAAATACAAAATTAGCTGGGTGTGGTGGCTTGCACCTGTAGTTCCAGCTACTTGGGAGGCTGAGGCAGGAGAATGGTGTGAACCCAGCAGGTGGAGCTTGCAGTGAGCCGAGATCGTGCCACTGCACTCCAGCCTGGGTGACAGAGCGAGACTCTATCTCAAAAAAAAACAAAACAAAACAAAAACATATATTTATCCCCACCTTTTGTGTACACAAACAGGCTATGAAAAGCTTACAAAAGTACACACAGTACTGCAGGTAACAGTGTTGAGGATGAGTGTACCATGAAGCACGTACCCTGGAGCTGATGCCCTGCGTGACAGTGCATGTCTGCCCCACAGGTGTTCATGAAGTCTGTGAAGCTGGAGTGGGTGCAAGACAACATCAGGGCAGCCCAAGATCTGTGCGAGGAGGCCCTGCGGCACTATGAGGACTTCCCCAAGCTGTGGATGATGAAGGGGCAGATCGAGGAGCAGAAGGAGATGATGGAGAAGGCGCGGGAAGCCTATAACCAGGGGGTACGTCTCTGCCTGCACCCTGGGGCTGCAGCTGACCCGGCATTCACAAAACTGAGCCCCCTGGTGCAGGGTCATTGCCCTTCGCCTCTGAGGAGATGTGGAGGGCTGGGGGTTACAGCTGATGGAGCTGCAGACTCAGGACCCAAACCCTGGTCCCCTCGCTGAGTTCTGTGCTTTTCCTTATATGAAGCTGCACACACTGCTCAGAAGTGCAGAGTGTGGCACACCTGCAGTAAAGGCTGGTACGTACAGACCTGTGTGCACAGGTCCACAGCACCACCGCACACCTGTACACCCACAAATGCAGAGTGTGAGGGGTGTTTTTCCATGGACATGGCAGCCCTGAGGGACTCGGTCACCCACTGCAGATGAGAAGCTGGGCATGGCTGTGTCCCAGTTCTTCATAGACACCACCTGAGCTGCTCTCTTACTTGTTGGTTGCAGTTGAAGAAGTGTCCCCACTCCACACCCCTGTGGCTTTTGCTCTCTCGGCTGGAGGAGAAGATTGGGCAGCTTACTCGAGCACGGGCCATTTTGGAAAAGTCTCGTCTGAAGAACCCAAAGAACCCTGGGCTGTGGTGAGTCCTGGAGGGGGCAGCCTGGCCTCTGGGCACAGCTTCCCCATCAGGTGGGCCGCCGTCACCCAGCTGCTTGTGTGGAGTCACTCGTGCAGTGCTTCCAGGCTCAGGGGCTTGGGGGGCGGTAGGTGCTGGCCATGAAAAATCACGGTCCCTGCCTTAGGAGAGTTCGGCCTAGGTACTGTGACAGGCCTGTAGATGGTTTGATGCAGTTTAATTTGTGTTCTGATGGAGGGCGCCTGGGAGAGGGAGGGGTTAATGATGGCTGGGACGAGGGAAGGATGGACCCCGGAGAGCCAGCTCCACAGAGGAGGTGGCGTGGAGAGCCCTGGAGGTGGACAGGAGCCTGCTAGGTGCAGGCTCTGTTCATGGAGGTGCTGCGTCCAGCTCAGGGTGACGGGGCTGGAGCACTGTGCAGGCACTGCCGCAGACAGGCAGCTTCTGGGTGCCTTGTGCGGCCCTGGCTCTCCCAGTCTGGTCTTGTTTGTTCTGGATGCCTTCACCTGCATCTGGACAGCGTCAGGATCTGAGGTCTTGCCTTGGGGCGGTTGCCAGTGGGGCTGGCAGGGATGTGGGCCCCAGCGCCTTGTTTCTGTGGTGGATGAGCTCTGCTGTGGAGGGAATGGAGTTTTTGCTGCTGTGACTGGGTGGAGAGCCCTTTCAGACAAGGCTTCCCAGAAGCTACCAGAATATGTGCTGTTGGTAGACGGCTGTGGGACCTCCGGGGGCCTGTCTCCTCAGGTTGGAGTCCGTGCGGCTGGAGTACCGTGCGGGGCTGAAGAACATCGCAAATACACTCATGGCCAAGGCGCTGCAGGAGTGCCCCAACTCCGGTAAGGGGGTGCCCCGACTCCGGTAAGGGGGTGCCCTGACTCCGGTAAGGGGGTGCCTTGACTCCGGTAAGGGGGTGCTTCCTGGCTTCCCAGACTCCGCAGGGCTGGCACTTCCTGAGGGAGTGGGGGCTCAGGCTTCAGACGGACTTTATTAAAATGTGTAGTTTGTGTGAATCATTTCAGTCAAAAGTTTCAGCTATACTCGGCCGTTAAGACAACTTAATGAAATTCTTGGCCTCAAAATGGGAGAATTTGATTTCATTTCTGAAGTGTTATCATTTCTTTTTCTTTTAAAATTTAAAAGAAATTGGCCAGGTGTGGTGGCTCATGCCTGTAATCTCAGCACTTTGAGAGACTGAGGCGGGAGGATTGCTTGAGTCCAGGAGTCCATTGCTTGAGACCAGCCTGGCCAACATGGTGAAACCCCGTCTCTACTAAAATACAAAAATGAGCTGGGCATGGTGGCGGGCGCCTGTAATCCCAGCTACTCGGGAGGCTGAGGCAGGAGAATTGCTTGAGCCCGGGAGTGGGAGGTTGCAGTGAGCTGAGATTGCGCCATTGCACTCCACCCTGAATGACAGAGTGAGACTCTGCAGGGTGTCCAGTCTGTGCCCTCAGGGCTGCCATGGTTTTGGGTGGGCCAGAGTGCTCATCCTTTGTGGTTCTCCTTGCACAAGTTCTGCGAGCCGTGTGTGGGAGGCCCCTGTCGTGGTCTGAGGACGTCCCGGGTTAGAATCTGTAGGCTGGGCACCTTTCCGGAACCAGAGGCTGGAGTGCAAATCTTTGTTCTTTGTTTCTGAATTATAGGTATCCTGTGGTCTGAGGCCATCTTCCTCGAGGCAAGGCCCCAGAGGAGGACCAAGAGCGTGGATGCCCTGAAGAAGTGTGAGCATGACCCCCATGTGCTCCTGGCCGTGGCCAAGTGAGTGGGGCCCCCACAGGATTGCTGAACCTCGGGGTCCTAATGGGCTCTTTTTCCAGAGTCTGTCTGCCTCTTCCTGGTCATTGTAAAGATGCCCGGCAGCAGGGTGGGCTTCCCCGATCCTCGGCTGCCGTCGCTCCTGCTGTGGTCTGGGGCAGGCGCCTCTCCTGGCAGACACACCTGAGGGTGCCGTGGTCAGAGACTCACTGGGGACGCATGTGATTCACACTGGTGCGCTGGCCGCCGGGTCACAGACTCACTGGGGACGCGTGTGATTCACACTGGTGCGCTGGCCGCCAGGTCAGAGACTCACCGGGGACGCATGTGATTCACACTGGTGCTCTGGTCGCCGGGTCAGAGACTCACTGGGGACGCATGTGATTCACACTGGTGCGCTGGCCGCCGGGTCAGAGACTCACTGGGGACACATGTGATTCACACTGGTGTGCTGGCCGCCGGGTCAGAGACTCACTGGGGACGCGTGTGATTCACACTGGTGCGCTGGCCGCTGGGTCAGAGACTCACTGGGGACGTGACTCTGGAACCTTGCAGGCAGCAGCGGGTAGCCATGGGGCAGAGCATGCAGACTCTAGGCACATGTGGGCAAAGACCCGCCAGGTGTGGGGCACAGCAGGGAGCTCAGGGCCATCCCCGACCCCCAGGGTCCCTGTTTCCTTCTAGAAAGAGGATGACAGTCTGGGAAGGAGCTGGGCCTGAGTGTGGGTCAGGAGGCTGGGAAGTGACCATGTGGGGTGAAGGGAGTTCTTGGAAGAACCCTGGGTTCCTGAGGCTGCAGCTCAGGACGTGGGCTCACCTGGCAGAGGTGGCGTGTCTGGCCCCAGGAGCTCTCCTGTGTCCGGCTTCCCCTCCACCTGCCCCGCCATGGGTCATGCAGAGACAACAGCCTTCCTAGTGCTGGCTTTTGATTCTCTCCATCCCTTCTCCCCAGCACTGGGTGGCAGTGGTGCTTGGTCTCCAGAGGTCTGGGTGCCGCCCCCACAGGCTTGCCTGTAGGGGCACCTCCTCTCCCCTGCCCGCAGGCCCCCGACAGATGAGAGAGGCTCCCCACAGGGAGGCTTGTGTCTGCCTGGTGCTACCTTGGTCCTGCCCTGTGCGTTCACCTCCCAGAGTGACTTCTGGGTGACACTCTGATAGTGCAGCCATAAAACCTTATAAAAGGCTTTGCTAAAGTAAATAAGTCACTCCTTGCTATTCCCAAGCCAGTGTTTTGTGTGTCTGCTATCTGGGTTTGTGCTCTTTAAATCACAGTTTATCTAACACCGGGCAATTAAGAATACCACAAGGCTTAAAAAACAATCAGGTTATCAGAGTGTGAAATTATTCCGTTTGGCAACTGAGACGAACCCGAACAGCTGCCCGGAGTGGAGGCTCCTCGTGTTGTCTCTTGACTACGGTGCCTCTGGCTCCAGGGGGAGGTGACCCTGAGGAGAGGGTGGCAGCAACGCAGAGTCCCGGGCCTGCCAGCATGCTCAGCAGCCAGCGCCCGCCATCCCTTCTCCAGCAGCGGGTGGGGGTGCCATGCACACCCTTACCTGGCCTCTCATAGCATGGACCTCTTCGGGCCCGGTTTTTCAGGTGTGCATGTGTCTGGCAGGCACGGCGGTGTGAATCCAGTGGCCTGAGGGCTGTGGGCTGCAGGCCCAGGCCCTTGTGCTGCCTGGAGCCCATCTTCTCAGTGTTCACTGGGGTTGCTGCTGGAGGCCGGGTGGGGCAGGATGATCCAGCAGGTGTCTCAGTGAGGAGCTGAAACTGTATAACTTTCCCTCATCAAAGTTGCAGTTTAATTTTGTGTCAGGTTTAGTTTCATCTCCTTGTATCTGACCCTAATTTTACGGAGTTGGAAGATCTTTCCCTGCGTGTGAATTTTTTAAGAAACAGTTTGGGACAGGTGCGGTGGCTCATGCCTATAATCCCAGCACTGGGAGGCTGAGGCAGGTGGATCATGAGGTCAGGAGTTTGAGACCACCCTGACCAACACAGTGAAACCCCATCTCTACTAAAAATACAAAAATTAGCCGGGTGTGGTGGCGCATGCCTGTAATCCCAGCTACTCAGGAGGCTGAGGCAGGAGAATCGCTTGAACCTGGGAGGCAGAGCTTGCAGTGAGTCGAGATCGCGCCACTGCACTCCAGCCTGGGCGACAGAGCGAGACTCCTTCTCAAAAAAAAAAAAAAAAAAACAACAAAAAAAAACCAATTTGGTTAGACCCGTGAAGGGCAGCTTCAAGTTAATGATCTGGGGTAATTATTTCTGGATCAGCCGAGGCCCTGATCCTCAGGCCTTCTTGAGGGGAGCACCAGGGCTGCGGGTCAGGGATGAAGCTGATGGCCCTGAAGCCGTTCCCCTGCCCCAGAATACCGTCCTGCAGCCACTCACTCTGGGTTCACGTCCTTCTGCTGGAACAGGCTGTTTTGGAGTCAGCGGAAGATCACCAAGGCCAGGGAGTGGTTCCACCGCACTGTGAAGATTGACTCGGACCTGGGGGATGCCTGGGCCTTCTTCTACAAGTTTGAGCTGCAGCATGGCACTGAGGTGAGGCCCCTCGACAGACCGCCGCTCAGTGCCTTCTGGGACTG
Source organism: Homo sapiens (assembly GCF_000001405.40). Lineage (NCBI taxonomy): Eukaryota > Metazoa > Chordata > Mammalia > Primates > Hominidae > Homo > Homo sapiens. The sequence goes on from NC_000020.11 coordinate 64,032,089, forward strand.
TGGCGGGGAGTTCCGCCAGCCCTGGGGGCTCTAGGAGGTGGCCACGGCCAGCGTGACTCTGCCCGGGGTCGGGAGGATGGACCGGGTGTGTGGGGCACAGAATCCTCGACACCTCCCCACAAGGCAGTCTCTGCCTCCACATCCGTTTTCTGGTTATAGCCTCACAGCTCCACACCCTGGAATTGAGGCACCCTGTCCGTTAGGGTGGCCTGTCTGCTGGAGTATTTTAACGAGTTATTTGCTGGCTGGAGCCTGGGCTCACTTTAGGAATGGGAATGGAGTTGGCCTTTTTCTTGGGCCTGAGCCTGAGTGTGGCTTTCTAGGACAGCCTGGGCAGCAGCCCCTCTGCTCCCACCCGCCCCGCTAGAGCCAAGCGTTGTCTGAGCTGTGCTGGAGGCAGTCAGGCTGTCCTGGTCCTCCCTGGAAAGTGTTGCCAGCCCACGTGAACCCTAACTCCTTGTTTGGAGAAGGCAGACGTGAGCACTTGTGTGAGGCACAGACATGGGGAGCCTGGCTCAGTTCCTCATCTGTGGGCTGAGGCTGGTGGGGTCCATGCTCCTCAGGAGGTGGGGCTCCTTTGAGGAACACACCTGAAAGAGCCTTGCCTTCCGGTGCAGGGCCTGTGCCCTCTGGCCCGCCAGTTGGGGTTGGTGCTGCCAGGGCCAGGTCTGCAGGGGCCAGGCGAGAAGCAGGCGAGGTCCGGGGAGTAGCGTGGGAGGACCCCTGCCTGACGTGCCCTGTGGTCCCCCCAGGAGCAGCAGGAGGAGGTGAGGAAGCGCTGTGAGAGTGCAGAGCCTCGGCATGGGGAGCTGTGGTGCGCCGTGTCCAAGGACATCGCCAACTGGCAGAAGAAGATCGGGGACATCCTTAGGCTGGTGGCCGGCCGCATCAAGAACACCTTCTGATTGAGCGGTTGCCATGGCCGGTCTCCGTGGGGCAGGGTTGGGCCGCATGTGGAAGGGCTCTGAGCTGTGTCCTCCTTCATTAAAAGTTTTTATGTCTCGTGTCAGAACAGGCAGCCTGCTGGTTTTCTCTGGGGCCCTTCTCTGGCTCCTGCTTCTGCTGCCCCAGTCTGGCCTGTCCTGGCCTGTCCCATGCCGTCCTGGGGTGGCTGTGATCGCCCTTGCTTGGACAGAAGCCTCTTGCAGACAGCCGGTGTCTCACAGAGGAGGCACTGTGGAGGTGCCCGGGTTCCCCAAGACTGTGGAGAAGGTGGTAGGGGTGCAGATGTTCTGGCCAAAAGCCCTGTGAGGACAGCTGGAGACAGTGGGGACCAAGCTGCATGCAGGACGCAGGTGCTCGCAGGAGCCTGGCAGCCGCCTGCAAGGGTCTTGGTCAGGGGACAGCTGGGGCCTCCCTGGGGTCTGAGTGCAAACAGGAGAACCCAGCTCTGCGCAGGGCCTCTCCACACAGCCTCCCGGGCCCCTCAGGCATGTGCTGAGTGACAGTGTCACCAGTAAGAGGCGTTCTTTCTTTTGGAGGTGAGTTCATTTTTTTATTTTTGAGACAGTCTCGCTCTGTCGCCCAGGCTGGAGTGCAGTGGCACGATCTCGGCTCACTGCAACCTCTGCCTCCTGGGTTCAAGCAATTCTCCTGTCTCAGCCTCCCGAGTAGCTGGGACTACAGGCGCCCGCTGCCAAACTCCTGACCTCAGGTGATCCATCTGCCTCAGCTTCCCAAAGTGCTGGGATTACAGGCGTGAGCCACCGCACCCGGCCGTGAGTTTATCTTTGCTAATTTATCATTCGCAGTTTAACCCTAAAGCCCTTGTAATGGTTCTCATCTCCAGGTTGAACAGTGATGGTTCTCATCTCTAGGTTGAACGTTGATCACCCGAGAGACTTGGCTTCTCTTCAGCCTTAGCTGTGTAAGGATAAAGGACGTCCTCAGGCCTGGGATCATGTGTGTGCATTCAGTTGGGAGCCAGCTGGTTCTTGTGTAGGCCGGGGCTAGAGACATCTGGCTGGAGGTCATGGCTGGCCCAGAGGGTGTGGGTGGACAGTCGTTGAGGCCAGCGGGCGGGGAGGAGGGCGCTGTCATGTGGGCTGAGGAGGCTGCTGGAGAGCAGCTGTCCCTGGATGTTCCTTGTGAGAGGGGAGCCCTGGAGGGTCCCGGCCTGTCTTGTGGTACCGATGGCAGGGCCTGTGGTGGTGGTCAGTCACTGACCCACAGCTCTGCCCACCTGCACATGGGGGCCTGTGCTAGGCCTTGTGGTCTGCCTGCCCTGCTCCTGACGAGTGAGAATGGCTGGGGTGGGAGATCCCTGCCTGCACGTGGGGCGGTCCTGGTAGACCAGAATGTGGGTGTGGGTCCCCCTTCCCTGTGGTTCTGGGGACCTTGAGGACATGGTCAATCCCGGGCAAGGGACCTGCCACCCCTGTATGGGGTCAGGAACTGCTGGTTGGTCTCTGCTGGGCAGGCAACCTGGGGTCCAGCTCAAATCGTTGGAATGTGGAAGTCCTTCCTCTCGCCCCGTCCTGAGGAGCAGCTGCAGGAGCTTCATGAGTGTTTTCACTGGAACTTGTGGAGGAGTTTCCTTTGATCCCTCATGGAGAGACGGAAGCATGAGGGAGCCCTCAACATTTATTCTGAAGATGAAGAGAGTCCTGCAGCTTTTTGGAGTTTGTGAAGTCAGCCCGGCCCTGTACAGATGTGGAAACCGAGGCCCAGGAAGTTTGTGAGCCAGCCCGGCCCTGTACAGGTGTGGAAACCGAGGCCCAGGAAGTTTGTGAGCCAGCCCGGCCCTGTACAGATGTGGAAACCGAGGCCCAGGAAGTTTGTGAGCCAGCCTGGCCCTGTACAGATGTGGAAACCGAGGCGTAGGAAGGAAGCCCTTCTCTGACCTCAGAGCTGAAATGGCCAGTGCTGGGTGGGCATTGAGGGGTCACACAGAAAAGAATGTTTCAGGCCATGTTCAGGGGATACTTCCTGCAGGGCCCTTGGAAAGTTCCGGAGCGCTTACATTGTCCATGTGTGAGTGTCTCCTCTTTCTTGCCTGTGTGGGGTTTTCTCAAATGCTTTGAGTTGGCCAAACCACAGTTGTGCGCCACTTAACAGTGCGGATACATTCTGAGAAAAACCTCGTTAGGTGATGTCGTCTTGCAAACATTAAAGAGTGCATTTACACAAGGCTGGCAGGCACGGCCTCCTGCACCCCCAGGCTGTGTGCCCGGGTGCCAGAGCCTGGGGCTCCTGGGCTGCAGACCTGCACAGCCTGTCACAGCATTTAATCACATCCAAACACGGAAAAGGCAAAAACGTAAAGATGCAGTGTTACAATCCTAGGGGACTCCTGTCACCTGTGTGGTCTGTTCTTGACTATTGTGAGTCACTGACTTTTCCCCCTGGGAAACTACCTTAACTTGTCTTCAACTGAAATTTTTTCAGCCTGCAAAGATGAGTTGTGCCTCAGAGGTTGCTCGTGTTCTGAGGTGCCTCTTCACCACTGCCTGTCAGGCTGCTAACCAGAGTGCCCCAGACCACAGCAGAAGCGACAGCAGCCAAGGATCGGGGGAGCCCACCCTGCTCCTGGGTATCTTTACGGCAGGCAGCAGAGTAACAGCCTCAGACTTACCTCTTCAGCCAGAGACCCCTCAGCCCAGGAGGAGTGAGGCCGGGCCAGCAGCGGGGGCCCGGGAAGCCCCATGTCTTGGGACCTGCTGGGGCAGGGCCCCCTGGATGTCAGGCTGCAGGTCCGGCAGCTGGGGAGGGGATGAGGGCCTCCCACCAGCTCTGCCCATCAGCCAGATCCCTGGGAGAGGCAGCACTTGCTGGCCACAGAGTCGGCCCCAGTCTCACCTGGCTCCCCTCCCCCACCAGCTGGGCCCTGCACTGCCCCAGCCCACGCGGCGCCTCACCCCTCCTTGACAGAACAGTATCTCTGGGACGGACAAGTTAATCCAAGACCCACAGTAGCCCTGGATCCCCTGGGAGAGGTGGCTGCCCAGCTCCAGGGCCAGGTTAATTGAAGTGATAGGGAGTGGAGAGAGGGAGGGGGCAGGGCTGGGATTGCGTGGCCTTTCCTTCCCTCTCCTGCTCCCTCCCTCAGCTTGGAGGAGCCAACTTCAAAAGCCTCCGCCTGGCCTGCCCCTCTGCAGTCCTCCAGGCAGCCTGTCCAGGGAAGCGGTTGGCTGGTGTTGGACCTGGTGCGGCAGTGCACACCCTGCCCAAGGACCCCAGGATCATGTGCGTGGCCTGCTGGCGGGAGTGAGGGAGGGCAAGACCCTGAAAGGCCCATGGTGAGCAGCTGTGGGCCTCCTCTAGGGAGGGGGCTTACTTGGGTGGAGGGGCTGGGGGTACACACAGCTCAGGAGACACTGCTTGTTCCCCTGAGCCCCACCAGGAAATCTCCGGTTGGCTCTGGTCACTGCGTCCCTGTGGGTGGCACTGGGTGCATGTGCCCTGGCTTCTGGCAGTTGGGGGAGGGGGGCTCCTGGGTGCCGGGCAACCCTGTTCTAAGCTGGGCTGAGGCTTGAGCCTGGAAGTGGTACTAACAGGCCAGTTGGGACTCCCAGGGCAGCCAGTCTGCCCCACCTGGGTGGGACACAGCAGGTGCTGGACATCCTTGCAGCTCCAGCTGGCCTGCTCAGGAGTCAGGCTCTGGTTCTCGCTATGACCTCTGACCCAGAGCAGGCAGAGGGAATGACGTGGCAATTCTGAGCCCACCAAGTTGGCTGTGGCGTGTGTGGTTGGGGGGGTCAGGTTTCAGGAAGGGGCCACAGCAAGCCATCTGCTCTTCCAGCCATTGCTGCTTTGTGCTCTGAGCAGGAGCTGCCACCGCCCACCAGGCCCCCAGCTCTATGCAAGGGTTGGGGTGCTGCTTGTTCAGGCTCCCCTGACAGGGCTAGGAAGCCGAGTCGAGTCCTCTTATCTTGGTTGGGTTCGCATGATTAATTTCCAGCCCTAGATCTGCTGTCTGACTCCATCCTGGGGGCCCAGGGGAAGGGTTGGGGCTGGCCCCTTTTGGGTGGCTGGGAACCTGGGGGCCGTCAGCTGTCTCCTTGATGTTTGGGCTTTATCCCTGCGGGCGCAGGCCCTCCATTTTGGGTCGGGGGAGGCCTGTGGCACAGGCTGCCCGGAGGGATGGCGTGGGGCGGCTGGTACAGGCAGAGGGGCCTTTTGCGACTGTTGGTTGGGGCTGGATGTGGTGGCTCCTTCCTCCTCTATAGCTTCTGGGTGTCCCCCTAGCTTTCCCCTTCCAATAGGGTGTGGCTTGGAGCTCTGAGCCCCTGCCCCAGTTGGGTTGGGGGTACAAGGAGTCCCCAGTTCCCACGTCTCTGTGAGCTAACCCAGAGGGCGCCAGTATGGGAGGTGTGGAGTTGAATGGGCATGGCCATGAGTGAGACAGGCTGTACTGGGACAACTTCCTACTGTACCCCCAAGAGCCTGCAGACCAGCCCCACTAGAGCTGTACGGGGCTGGTGGGGGGCCCTGCTCTGTGCGGTCCTGAGGGTGCTCCACCCCTTGCTGGCCCCACTCCCACGTGGACCACAGAGCCAGGCTCTCCTGACTCTGGGCCTGCCCCCTCTATCTCCTGATGGGTTCTTCAGGACTCAGTGACATCGCCTCCCAGCCGACATCACTCACCCCTTTCACATCTTTGCAGGGAGCATAGAACTGTCTGGTTTGCAGACCTATCTCTTGTGTCTCCTGATTTATCCCGCCAGGCCTGTGCCTACAGCCTTTCTTGATTGGTGACACGTCCATTTCATTCGCTCAGAGATCCCGTGGGGTGGGGCAGGGGGTGGGGCTTCTACGGAAACAAAGTGCAGGTGGGCTGGCTGCTCCCTGTGCTGGGAACACCCCCCAGGCCTAACCCCAACCTGCTGTCTCCTCCAGGTACCCCCTAAGCCTGCACTCTGGGCGCTCCTGCTGGCGCTGCTGGGGACCGCGCCAAGCCGCGCCTATTCCCCGGCCTGCAGCGTCCCCGACGTGCTCCGCCACTATCGCGCCATCATCTTCGAGGATCTGCAGGCCGCCGTGAAGTGGGGCGGGGCGGGGGCCGAAAAGACCAGGCCAGGCTCCAGACACTTTCATTTCATACAGAAAAACCTGACTAGACCCGGGAGCTCGGGACGGCGGGGACGGCCTCGGGCCTCCTGTGGCGCCCAGAAGGTATGGAGGAGGCGCCCCTACCCAAGCTCGCCGGCCTGCTCCTCTCTCAGTTTCCCCCCACCCCCACCCCGCCTTCCTCCCTTCCCTCCCCAGGAGCACAGTATCCTCCTGTCCATCTCGTCCCTGGGTCGGACCCTGCGCGGGGCGGTGGCCGGGGGCCGCCGCGGGGCCCTGGAGAGAGCTGCTTGGACCGTGGCTGTGCGCACCGAGGCGGTGATGCGGCGCCACTGCAGGACGCTGCGCCAGGTGTGCGTCCCTGAGTGCACCCAGAGCCAGACCTCCCTTAACCCCCACAGGGCCGCCGCGCGTCCCGGGGCTCCACGGCCCTAGGCTGAAGTCGGGCTGGGTCGCGTCTCCCTTCCCGGGCCGGGCCGGGCGCGGGGGCCGTGCGCATTCGCTGACCGCCCTGTCCCCGACAGCGGAGCCGGCGGCCCAAGATGCGCCCTGCCCGGCGTCGCGGCGGCCGAAGGCAGCTCCTGCTGCGCGCCCTGGACGCCGTCGCCACCTGCTGGGAGAAGCTCTTCGCGCTGCGCGCCCCGGCCTCCAGGGACTCCTAGCGCGGCCCGTCCTGGCCCTGCGCGGGGAGGAGAACCAGCGGGGCCGCGGCAGAGCCTGGAGACGCGCCTCGTTCTGTAGACTTGTTGGTGACCTCGGCCCCTCGCTCGACGCAGCCCGCGCTCCCCGGAGGGCCCAGGACTTGGAGAAGGGAGCGCGCCTGGCCGCCGCTGGGTCACGGAGGAGGCCCGCCCTCCACGCGCCGAAGGCCTCAATAAACGGAGCTGGCGCTGCGGGTCCGGCACTCCCTTCGCCTGCCTCTCTGTGGGCCTAGGACCGCCCCGGGATCTGCGCCTCGGTGGCGGGGGGCGGTGGAGGGGGAATGCGGAGACCCGCACTTCCTGTGGCACCTGGACGGGGCGGAGCCGCCGCTCCCAGCCTCGGGCAGCAGAGGGCGGACGCGGGACGCTGGGCGCGCTCCGGCTCTGTCAGCGGCTCCCGGCTGGGCGGAGGGCAGAGCGGGGGACTCCTGGGGCCCCTAAAACGTCACGTATCCGTCCTGCTCCACTTTGGACCGGGGCCGGGGGTGGAAATTGAGGGGAGGGGAAGGCTGGACTTGGTGAATTCGGAGCAAAACAACCGGATAAAGGAAACGGGCCCGAAGGGAAGCGGGAGCTGCGGGCCTTGGCTGTGAGCTTGGCCAGGCTATTTCCTGCTGCCTCCGGAGGGGTGACCACGGCCTGGGCTCAGAGACTGCCCAGCCCCCTCTGCAGGACTGGCCAGGCTGGGGCCCGCTTTCTGGCCCCTGGAACCCTCCATTTGCTGGGGGACTGTCCCCTGGTTCCCCCATCTGATGCGCAGGTCTGGGAGTCTGTCACCCCCCTCCCCCAATCTCGGCCCATGGAGGAGCAGGGGAGGTAAAGTACCTGACACCTGTTACCCTCCCCTTCCCGGAAAGGCCGCGAGCAGGCTGTGCCTCTGGCATTCTGTGGGATCAGGGGCAGCAGCAGAAGAAAGAAGTAACCTCCCAAGCTGACCCTGACCCAGCCCCACACTCTGTGTTAATGTATTTAGTCTGTGCAACGGGAGCTACTGTCTCTGTTTTATAGATGGGGAAACTGAAGCACGAGGAGGCTGAGACTTGCCCCAAATCACAGCCAGCAATGTAAGAGCTGGCCTCAGACCCAGGCCCAGGGCATGGGATCTGCCACATGTCCCCTGCCTGGAGGCTGGGGGCCAAGCTTCCTGGACTTCAGAGCCTTGGATTCCCCTGCAGAGTTAGCACTTCTGACAGAGTCCCTGGCCATGCTCTGAGCACAAACACCTAGCAAGCATTCCCAGCCCTAGTTCTGCATTGCCTGCTCCGTGGGGGCCAGTGGGGGCAAGTGTGGGAGGGATGAGGGGGAGATGCAGGGTGCAGGAGCCCCAGCTGGAGCCAAAGCACTTGAGGGGGGTGCTTGGACTTATCCCGAGGCAGCGGAAGGTCTTTGGTGAAAGAGGGATGTTAGAGTTGGAATCTAGAAAGGTTCCCGTGACTTGTGTGGAGGGTTGGTGAGGACAAAGGGGTGGAGAGAGGTCCAGGCTGCCCAGGGTCCTGGCTGGAGTACCTGGGTGGGTCTGTGGGGAGCCTGAACATGGGAAGCACTAAAGGGGGAGTGGGTCGGTTTGAGGGCCCTGAGGGAGCTGGGGAACTGTGGACGTGGCTGGGCTCAGCTGGGCGTGCTGGTGTATGGAGCATAAGGTATGGACAGCCGAGCATGGCTGGGAGGCAGCTGAGTTGGGGCCTGGAGAGAGTCCAGGGTTCTGGGCTGGGCTCAGGGACAGGATGGGGACAGGCCCTCCATGAAGGCTCCCACTGTCACATTGCCCCAGGGGCAGCTGACTTTTGCACTTGGACCTGCCCCAACCCCTGGGCCATGGGGAGGGCACTCCTCTCCTGTCCATGCATGACCTCCTGGGCGGCCCCTTGGCTCCTGCCCACCCGCAATGCTCCCGTTCTGCTGTTGAGAGCAGTCAGAGGCTGGGGATGTGGGTGGGCAACAGAAACAGCTCCCTCTACCCTGACTGAGAAAGGTTCAAACAAACCACAGCCTCTTGGGGGCAGGAGGAGGAACAGAGGCCTCAGGATTTTGGGGACACATGTCGGTGCCTAGTCCTGGACCACGACCACGTGGGTGGGTGAGAAGTCCTGCATCCTGGCCCATGGCTCCTCTCCCTCATGCAGAATGGGAGCAAGGTGGGCTTTGGGCTTCTGGGACAAAGTTCACTTGTCCAGGGTGGGGACAGCCCAACCAGACTAGGTCTAGGGGCATGTGTGGAGCTACACGAAGCGGCCCAGAGCTACCGAGAGCCACAGAGACTAGGAGAGAAGCCGCAGGTGCCTGCTCAGACCTGAGAGGCTCAGGTCCTCTTTGGGCTCAGCACTGGGACCGTAGCTCTTCTGTAGCTCCATGAGGATAGAGGCATGTCTCCCTCAGCATGATACACCAGCACCTGGCCCAGGCCAGCACACGAGCTGCTCAACAAATGTTTGTTAGCTGGAACTGACCAGAACCAACCCAGAGATGGAAAGAGACTCACTGGGCCCACGGCTGATAGGGACAGAGCCATTGGCCACGGAACCACTGAGGGCAGATCCCATGGACTGGCCCTGTATGTCTCTAGACCGACTGGTGGTGCCTTCCCTGCAGAGGCCCAGGGCAGGTGGCCTGAGCCTGGTTCTTCGTAAAATACTGTTTCTGGGTTGGGGCTGCACACAGTACTGTCCCGTCCCACCCTCATGCCTTTTCAGGGCTTGGCTGCTCCAGGGAGGTGGGGGCTGTGCCAGGGTAACAGATGGAGCCTGCAGGGCGCTGGCTGGGGTTGTGCAACTTCCCACAGCCCAGGAGCCAGGCCCCTCCATGTGCCGCACTGGGAGGAGGGGGCCGGGCAGGCTTTGAAGGGGACCTGGGTCCCGAGGCCTCCCCAGACTGGGAGTCTTTGAAAGAACATCTGGAACTCGGGCAACTGGCTGACTAGTGTCTGGATTTGCAAAACCAAAAGTTAATCCCGACTTTGCCTCCTGTGTGTTCCCCACCCCTGCCCCCAAGCTCCTCTCTCTCCCCAGCCCACCTCCACCCCTTCAGCGGTGGGGCGCGCAGCCTCTCAGGGTCTCCCAAAGCACCTTCCCCCACCACCGCCACCGGCCCCCACCCCAGCCTGGGAGTTTTGCCGAAGCTGACCAGAGGGAGGTGGTGGGGAAGATGGATGTTTTCTGAGTGCCTGCCATACCCAGGCCCTGTGAGCGGACGGGACAGACCGTCACACCGCGGCTGGAGATGGCTGGGGGGCAGTGTGAGTGGTCCTCAGAGGAAACAGCTGCGCCCAGACCTGGGAGGTGCCCGGCCTTGCGTGGGCTCTGAGCCCTGCAGGTGTGCAGGGAGGCCCCCCTGCTCCAGCTGTGGCTGACTCGGAACCAAGTCCCCCCAACTCCAGGAAACACATACTCACTGGTGGGGGGATGTCAGGTGCTGGGGCCCATTGTCTCTGCCAGTGCCTTCAGGACCCTAGGGGGGGCCCAGCGACAGCCCCCATCCTGCCCCCTCCCCAGGAAAAGACGCAGCTCCGTAAACACAGAAACAACCATCGCTCCCTCCCCGCTCTTCCCCTCCCCATTAAAATCCGGAAGAGCCAGCGGGAGGTCGCACCTGCTGGGGGAAGTGAGTCCTTGTTTTGGGGGAAATGAGGAGGTCAGGCCTCTGGGCGCAGGGCAGAGCCGCGTGCGCTGGGGAGGTGGGCAGCCCTGGGGCTGGACGCGGGTTCCCGGGTCGCCTTCCGGCCTCGCTCCCGTCGGGAGGTCCCGACACGGGCTTCCTCGCAGCCTCCCCGCCTGGCCCGGCCCGATTTTGGCCGCTGCGGTCAGGGGAAGAGGCGGCCGGGGCTCCCCACCAGGTGAGCAGGTCCTGCCCGGCTTGAGGCCAGGGGTCCGGGCTGCGGCCCGAGATAAGCGTCGCGCCCGCCGCCGCTTCCTGCGCTTCCAGCGCCGCCACTTCCTGTTTTCTCGCGCTGGCGGGCGGGGTCGTGGGAGACGGGACGGGGGTCGTGGGGGACGGGGCGGGGTCGTGGGGGACGGGACGGGGGTCGTGGGGGACGGGGCGGGGGTCGTGGGGGACGGGACGGGGGTCGTGGGGGACGGGGCGGGGGTCGTGGGGGACGGGGCGGGGGTCGTGGGGGACGGGACGGGGGTCGTGGGGGACGGGGCGGGGTCGTGGGGGACGGGACGGGGGTCGTGGGAGACGGGACGGGGGTCGTGGGGGACGGGGCGGGGTCGTGGGGGACGGGACGGGGGTTGTGGGAGAGGGAGCAGGGTCGGGGAGGATGGGGTGGGGTCCCGGGGAACAGGAGTTGCGGGGAGCGGGAGCGGGCCAGAGCAGTCTCAGCAAGAATGAACCTGGCCGGGCGCGGTGGCTCACGCCTGTGATCCCAGCACTTTGGGAGGCCGAGGCTGGTGGATCACTTGAGATCAGGAGTTCGAGACCAGCCTGGCCAACATGGTGAAACCCCGTCTCTACTTAATACAAAAATTAGCTAGACGTGGTAGCGGGCGCCTGTAGTCCTAGCTCCTCGGGAGGCTGAGGCAGGAGAATCGCTTGAACCCGGGAGGCGGAGGTTGCAGTGAGCCGGGATTGCACCACTGCACTCCAGCTTGGGCGACAGAGCGAGACTCTGTCTCAAAAAAAAAAAAAAAAAAAAAAAAAAGAACGTAGGTGAGACCCTGCGCCTTCTGCACGCCTGGAGCTGGCTCCTGGGGCTCCCCACCTGGCCTGGGACAGAAGTGGTGGGTGGGCTGGATGGAGGGTTGAGCCAGTCCCTGTAGGGCCTTAGTTTTGAGGGGGCCTGTTTGGGATTGGAGGTTTGCAGCTCTGGACCCCCCTTTCCAGGGCAGCTGTTCTAGCATGGGTTCCAGGTACTTAACATATTGTTCAGACTTTGTTATTAGAGATACGCATTTTTGTAATTTTAATAAAAACACATCTACACAAAACATTGTACACAAATGTTCATAGCAACATTATTCATTATTCATTATCATTATCAATAACACTATCATTATTCATGATAGCCGAAAAGTAAAAACCATCAGTGTCCATCAGTCGCTGAATAAATAAAATGTGATATATTCATACAAGGAGGGGATGTTACTCAGCCACAAAAGGAATGGAACGCTGACAGGCCACCGCATGGGCGAACCTTGAAAGTGTGCAGGGTGAACCAAGCCAGACACGAAAGGCCACATATAGTATATTATCCCACTTACAAGAAATATCCAGGCCAGACACTGCAAATCCACAGAGACCAAAAGCAGTTTAGTGTTTATCAGGGGCAGGGGGCAGGAAAGAATAGGGAGTAATGGGTTTCTCTTGAGGGTAATGAAAAGCTCTAAAATTAAAGATGGGTGTGGGGGCGCACGCCTGCAGTTCCAGCGAGACAGGGAGGGTCACTTTTCGAGGCTGCAGGCGCTGAGATCGTTTCTGTGAATAGCCCCTGCACTCCGGCAGCCTAGGCAACATAGCAAGACCCCTCTCTAAATAAATAAATAAATAAATAAATAAAGGCCAGGTGTGGTAGCTCATGTCTATAACTCCAGCACTTTGGGAGGCCAGGTGTTCAAGACCAGCCTGAGAATCATAGGAGTCTCTACAGCAAACCAACAAGGAGCATAGCTCCGAGGTAGAGCATTTGACTGCAACAGACAGAATGCTCTAAAATAAGACAGTGGAGATGGTTTCCAGCCTTGTGACTACAACAAAACCACTCCATTGTATCCTTAAATTTTATGTAGGTTTTGTAGAACGTAAGTGGAGCGGTTGGGTTTTCTGGGGTGCTTTTCCTGCTGAGAGGTGGGGGCGGAGTGGTGGGGGGCTAAGGTCTTCACATGTGCCCTCCTTGCCTGCCCCAGCAGGACCTTGCTGGGGTGAAATGTGCTCTTCGTCTGGTGTGTGGCTGGGTGTGTATGTGTGTCTGTGCTGGTGCTGGGAGAGGGGTGCACCATAGCCGCTCTCAGCCCCCATTTTCTCTGACTCTGCCCCTGGGCTGCCTGCTGGGGAGAGTTCAACACCTCGCTCAGTTCACTCTAGGGACAAGCTGGGTCCTGGGCATGGGGGACGGGAGGGGAGCTGTGGCCAGTGCCAGGCAGGGCTGCTAGAACTTCTCACCAGGATCTAAGGCCTGACTCAGCAGGAGGAGGGTGGAGACTTCCCTTGGAGCCTCAGGGAAGAAGGCAGACAGGGCCAGGAGCGGGAGGGGTGTGCAGCTGGTGCCAGGGATGGAGCACCCAGGCCCTGGGGCTGTTCAGCCTTTGGCGGGTAGAGGGGAGATAGATCCCTGGGCTGGGCCCTGGGAGAGGCCCTGTAAGGAGACCCCACCCACCGCTGCCGAGGAGCCGCTATTGGAACCCGGTGCCCTCAGTGGAAGCCTCTTTCATGTCCCCTTCTGATCCTTCTCCTGGGCATTTCCAGCCTCTGGGCTGGGACTTGCTTCAGCTCGGGCCCCTCACTAGCCCCCCACCCTGGCACTTGGGGGAGGGACTTCTCACAGGTACCCACTCTGTCCCCTCCTCACACAGACCATGAGGCTGTGTTGCCACCCAAGGTATCTTCCAAGCTCTCCACCCCATTGGCCTAGAGGGGGTTGCAGTGGGGGTGAGGAGTCCAGAATAGGGGATGTGTGCTGGCCATGGGACTGCCACTGTGGCCTCCCCAGGCTGTCTGTGTCTGTGGGAGTTGCCGGGGAAGGCGTGGCTGGGGAGATGCCCAGCCCAAACAGGGAGGCACTGGAGGCCGGGGGCAGGGGCTGTCCACATGAATTTAGGCAGCAGGACAGGCTGGGTCTGTTGTCTCTCCTGCCTTGGTTGGGGGTTGGGGGAGGGGCAGGTGGTCTCATGCCTGGGCCAGCCACTTGCGGATTCTGGCTGCTGGGTCGCCCTCTGGCTGAGGTCCCCATGGAAGGGGGTGCATCTTGGGCTTGCTGACCCCAGGGCTCCAGGGGGTGGGCCAGAGCAGGAGTTGGTGGGCACGAGAGCTGGGTGTGGCTTGCATTCTCACAGGTGTGAGCATTTATCTCATGGTATGATCCCAGGAAGAGTCCATGTTGGTGCCTCAGAGACCCCCCTCCCCCCGCCTCCACCGAAAGACAGATGTGGCTTGTGTCCCTTTGGGTCTCACCGTCTCTGCCTCCCTGCTGTGTGCTGGCAGACTGCTTGGAAGACATGGGCGATGACCTCGGTGTCCTGTGGGCTGTGTCTGCCTGCCTGGTGCATCTCTGTCTACCTCTGAGCCTGTCTCCTGCCCTCTTCAGCGTGTCTGTGTCTGTCCCCTCTGCGTGTCTCTGTTCCTTTGTCTTTGAGTTCTGTGTGCTCTGCTGCCAATGGGGTGGGGAAGGGGCCCCAGGTGCAGCCCCTACTGGGGGCCCATCTGAGGGGTGGCACTCATGCTGATTAACACAGAGGTGACATGCCCTGCTTGAGGGGAGGGTACCTGTAAAATAGCCCCATCCCACCCCCTCCACACACACACTCAGGTAGCAGGCACATGTCCATCCCGCCCCAGGCTTGCTGCACATCCATATGCCACACACACACTGTCACCTGCATGAAGGGCCACACTGGGAGTCTCATTCACACGCATGCAGAACCACAGACACACTCTCAGAGGCGTGTGCTCCCCCGTACCTGGGAGGCTGAGCCGCGAGTGAGTTTCCACACCAGGGCAGTAAAGGTTCAGCTCTCCCCACCGACTCCCCACCTATGCAGAGGGGGTGCTGGGGCAGGATATGCCCTTCCCCCAGGAGGGAGGTGCATGCCCCTCCTCTTGGCTTATACCTGCCAGGCCCTAGGGAGTGTGTCTGTGTCTGGGTGTTCACTTTTGGGGGTGATTACTCCAAACTTCCCTGAACACGTGGGTTTGAGGTCGAGAGGACCAAGAGGTCAGCATGGAAAGACGGTGTCCAGGCCGGGCGCTGGGCTCACACCTGTAATCCCAGCACTTTGGGAGGCCGAGGCGGGCGGATCACGAGGTCAGGAGATCGAGACCATCCTGGCTAACACGGTGAAACCCCGTCTCTACTAAAAATACAAATTAGCCACGTGTGGTGGTGGGCGCCTGTAGTCCTAGCTACTCAGGAGGCTGAGCAGAATGGTGTGAACCCAGCAGGTGGAGCTTGCTGTGAACCGAGATTGCTCCACTGCACTCCAGCCTGGGTGACACAGCGAGACTCCGTCTCAAAAAAAAAAAAGAGAGAGAAAGAAAAAGAAAGAGGGTGTCCAGTCCTCCTGGGGGCTAGTGAGATACGACTCCAGAGTTGGGGGGTCTTGGGATGTGAAGCCTGTGCTCTCCTGCCTTGGCCATCGGACCTGTCTCTGGGCAGAGCTGGACAGGTCACCCGGGTGGGGGGAGCGCTGTGGGTGTAGCATGGTGCTGTCCTCCCTGGGGTGAGTTAGAACAGCTGACGGAGACCCTGGAGTCTGTGTCTGCATGTGGGCTGCCAACCTGCCAGCCTCCCTCAGGAAAGGGGGCCGTACTGGGCAGTCCTTGGGCATGGAAGTTTTAAGGTGGAGGCAAGGGCGATGAAACCCTAGCGGGGGTGTGACAGGATTGCTGGTATAGTCTGACCTCCGATAGGCTTGAGTTAACCTGGGGGTGGGACAGGAGGGGAGTGGAGGGCTGGGGGGGAGTGTGGACCCATGCCTGCTACCCACGCTCTCTGGGATGTGTCACGGAAGGATGAAGGAGTGCTATGAGGTTCAAGCTAGGAGTCAGGCTCCCTGGGGGCGATTCGGAGGGAAGGGGCGTCCAGGGCTATTTGGGGAACTGCTTTTCCCTCCCTGCAAACACCACAGATGTCAGTGTGCAGAGGAAAGGCCCGAGGATTTATTGTGGCCTCTCCGTCCGGGGACCCAGCTCCAGGCTCCTCCTTTATAGAAAGCAAACATCTGTATTCCTCACATTGCAAAAGTCTTTGCCACAGTGACGCTTCTGATCACTGAAACTTCTTGGAAGAAAAGTTTAAGAGTTTAATTAAAAATTAAATATATTGTATTAGGTATATTTTTTAAAAGGGCAAAGTAAAAAATATTAATACAATCTGGTTGTAGAAAATACACTGCAAGAAAAGGAGCAGGTGCTTCAAAAATGTAACCCTGGCAACTCTGCCAACAGGTCCTGGGCTCGGGCTTCCTGGAAAAGCCCCGGGACACGTGGGAACTCCAGGCACCCTCGCAGGGGCCCCCCGAGGGCAGGTGGCCCAGAAGCCCAGGAAGGGTGGCCTGGGAGGTGGAACGGGCGCAAGGCCGAGCATCACTGGCTCCTAGGGGGCTGTGACATGGAACCAAACATACACGCGTATGAGAGAGCAGAGCGGCAGCGACGCGGTCGGATCGGTCGCGGGGGCTGCGGGAGGAAGCGCTGCAGGGACCCGGGCGGCGCCGGCGGCCTAGCCGGAGATGCACGCGCTGTAATAGACCGCGCTGCTGGCGTCCGACAGCGCGGAGATCAGGCTGCTCTCCTCTGGGCAGGACATGGCGCGCGGGCCCAGTTTGGCCAGTGCCACGTGGTACGGGAGCCCGGGGGCGTCGGGCCGAGTCCGGCTGCAGTTGAGGTACTGGTCGAACTCGGTGAGGTCCACGTCGGCCCACAGATCGGCGGCGGGCCCCAGCGGCTCGGCGCTCTCCAGCGGCGGGGCCTCGGGCGGCGGCGACAGCGGGCCGGGGTACGGGCCGGGCGTGCCCAGGGTGCCGTAGTACAGGCCAGCGAGCGGCGCCGCGGGGGGCGCGGTCCTGAGCGCCTCCGCCAGGGGAGCCCCGTAGCAACCGCCGGGGTCCCGCGACAACTCGGTGGGCGCGTAGGGCGCGCGGAAGGGCCGCAGCGCGCAGTCCTCGGGCGCCGCGGGCGGTGGGAAGAAGGCAGCCTCGCCGGGCTCCAGGCCGTCCAGAGGCGAGCGCTCGGGCGTGGGCAGCCCCAGGCCGTCGAACTCGGCGCCCAGCGGGGGCAGCTCGCGGAAGGCGCGAGCCGAGCCAGACGCCGCGGGGAAAGGCTCGGGCGGTGGCTGCGGGGGCGCTAATCCCGGGAGCAGGAGGCCGGGCTCCAGCCGCCGGGCCTTGCGCGCCTGCTTCTTGCGGCGCGGCCGGTACTTGTAGTTGGGGTGGTCGCGCAAGTGCTGCACGCGCAGCCGTTCGGCTTCCTCCACGAAGGGCCGCTTCTCCGCCGCGTTCAGCTCCTTCCACGCTTTGCCTGCGGGCCGTGGGCGCCAGTGAGTGGAACGCCGTCGGGCGGGTGGGCGCCGAGCCCTCCGTGCGCCCGGGACGCCCCGCGAGGGTTTGGCGCAGCCCCCGCACCCCGCGGCCCGGGACCCCTGCCCCCCCCGCCCCACCCCGGCCCGAGCCCCCCCCGCCCTCTCCCCCTTCTCTGCCGCCCTCCCGCCGCTCACCCAGCATCTTGCTGAGCACCGCGTTGTGCAGGTCCGGGTTCTGCTGAGCCAGCCGCTTGCGCTCGTCCTTTGCCCACACCATGAAGGCGTTCATGGGCCGCCGGATGCGCGACTCGTCTGCCGCCTGGCGTTCCCCGCGGCCGGCCGGGCTGAGGCCATAGCGCCCCGGCTCGGGGCTGCGCGGGGGACTGCGCTGCGGGCTGGGCGGCGAGGCGGGCGCGGCGGGCGCGGCGAGGGCGGCGGGGCCGGCGGCGAGGCCGCGCGTGTCAGCGGCGGCCCCGTGTCCCGGGGCCCATGCACAGTCGCGGCGGGCGGGCGGGTCGTCCTGTGCGCCGTAGCCGGGCGGCGATCTCTGCATTCCAGCTGGGCGCGGCCTGGGCGGAACGGAGCGCGGGAGCGCGGCGGGCGGGCGGCGGGCACTGGGGAGCCGGGCGCAAGGGCAGGCCAGGCCGGGAGGGCGGATGGCGGTGGGGACGGCGGTGGCCTCGGGCCGGGCGGGCGCCCAGATATAGCGGCTCAGGGCCAATCGGCGGCGGGGCGGGCGGGCGGGGGCGGGTCGGGGCCGCCTCCTCCCCGGGGGCTCCCTTTCTTCTCAGGCCGGGCGGGATTCCGCTGAGGCCTCCCCCGCGCACAGCCCCCCCACCTCCCCCGCGACCTCTCAGAAGGAGAGACCCCCCGGGTGGGAAAGAAAGGGCTGCTGATGAGGGCCGGTGCTGCCAGACTTTCGGAGGCGAGCTGCCACCCACCCACGGAGTCGGACCCCCGGGCAGTAACTGGGGGAGGGCGGCAGTGTCCCGCTGGTTGCCGTTCCCCGCCCCCCGCTGGGAGGCTCCATGGGGAGGAGAGGGCCCTTTTTCACACCAAGTTCTGGGGAGGCTGCCTTCCCAACAGCCGGTAAGTCCTTCCTGGAGTGCAGCGCCTTCAGAAAAGGCCCCGTCTTTGGGGAGGCGCTCTGAGTCCCCAGGGGCGCCCATGCTGGAAACTCTACACCCATGTGTAACCGTCAGCACCAGGGACTTTGAGTGCCTTTATGGGACAAGATGGTCTTCTGTCCTCACTCCCAAACCAACTCTGGCACAAGGCAAAGCTGACACAGGGAGGGAGAGAGCAGAGGCCCTGGACGGAGCCCACAAAGAGAAGGGGGAGCAGGGACGCAGAGGCTGTGGCGTCCTCCCTGCCCCCCAAGGGCCCTTGGGGAAGGGGCTGGGACCCTCAGTGGCTTGCTGGCTCCCCTGCCCAGCCCAGGCCACCGCTGCAGCAAGAGGCAGGGCCTACCTGGGTCCTTCCCACTGGCCCCTCCCTGGACCCTCTGACCTGGGCGGGGGCGGGTTCCGGAGGAGCGTCCAGCTTCCTGAATTTTCACTGTCCCCTTCCTACTCCATCAGGAGGGGATCTGGGCTCCAGAGCTGAGGGTCTCCCTCTGGAGGTCCTCCCCTCCCACTGCCACGCATGGTTCTACTGGAGAAGGGTTGGGTGTCCCCAGCAGCCCTCCAGGCAGGGTCAGAATCTCGCCACCTCGCGGCACATCTCCTCATAGCCTGGAGGCTCCCCAGCTCCCCCCGCCACACTATGCCGGGAGCCCCATGGGTAGAGGCCACAGGTCTTGTGACCCTGAGCCTGTGTGGCCAGAAGCTCTTGGTTCTCTGTCCCTGCCAGCCTCGCTAGGCCACATCCAGCCTGTGTTATGAATGGGGTGGGCCCCACGTGGGCCTTGCAGTGCCCCTTAGAGGCTGTTCCTGAACTGTCCCCAGGGGCACTCCTGCCCTGAGGCCAGCACCCCCACAGGGGCACTCCCACCGAGGGCTGTCGCGGTCGGTGTCCAGCCCTCCCCAAAGCCCCACATCACAGTCTGTCTCGACGCCCATCGTCCCAGCATACGGGGCTGGGTCTCCCAGTCTGGTCTCCAGATCTCCCGTCCCTCCAGTTTGCCCCACGGGCCTAGCACCTCGTTCACAGACACTGAGCCAGTGCTGGCTAATGGGGGGCCCGTGGGGCACCAGGAGGTGCGGCCCCTGGCTTTTCTGGGGAGGCAGGCAGGGTTGTGGCCACAGGGATGGAGGGGCTCACAGGCCTCTGCCGGATGCTGCTAGTCCTCCTTTAATCTCAGTATGGGTGGCTGGACCCTTGGCCGAGTCTCAGTGTGGGTGGGCCTCCTGGGCAGCTGGCAGGAGGGTGCAGGGGGGGTGGGGAGCCGTGCGAAGACCCCAAAGGGCTACCACTTGGCGGAAGCTCTCTCTACTCACAACCTTAGGGTTGCAGTCAGGGGTCACCAGGGCCTGGCTCAGCCTGGGCAGTGGCTGGTCACTGCGGCCTGGGAAAGAGGTCCTCGGGGTCCTCTGCAGTAGCCCTCACACGTGGGGAAGGATTTGCAGTTCCCTGGGGGCCCTGCTTGGTCCTCTGCCACCCCCGAGAGCCCAGAGTCACTGGAGCTGCTCTAAACATAGTGGCAGGCAGTGTCCGGCATGACCTCATCGCCTCCACGTCCCCCACAACACCCACCAGCAGCCGCCTTGCCTGGCGCCAGCCAGTGACCCACCCTCTTGGCTGGGCTGTGGACTCAGGTGTCCGGCTGTCATGTCCTGTGAGTCGGGGCTGGGCGGGGAGCCTCCTGAGGTGCTCCTCTCCCTCTGCGTGGCAGGGAGGAGGCTGGCAGCCCTGGCCCAGTGTCCAGATGGGACAAAGTGGGGGTAGGGACCACAGCCAGGGTGGCGTGATCTGGAGCCGCAGGGCTGGGGGGACTTGCCAGGGCTGTAGAGGGGATGGTGTGGGTGTGGCCAGCTGTGCTGAGGGAGGGGCATCCGATGTGTGTCTGTGCATCTGTGTGTGGCCTGTGTCTGTCTGTCTGCCTGGGTGTGGGGTGAGGGGGACTCTAGTGCTGGAGGCTGCCCAGGGCCTTGAGAGCCAGGCAAGCTGGACGTTCCCAGGAAGAGATGAGGACCCATAATAGGTCCAGGACCAGGGGTCCTGCTCCGTGAAGTTTGGAGGGTCCCCAAGGCTTCTCTGGCCACTGAGCTTGGGCCCCAGCATTCTCCAAAAGAGGGCAGGCAGTTCATGAGTCTAGGGGCATTCCTCTGCCTCTGGAACCCCACCTCAGTCTGTCCTGGACTAGGTGGGCTATGGCCCACCCTTGGGAAGGAGCCTATCTGTAGCCCCCAAGCCCCAGTCAGAAAGGCAGAGTTTGGGGGCAAGCTTTCTCTACAAGGGTGGGGCTGGCCTGGGCACTGAGTGGACACTGTCCTCCTGCCTGCCACCTGCCCCTCTCCCTCAGCTTGGACAGGAACCCCGGCCTCTGAGTGAGGTCCGCAAAGGATGCTGGGTAGTCCCCCTCCGTGGCTCTGGGTGGGAGCTTGGCTTGGCGCGGCTCTGGGCCGGGATGGCAGGACCTCCCAGCCACTGCCTGGGCACAGACCTCCCAGGATCCCACCAGCCCAGCCCCTGCGGCTGCAAGAGCAGCGAGGCTGGGACCAATTACCGAGTCCCGCAGGGCCTGGACCCTCCTGCTCCTCAAGGGTGAAGGTGGGGGTTCCTGTTGGATGCAGTTTCAGGTGGAGGGGGCTCTCTGGCCTCCCGAACCTCGGCTCTCTCCAGTTCAGATCCTACCTTCTGCCCACAGCTGAACACCTCTTCCTACAGGGAGCCCCCGACCTCCCAGCCACTGTCCTCCAGAGGCCATAGCATCTTGGTCTCCTTCTGTCTGCTGCCTCGGTAGGCTTCCTTTGGGACCCGTGGAGGCATGTCTGACTCCTCAGGAGCTCTGTATTTAGTGGGCCTTGTCCTGGGGTGGCGGCTCCAGGCCTAGTGAGACATGGCAGAGGCCAGGGCAGGGAGAATGTGAAGCTGGGGCGAGGGTCTGTGACGAGGCCGCCTGACGCCTCAGCACCAGGTGGACACAGTTGTGTGCATGTCCCTCTTGGCCAATGACAGGTCCGGTTCAGGTGGCCCTTGCCCAGGGACAGAGGCTTCTCCTGGCTCCGTGCCTTCCAGCTCTCAGTCCTGGTGTGCACAGCGTCACCGGGCTTCCGATAGCTGCCGGCCTCAACTCTGGGAGAGGGCAGGTGGGGCGGCAGGAGGTGCCTGTGCTTTCCTAGGCATGAGCAGGCATGAGAGGTGCACATGCTCCTGCTCACCTGGGCGGCGCCTCTCAACTGTTAGGTGTGGGGTTAGGGTTCACCTGACGATTTGCCGCAGTCCAGCGGACCCGAGAGTTGCATGCAGAGCTGGGGTTGCGGTGCGAGTGGGGAAGGGTCTGAAGGTGTGGGTGCAGGGGGCTGTGCTGGGGCCTGCAGGCTGGGGTGTGCGGTGTGAGTGGGGTGCTTTTGTAGTCTAAGGGGTGATGTGCCAGTCGTCGTGTGGTGTCAGGTGTCAGTCGTCGTGTGGTGTCAGGGTCTCTTCTACTCGGTGCTAAGGGCCAGCAGGACCGAGAGGGGTAGGGGCTTCTCTGGGTCGAGGGCCACAGGGGGCTGGTGGGGGTGGGAGTGCTGAATGCACAGGGTGATGCTGGGCTTCGGGTAGCAGATGTGCTGTGGACAGTCGGGGTCGGGTCATCTGCGGCGAGCGGGGCTTCTGTAGGTGCTCCCAGGGCCCTGGTGATGTGGAAGCTGTTCTCAAATTCTGGGGTGTTGTGCTGTGGTGGGCATGTACCTAGGGTGTTATCAAGGGCTGTGCCCACTTTTAGGGGCACTGGGCAAGAGTCGGGGTGTCAGAGCAGCTGCTTGAGCTCCGTGGGGGCCATTGTGTGGCCCTTGGGGTGTCCTGCCCTGGGGGCGGCTGCAGGGCCGCTTGTGTCCCTGGGTGTTGCTGCCTGCTGTGCGGCCTTCCCAGTGATGTTTGTGTGTGTGTGTGTGTTGGGGGGGTTCCATGGGAAGCAGGCTGGGGGGCTGGGCTGCTCCGGGTTTCTGAGGCAACAGCAGGGAGGGGCCAGGAAACTGCAGCTCAGGAAGGAAGGCCGGCCTTGCAGGAGGGGGCCTGGGGCCAGCTTGGGCTGAGCAGGCGCCAGACATTCTGTGCTGCGGCCCCGGCCCCCACTGGCTGGGAGCTCCTGCCCAAGTTCCGCTGGCCCCACCCTTGTCTCCACCTCCATGCTTGTATGGCTGCCTTTATTCAGACCGTGGTGACTTGGGCTTGGGTCTGTGGGTGACCTGGTCCTGTGCTTATGTGAGCCCCAGTCCATTTGTGGCTCTGTAGAGGCCCAGATGGGGCTCTCAGTGTACCCTGCACCGTGGGGCATGTGTTAGCACACTCCGGTCCCCAGGGTCCCTGGAGGGCAGTGTCCACTCTGACTACCCTGTCCTGGGCTGGCCCAGCCTCCTTCTCCCCTGCCAGGCTGGTAAGTCGGGAGAGGGAGAACATCCTCAGGGGTCATCTGTCTCCCAGCCACGGAGGGGCACTGCAGGGCCGGATGCCTGAAGCTGTGTGTTTCTTTTTGTTGCTTGTCCTGGCATTGGTGACAGCCAGCTGGGGCTGCCACATAGGCTGGAGGGGGCAGGCCTGTGTTCTGGGGGCTCATCCACCCCTTCTTGCTCAGGGACAGGCAACATCTATCCATCCATTTGTTATTGAGCACCTGTTGTGTAGTAGACCCTGTTTTAGGGGTTAGGAATTTGGCAGAGAACAAAACAGACAGGTCCCTGCCTGTGGGAAGCTTCCATTATGGTGAGAAGAGACAGACAATCAACAAATCCACAAACAGGTGTGGTGACTCATGCCTGTAATCCCAGCACTTTGGGAGGCTAAGGTGGGCGGATCACCTGAGGTCAGG
Organism: Homo sapiens; assembly: GCF_000001405.40. Taxonomy (NCBI): domain Eukaryota; kingdom Metazoa; phylum Chordata; class Mammalia; order Primates; family Hominidae; genus Homo; species Homo sapiens. The sequence goes on from NC_000020.11 coordinate 64,054,917, forward strand.
AGTTCGAGACCAGCTTGGCCAATATAGTGAAACCCCTGCCTCTACTTAAAAAAAAAAAAAAAAAATACAAAAATTAGCCAGGCGTGGTGGCGCATGTCTGTAATCCTAGCTACCCTGGAGGCTGAGGCATGAGAATCGCTTGAACCCAGGAGGCAGAGGTTGCAGTGAGCCAAGATCGCACCACTGCACTCCAGCCTGGGTGACAGAGTGAGACTCTGTTTCCAGACAAAAGCAAAAACAAAAAACAAAAATTAGCTGGGCGTGGTGGCACATGCTTGTAATCCCAGGTAGTAGGGAGGCTAAGGCACACGAATTGCTTGAGCCCGGGAGGTGGAGGTTGCAGTGAGCCGAGATCGCACCACTGCACTCCAGCCTGGGCGACAGAGGAAGACTGTTTCAAAAAACAAAAACGAAACAAAACAAACCTAACCAAAAACAAATCCACAAACAAGCCAGAACTTGGGGTGCCAGGTGTAGGGAGGGGGGCTGTGTCAGGGCCACACATGGCTTTTGCCCTTGGGGGTTCATCAGGTATAGGGAGGGGCTGTGTCAGGGCCACACGTGGCTTTTGCCCTTGGGGGTTCATGGGAGGAGTCTTTTCACAGAGGGAGGAGCATGTGCCAAGGCCCTGGGGCAGGGAAGTCTGCTGGTGTGAGCAGAGCAGGGGGTGCAGAGAGGAGGGGATGAGGCTCAGAGGGAACAAGGGGCTGAGTTGGCTCTGGGAGGGTCTTGCATTTTCTGAGTGAGGTGGGACCTTGGGAGGTTCTGAGTGGAGTGTGATCTGCCTCAGCTCAGCTGCTACGTGAAGACGGGGCTGTGCGGGGCAGGAGGGACGGGCAGTCCCCTGCCAGAAGGCAGGGGGCTCTGCTTCTGCCGCGGCGGGAGCCTGGCCAAGGTTTGCTCTCAGACCCCATCTGGCTGCCCCAGGAGTCTCCCTGGTCTCTCTCTGGGAGGCCTGGGCCCCTGGGAGGTGCCGCCTCAGGGAACCCTGGTTTTGCTGCCCTGTGAGTCAGGTCTCTAGGCTTCACCCATAGCCCCGACCCCACGGCTGCCTGGGGCCTCTGGGGAAGGGGAGGGTGGAGTGGCCGCCAGGCTGGCGGGCTGGCAGGGCTGCATTTCTGGGAATTGTGTGGGGGAAGTGCATTGTTAGAGCAAGCCTGGAGCAGGCCGCCAGGGCCGCCACTGGCCTCTGGGGATGCCTCTTGCCTCCCCCAGCGTTGCTTCTGTGGGAGGGAGCTGGGACTGGGCCAAGGCTATGGGCTGGGCTGGGGACTTTCCGAGAGACGCTGCCCTGGGCAGGTGGCTCTTCCCATTCTACAGACTGGGCGACTGAGGTCCAGAGAGCCGGGTGCTGCAGTGGCATAGCCAGGAGCAGTGGGCCCAGTCCCCATCCCCTGCCCTCCTCTGCTGGCGCATGGGACAGGGGAGCACTTGCTGGACCTAAGCCCCGTCGCTGCCCTGCTGGTGGGGGCATCCAAGGGAGGCCTGGGTGGGGTCCACTGGGGTCACAGCTCGGCAGAGCCCCCAAGGTGGGCTGGAGGGTCTGATGGAAAGGGGCGCAGAGACGGCTCCTAGGTGCTTGGGCTGTGGGAGGGCTGCCCATGGGGTGGCAGGGGGTGGGGGCTCCTGGGGCTGCAGGATCCCCAGCCCCCGCTCTGTGGTTGCAGGAAGCAAGGGGGGCTCCGTGTGAGTTTGGCAGCGGGAGCCTTCCCACCACGGCGCTGCCTCAGCCAGAGGGGAAGCATGGATAGCGGCCACTGGGGTCATGGCCGGCTTTGGGCGGGCAGGGGGCAGGGGACACAAATAGAAAAATAAATGGCCTGAGTTTCCGACGTTTCCTGGACTCAGGATGGGGGAGGGGCAGGCCTTTGGGCCAAAGGTGCGGCTGGCCCTGTGGGGTGGACCAGGGGTTTCTCCCCAGACGCCTGTTGGGGCCAGGGCTGCCCCCTCAGACCTCCAAGGTGGGTCACATCTCCCCCTTAGAGCCCTCAGGACAGGGCCCCGTTGCCCACAGAGAATTCCTAAAGGCCTATCCATATGTCCCTGTCCATAAAGACGTCGAGTGTGGAGGACACCCTGGAGGAGGAGATGGAACCCTCCTGTTTGCTGGGGCTCGGCCCCCGGTGAGGCTGGCTGCAGGTGACCACAGAGACCTAGCCTGGTGTCGTGCGGCCGCTGGGTCCGTGAAGGGGAGTGAGGCACTCCTCACCCTGTGGCAGCTCCTAGTCAGGAGGCCTCTCCCCTCCACCTGCACGTCATGTGGCTGTGGCTCCCAGGACCAGCGCCTGGAGCGGGTGAGTGAACGTCCCTCTCCTCCGTGGGCACTGCCTCCGCTGTGAGCCACCCTTCAGGCTACGTGCATTTCCGCCTGTTCTCAGGGTTTAACCGAAACCGAACATTAACCGTAGCCCTAACGCGGCTGAGGGATCCAGGCCTTGCCTCTGGGCCGGGTGAGAGACAGACACTCGCCAACCAGTCCGCAGTGGCTCCCCGTGTGTGCGAGGCTCCCGCCTGCGTGTGTGCGTGTGCATGTGTGCCTGCGCACAGGGGAGGGAAAGTTCTTCAGCTGCCGAGGGCGGGAGTAGGGGCTGGAGCAGCACCCTGCGGCGAGGCCCCACAGGAGAATCGATGGTTCTGATGCTGTCAGCCTCTGGGTGCAAATTCTGAGGGCCCGGGAGCGTCTGGCGGCCCTGAGCAGCTTGCTGGGGAAGCTCCGTGGAGGAGGAAGTCCGGAGGTCGGTAAGCTCCAGGAGGGGTCTGCTGGGGGGCGAGAATGCTCTGAGCAAGGTCCCAGAAGTCCAGAGCTCCTGAGGGACCCGGGACCAGGGGCACTGGGGAGTTTCAGGGTTGGTCGCCGCCACAGCCCTCACAAACGAGGCCACTCTCTAGGACTGGCCACCTTCTCACCTCGGCCACTTCACAGTCCTGGGGGGCAGCTGTGGCTCTTGCTGGGAACCACCTGGACCTCCCTGGGGCTTGGGGGTGGGGTGGTGGTGAAGTGAGGCCCACCCGTCCGTGGCTCACTCCTGCCACCTAGAGGCCACTGTTCCTCACAGGCTCTGGGGCCAGTCACCTGCCTCTGCCCGGGGGCGGGACCATCCCACCGGATTGCAGGTTCCCTGATCACCAGGATGGGCCTACACCTCTCCGCCTGCAGTAGTTGCTTCCACGCAGGACTAGAGCATGTCAGGGTTCGGGGCTCCTGTCATAGCGGAGTGGCTGCGGCCCGCAGGTCAGAGGCACCCGACCTCTTCTGCTAACCCCCTTCCCTGCCTGTCCCGTCCGCTCCTTTCTCTCCATCACCTGCCCCTGCCATGAACCAGGCCACCAGTGACCCCATCCACACCTGTCCGACCAGGCTCCCCACGTGCCCTAATGCAGCCCCGTAGGCTGGGCCCACGGCTGACACCCCTTCCTGAGGGATCCCCGACCTGCCAGCCGTTGTCCTTAAGACGCCACAGCATCTTGACCTCCCCGTCTGCAGCCTCTGTGGGCCTCCACTGGGACCCACTGAGACATGTCAGGCTCCTCACGAGCTCTGTCTTGTGTGGCCATGCCCAGGGCCCCAGGACGTAGAAGACCACCTGGCATCTCATGGAGGAGGAAACAGGGCCCAGAGTGGGACCTCCACTCAGGCTCAGCAAGGGCCGAGTCCCAGTTCCTGGAGTCCTAGTTGAGGCCCCTCCTACACAGAGCACAAGGTGGAATTCACGGGGTCATAAAGGCAGCCAGTTCTACCAACACACAGTTATGCAAATATTTTCTTAAAGTGTGATATCAAAACCCAAGTGCTTCTTTACCAATCTGCTGAACAAGATGTGACTCACTGAACAGCCTCTGCAGTCCCAGCAGCAGCGAGTGTGGGGGTGCGAGGCAGTTCCCATCTGTGCCGGGTCAGCCACGGGCCCAGCTGACCAGATTTGGTTCATGGCCTCGTTCATAACTGAACGAACGACACCTTTCTGCTAGAGGTCGGTATAAAGGAGATGATGGGCCGGGCACGGTGGCTCACACCTGTAATCCCAGCACTTTGGGAGGCCGAGGCGGGTGGATCACCTGAGGTCAGGAGTTTGAGACTAGCCTCACCAATATGATGTAACCTCGTCTCTACTAAAAATACAAACATATTAGCCGGGTGTGGTGGCGCATGCCTGTAATCCCAGCTACTTGGGAGGCTGAGACAAGAGAATTGCTTGAACCTGGGATGCGGAGGTTGCAGTGAGCCAAGATCGTGCCACTGCACTCCAGCCTGGGCAACAAGAGTGAAACTCTGTCTCAAAAAAAAAAAAAAAAAAAAAAGGAGATGATGGTTTCTTCCCACCAGTTTATTTTCTGTCAGGGGTTTGGTCTCTGGGTCTCTGACCCCCTGGATTGTTGAGACGCCTCGCACTGTTCCCTCCCATCTTGCCCGACCGCCCCCCACCAGCTCCCAGGCCCAGTATGTCTCTGTCCCACCCCATCGTCTCTATAGGCCCTGTCCTGCAGTGGGTTCTGTCCCTCCCTGCAGCTTGGTAAGGTTGTTGAGGCTTCAATACACACTCCAGACCACATCCCTCTCCCTCCCAACTCTGGGACACTCTCTGCACCTCTGAAAAGAAACTCCCAGCCCTTCTTGTGCCTCTCCCTTCCTCTGGGCACCCCTTGTTCCTTATCCATCCTGGCTGGCCTGTGGCCTGTACTTCTGATCTGCACACAGGTATCACAGAGGACAGAGACCCCAGGGCCCCAGCCCCTGGTGGGGGCGGGGAGTGCAAGGGGGCAGTCGTCTTTGTTCTCGACCAGCTCCCAGCTCCCTAGGTAATGCTTTAAGAGTTACCGTGCTAGGGGATCTTTGTGGCTGAAAACATTCAGATGAACCAGATATTTAAAAGCATCCCTCATGCAAAGTCCCTCCACTGGTTGGGCCGGCCTGGGGAGGGTCAAGGCTGGGTCTCTAGTCTGGTTTTCCGGGGGCGTCTGTGTGCACTCCTTCCCCAGAACCTTGCGCTTGTCCATCCCAGGGAGAAATCAGGTGGGGAGCGGCCTCACTGCTGGCTCCTTGATAGTGACTTGCTCCAGAGGTCCGTGCTGATACCCCAGACCCCGCCCCACCAACACTTCAACTGGGACTGCGGCGTATGCACAACTGCACAGCCTCCTCTGGCAGCTCCTTGATGCTTCTGGGACGTTGACCCTCTCTCCTTTGCACCTCCACTCTTAGGAACTTGCAGCTCTCTGGGGTTAGTTCTCCTCTGTGCTGTCTGGGCTGCACCTCCTGCCCAGGAGGGGCCTCTCTGTGCTGCAGCCCTTACCAGCATCTCAGGATCTGCAGTCCTGATACTTGGAGGTCTCCCCCCCACCCCCAGCTTGAGGGCTGGCTTCCTTTCGGTGGTCTTCAAATCAACTCACACTCGGCCGTTGGAGAAGCCTATGTGTCTGGCCAGGCAGGCTCCATGGATGTGGCCAGTGTCTTTGTGGACGGTGGGAACCAGCTTTGAAACCCTGGCCGCCCGGACCTCCGAAGCCAAACTTTCTGGGGTTCCTGCACAAGGGCAGTTCCAGTGTGGCTTCTACAGGACCCTGACCAGCTCCTTGGTCTGGCTGTCAGCCATTGAGACAGTGGTTGAAGGCTGGGTGGCTCTAGCCTCCCCTCGTGCCTCTGATGAGGCTGGACCCTTCAAGTCTTCATATATGCCCAAACCATGGGATTCTGACCACGAGGACTTGCTTGGATGGTCTAGGCTGGAAGCTATGTCCCCAGCTCACTGTGAGGGGCAGAATCAGTCAGTATGGAAACCGTGTTCATCTATTAATAATAATAATAATATAATATCGCGGGGCCTCTGTCTTAGAAAGGCTTTGCTCCTCACAAGGAATTCTATGCTTTTTCCCTATGATTGAGCTTTTTTTTTTTGCGACGAGTCTCACTCTGTTGCCAGGCTGGAGTGCAGTGGCATGATCTCGGCTCACTGCCAGCTCCGCCTCCCGGATTCAAGCGATTCTCCTGCCTCAGCCTCCTGAGTAGTTGGGACTACAGGCGCATGCCGCCATGCCCGGCTAATTTTTTTTTGTTTTTTTGTATTTTAGTAGAGACGGGGTTTCACCCTGTTGCCCAGGCTGGTCTCAAACTCCTGAGCTCAGGCAGTCCACCTCCCAAAGTGCTAGGATTACAAGCATGAGCCACCGCGCCCAGCCTGAGTCTTTTTTTTTTTTTTTTTTTTTTTGGAGACAGTCTCACTCTGTCACCCAGGCTGGAGTGCAGTGGCACAATCTGGGCTCACTGCAACCTCCGCCTCCTGGGTTCAAGTGATTCTCCTGCCTCAGCCTCACAAGTAGCTGGGATTACAGGCATGTGCCACCACGCCCGGCTAATTTTTTTTTTGTTGTTGTTTGTTTTTGAGATGGAGTCTTGCTCTGTTGCCCAGGCTGGAGTGCAGTGGCATGATCGCCGCTCACTGCAAGCTCCGCCTCCTGGGTTCATGCCATTCTTCTGCCTCAGCCTGCGGAGTAGCTGGGACTACAGGCGTCCGCCACCACGCCCGGCTAATTTTTTGTATTTTTAGTAGAGATGGGGTTTCACCGTGTTAGCCAGTATGGTCTCGATCTCCTGACCTCGTGATCCGTCTGCCTTGGCCTCCCAAAGTGCTGGGATTACAGGCATGAGCCACCATGCCCGGTCTAATTTTTGTATTTCTAGCAGAGACAGGGTTTCACCATGTTGGCCAGGCTGGTCTGGAACTCCTGACCTCAGATAATCCGCCCACCTCAGCCTCCCAAAGTGGTGGGATTACAGGGGTGAGCTACTGTGCCCAACCAAGATGAGTCTCTCTCTCTCTTTTTTTTTCTTTTGAGACGGAGTCTCGCTGTTGTTGGCCAGGGCTGGAGTGCAATGGTGCTATCTTGGCTCACTGCAACCTCCGCCTTCCGGGTTCCAGCAATTCTCCTGCCTTAGCCTCCCAAGTAGCTGAGATTACAGGTGCCCGGCACCACACCTGGCTAGTTTTTGTATTCTTTGTAGAGACGGGGTTTCACCATATTGGCCAGGCTGGTCTCGAACTCCTGACCTCAGGTGATCCACCCGCCTGGGCCTCCCAAAGCGCTGGGATTACAGGCATGAGCCACTATTGCCCGGCTAAGATGAGTCTCTTAACTGACCATATTTTCCTTTTCATTTTGGCTGCGGGGAAGCTCAGTTATATGTGATTAGTGCCACAGACAGCCCAAGAAATGCTCAGCCCATTCCACCTGCCACCTGGCCTCATAGTTCGTTGGCCTGAACTTGAATGACTACAGGCTCCTTGATCCACACCCTCCCCCAGGATTGTGCCCTCTCCAGGAAACCACCCAGCATCTGCATTACTGGGGAGCTGCCAGGCAGTGGTGGGGATGCTGGCCCTGCACCTGTCCCCGTCCTCAACCCTCCCTAGGCCTGGGCCATCTCTCTGGCTGCCTGCAGTCTGGCCCTACCTAGGGACCTCCAACAACAATGTCAATGAACACTAATTGTCATGCTCCATCCCCTCTCTGTTCTCAGGCATGTGATGTGAATCAGCTGACATCATCTTGACGGGAGCCCTGTGAGGCGGACACTTAACTCCAGTTTCACAGGTGGGGAGACTGAGACACAGTGGTCAACGTGCAGAGCCCAGAATCTGCTCCCTGGTAGCTGACTTTGCAGGCAGGGGCCTTGCCCACGCAGCCTCGGCAGAGGCCCCCGCACTTCGCGAACCCCAGCAATGGCCCCTTCCAGACGCCACGTCCAGCTACCGCGCGCTCACACCTGCAGGGCCCCACAAGAGGCCTCCCAGTGTGCGCGGGCCTCTTGAAGAAGTAACTCTACTCAGAAGCCCGAATGACCCAAACTGGGCTCTGGGAGGCTGGGGACGGCCTTCTAGGCCAAGTGGGGCGCGCGCAGGGCTCAGCGGGGCCCAAGAGAAGGGCTGAGGGCACTGGGTCCTGAGCCACCCACCGAAGGACGCCGCGGGACAGCAAGGCCCGAAGCAGGAGGAGAGAAGGGAGCAGATTCCTGGGCCTCCTGGGGCCCGGTCGCTCCGGGATGTCTGAGCTCTGGGAGGGGCGTGCCCGGGGCGCCTCCCTCGCGGGGTATTGTGGGATCACGAGTCACTGGCGACGGTGGGTCAGGACTACACTTCCCAGGAGGCTGTGCGCGCCGCGTGGCGCCTGGGAGTTGTGGTCCAGAGCGCGGGCGCGGCGGGCGCGGCAGGCGGGCGCGTGGACTACGCATCCTAGGATGCCGCGCGCGGCCGCGGGGCCGAGGGTTTGAACCGGGGGTCTGTCGTCCGCGGCGGGGCTGCGTCGGCTGCGGCGGGTGTGGGAGGTGGCGACGGCCGGGGCCGGGGTCCTGCCCGGCTGCGGAGGCGGGCGCGACGGGCGCGGGGGTCGCTGCTCCTGAGGCGATGATGGGCAAGGAAGAGGAGATTGCGCGGATCGCCCGGAGGCTGGACAAGATGGTGACCAAGAAGAGCGCGGTGAGGGGCGCGGGCCGCCAGGACCCCGGGAACCCCGCCCCGCCGAGACCCCGTCGAGCCCGCCGACCCCCGTTAGGGCCGGAAGACGACCTGAGGGGCAGGACGAGACCCCTCCCCGGCAGAGACTAACCGGGACGCAGGGGAGACCCCCACCCGTGGCCGAGACCCCTGCCCCGGGCCAGCCCTGCCGTTCACTCCCGCAACCCCGGCAGAGGCCGCGATCAGGCCTGGACCTTGTCCCGGGAGAGCCACCCGCTCTGGACTCAGACCCCTCCCTCGCCCGCAGTCACAGGCTCCGCACCCTTCCCTGTCCCTTAACTCCAGACCCCCAGCCTGGCCCGTCGACTCCTTCCTTGGCCCTGTCCCGCCTCTCGGAGCCCCCGGGGTGTTCGGGCCTCCTCTGCGGGCCGCGCCAGCCCCTTGCCTTCCTCCATCCCGGCCTGGGCATCCTCACAGGCCGAGCCCCGCCCCCCAACTCAGCCCTCTCCCACGCTCCGTCTCTTACAGCGTTTGTCACCCTCCGTCTCCCATAGCATTTGTCGCCGGCAACAGTTTGGAGTCTGAGGTTGGATCCCCTTTTCTTCTGGAGCTTCCGTGCCTCCCCTGCCTCTTCCCAGCCCTTGTCATCCTCCTTCACAGGCCAGCCAGATACCTGTCTTGCCTGTGGGCCCATTTTCTTCCCTGTCTGTCCCCACCCCACAAGAACCAGGTTTCTCTAATAAATTCTCTCCCTTCTTTAGCCAGGACTTAGCCCGCAGCAACTTGGGTTGTGGGTAGTTATGTGGACACCCTCCGAAAAGAGCCGGTGTGCTTATATAAGAGCCAGGAGGTCGGGCAAGCCTCCTCTGGGAGTGTCTGGGCGCTGGAGCCTCTGGCCGGCTCTGTTCACTGCGGCCTGGGCCTCTGTTGTCTTGCGGCCACAGCGAGACTTTGGAGGAGGCTGTGTGTGAGGACTTTGAAGGGGCCAGGTCAGTGGGGGTCCAGTTCCAGCGTCATGACCTTGGCAACCTCTGCACCCTCCCACAGAAGCATCTTTAGAGGATGCTGCCTGCCTCCTGGGGGGTGGGGAGGGGTCTGGCCGCAGGTCATTTGGAGCTCCTGGCTGGCTCAATAAACGTGACCTGTGCTTTCCCACCCAGACTGTGAACTCCTGGGGCAGGGCCAGCTGTGTGTCTGCCAGGCCAGCCCAGGGCGGTGAAGGTGGCTGAGTCATGGGCTTTGGGTGATTTGTGCAGCCACCCCAGGGCTGTGTGACTGCAGTGGGGGTTTGGGGGAAGCTTTTTGGGCTGAGCAGGGTTGAGTCTGGGTTCCTGTGACCAGCGTTCTGGACTGGGGTCTGCCCTGGGAAGGGGTGGGCTCCCACTCATTCCTGCTGGGTGCAGCACCCCCATCATTGCGTTCACACACACCCCGGAAAACTGGTCAGCACAAAGTAGGGGTCTGCGAACCATTCATAGCTGTTTCCAGAGATGACCCGAGAATGGAGTTGTTCCCCTTCTTAAAGGAGACAAAACACAAACGATAAAAGCTGTAGGTGGGAGAAGCAAAGATGGGTCATGGAGCCAGGGGAGGGCTGGGTGGGGCTGGGCAGAACTGATGGGGGGTTTCTGGTGGAAGAACAGCTTGAGTAGAAGCCCCAGGGGAGAATGAGGAGGGGAGGCGGGCGCTGTGCAGTGGGGAGTGGGAGCCAGCAGAGCCTCCTGGGGGTCCCAGTGCCTGAGGTCCCCTCGGGGACCTGGGGGCCAGGTGTGGGGGTTTTTTTGCCTCTGGACCTGAGCCCACTGAGAGCCACGTAAGCAGGTGCAGGGCTTTCAGGGGACAGTGGCCTTGGCTCTGGCTATCACCTCAAGGCTGGACTCTGTACAGCCCAAGAGGCAGGGCCTGCCTGGGAGGGCTCAGGAGGGGCTGCAGCGTGAGCAGACTATGCCACCCGGATTGCTGGGGTTGTGCGGGCGGTAGGTGGGACAAGCCCCTCCCATGGCCTGTGGGTCGTGGGACTCTGATCAGGTCACCTTAGGGCAGAGGGAATGATACACACGTGGAAACACATGCACGTGTTACAGAGGAGATGGGGTGTTGCAGGGCACAGTTGCAGTTTTAAACAGGAGAGGCCTTGCTGAGAAGGTGTTGTTGAAATAAAGCCCGGGAGGGAGGGAGGGAGGGAGGGAGACGTTGTGGGAGGCCGCCCCAGGCGGTGGAGCTGCAGGTGCAGAGGGCCTCGGTGGCGGCTCAGCGCCCTTGGGGAGCACTGAGTTGCCGGGCCTGGTGTGGAAATGTGACCGGTTTGTGCCTGGCCTCGTCAGTGTTGAGGACCTGGAGGAAACGCAGATCTTGGGTGGGGAGACAAGGCGGAGAGAACGAGGTGCATTGGAACAGTCCAGGCGAGGGGTGCTGGCCTGCTTGGGGGCAACTCAGAGGCCTGGAGGATAGATGAGGAGGGGGGCTGTGGGCCTTGTAGGTGTTGGCTGTGGCCGTGCCTGGAGTGGAGGGACCCTTGAAAGTTTGGCCTCAGCTCGGGACACTGATGTTCCCGGGTTGGCCCTTCATGAGAGTTTGGCCTCAGCTCGGGACACTGATGTTCCTGGGTTGGCCCTTCACAGCTGGTGGGCGGGGGGTGCTTTGGGGAGAGGCTGCCCTGCGCATCAGGGCATCAAGACACAGGGGAGTGAATGAACCTGGGGCTGCAGTTTCACCTGGGTGTGGCCCTGGCTGCTGGGGAGGGGCCGTGGCTCTGAAGCCTCATGATTGGCCAGGGGAGCTGGCATTTCTGTTCTGGTTTGGGTCAGTGACCTGAGGTGGTTACAACGAAGTCAGTGAGGTCATTGCCACGGATGTGGGTTACAACTTGGAATGCTTGAGGCTGCAGAACCCCTCCCCTTCTTGACTGAGCAGTAAGGGTTCCCTGCTGTGGTGCAGGAACATGTGGGCAGAGCCCTGGGTGTCTCCAGGTAGAGGAATTTTGGTTTCTTTTTGACCCCAGGTTGAATCTCCAAATTGTCACTGCCTTGTGTTCTCCTCCAGTAGGCAGAAGGAGGTGATATTGTCTGTTGAGATCTAAAGTCCTTTATGAAGGTCCTCCTTCTCCTTCCAGGAGGGAGCCATGGATTTGCTGCGGGAGCTGAAGGCCATGCCTATCACGCTGCACCTGCTCCAGGTAGGTCCCTGCCTGCCCCAGGTCCAGGACAGCTCCTGGGTGCAGCCCAGGGGATGGCAGTTCTGAGGGCACCTGGCAGGGCTTCCCCACCCTCCCCACCAGGCCTTAGTTGGCACAAATGCCTGTTCCTGAGGAGAGGGTCTCTGCCTTTCTCTGGGCTCAGTGGGACAGGGAGGGGAGTCTGAGGATAACCCATCTTGTCCTCCGTGGCTGAGGCTCCTGGGTTCCAAATGGGACAGTCGCCATTGGGAGAGGCCTCTACCTCCCTGGGAGGTCCCGGGCTCCTGTCCTGTGGGGGCCACCAAGGCTCTGCCAGGAGAATCTGACCCCTAGGGTGGGCCCCTGCCTCCCCCAACCCAGACCACTTGCCTCGTAGTCCACCCGAGTCGGGATGTCTGTCAACGCCCTTCGGAAGCAGAGCTCGGATGAGGAGGTCATTGCACTGGCCAAGTCTCTCATCAAGTCCTGGAAGAAGCTCCTGGGTGCGGCTCAGGCGGTGCCCACTGAGTGCTGGGGCAGGGGTCCCAGAAGTGCTGCCTCTTGCTGGTCAGCACAGTGTAGAGTGCTGGCAGTGTCCACCCTGAGCCAGGTCGCTTGGGAGTGGGGCAGTGGCAAACCCAGACCATGAAGCGCCCAGCTTGGGGCTGGCAGTGGATCAGTGGGTGCCTGTCAGCATTGGCTGGGAGGTGTGGCCTAGGAGGCCAGGGTGTGTGCTGGGGGCAGGGTTCCAGGTAGAACAAGGAGAGAAGAGAGTTGAGGCCAGGACTTGAACTGACAGCACTGAGAGACTGGGGTGAGTTGGGAGGTCACACAGAGGGGAAGGTCATGGCCAGGAGGCTGGGAAGTGCCGGGAGAGGGGAAGCGGGAGGGAGAAGGCAGGGCCACCTCAGCTACTCAGAGGGAACAGAGGGGCAGCCCCCTGCCAGGGAAGGGAAGGGCTGGGCTGGGCTGGGCTGGACTGAAGGCTGCCTCTTCCTGGAGACAGTGGGGTGACTGGGGTTGCAAAGATGCTGCTGTCTGGGATGGAGGCAACCCTCCTAGCTCTGTCCACACCCTTGTGAAACAGTCTCTCTCCAGCCCTGTGTGGCCCTCAGGCTGTGCATGGCACAAGCATGTCCTGGTCCCCAGCCCTTGGGCCTGGCTCTGGGCTTTCAGGAAGAGCCTTCTTGGGGACATGCTTGGTCTCTCTGGCCAGGACAGGCAGGAGGGTGGGCCCCAGAGAGGCCCCAGAGGTGGCCTTTGTGAGTGGGTGCTTGTACGGGAAAGGGTTCTGGGGAGGCAGCCTCAGGACTGCAGAGATGGACAGGTTGCTGGGGAGGGTGAGGACCTGTTCACAGAGGCTGGGCAGCCTCCTGGCCCCTGGCTCCCCTGGCTGGGTGAGGGGCTGGGGGCGGGGGCTGGGGCTGGGGCCGTGTTGGTGGTCGGGCTGAGGCTGTACCTTGGTGGTGGTCTGTGCCCCTCCCTCCTCTGCCTCCCCTTGATCAGCCCATCCCCGATCTTTCCTGCAGATGCTTCCGATGCCAAAGCCAGGGAGCGGGGGAGGGGCATGCCTCTGCCCACGTCCTCGAGGGATGCCTCAGAGGCCCCGGATCCCAGGTAGCACACCTGGAAGGCAGGTGCACACACTTCTGCTTCCCAGCCTGTTTCCTTGCCAGAGAAAGGGTGCCAGTCTCCATGTGCCTAGGCACTGCTTTGAGGCTGCACACAGAGTCGGTCAGCCTCATGCTGGACACCAGCCTTGTGGTGTGTCCCGCCTGCACTGACCACTTGAGATGTGGGTCTGTGTCCACCTGGCTGTCAGCCAGCCATCCTGGCCTCTTCCTCTGCCAAGAGCTGCTGTATACCCTGAGTGGGCCTGTGGGAGCCCCCTGGCCTCTTCCCCCAAGGCCCCCTGCTGGGTCTGGTTCTTGCTGGCCCACTCTGGCTTCCCCCTCAGCCTCACTCAACGACGGTCCCTCCTTCCTGCAAAATTCTGCCCAGAACCAAAGGCGGGGGCCAACTCCCCTCCTGCCCTGCATGTGCACGTGTGGTCACTGCTGCCAGGGGGTGATAAGGGCTCTGTGGCCTGCAGCTGGGAGCTGGGGGTGCTTATTGTGGCAGGCTATAGCCGAGAGATGGCTTTGCCCTTGACCACACTGGGTTGTGGTGACTGGGCCACCAGGAGCTCAGGGACACCTTTGCAAGTTGATTTTCCTCCAGGAAGCTGCCTGCTTCTGCCAACTTCCACAGAGGGGATGAGGGGAGGGCTAGGTGGATGCAGCCTGGTCGTTGGGCAGCCCCATGTTGGGGTCCAGCCCTGAGGGGCATCCTTCTCCCATTCTGTACGTGCCCAGGGGTGTCGTCTGTGACAGCAGAACCTGGCCTTGGGCGGCCCCGCCTTGTCTCCCCCCAGACAGCTGTGGGTCTCTCCCTCTCCCTGACCAGGCAGCAGCTGCAGCTGCCCTCAGCAGAGTATTTGTGTTGCGGCCCAGTGGGTGGGCACCCCAGAGGTGGCAGGAACTGCCAGGTTCATTCTGATCGACTGGTAATGCTGCCCAGATGCTGACTGCTGGGTCTGGGATCCTGTTCCCACCTGGAGAGTACACCCTGACCCACTGGGGACCTCATGGCCCTCTCCCTCCTGGCTGCTGGGCACACCCCATGGACATCTGGGCTGGACTCAAGATAGGCAGGGCCACAGGCCACTGTTGGACTCTGGCAGAGTAGAACAAGCAGGGGTTGGTGGGGGATTATGCTGTGGCACCTGCTGCTTCTAGGACCAGTGTCTCGCTGGGGTGCCTGCAGCCTTGAGTCTGAACCCAGCTGGCCCTGGCTCTCTGCAGCCGCAAGAGGCCGGAGCTGCCCAGGGCACCGTCGACTCCGAGGATCACCACATTTCCTCCGGTGCCTGTCACCTGTGATGCCGTGCGCAACAAGTGCCGCGAGATGCTGACCGCTGCCCTGCAGACGGACCGTGAGTGCGGCCGGCCCTGGCTCCTGACACCCGCTGTGGTTCACAGGGTGGCCCGGGCCCCTGCCTGCCCGCAGAGGCCTGCTTCCAGCGGGGTGACTGTCCTCCCCCAGCCCATTGCTGTGGCCCTGGCAGGGGCTAGGGGCCTGTGCCTGGATCGTGGGCCTCTTGCAGGGACCCGGATGTGCCCTCTAAGCTGCCAGGGTGTTTTGCAGGCAGAAGGGGTGGCAGGTGGAGAAACCAGTGGGGGAAGCTAGTCAGGGCTCCCTCTTGCAGATGACCACGTGGCCATCGGTGCGGACTGCGAGCGCCTGTCGGCTCAGATCGAGGAATATATCCTTTGGGTAGGGGCTGTGGGCCTGGGTTTCTGGTGGAGTCAGGAGGCTGCCTGGCCTGGTGCCCTCTGGTGGCTGCTGGATGCCACTGCCCAGCTGTCCAGGGGTCACCTGCCTGGGTGGTCACCTGCCTGGGTGGTCAGGCTGTCTCACCTCAGGAGGGCCCCCGGACCAGCTGAAGGGCTGATTCTGTCTGCTTGTGGGGCCTAGGTCCCCTGGGGCTGTAGCCTGAAGCTGGGTCTCAGTCAGGAATGGGCCTGGGGCAGGCTTGGCCCTGCAGCCCTTCACCTCTCCACCAGGTGTGGGTGGGCAGACCGACCCCTGTGTGGCTGGGCAGAACCTTTCCAGCCCCCACCCCAACATGGCCCCCAGCGGGGCAGGTGGTAGGTGGAGGGCAGCGACGTTGTCCTCAGGTGGGTCCTTAAAACACTTGCACGCATCTTCCGGGACGTTGGAAACACAGACATGAAGTATAAGAACCGTGTACGGAGTCGTATCTCCAACCTGAAGGATGCCAAGAACCCTGACCTGCGGCGGAATGTGCTGTGTGGGGCCATAACACCCCAGCAGATCGCTGTGATGACCTCAGAGGTGAGCCCCTGTTGGAGGGGCTGGAGGGCTGCTCCCTCGGAGCGGTGGGCTAAGCCACTGGCCCCGTGCTCCAGGAGATGGCCAGTGATGAGCTGAAGGAGATCCGTAAGGCCATGACCAAGGAGGCCATCCGAGAGCACCAGATGGCCCGCACTGGCGGCACGCAGACAGACCTGTTCACCTGCGGCAAGTGCAGGAAAAAGAACTGCACCTACACACAGGTGAGCGGCCGCTGGGCACCCTCCCCCGGGCCCGGTGTCTTCAGGGCATCTGGTGCCCCTCCTTGGAGCCCATGCCTATTCCCGCCTCTGCTGCATGAATTTCCCGAGCCTCTCAGTCCCTGAGTAGGCTAAGGCATGATGGCCACCTTCAGGGACCACTCCCCTCTACCCAGGACCTCTGGGCTCCACGGGGCGGCGTCTTGGGTGGTGGGACCCACTTGTTGCGGATACTCAAGTCAGAGGGCCTGGCCTGGCCCAGCCCAGCCTGAACGGAGGGCCCTCGAGGTGTTGATGTTGGTGGGAGGGCCGTGCTGCCTGCTGCCTGGCAGTGACTGCAGGACCCTCAGTCCCTGCCATGGAGGTGGACACTGAGTGTGCTGGGGAGACTGTGGATCCCATGAGATGGCAGGGACCCTGTTAAGAGGGGAGTGCGGCTGGGTGCAGTGGCTCACATCTGTAATCCCAGCACTTTGGGAGGCCGAGGCAGGCGGATAATGAGGTCAGGAGTTCGAGACCAGCCTGACCAACATGGTGAAACCCCGTCTCTACTAAAAATACAAAAATTAGCTGGGCGTGGTGGCGCATGCCTGTAATCCCAGCTACTCAGGAGGCTGAGGCAGGAGAATCACTTGAACCCGGGAGACAGAGGTTGCAGTGAGTCCAGATCGTGCCACTGCTCTCCAGCCTGGGCGACAGAGCGAGACTCCGTCTTTAAAAAAAAAAAAAAGAGGGGAGTGTGTCGAGGCGGCCGCTGCACCTGGCAGATGGGACTCGTGAGGGGCTGCAAGGACAGCCTTTCCTTCCCCTCGAAGGCTGCATGGGGCCTGGGTCGGTGCAGAGCCTGCCTCTCTCCTGCTCCCAGCCACTGGTCAGAACAGGCTCTGCCTGTGGCCGGAGGCTCACCCTTGGGCCTTCCGGAAGGCAGCCGCGGGCACTGGGGACCCCTGCTAGTTCCCCCCACCATTGGGACCCTCTTGCCCTCAGCCAAGTCTGGGCCCTCCTGGTCCCCAGCCAATGTGAGCTGCTTCAGGCTCACACAAGGGCCTCTGCCCCGATAAACTCTGTCTCCCTCCCCCGGAGGCTCAGCTTTGGAAGGTTGGAGTCACGAGGCGGCCTCGGATCAGGTCACCTGTGGGAGCTCAGTGGCTGCGAGGCCCGCACTGCCCATGTTGAGGGGATGCCGTCTGCAGCGGAGCATGGAGGTGACCCTGGGTTCACCCAGCCCTGTTCACAGGTGCAGACCCGCAGCTCTGATGAGCCCATGACCACCTTTGTTGTCTGCAACGAGTGTGGAAACCGCTGGAAGGTGGGTGAGCAGGCTCAGGCTGCCCCTCCCAGCTCCATTCTCTGGAGGTGGGGTGTCTCAGCCTCTGTGGGGTCTGTGGTGTGAACTGGGGATGGCCCTGCCCAACCAGCCTCCTGGGAGTCTTGGGCATGGTGGGTGGAGAGCCCAGCCTTGGGTGAGCCTGTGCGGCCTTCCACTCTGGGGGATCTCATGTGGCCACAAGGCTGGAGGCCTCACCCCCTTTCTCGCAGTTCTGCTGACCCCTCGTGTAGATGTGCTGCAGCCTTGGGCCCTCCCCGGCCCACGTCCTCCGTTGACACAGCTTCTCTGGAGACCCTAGAAGGCGGCATGTCCTGCCCTCAACCTGCCTGCCTGGATTGCACCTTTCTGCCCTTTCCCCCTCATTATTAAATGTTTCTTTTTGCCATCTTGTTCTCCTCAGCCGTTACTCCTGGTGGGCCCCTGTCCCCCATGTTTGACCCGTTTCCACTGCTGTGGACAAGGCCCCTCCCTGGGGTTGGGCAGTGCTTGGGTTTGGCCCTGGTGGGTCAGCCCCAGGAGAGGAGCTTGGCTGACCTTCAGAGATCACCTGGGGCGGCTCTGCCTGTGAGGGCAGGTGGGGAGAGGGTCTTGTGTGCGTCCTGTGCAGGGCAGTGTCCTCCCCAACGCCTCAGGCATGGGCAGCTCGGGACCTCTCGGCACTTCAGGACAGCTTGTCCCCATGCTGCCTTCTCTGTTCTTGTGGGAGTTGTGGTCTCAGGGCCCTGAGCCAATTTCAGCTTCAACTCACTTAACTTCCCAGAAATGCAGGGGATGGGCTGGTGAGCACTCAACTCATGGGGCCTGTGAGATGAGAAAGATGACATTGGGCCTGGCACCAAGTGGCCCCTCCTGCCCCAGCCAGCCTGCCTCTGGGGACCCCGTCCGGCTGGGCCTGGGCGGCACCTCCTGTTGCCTCTCGACTTCTGAGGTGCTGTGGGTCACTGTTCTGGCCCGACTTTCAGCTAAGGAGGCTGAGGCCGAGGGCGTGGAGCTCATGCCCCGGGCAGGGTTAAGCACAGCCACCCACTGGGACCACTGTTCTGAGGAGGGGTCTGGTGGAGGCCAGGGCATGGGAAGAGGGCAAGCACACGGCTGTGTGTCCCCTCCAAGGGGCACTGGAGCCCCTGCCCTGGGACAAGGACACTTCTCCCCAGCCCTGAGTCTGGGGCCACTCATTCTCCAGTCTCTCCCCAGACTTGGACAAAAATGAGTAGAGACTTTGCTTTAAAAATATCTTCAATAATAAGACATCCTATTTTTGGGGGGTTAGGGATAGAGATAAATATGAAAACTTTTTTTTGATAAAACACCTAGTAAGGACATGTTTCCAGGTTTAAAGTTCATGAACATATAAAACAGAAATTGGGTCCTGCCACCTTGAGTGCAGGATTCTGAGGTCCTAAATCTGGTTCTGAGGTTCTGTGTTTGATTCTGGGGTACAGACAGCTCAAGTAGGAGGTCTCCTTATGTCACAAAACTACACGATGCGGAGGTTCTGTTCCCCACCAAAGGCTTGTCTGGGGCCCATTGGCTGCCTGGGGAGGAGGCCCCAGCGAGGCTCATGGGTCCAGCATGGCTCCTGGGGGGACCCCTACTCTCACCACGCAAGAGCCCCCAGCCAGGAGCACTGGGCCAGCCAGCTGCGGGCCGATGAGGGGGCTTCTGGCCCGCCCTGCACCTGGAGGCCCGCCCTGCACCTGGAGTTCCTGCTTGGCCACGGGTGGGCAGACCCAGGAGACACAGCACTCCCCACTGGGTCTAGGACCGTCTCCGCGGGTGGGGACCCCAGCCGGCCAGGCATGTGCCCTGACAGCCCTGCCGACAACAACACCTGAAGGGAACCCAGAGTCGGCCGTAGGAGGCGGCGGGGTCTGTGCTGCTGGGGGCGGCCTAGGCCTCGGAGGAGGACTGTGATGGCCCCTGCAGCAGCAGGGCACGGTAGGTGGGAGAGCTGAGGAAGCGGGGGTAGGAGTCCCGGTGCATGAGCGTGTAGATCTGCAGCTGCGCGTCGTCGAACGTGTGTGCGGACGGCTCCTGCATCTTCTTGTTGATGCCCTCCCGCACACGGGAGTCCAGGCTCACCTGCAGGACAAGACACTGAGGTCAGGGGGTGCGGGAGCTGCCTTCCCCACCTAGTGCCTGGAGCAGGCGGCCCCCGGCCTGTTCTGGTGTCTGGCGCACCTCCTTGGGGGACAGGATGGATACGTAGTCCTCGTAGATGAGCCTCGCCTTCTCGTCTACCACATGCTGGTTGGCCTCGGCCTTCAGCTCCTCGCAGGCCAACCAGAAGAGCATGTTCTCCTCGCTGTACTCTGTCCGCAGGAACGCCCGGAACACGCTGCGTCCCGCTGGGCTGTGCATCAGCTTGTCAAAAGACTGCGCCCAGCTCTGCACCTCCTCAGGACTTGGCGTGGCACTGTGGGCACGGGGGCCAGGCTATGTCAGGCCCGAGTCTCCCGGTCTGGGGCCCCCCCAGCACGCACACACCAGCCGGCTGGACTCACCATACTTCACAGCTGGGGAGGGGCTGCAGCTTGCTCTCCCGGGAGGCCTGCCACGCGCGCCGCCGCTCTTGGTTCCTAGTGGCAGAGAGGAAGCAGCGCTGCCGTGGGCACACACGCCTCCACGGCCACACAGGCCCTCAGCACATGGGCAGGCACCTGACACACATGGGCACCCACTGCAGGAGGGCAGCCCCTGCAGGCACCTGACACACATGGGCACCCACTGCAGGAGGGCAGCCCCTGGAGCTGGCTCTTCCCACACTCTCCCACACTCCCAAATTCCCCACAGAATCTGCAGTCCAGGTTACTGTCCCTGCCACAGTGCCCAGACCACAGACTCTGCCGTCTTCCATTCCAGCAGTGTGACCCAGTGCCCGCGAGTCTCTGGCCTTCCAGGAGGGGCCCTTCGGCTCCTGGTGTGCTCCTCCCCATCCCTGGCCCACTGGGCAACCTCCTCCACCCACCCATGCCCACCCCACATGAGGTTGAGAAGCAGGTATGCCACCTCCCCTTCTGCCTCTGCTCCCCTGGGGGAGATGGGGTGGGGCAAGATGAGGGGCCACAAGGAGCTGGGAGATCCCTGAACACCTGGGAGGCCAGAAGGGTCATGTGCCTGGGAACAGGGCCACCCATGGGAATGTGCCTGGGAACAGGGCCACCCATGGGAATGTGCCTGGGAACAGGGCCACCCATGGGAATGTGCCTGGGAACAGGGCCACCCTGCTCCTGGGCCTGATCTTGGCCTGTCCCTGTCCCACCGATGGGGTCACACGCTGCAGGTCTGGCGTGTCAGCAGTGTCTCTCGTCGGCTGACGCAGGTGAGAGCCCCAAACCCGTGTCCACACTCCTTCAGGTTCTGGAGCCTGATCCCCGGTTGTCTCAAGGGAAGCAGCTTCTTTGCCTTGGCTCCTAGCATCCTGTCAGTGCTGGACCCAAATCCATACCCGGCTGACCTCTCTCCAGGGCACTTGGATGGCTGGCAGACATCGTGCACCCAAACGTCCTGACAGAACTAGGCCCCTGGGCTCCTCCCACCCCCTTTCCCGACTGCCCCCTGGCCACCCCCAGCTTGCCCGTGGGTCAGCTGACGCCACCTTGGATCCAGAAGCGCTGTCCTCTCATCAGCCAGGGCCTGAAGCCTGAATAGGGCCAGGCTTCTGCAAGGTGTGAAAACATCCACCAGCTCCCCTACACTCCTAGGAAATCTGTTACCATCTGGGAGCCCCACTCCCACCCTCACAGGGATGCCCAGAGACGTCCCCGCCACCGCCCCCTGCTCTTCTTCCCCCACGCATGCTGTCCGGGAAGCTCTTGGCCATCGCCCCAGGGCCAGCAGTTCCCTTATTGGGGTCTCTGTTCAAACGTCCCTCCACCCCACACACTGTATGGGGTCTGTGCCTGTCTTTCTTTCTTTCTTTCTTTTTTTTTTTTTGAGACGGAGTTTTGCTCTTGTTGCCCAGGCTGGAGTGCAATGACGCGATCTCGGCTCAACGCAACCTCCGCCTCCCAGGTTCAAGCCATTCTCCTGCCTCAGCCTCCCGAGTAGCTGGGATTACAGGCATGCGCCACCACGCCTGGCTAATTTTGTATTTTTAGTAGAGACAGGGTTTCTGCACATTGGTCAGGCTGATCTCGAACTCCCGACCTCAGGTGATCCGCCCACCTTGCCCTCCCAAAGTGCTGGGACTACAGGCATGAGCCACTGCACCTGGCCTGTGCCTGTCTTACTCCACCGCAGGCCCCCAGGGCCTAGCCTGGGCTGGCTCACAGCAGCATGGATAAAGCACATGCCGCGTGAACGGGCACATGCATGTACACAGCACACGGACACACCCTTGGCAAGACAGGTACGAGAGCCATACATGAGCTCCCTGGGGCCAAGGCACCGGCCACTCATCACCAGGGCCCAACAGACCCTGGACAGGACAGTGCTGTGAGGTGGCAGGGGCATCCTGCCTGCGGGGATGCCTCGGAAGCCACCACTGGGTCCCCTCCTGGGTCTGCTTGGCCCCATGCCCTCGACCCCCTCGCCAGCTGGGCACCCCAGGCCCTACTCACCAGGAGCAGCTACAGCAGCAGCACCAGCACAGGCAGCAGGGGTTGCGGCTGGGGGCCGCTGGAGAGGCTGTATCATGACTGGACATTGAAGGGGGCCGGTCCGCCTCCTCTGGCCCTGTGATCTGGGGAAAAGTGGGGCTACCTCAGCTTTCAGGTCAGAACCCACCAGACTCTCCACCTCTCCCCCACCTTCCCATGGGTAGCCCTGTTCCCAGGCACATGACCCTTCTGGCCTCCCGGGTGTTCAGGGATCTCCCAGCTCCTTGTGGCCCCTCAGCTTGCCCCACCCCATCTCCCCCAGGGGAGCAGAGGCAGAGGGGGAGGTGGCATACCTGCTTCTCAGCCTCATGCGGGGTGGGCATGGGTGGGCGGAGGAGGTTGCCCAGGCTCCGTGGTACCAGCTCTCAGACCCTCACCACAGCCTGGGGGTCTGGGGAGAGGGGCCAAGGTTCTGACTGAGAACCTGAAACCCCAGCCCCTGCCTACCCCTTAGGAGGGGTCCTGAGAGGGTGTCTCCCTAGCGGGGCCTGCTCCTGCCTCTGGACCCAGCTCTGCCTAGGGCTTCTACCCCGACCCCAAGCTTACAGCAGGGCTGGGAGGGGGTCCAGGATCATTGAGGAGGGAGCTGCAGCAGCTTCTGGCCCCTCCTCCCAGGCTGGGCCCCAGATGAGGCCCCCACTGGAGGTTCCGAGACACCCCCATCCGCTCACTCCCTGGGAAGCCGGAAGCCTGGGTTCCTCTTTCTTGGTTTCCGGCTCCCAGCCCCTCCCAAAGGGGCCCCGAGAGTCTGGGGCTACCAACTGGTGCGTGCGGGTGGTGGCCAGACTGGCTTCTAGGGTGTCTGGGGTGGGGAGTGGGCAGAGTGGCTTCCCACCAAGAGTCCAGGTCTGTCTGTGGGTCCCAGAGGTCTCAGCCAGGGGCAGCAGGCTAGACCTGCAGCAGTGAGGATTTAAGTGGGACTCAGGCTGGACTTGCTGAGGGTGTGGGAAGGGGGGCAGGGCCCCGGTGAGGAGGGACATGCCCCCCAAACATGGTTCTTTGGTCCTGCTACCTCCCACCCAAGACTTCCCTCCCTCCTTGCCCACTGCCTCTAGGCTGTGAAACTGCTGTGGAACCAAGGCCCTACCACAGGGTGCGCCAGCCAGGGAAGTGGGGGTGGCAGGGGTGGGGGGCACCCTGCTCCCCAGTCGAAGCCTCGGAGTCCCTGAGGGGGGTGTGGTGTGGTGCATGTCCCTCCCAGCATTTGGTTGCACCGTCTGCAGGGGAGGTGCACCAGGAGCGCCAAAGCTGTGAGTGGCCCTCATGCCACCTAAGATGCCACTTCGAATCCCAAGTCTCCTTGGGCGATGGTACAGGGGGGCCAATCAGTGCCCCGGAGGCAGTTGTGAACACCTGCGCCCACTTCTGCCCAGGGCAGGGAGGGGCCTCCGTGCACATCCGCCACCCTCCTCATGTGCCGCCACCCTCCCTGGCCAGGAAGCTCACAACTTGATTCTACTTTATTTTCTCAATCTTCATCCCCCCGCCACGCCTCCCCTAGCTCGTGGCCTTTGAATGCTTGTTTCTGGCTGGTTGGCTTCTCTTGGCCTCCTGGGACGGTGTGTGAATGGCCCTCAGAAGAGACAGTGCTGGAGTTCTGCACTCTTAGGGCCCCCAATACCCCCGAGGCCTGGGCATGCAGAGGCCACTGCCCTGGCCCAAGTCTGGGGCAGGTGCAGCATCCCCTGGGACCTTGGCCCCTCACCACCGGCCCAGTTTCCTCTGAGACTGGGGGTCCCACGGGCTCCTAGCAAGTAGATGAGGAGACCGAAAGTAGCCCTGCAGCTGGGCTTTCTTTCAGGGGTCAAGTTTCTAGGGAAAGGAAGGGGCGTGGCAACCTGAGGTTTGGTAGCTGTACCCAGACGGGGCTGTCTGTGGCTTCCCCAGGCAGCAGTTCTTCCTCCTCTCTGTCCCCACCCAGGGTCCTCCCCCACACTCTAGCACCCCTGAGACTGTCCCCCTGGGCTACCATCTCCACCCCAGCTCTGAACTGGAGGAGGGGACGTGTTTAGGGGTGCAGGGCCGGGGTGCTAGGGGCTGCATTTGCTGCAGAGCAGGGAGCCAGCCCCTTCTTTCCCAGTTGCAGGCCCTGGACCTGGTCACCTGTCCCTGGACCTGGCTTCCTGTACCCTTCTCAGGTCAACTGGGGCAACCCATGTCCCCAGGCTACCCTCCCCCCGTCTCTCCTGGGGGATACAGAGTCTCAACTAGGGTCCTCCTGCTTGTCAACCTGGCATTGGGGACCCCCTTCCCCAGCCTCCCAGGCTTTGGCCCCCAAGTCTGGGATGGGATAGGCTGGATAGGCGGCACGTCTGCTCTCTGGGGATAGAGGATCCCTTGGGAGTGGCTGCCGCTTTGCTCCACAGAAGGAAAAAGAACGTCCCAGAGCCTGCCCAGTCCAAAAAAAGAATAAGAAAATGTGACAATCCCAGAAAAAAATGTCATAACCTTTGGGAGGGGGGTTGAAGAGGGGCTCCATTCTCAGTCCTTAGCTCCTACCCAGGGCCTTTCCCATCTGCCACCCTCCACATCTGGCTGGTGGGCGAGCCCTGGCCTGGCCCCTCCAGGGAAGGCCAGCTCTCCCCACCTCTGAAATGGTGGTGGTGGCCCACCCACCACGCTCCTCTCTCTGCTGTTAGGGTCCAGTCTGGAGAAGCCTGTGTTCTCCTCCAGGTGCCTCTTTCTTCAGCCTCTGACGCCCCCACCCCTACCTCAAAGCTCCCTACTCACCAGCGACCCAAAGGCGGGGTGGGGGCAGGAGGGGCCAGGTTGGGTCTGGGCCCCACCCTGGCTGCCGAAGGGGCGTGCACTGCAGCAGCAGGGACTCAAGTCAGACGGCAGGAGGGACTCCTGCGGCGCTCTGGAGGGAGGCTAGCGCCAGGAGCCCCCGATCGGCTGGGGCCGGGGGCGCAGCGCCTCCCCTACAGCTCGAAGGGCTGAGTGGCTGCCAGATCCAGCGGGGTGGGGGCGGGGGCGGACAGGGTGTCCCGCCCCGGCCCCTCCTCACCGGGCTGAGAGGGGGAGGGAGACGCGGAAACCTGGGTTCTTCCGGCCCCCACCTTTGAGCAATCACTTCCCCAGGCTTTGAGCTCCAGAAAAAGGGGAACCCGGCTGCGGCGCCCCCTCCCCCACGCGCGGGGGGCGGGCTCCACTTCCACTGCGGCCCAGGGTCCACGTGGACCTGGCGGCGGGAGCCCTTGGGGTTCGAGTCCCGTGCGCCGGCTCCCGAAGCTCCCGCCCAGCACGGTCCCCGGGCCCGGGCCGGGAGGGGCAGGGCCGCTGTCCCCGGCGCTGCGCGCGCGCACTCACCAGCCGCGCTCCCGAGCCACTCGCGCCGCCGCCGGCCCGCGCGCTCCAAGGTCCGGCCCGACAGTCGGGGAGGGGGCGCGGGGGCGCAGTGCGCAGGCGCCTCGGCGGCACTTCCCCAAAGCCAGGGGCCGGGACTTCCTCGCGCCGGCGGTCGCCGGGCCCGCCCCGCCCGCCGCGCCCCGCCCCGCGCTCGGCCGGCTCCGCACCCCACCCGCCCCGCCCGCGCGTCGGCCCCCACAGTCGCCTGGGGGTGGCCCGGAGAGTCGAGGTGCTCATAGTGGAGCCCTGGCTCCCGGGCGGACGGAGCCGCACGGTAGTAGATGGGGGTGTGGCCGTGGCCCCCGACTCTGCTCGGCGGGGCCGTTCCTGCTTTGCCATCCGTGTGGGACTTCCACGACAGTGGAGGCACGAGAGCTGGGCCCCATATGCTGCTTGCCCAGCTTGGGAAAGAGGAGGCTGCTGCAAAGGACCGATCGGCGGGTACGCCAGCCCGGCCCACCCCTCGCCTCCGTGAGCCGCGTCTGTAAAACTGGGTTAAGAGCCGCCTGTCTGTGCTGTGGGGGGTTCCCAAGGAAGGGGGAGATTCCTGTGCTGCGGGGCTGGGGAGAACTGGGGGTGCGGGTTCTTGCATCCGGAGTCATGCCGAATGTCTCCTGTGGGGCCTGGCAGAGTCCCTGCTGACCCGTGTGTCCCAAGATGTCCTAAAGCTTAAGGCCACACTGTCCCCTTTGCCACGAACGCCCTGTCCCTTTGGCCGACTCTTCTCATCCTTTATGACTCGGTACAGACGTGGGTTAGGCTTCTCATCGCAGCATGCTTTGGCCCTGTGTCAGGGTGGCCCTGACCCTGCTCTGGAAGTGTCTGCAGAGCATCTGTGCCCCCCGCCCCTCCCCTGGCCCGGCTGTGTGCAGCTCCTGTCCTCCCCAGCACAAGCACTCCACCCGGATAGTTCCCAGTGTCGGGATCTGTTCATAAAATGCCTTCCAGTTGCACAGGTCAGGTGCACACCTTACACCTTCACAGAACTCTGAGGGGTGCAAAGGCAGCTGGAGATTCTACTTGTATTCCTCATTCAACGGACAAGTATCAGTATCTGGGTGCCCCTGTGGGCCAGGCAGTAGGACCAGAAGCCAGCAACATAGATCAGCCTGGATCTTATGCTGGGGGGCGCAGAGTGAGTTGTGGGGAGCAGGCAGGGAAGGCCTGGGTGAGAGGGGGGAGGGCTGAGGAGGGGAGGGTATTGCGCTGCTGAGCGGGGGCGGGGGCCCGAAGGGGGAGGTCAGAGGTCAGAGGGCCCTGGAGGACAGACAGGCTGCCTCTCGAAGCTGTACCCAGAACCCTGTGACTGCCATGTTGTCAGGCCAGGCAAGGAAAGGCAGGGGCCAGGAAGCCCACAGGGACAAGAGGCAGGCTGCTACTTATTCAGCCCACATAACACTCCTGAGCGGTGGGCACAGGTGAGGTCAGGGAAGCTCAACGAAGATGGGCCAGCACCTGGCCCAGGCCACACACAACCAGGCTGACCCCGCTGAGCCGGCCTGTTGTCTCTGCTGTGGGAAAATGCAGCTGTGGGCAGCTGGCAGGGGGTGAAGGTCAGTGCCCTCCCTGCCCCCTCGGGTCACTCTACAACCCCCCAGTCATTCCCCCGTCTCCTCTGGCCCCTTGGGCCTGCTCTCCACCGCCCTGGCTTCTGCCTCTCGGCACACAGCATCCTGAAGTCCATGGGTGGGGCCAGGTGAGCTGGGCAGTTGATGGCGGAGCTGGGATTTGAACCCAGGACCCTCTGCGCCCTGACAGCCCTCAATATATTGGGCTTTGGACCACATGCCTTCCTTCCCATAGAGCTTTCTACAGGCAGGCGTCCCTCCAGGCCCCATTCCCCAGCCTCCTTTGCACATCCAGCACCCCCTGCGCCTTTTCATGGGGATCAAAGGGCCCGAGTGCCGGCCTGACCCTGGTGCAGTCACTGAGGTCACTGTCTTGCTGGCCTTCTCTGGGTGCTGGGTCTGCTGTGCCTGTCTCTGCCCCTCTTCCCTCTTGCCTGTCTGATGCAGAGTGACCCATCCCCTTTGGAGCACTTGCTGCTGTGGGGTACTGCACCAAGACCCTTATTTTAAAGATAAAGAAATGGAGTCTCAGAGAAATGGTGAAATAATATGTGATTCTCCCAGTAGATGAACTCATTCTAGGCACTCAGTCAATCCCCAAGACACAGAATCCTGGGGTCCAGGCTGCAGGGAGTTTGGCCAGACGACACCAGGGCTGGCTGTCATCACATGTCACAAGCACATCAGGGTGTGAGTGGCTGCCACTCCTGGACAGACTGCCTCCCTTCCCTGTCTGTCTGCCCCTGCTCAAGCCCCTTCTCCCTGGCCTCCTTCCTCTCTACCCTTCCCTTCCTGAAACCCCTCCTGCCATCTCTCTGTCCCCTCCTTGTCAGCTGACTTCTGAGCTCTGTATACAGTCTGGGCTTGGGTCAAGGCCAAGGGCAGCAACAGCCCAGAAAGAGTAAAGTGCTCGGTGCACGGGGAGAAGGGCTGGCTGAGGGGCGAGTGCGCAGGGCTCCACCCCCTGGCCGGGGCTGGGGAGAAACACTGGCTGCCATGGAGCAGGATCCCTTCTGGACCCCAGTTCTGACCTCTGCCCCTCCTTCCAGTCAGCTGGAGCCCCCTAGCAGGAGGAGCGGTTTGTCTGAGTTCCTGCGGTCCCGCTTCTGTGCAGCCTGCTGGGCAGGGGGCTGGGAGGGAGGAAAAGGAAGCGGGGGCCTAGGGAAGCCCCAGCGTCTGCAAAGAGCTCACGTCGGGGAGAAAAGTAAGGTCTGCCCAGAAACCTCGGGGCTTTTCAGAGTCCAGGGATTTTGTAGGTCGTGGGCCTGTTTGTCAGAATGGGACAGGGGTGGCTTCCTTTTGTACTGCATGCGTGAGTGTGTGTGGGGTGTGTGTGTGTGGGGGGGTGGGTGTGGGGGTGTGGCATGGGGCATTAAAGGGGTCACAGGAGGCTATTCAGGATGGAAAGGAAGGCCAGAGGGTGGGATTTTTGTCTGGGGGCCGCAGGGGTTCCCCTTGCCCAGTCTCTTGGTCCTCTTGGGCACAGCTGCTGCTTCTTCAAAGGCCAGCTTAGGTCACTTCCGCTGCCCACAGCACTGCCCTCTCCCTGGCCCCCTGGTGGGATGACTCGCACTCGAGACCACTGCAGCCTGAGGCTACCCTTACATCTGGGGGTGACTTCTGCTGAAACAGGCTCTTTCTCCGTCCTCCCCAAGACTGGGGGCCTCCCATAGACCCACAGAACGCCAGGTTGCCAGTGGGGGGCAGATCGGGATTAGGGGTAGGCGTGTCCCTGACCTGTTACTTTCACACCCACCCACTTGCGTCTCCCCACTTTTTTGGGAGAGGCCCCACTCTCTGTACCCTGATGTCTGTGAGGTGCATGGGAGAGGCAGCGTCCATACTCCCCGCTTCCCTCGGGGTCCTGGGGAGTGGCAGCAAAAAGACCAGCGAGCCTTCGGAGAATTATAACTTTATGTGGGAGGCTGGGGCGCGTCGCACACTCTCAGTCGCCGTCACCGCGGGAAGATGGTGCCATCCACGTTCTCCTCCAGGATGGTCTCCACGCGCCTCCGCTGCCGGGGAGAGAGGCTGGGGTCCGGCGTGTGCGGAGGCGGGCAGGGCCCCTCCCCTTTCCCCGCCCCTACCGGGGCTTGTCTGCACCTCTTGGCGGTCCAGGGGGTCCGGGATCCGCGCGGGCTTCAGCTGCGGCGGCAGGAACAGCTCCAGCCGGATGGCGGCGCGCGCGGACTTCTGCCGCTGGATGAGCAGCGCGATCTCCTCGGCCTGCGGGGCCCGGGTAGCTGAGCGCGCGCCGAGCCCCGCCCCGCCCCGCCCCGGCCGGCTCCGCTCAACGCTCCCGGTGCGCCCCCTCTGCCCTCCGACCCCCTCGCCTCACCCGCATGCGGGTGTAGCGCAGCCGCAGGGCGCGGACTCGCCCGCGGGCCTCCGCTGCCTTGAGGACGCCGAGGAGCCGGTTCTGGCGCTCGGCGGGCAGCTCGAGCGACTGCGTCCACGGGCGCGGGTCGGGCATGCGGTACCCCGGTTCCACCGACCCGCACGGGAAGGTGGAGGCCGCCGCGCCCACGTCCTCCAGCAGGTCGCCGAAGAGCAGATGGCGGTGGCGCTGCGCAGGGAGCATGGCCGCCAGTCCCTGCGGCGTCAGGGCCCAGCCCGGCTTGGGGGGCTCTGTCGCGGGCGCCCCCTTGGCACGCTCCTCACCCTGCGCCGTGCCTGGCGCGCTCTTCCCGCTTCGCTCCCGCGGGCCCTTGCGCCCGCCCTCCTTCGCTGGCGGCGGCATCCTCCCGCCCTGCGGAGGGAGGAGGGCGTCCCGTCGGTGCCGGGGCTGGCACCGGGCCCTGCCCGCCCCTCGGCAGGGCCCCAACGTGCGCCCCAGCTCCCGCCCGCTGGGCTCTCCGCAGTCGGTTTTGAGTTCCGCACCCCCAGCCTCTGAGCTTTGCCCAGGCGCTCTCCCTCTCCCAAGCGCACGTCCCCAGCAGCTCTGCCATCGGCTGATCCTGCTCAGTCCTGCAGTCAACTAGGACTTTCTGATCAACTCAGTTGTAGGAAATATCTTTCCTACCCGATGGACTGTTCTGTTTGAATTGAGAAAATGCTGAGACCCCACTGGGTTGATCTCAGGCCCTGCCACATGGAGAGCTCTAGGTGACGCCTGGGGGACCTTCGTTGTGCCCCTATGTCTGCGGTCCCCGACAGTCAGGGTCTCCCACCAGACAGCTCGCTCTTGCCCTTCGAGGCCTAGATGGTTGTGGGGAGCAGAGCCTAGAGGGCAGGTGACAGAGGAGGGAGGGTCCAAAAGCCCAGCTGGCTCCTCCCTTCCCGGCCCCAGCCTACAGCTGCCACCTTGTCCAGCCAGGGCTGGGCTCGCTGTGCCAGAGGCAGAGCCACGGCCAGCCCCAGCGGCGGCTAACGCCCCCGCCCCTCCTTAGCTCCTGCAGCCGAGGCCCAGCCCCCACCTCTTGGTCCCTACACCCCCTGCTTGCTGCCTTCTCTGGTCGGAAGAACCTCCGCCGTAGCCCAGACTCTTTGGGCTTGTTGACGCGGTTGCCCAGCAACCGGGAGTCCTGCCCCTCCCTCGACCAGGTGGGGCGGGTCGTGGCGGGGGGCAGGGTCCCCTCCGGAGGGCCCTGGGTTAGAGTCTGGGCGTGGACGCGCCCCTCATAGGGGTCATTGGGGCATAGAGGCATAGAGCCGGCTTCTCCAGCTTGGGTGAGCGTCCTTTCCAGGCGGCCGCAGACGCGCCATCCTAGGGGTTGTGGGCCCAGGTTCCTGGCTTGAGGGGTCTTTGGGGTTAGTTTTGTGGGTGGGGCCCTCGGCTATGAGGAGACCTTTGTGGTTAAGGCCCATTCCCTTCTGATGGCCAGGGGGCTCTGGCCCCAGCCACTGGTGTTCACAGAAAGGGATAATGGGGCAGAACTCAGGACCCCTCACCTCTTCTAGGGCAAGTTTGGGGTCTCAGGGGTCCTGGTGTCCCCAGGACTAGAGCTGGGTTTTGCTGAACACTGTGTCTTGGGATCTTGGGTCCTAGATACTAGATTTTGGAAATCTATTTGTGCATTCCTTTGTTTTGTAACTAATTCTCAATTAACTACTTAATCATTTTATAATTTCTTCAGGCACTCATAAGTGTGTTCTAGAATTTCCTAATTCACGTGCTTATTCCACAGTTTAAATTAGGCAAAAATTAGTGCAAAAAGTCCAATCTGTTACGTATCTATTACTTCCACGAGATGTCTGTACTCTCTCTATATTCACAGACCTGCCGCTGGGACACCTTGCTGGGAGTTTGGAACCTGTGAGTTTGGGAGTAGGGCTGTCCCAGCTGAGGAGCAGGGTCTTAGCTGAGCTTCTGGCCTTTTGGCAGGAGGCTGTTGGGTGTTCCCATTGTTTTTGGGAGACTGCCCTGGCCTCTCAGTAAGAGGGTAAATTTTGACATTCAGCCCTATGTCCCAGAGCCGGCACCCCATCCCACAGCTAGGCCCATCCTTCCAGCCCTCAAGCTTTTGCTGCTCCCCAGGAAGGCCCTTCCTGGTGCTGTTCCCTCCCCTCCTGCAGGTGCCTTTGGGGTCCTGCCTGGGCTGCAGCACCAGCTTGGCTTGAGGAAGGTCCCTGGTCTCCAGAAGCAGCAGTGACTGCTTAGGGATGCTCACCCAGCAGCCGCTTTCTCTGGGCAGCCTTTGTGCTCCCATAGGGGTGAGTCCTTTGAGACAGGGACCTGGGCCATCCTCTCAGCTTCCCTGGGTCCAGGCCAGGGGGACACATGGGTGGGGCACTTTCTGGCTCTTGGCGTTTGTGGGGGAGTCACGCAGGGAGTAGGGGAATATTCTTCTGTTCTGCAAGAAGGGGCTTGTAACCTCTTTTTATAGGACTGGAAAACCTTGACACCCCCTAGTCCATAATTTGCAGCAGGTACTCCCAGGGCCTACCTGGCTCACATTCCTCACCCCTACTGTTTCTCCACACGTTTGCAGTTCTGCAAGAAGGGAGGTGTTCTCTGTGTGTTTGGGGTCCAGCAACTGTGAGGGACCCAGCAGGCCGACACCTCCCATCTGTTTCTGTCCCCAGGATTCACGTGTTTTTCAAGGGCTAACGGAAATGCTGAGATCTAAAAGCATGTTTATTGCTGCCAAGGCCTGACGATGAAACTTCAAGTCAAATTAGTAAGCTTTATTAATGACTACAAAATTTAACATGATATTGAGAAGCTACAACTCAATTTTTTTTGTCATTGTATATAGATTTTGTAAAGTTAAAATCACAAGGACAAAGTAATTTATTTTGATGAAACTCAGAATTGTTAAAAATTCTTTCACTTTTTTAATAGCACAAATGTGCGGCCTGGTGACTGGCTTCCCTGGGGGATGGCTGCTCTGTGAGGGGCTGCCAGACCCTCTGCCTTGATTCCTGTTCTTGGCCAGCCCAGGGTGGTGAGCCTGTGGAAGGAGGAGGGTAGACTGTGCCTGCCCTGGGGGTGGGAGTGGGGAGGACAAAAGACAGTGTTCCAGCTGCCGTCTGGCGTTTGCTGATTCTGAGTCACTGGATGAGAGTGAGGTGTGTGTATTTGCCTGCTGAGTGGGTGTGAATCTCACCCCGGAACCCAGGCCTGCCCAAATACCCAGGAGCTCCAAGAGCAGCCTGTGTCAGGCTTTAATCTGTGGACACAAGCTCTGTGCTGTCATTCGCGTGTCATCGTTCGTGTCTTGGGCTATCCCTAGTATCCTCGCACACAAGCTCTGTGCTGTCATTCGCGTGTCATCGTTCGTGTCTTGGGCTATCCCTAGTATCCTCGCACACAAGCTCTGTGCTGTCATTCGCGTGTCATCGTTCGTGTCTTGGGCTATCCCTAGTATCCTCGCACACAAGCTCTGTGCTGTCATTCGCGTGTCATCGTTCGTGTCTTGGGCTATCCCTAGTATCCTCGCACACAAGCTCTGTGCTGTCATTCGCGTGTCATCGTTCGTGTCTTGGGCTATCCCTAGTATCCTCGCACACAAGCTCTGTGCTGTCATTCGCGTGTCATCGTTCGTGTCTTGGGCTATCCCTAGTATCCTCGCACACAAGCTCTGTGCTGTCATTCGCGTGTCATCGTTCGTGTCTTGGGCTATCCCTAGTATCCTCGCACACAAGCTCTGTGCTGTCATTCGCGTGTCATCGTTCGTGTCTTGGGCTATCCCTAGTATCCTCGCACACAAGCTCTGTGCTGTCATTCGCGTGTCATCGTTCGTGTCTTGGGCTATCCCTAGTATCCTTGCATATTGTTTCGCCTGCCCAGAACATGTGTGTTTGAGGTTGTCTTGCTCTCTCATATAACATGTGCCTCTTGCTATCTCTTGTGTAACATATATGTTCTATATAGGACCCTGATTCTACCTTCCCCCTTCTGGAGGGACCACCCCACCCTTGGCAGGTTGGGGGAGGGCAGGACTCTATTAGGGGTCTAGAGATACCTGGGCCATTTCATCTGCACCACCAGTTCTCCTCCGTGGGAGCGTTTCTGGGTCCAGGGCTGGGCCCCTGCCAACCCCAGGGAGCACTGTCAGTGTCACACCTGGCCAATCCCCTAGCCAGGTGACCAGGCCTGTCTTTCACTCTAAGACTGCGCCTGTGAGGGGCCAGGTGCCTGCCTCCTGCGGGGCTCTGCTGACCACACTCTCAGAGGATATCTGCTGAGACCAGAGCTCACAGGCCTAGCCTGGCAGCCGTATTACTGAATAATGGCCAAGTTAGGAAGGTTCCCAGGGCTGGGGGTCCTGGGGTAGGCTTCTTGGAGGAGGTAGGACTGGAGCTGGCTGGGGTGGGGCAGGATCCATGCAAGGGGCCAGAATCTGCACATGGGCCAGGATCTGTGCATTGAGGCCAGGATCTCTGCATGGGGGCAGGAGTCTCTGCGGGGAGGACTTTTAGGGGGTAACAGGATCTGTGCAGCGTGCAGGATCTTTGCAGTGGGGCCAGGATCTGTGCAGTGGGTAGGATCTACATTGGGAGTCAGTGTCTGTTCAAGGGAGTCGGGGGACAGGACCCGTCCAGGGAGGGCAGGATCTGTACAGAGGGACCAAGATCTACGCACGGGGATAGCATCTATGTGGGGTGGGGGCACGGTCTGTGCCAGGTTTTGGGGGCACTAGATCTTTGCAGGTGTGGCCAGGATCTGTGCAAGGGGTAGGATCTGTGCAGAGTGGCCAGGATCTGTGCAGAGTGGCCAGGATCTGTGCAGGGAGGCCAGGATCTGTGCAGAGTGGCCAGGATCTGTGCAGGGAGGCCAGGGTCTGTGCAGAGTGGCCAGGATCTGTGCAAGGGGTAGGATCTGTGCAGAGTGGCCAGGATCTGTGCAGGGAGGGTAGGATCTGTGCAGAGTGGCCAGGATCTGTGCAGAGTGGCCAGGATCTGTGCAGGGAGGGCAG
The DNA here is from genome assembly GCF_000001405.40 of Homo sapiens. Lineage (NCBI taxonomy): Eukaryota > Metazoa > Chordata > Mammalia > Primates > Hominidae > Homo > Homo sapiens. Next base: position 64,088,841 of record NC_000020.11, read on the forward strand.
GATCTGTGCAGGGAGGGCAGGGTCTGTGCAGAGTGGCCAGGGTCTGTGCAGAGTGGCCAGGGTCTGTGCAGAGTGGCCAGGATCTGTGCAAGGGGTAGGATCTGTGCAGAGTGGCCAGGGTCTTTGCAAGGGGGCAGGATCTTTGCAGGGGGGACAGGTTGTGTGCAGGCAGGTGCGCAGGGTCAATGCAGGGGGCAAGGTCTGTACCGTGGGCTAGGGGTCTATGTGGGTGGGGGGCAGGTTCTGCGCAGGGGGCCTAGGCTGTTCAGCATGCCAGGGTCTGTGCTGGGGGTTTGCCGCAGGCACAAGGGAGGGAGAAGCTGTCCTGGGTTCTATGGTTATGAACATGTCAGGGCAGAATGACACAGAACACACAAGAAGTTCAAGGGAACACATTATGAGATTGTGAACACCTGGACTGGGGAGGCCACGGCCTTCTGCTGGACCCTGAACGGCTCCCACAGAGGGAGTTGAGGTCTCTATTGACTCCTGAAAGGCCAGGCAAGGCAGAGCTGGGAGCTGCCTTGGTGGGGGTGCAGGTGGCTGGTTGCTATTGCTGGGTGAGAAGGCTTGGGGTCAAAAGAGGTGGGGGTCAGGGAGCTAGGTCTGACCTCGTCCCCCCTCCTTTCTTCCTGTCCTCCTATCCCCAGCGTGTTTTCCTCCCTCTTCTCCCATCCTTCCTTACCCATCCTCTCTCTTGATCTCTCCATACTTCCTCCCCACTCCTTTCCCTTTCCTCCTCCTCCCCATCCCAACCCCTCATCCTCCCTGTCTCTGCCTGTAGGGAGGAAGCTGTGGGGTGACCCAGGTGGAAGACAGACATGCGAAGGGAGAGGTGTCTGCAGTAGCAGGGATGAGGTGCTTGTGTCCCACACTCTGCCCTGGCCTCTGACACTGGTTCCTGGTCCGGGGACATCAGGTTGGGCTCCTTTGTCCTTCCCTTACGAGGTCTCTGCTCTGCCCACCCTCAGTGCCTACAGTGCCCAGGCTGGGTCCCAGGCTGGGAGGCAGGCTCAGGAAGCTCGGGTAGGAGGGTCTAGGGTCTCCTGCTCAGACGTTGGTGAGCCCAGCTGGGGCGGAGGGCTGCAGGAGTCCGAGCCTGCCTGGATTCCTGCCCCCTCTCGGCTCCTGAGGTCAGGGGGCTCACCCTCGAGCTTTGCCTGGAGAGCGTGTTTGTGCATGTGTGTGTCCTCTGGGTGTCGGAGGGCCTTGGTCTGTGTCTGCCTGTTCCCAAAGGTGTCCATGCACACTCTAGGTCTACCCATGTGCCTGCGTGCACGTTGGCGTCATCTTGCATGTGTGTGGCCCGTGTGTTTGTGCATCCCTGTGAGTGTCTGCATTTCTGAGTGTGTACCCATCCATGTCTCTGTGTGTTCACCCGTATGCCTGTCTGGGCATCTGTGTGTGTGTTTGCAGGAATGTGTGTCCCCATGTGTCCCTTGAGTGTCTCTGTTGACGTGCCCCGTGCCTTCACACGTGTCCCTGAGTCTTGGTTGCCGTGAAGATGCAGGGAGAAATCCTGGGGGACAGCGAGGGATGCTGGGTCCTGGGGCATCTGCCTGTTCCGTCCTCTCCTGATTTGCCAGGTATCCTAGCAACGCTGCTGCCAGTTGCCTAGCAACCAGGTCCCCACTCATGGAGAAGGTGCTCGGAGCAGGGTCTGAGCTGTGTGGGGAGAGGTCTGGTTTTCCTGCAAAGCTCGTGCAGGAAGTACAACCCCATGACCGGGAGGGAGCTGGTGATTCAGCTCAGGGGTCACCCACACAGCCTTGACCTGTGACCTTTCATCTCAGTGGATCAGGCATGGGACCCCCGTGCTGAGAAGGAGGCAACTCTGAAGGGGCCATTCAGCTGTGTGGGTGCCAGGGGCCTGTCTGCAGGAGTGATGCTCAGCCACTGATCTGGGGCCCAGCTGTGGCAGAGGTGCCCTGGGCACTGATCTGGGGCCCAGCTGTGGCAGAGGTGCCCTGGGCACTGATCTGGGGCCCAGCTGTGGCAGAGGTGCCCTGGGCACTGATCTGGGGCCCAGCTGTGGCAGAGGTGCCCTGGGCACTGATCTGGGGCCCAGCTGTGGCAGGGGTGCCCTGGGCACTGATCTGGGGCCCAGCTGTGGCAGAGGTGCCCTGGGCACTGATCTGGGGCCCAGCTGTGGCAGGGGTGCCCTGGGCACTGATCTGGGGCCCAGCTGTGGCAGAGGTGCCCTGGGCACTGATCTGGGGCCCAGCTGTGGCAGAGGTGCCCTGGGCACTGATCTGGGGCCCAGCTGTGGCAGAGGTGCCCTGGGCACTGATCTGGGGCCCAGCTGTGGCAGAGGTGCCCTGGGCACTGATCTGGGGCCCAGCTGTGGCAGAGGTGCCCTGGGCACTGATCTGGGGCCCAGCTGTGGCAGAGGTGCCCTGGGCACTGATCTGGGGCCCAGCTGTGGCAGGGGTGCCCTGGGCACTGATCTGGGGCCCAGCTGTGGCAGAGGTGCCCTGGGCACTGATCTGGGGCCCAGCTGTGGCAGAGGTGCCCTGGGCGTGTCTCCAAGTGACGAACAGACCCGGGTTTCACCCCGTCTCTGCCACTGTGACAGGTGGCCTCACACCTCTGAGGCTTCGTGCTCTCAGCAGTGGCCGGGTATGGTGGGGGTGACTGAGCTCCAGGAGCACACAGCAGGTGCTGGGCCAGTGCCGTGTCCTGGACCCAAGCATCTTACCCGCTTGTTTACGACGAAGCTTTGATCTGTCGAGAGCTGGCCGGGTGGGGGCATTTCGGTGTGCCGGGAGCCCAGCTGGGGGGTCCGGGCCAGTCTGTCCAAGGCTGTGTCTCCGTGTGAGTCGTGGTCCCCGTGTCTGTGTGTCCTTGTGTGTGTCTCTCTGTCCTGTGTCTCCAATCCTGTGTCTGTGAACCCGTGGGCATCTCTGTCCGTGTGTCCTGGCCTGTGCGTGTGTGTCTGTCTGGGGTCTGTGGGTCTGAGCCTCCTTTTTCATCTCTGTGTGTCCTGGACTGTGTGTCTGTCCCCGTCCAGTGTGGGGCCGGCGCAGCCCTGGGTGCGGTGACCCACCTTCCCGCAGCCCCCACCTCCTCCAGCCTGCATAGCCCCTCCCCTTCTGGAGCTGCAGCCTCCTCCCCCTCCCCCCCAGCTTCGGGCTGCCGGCTCACTCGGCTGCTGCGTCTGGTCTGGCGTCTGCTGAGAAGATCCTCTTCTACCCTGCTCTGCACCTGTGCTCGACTGCCAGCCGGCTGAGGGCGGGGGTCTCCACGGTGGTCCCAGCTCCCAAGGAGGTTGCAGAAGTAAGGGCCTGAGCCGCTGGAGGTCGGGTGGGGGTCCTGCTGACAGACTGCAGCAAAGCAGGGCGGGTGGAGGGGGCAGGAGGAAGCTGGGTCCCAGGCGTTTCTGGGTGTGTCTCAGTCTCTTTTGTGCCTGCGTGTGCGTGAGGGCAGGTTTGGGCATTTCTGTGTGTCTGTGTGTGTGACTTGTGTCCCTGCATCCCTGTGCCTGTGAACACGCGAGTGGCTGTGTGTTCATCAGTCCCTGTGGGTGGACACGTGTCCTGGGGTGTAGCTGCCTCCAGGCACCCTGTGTGTGAGTCTCTAAACCAAATGGGACCGTGTCCTTGCGGGTGCATGTGTGTCTTTGTGTTCTGTGAGTCCCTGTCTGTGCACACGTGTCCTCGTGTCTCCATGTGTCCCTGCATGTGCATGTGTGCCTGTGTGTTCTGGTGTGTGTGCCCGTGTGCCTCAGTGTCTGTGGCTGCCCAGCGTGGGGGTCCATGTGCCTGCTGGGCTGCACGTGCTGGGTTGTGAGGCCTCCGCTGGGCGTGTGTCTGGCACTGCAGCCACTTGTCTCTGCGCTCTGTCCCAGGTACCGTACAGAGTGGATTTGCAGGGCAGTGGCATGGAGCCCCTCTTCCCCGCGCCGTTCTGGGAGGTTATCTACGGCAGCCACCTTCAGGGCAACCTGTCCCTCCTGAGCCCCAACCACAGTCTGCTGCCCCCGCATCTGCTGCTCAATGCCAGCCACGGCGCCTTCCTGCCCCTCGGGCTCAAGGTCACCATCGTGGGGCTCTACCTGGCCGTGTGTGTCGGAGGGCTCCTGGGGAACTGCCTTGTCATGTACGTCATCCTCAGGTAGGCTGGGCCCCAAGGTTCCTGTCTGGTGAGTCCCACACGGCTGCAGAGGGGGAAACTGAGACGGGGTCTGTTCTGGATGGGCCTGAGCAGGTGTTGATTTCCTGCTTCCCCCATTCAATGTTTTTGACCCTGTCCAGGAGGCAGGGTCAGTCCTGAGGCCCTGGGTGCTCCCCTCCACAGGGAGGGGAGGGGAGGGGGCTGGCCCTGGCCCACCGCGCTCTGTCCCAGGCAGAGACGTCACCACCCTGACCTCTGGTTTGAGCTGTGGACCAGGCTCTGTGTCAAGCTGTCTGCTTGAATGACCTCATGAGATCCCACAGCGGCCCTGGGAGAGTCTTTTTTCAGCCCATTCCCTAGATGGGCGAAGGGAGGCGCAGGGGCTGGAGCTCGGACCGTTCTGAAACCCCTCTCAGGCTCCAGGGCTCCTGCTCATGGCAGGTGTCTGTGGCTGAGCCCATGATCTGTTGGTGCTCAGAGATGGGAAAACTTGTGGGGGCCATTGAGAGAGCAGCTGATAGTTGAGATTGAGGGGGCAGTGTGGGGGCAGTGTGTGGGGGGCGGTGTGTGGGCAGTGGGTGGGGGTCAGTGTGTGGCAGTGTGTGGGGGGCAGTGTGGGGGCAGTGTGGGGGTCAGTGTGGGGGTCAGTGTGGGGGCAGTGTGGGGGTCAGTGTGGGGGCAGTGTGGGGGGGGCAGTGTGGGGGCAGTGTGTGCGCAGTGTGGGGGCAGTGTGTGGGGGCAGTGTGGGGGCAGTGTGTGGGGCAGTGTGGGGGCAGTGTGGGGGCAGTGTGTGGGTCAGTGTGTGCGCAGTGTGGGGGTCAGTGTGGGGGCAGTGTGGGGGTCAGTGTGGGGGTCAGTGTGGGGGCAGTGTGGGGGGGGCAGTGTGGGGGCAGTGTGTGGGGACAGTGTGGGGGCAGTGTGGGGTCAGTGTGGGGGTCAGTGTGGGGGCAGTGTGGGGGGGGGCAGTGTGGGGGCAGTGTGTGGGGACAGTGTGGGGGCAGTGTGGGGTCAGTGTGGGGGTCAGTGTGGGGTCAGTGTGGGGGCAGTGTGGGGGGGCAGTGTGTGGGTCAGTGTGGGGGCAGTGTGGGGGCAGTGTGTGGGTCAGTGTGGGGGCAGAGTGGGGGCAGTGTGGGGGGCAGTGTGGGGGGCAGTGTGGGGGGCAGTGTGGGGGCAGTGTGGGGGCAGTGTGGGGGGCAGTGTGTGGGTCAGTGTGCGGGCAGTGTGTGGGGGTCAGTGTGGGGGGCAGTGTGGGGGCAGTGTGGGGGGCAGTGTGGGGGGCAGTGTGGGGGCAGTGTGTGGGTCAGTGTGGGGGCAGTGTGTGGGTCAGTGTGGGGGGCAGTGTGGGGGGCAGTGTGGGGGTCAGTGTGGGGGCAGTGTGGGGGCAGTGTGTGGGTCAGTGTGGGGGCAGTGTGGGGGCAGTGTGGGGGCAGTGTGTGGGTCAGTGTGCGGGCAGTGTGTGGGGGGCAGTGTGGGGGGCAGTGTGGGGGCAGTGTGGGGGCAGTGTGTGGGTCAGTGTGGGGGCAGTGTGGGGGGCAGTGTGGGGGGCAGTGTGGGGGTCAGTGTGGGGGCAGTGTGGGGGTCAGTGTGGGGGCAGTGTGTGGGGGGCAGTGTGGGGGCAGTGTGTGGGGGCAGTGTGTGGGTCAGTGTGCGGGCAGTGTGTGGGGGGGGACAGTGGGGAGCAGCCAGGGACATAACGGGGGACAGCGTGGGGGGATAGTGTTAGGGACAGTGGGGGCAGCCAGAGGAATAGCAGGGGGATAGTGTGGGGGACAGTGGGGAGCACCCAGGGGGATAGCGTGGGGGGATAGCATGGGGGGACAGTGGGGGTGGCCAGAGGAATAGCGGGGGGATAGTGTGGGGGAGATGGTGTGGGGGGGATAGTGTCGGGGAGATCGTCTGGGGGGATAGCGTGGGGGAGATGGTGTGGGGGGGATATCGTGGGGGAGATGGTGTGGGGGGGATAGCATGGGGGAGATGGTGTGGGGGGGATAGCGTGGGGGAGATCGTCTGGGGGGATAGTGTCGGGGAGATGGTGTGGGGGGGATAGCGTGGGGAGATGGTATGGGGGGATAGTGTGGGGATAGTTGGGGGGAGCTGGGGCGATAGCGGGGAGATAGCATCGGGGGGATAGTGTGGGGGATAGTGGGGGGATAGTGTGGGGGAGATGGTGTGGGGGGAGATGGTGTGGGGGGATAGCGTGGGGGAGATCGTCTAGGGGGATAGCGTGGGGGAGATGGTGTGGGGTGGATAGTGTGGGGGATAGTTGGGGGGAGCTGGGGGGATAGTGGGGGGATAGCATCGGGGGGATAGTGTGGGGGGGATAGTGTGGGGGATAGTGGGGGGATAGTGTGGGGGAGATGGTGTTGGGGGAGATGGTGTGGGGTGGATAGTCGGGGGGGAGCCGGGGGATAGCATTGGGGACAGCATGGGCACAGCATGGGGGGCAGCGTGGGGGTGGGCAAGGAACCCTTCACGTGGATTGTGGATTGGGCAGGTAGAAGATGGAGATGACTTAAGCAGAAAGGGAGGGTTTTCTGGGCAGAGGAAATGATGGACCTCAAATCTATCCAGAGAAGAGAGAACTGAAGGGGCTGGGGACAGCAGGTGGGATCTTGAAGGCCCGGTTGGGGGAACTCTGTTCTTCAGGCAGTGGGGGGTTATGGGTGGTGCTTTAGCAGGAAAATGACTGACAGCTGGAATGAGGTTTCTTATTGGTCCAGGATGTTTGCCTGGACCCGGAAAAAGGTGATTCTGAAGAAAGTGCCCAGGGATCTAAAGCAAGTGTTCCCTCCTTACAACCTCAAAGGGCCCCAACCGGAGGTGTTATGTAGGTAGAGGCGGGACAGGGTAGTGGGGGTGTTCAAGCTGCCACCATCCTAGCCCTGTCCTCTTAGTGTCCCTGAGAAAAGCTGTTCCCCTCTGGGCCTTGTTTTTCCCATCTGGAAAGTGAGCAAGGTGGACCATGCAGCCACGTGTATATGTATGTGTGTGTACATGTGTGTGCAGGTGATGCGTGGTCAGACGAGACAGTGGGAAGAACAGCTGTCCCTCCCCACTGCTGACTCCTAAGGGAGGCTCCTGGGGAGGTTGCCTCGTGATGTGCATGTCCCATTGTGGCTGGCGGGCGTGTCACGGCTGAGGAGTGCGGCAGCCTGGGGAAGTCCCTGGGCTTGAGCACCTTTCCTGATATGATCGCTTCTCTACTGTGTTTCTCCTCTGCATTGAGGCATTTAATCTCTCAGAGGCACTTCCTGGATTAGAGCAGACAGGGAAGGTCCTCTGCTGGCCAGAGTCCCCAGAGAGAGCAATGCTCAGGAGCTGCCGTGGCCACACTGGCCCGAGAGGCCGCATGCAGCATGTTTCCAGCCAGTGGGCTGGGGTGACCATCTTGGGAGTCAGGACACTCCGTTCTGAGCCCTGCTCTGCTTTTTACCAGCTCTAAGGCCTTAAAAAAACAACATAGATCCTCTTGGCCTCAGTTTCTTCCTCTATAGAGTGGGGATCAAAGTAGTATTTTTGCAAATCTTCAATGACATAAATTCCCCCTGAAGAGCTTGGCACAGGTATTTGCCATGATCATTGTCATTGTTGTTGTCTCTTCGTAATTGCGGCCTCTTTGTGCTTATTCATAATCCCTCTCTAACAGGCAGAATGGAGCCCCATATTTCCTCACGGCAGCTACACTGACACAGAATAGTGTCATCTTGGGTGCTGCTGCCACTGCCAATATCGCCGCCACCATCATCATCACAATCATCACCATCACCACCATCATCACCACTATCATCATCACCACTATCACCACCACCAGCACCTTCATTATCACATTCACCATCCTCACCATCCTCACCACCACCATCACCACCATCATCACCATCATCATCATGACCATCACCACCATCACCACTATCACCACCACCACCATCATTACCATCATCATCACGACCATCACCACCATCATCACCATCACCACTATCACCACCACCACCATCATTACCATCATCATCACGACCATCACCACCATCATCACCATCACCACTATCACCACCACCACCATCATCACCATCACCATCATCACAGTCATCACCATCATCACCATCATCATCATCACCACTACCATCACGCTCACAGTCATCACCATCACCACCATGATCACTGCCATCATCACCACCACCATCACCACCATAATCCCCCCCAACTATTACAACCATTAACTTATTTAACAAAAATTTATTAATCACCAACGATTTTCCCAGCCCTTTCCAGCACCATTTCAGGTGCTTGGATACACTCATACCTTATTAGCATCCCTCCTGTCCCCCCGTCACCATTTTCGGTCTCCATTGCTAGGCAGCAGTGTGGACTTGGAAGCCTTTTGATATGTTCTTACAGATTCTGGAGCCCTCAGAAACCTCTGGCAACTGTAGGGTCAGCATTTGAGTCTGTGAGGGGTCATGGAGGGGACTCAAAAGCAAGGGGAGCAGACTCTTTCCCTTAGGGCTCTAAACCTTTGCTCCTGTGCAGAATCCGGGGTGTGTTCTGGTAGCCTACATGCCCTGACTCCTCTAAAGTAGACCTGTGTTTAAGGCTTGGAATCCTTCTGTGTGTGTCAGAGTCACTTGAGGAGCTGGTTAAGACGTTTGACCCCAGGCCCTACCCCCTGAGACTGACTCATGAGTCTCAGGTTGGGTCCAGGAGCTATCACTTACCAAGCCCCCATGGGAACTCTGATGTTAAGGGACTCAGGGCCACTGTAGCTTGTGGTGGCCAAGAGGAGCCCCTTGCCCTTTGCTGCCTGGTCCAGCCAGCATGGCCAAGTGAAGCCTTTCTTCTCCCTCTACTCCGCAGGCACACCAAAATGAAGACAGCCACCAATATTTACATCTTTAACCTGGCCCTGGCCGACACTCTGGTCCTGCTGACGCTGCCCTTCCAGGGCACGGACATCCTCCTGGGCTTCTGGCCGTTTGGGAATGCGCTGTGCAAGACAGTCATTGCCATTGACTACTACAACATGTTCACCAGCACCTTCACCCTAACTGCCATGAGTGTGGATCGCTATGTAGCCATCTGCCACCCCATCCGTGCCCTCGACGTCCGCACGTCCAGCAAAGCCCAGGCTGTCAATGTGGCCATCTGGGCCCTGGCCTCTGTTGTCGGTGTTCCCGTTGCCATCATGGGCTCGGCACAGGTCGAGGATGAAGGTCAGTGGGGTGTCCCCTCCTCCCCTCACCAGGCTCCCTGGCTCCCGGGTGGCTCCTCTGGGCCCACGTGCCCTCCACGTCTCCTGGGCCCACTCTGACCCCGTTTCTCTCCCTGCAGAGATCGAGTGCCTGGTGGAGATCCCTACCCCTCAGGATTACTGGGGCCCGGTGTTTGCCATCTGCATCTTCCTCTTCTCCTTCATCGTCCCCGTGCTCGTCATCTCTGTCTGCTACAGCCTCATGATCCGGCGGCTCCGTGGAGTCCGCCTGCTCTCGGGCTCCCGAGAGAAGGACCGGAACCTGCGGCGCATCACTCGGCTGGTGCTGGTGGTAGTGGCTGTGTTCGTGGGCTGCTGGACGCCTGTCCAGGTCTTCGTGCTGGCCCAAGGGCTGGGGGTTCAGCCGAGCAGCGAGACTGCCGTGGCCATTCTGCGCTTCTGCACGGCCCTGGGCTACGTCAACAGCTGCCTCAACCCCATCCTCTACGCCTTCCTGGATGAGAACTTCAAGGCCTGCTTCCGCAAGTTCTGCTGTGCATCTGCCCTGCGCCGGGACGTGCAGGTGTCTGACCGCGTGCGCAGCATTGCCAAGGACGTGGCCCTGGCCTGCAAGACCTCTGAGACGGTACCGCGGCCCGCATGACTAGGCGTGGACCTGCCCATGGTGCCTGTCAGCCCGCAGAGCCCATCTACGCCCAACACAGAGCTCACACAGGTCACTGCTCTCTAGGCGGACACACCCTGGGCCCTGAGCATCCAGAGCCTGGGATGGGCTTTTCCCTGTGGGCCAGGGATGCTCGGTCCCAGAGGAGGACCTAGTGACATCATGGGACAGGTCAAAGCATTAGGGCCACCTCCATGGCCCCAGACAGACTAAAGCTGCCCTCCTGGTGCAGGGCCGAGGGGACACAAGGACCTACCTGGAAGCAGCTGACATGCTGGTGGACGGCCGTGACTGGAGCCCGTGCCCCTCCCTCCCCGTGCTTCATGTGACTCTTGGCCTCTCTGCTGCTGCGTTGGCAGAACCCTGGGTGGGCAGGCACCCGGAGGAGGAGCAGCAGCTGTGTCATCCTGTGCCCCCCATGTGCTGTGTGCTGTTTGCATGGCAGGGCTCCAGCTGCCTTCAGCCCTGTGACGTCTCCTCAGGGCAGCTGGACAGGCTTGGCACTGCCCGGGAAGTGCAGCAGGCAGCTTTTCTTTGGGGTGGGACTTGCCCTGAGCTTGGAGCTGCCACCTGGAGGACTTGCCTGTTCCGACTCCACCTGTGCAGCCGGGGCCACCCCAGGAGAAAGTGTCCAGGTGGGGGCTGGCAGTCCCTGGCTGCAGACCCCGAGCTGGCCCTGGGCCAGCCGCACCTCTGAAGGTTTTCTGTGTGCTGCACGGTGCAGGCCTCATCCCTGACTGCAGCTTGACTCTGGGCCCAACCCCCATTTCCCTTCAGGAGACCAGCGAGAGGCCCTGGCCCATTCCCTCCAGCGGTGCAATGAACTATCATGCTGTGGACCGTCAACCCAGCCCTGCTTCTCAGTGTGGGGCAGGTGTCTCAGGACGAAGGCGCCGCGTGACCACATGGGCAGCTCTGTTCACAAAGTGGAGGCCTCGTTTTCCTGGTCTTGACTGCTCTGTTTGGGTGGGAGAAGATTCTCTGGGGGTCCCCACATCCTCCCAAGGCTCCCCTCACAGCCTCTCCTTTGCTTGAAGCCAGAGGTCAGTGGCCGTGCTGTGTTGCGGGGGAAGCTGTGTGGAAGGAGAAGCTGGTGGCCACAGCAGAGTCCTGCTCTGGGGACGCCTGCTTCATTTACAAGCCTCAAGATGGCTCTGTGTAGGGCCTGAGCTTGCTGCCCAACGGGAGGATGGCTTCACAGCAGAGCCAGCATGAGGGGTGGGGCCTGGCAGGGCTTGCTTGAGCCAAACTGCAAAGGCTGTGGTGGCTGTGAGGACACTGCGGGGGTTGGGGGGGGGGCGTCTGTACCTCAGGGGATGCCCCGCTGTGGTCACCCAGAGAATCACCCTTCCTGGTCTACAGATGGAAGCTGCAGGTTGGTGACTTTGCAAATGCACTTCCTACAGATGAACTATTAAAAGACCTGCAACATTGAAAAAACTCATTTTTTCCACCAAAACCTTGGCCAGGTAACCTACCTTAGGCACCTGCAAAGAACAGGAAGTGATGGCTGTCTCGCAACAGAGCCTGGGCTGCTCCTCCTGCTCTGGGGAGTCTAGGCCGTGGGGACTGTTCTGGGGAGGCTCATGCTGTCTCCATGACGTCTGTGGCAGGAGTCCCTGAGGACGGGAGCTGCCTAGCTACAGTTTTCTTGCCAAGGCGAGGTGTTTTGTGAATCTGTGCTGATGTAATGTGCACCTTCACGTATTTATGCATGTGGCAAGCGTTACTTCCTGTGCACGTAGCCAGCCCTGGGTCTGTCTCTGGGGTAATGAAAAAGGACCCTAATAAACACCTGCTCACTGGCTGGGTATTCTTTGTAACCAGTGTTTCTGGCTCCTGCCACCTGGGGATTTGCTTCTGGAGTGACTTTTCTGGGATTGGCACGTGGGTGGGAGGAGGCTATGGGTTTAGGCTGAATTCTTGTACCTGTCCTGTGCTGCTCAACAGGCTGGGCTCTGCCCTCAGTGAAACGTCCCCCAGGAGGCTGCAACCCTGGGGAGAGTTGAAGCCAGTTAATGGTGTGTTGGCCGGGCTGTTACCTTTTCTTCAGCACACACGGTTTCTCTCTAAACAACCGATGGCTGCACCTCTCCCCTGCCCCCTGGAAAGAGAGGTTTCCTGAGGATACAGTGGGAGGGTGCTGCTCCCACCCAGGTTGCAGGGTTTTCTTACCCCCATTTCATCTCAGAAGAACCCCTGCTCCTGCTCATTTCCCCTTCCTTGAGCAGATCTGAGGGGAGTTTTGGTGAAGGATGAGCAGACGGCCTCCTCTAGGGCTGGGTACACTCTTGCCATGGACATCTGCCTCCTGGTTCCTGTTTGGCCCAGTTCAGCCCAGGCCGACCTGCAAAACAGAGCAGCTTTGGAGGGTGGGCACGGGCACACTCCAGTCCAAGTACTCGTCTCCAGGGCATGGGCAGATGGGCAAGTTCTGTAGGATTTTCTGTAGGTTTGAATGACAGACACTGTCTTATCCTGGACTGCTATAGCAAAGTACCATAGACTCAGTGGCAATAGAGACATCAGATGTTTATTTCTCATGGTTCTGGAGGCTGGAGATCTGAGATCAGGTGCAGGCACGGTCAGGTTCCGGGGAAGACCCGCTCCCAGGCTGCAGAGGGCCATCTTCTCACTATGTCATGACATGGGTTTGACAGCTGGAGAGCGTGCCTTTCCTAAAGGCACTCATCCCATTCAGGAGGGCTCTGCCGTCATGACCTGTCATCTCCCAAAGGCCCCCCTCTCCTGATACCATCAGCTTGGGGGGCTGAGATTTCAAAATGCAAATTTTGGAGGAACACAAATAGTTCATAACAAACACATTGCCATCAAAGCAAAAATATAGCATCAAGGGACAATTTGGGAGGGAGAGGCTGCACCGGGGCAGTTACTGTGCCCTTGGGCCCGGGAGATGGTATGGTCTTGGTAGAGGAGGCTCACACATGGTGCGGACTGTCCTGTCTTCGGGTGGGTGTGGATCCAGGGCTAAGCCCACAGCTAGTGTCTTCCAGAAGGAGCTGGCCAGACAGGGGCCAAGGGCCGTAGGAGGAGTTGGGGGGCGTTGGAAGCTGACTAGCTCCCTTGCCCTCCAGGACTGGGTTCCACCCCGGCCCACTCCACCCCTCCTCTGACCGCACCCTGGGTCTCCTCTCCAGCCCCCGGCTCCCCCAGCCCACCTCTGCTGTCGGGCTTGGTCAAGTCGCCTGGCTTTTCTGAGCCTCGGTTTCCTTCCGTGTGCAAAGGGGACCGCAGAACCCTCTTTGTGGGGTTGTGGGGGAAGGCTGGGGCGCCCGGGAGGGTCCCGGGTCGCGTCCGACCTCAGGAAGGCGGGGCTTCAGCAGCGGCCTCGGACCCTCCCTCCAGGGGGCGCTGTGGGCTCACGCGGGCCCAGCCTTGGGCCCCGGGGCGCTGCGGCGGGAACCGCGGTGACTAGCGGGGTCTTAAAGCGGGTGGCGGGGCCGGGCTCTCCTGGGACCAGGAGCCCAGAGCGTGGAGACGTGGCGGGCTGAGCCGCTCAGTGCGGCCCCTGCCCCGCGCCCACCCCGCCCCGTGTCAGGAGGTCCGCGGAGCGGGAGGACCCGCCTCCCGGGGAGAGCTCGCCCGCCCCTCCCTCCCGGCTGGCCGCGGGGCGGTCTGCAGACCCTTTGGCCGTGCCGGATCTGCCTGGTCCCCGGGGAGAAGACGCTGAGGATCCCATTGCTGGTCTGTGGATGGGGACAGGAGACGCCCGAGGTAAGAAGGGGTCCGGGTTCTTTGGAGGAATCCTGGTTGGCGCCTTCTCTGCAGCAGAGACGCCCGGCTGGGGCCGGAGGGCAAACTGGGGGCAGGGTGGGAGACCTCGGCCCTGAGGGCTGTAGGGGCTCTTGCCTGGGCGCTCCTTAAGCTCCCCCGCCCCCTCCGCCCCCCACCCCGCGGTGCTCACTCTCAGTCCTGCCTTGCGCACATTCCCACGCCCGGGCCTCTCCTGCCCGCCCCTCGTTGTTCACTTGCTCATTACGCCTCACACCTGGCTCTGCCGCGGGCTTGGAGCGGGTGTCTGGGAAACACAGTCTCACTTGTCTCCTCAAGGGGCTCCGGGGCACCGTAACAGCGTGCAGAGCGCAGTCAGGCTGCCGTGCTGCTGCTTTGCGAGGTGTGACTGCAGCGCAGCCAGGAAACAAATCCAGGGACAGCTTGTTCTTCCTGCGGTGTCGGTGTTGGTGGTGGCTTAAAAATTGCCCACAGACTGGGCTCATGCCTGTAATCCCAGCACTTTGGGAGGCTGAGGCAGGAGGATCACTTGAGCCCAGGAGTTTGAGACCAGCCTGGGCAACATAGTGAGACCCCGTCTTTCAAAAAAAAGAAAAATTTGCCTGGCGTGGTGGCGCACGCATGTAGTCCCAGCTACTCCAGAGCCTGATGTGGGGGGATTGCTTGAGCTCAGGAAGTCGAAGCTGCAGTGAGCCGTGACCCCACCACAGCACTCCAGCCTGGGCAGCAGAGTGAGATCCCTTCTCAATTAAAAAAAAAAAAATTGAAGCAAAAGAAAAATAAACCGTCTACAGCCCCCGAGTGTGGGCTGGACATGTGACTTGCTTCCAATGCACAGAATGTAGTAGAAGGGAAGGCAAGTGGCTTCGGAATCTTGGCCTCAAATGTATTGAGGCTTCCTCTTGGCTCCCCCCTGGGTCGCTGGCTCCTCCCTGGGTCGCTGGCTCCTCCCTGGGTCGCTGGCTCTGGGGGACCCAGTGCCATGTTTCGAGGACACTCAGCCCCTGAAGCATCCATGTGTTGAGGAGCAGAGGCCTCCTGCCCATAGCCATGGAAGGAAGACTTCTCAGAAGAAGATACCCCAGCCCCTGCCCAGCCTTCAGAGGGTCAGGGCCTGGGCCAAGGTCCTGACTGCAACCTCAGGAGAGACCCTGAGCCAGAACCACCCAAAAAGCCACTTTAATTCTTGAACCACAGAAGTGAAATAGTAGAAGTTGTCTTAAGCGGCTAAGTTTTGGAGAAATTTGTTATTCAGCAACAGATATCTAATACAATGTTGTCAGGGAGGATAAGTGGATGGAGATGGCCGTGGCGTGTTTGGCTGGCTAGCACGGAGGAGGGGCACTGCTGCAGGCCTGAGCCGAGTGGGCTGGAACGCTGGAGTATTTGGTGGATGGGTGGAGGTGGGCATACACCCTGGGACACCTCGTGGGGCGGTGAATGGTGGGTCCTGTGTGCCGGCTGGACAGATTGATCAGAGCTCTGGGTCATGAGGACTGAAACCAACCCAGAACACTCACACCTCACTGCCAGGCTGGAATGCCAGGCATGGAACCAGCTGAGAGCCATGGGGCCAAGAGTCGGGGCCTGGCCACAGCACACCTGGGACCAACCCCTGGCCCCTCCCACCTGACAGTCAGCGGTCTCTGAACTGCCTGCATTTCATTACCACCCCTCACCCTGCCCCCACCAGAGTTTCAGCATGCAGCTCCTGCTGGCTGATTACAAGCCCCTGGCCACACCCCGGGAGAGAGAGTTCCAGGTGCCAGCCTGTCCAAGTGATGGATGGTCCCTAGGCTGTGGTGGCCCAGAGGTCCTGGCAAAAGGGCCCTGTAGCCTCTAGTAAAGTATGAGAGGAGCATCGGCCACAGCAGGGGTGTACAGGCCATGGCGAGGACCGTCGGCCACAGCAGGGGGGTACAGGGGAGCACAGGCCATGGAGAGGACCGTCAGACACAGCAGGGGGGCACAGGGGAGCACAGGCCATGGTGAGGACTGTCGGCCACAGCAGGGGAGCACAGGCCATGGAGAGGACCGTCGGCCACAGCAGGGGAGTATAGGGGAGCACAGGCCATGGAGAGGACCGTCAGACACAGCAGGGGGGTACAGGGGAGCACAGGCCATGGAGAGGACCGTCGGCCACAGCAGGGGAGTATAGGGGAGCACAGGCCATGGTGAGGACTGTCGGCCACAGCAGGGGGGCACAGGGGAGCACAGGCCATGGTGAGGACTGTCGGCCACAGCAGGGGGGTACAGGGGAGCACAGGCCATGGAGAGGACCGTCGGACACAGCAGGGGGGCACAGGGGAGCACAGGCCATGGAGAGGACTGTCGGACACAGCAGGGCGGGTACAGGCCATGGCAAGGACCGTCGGCCACAGCAGGGGGAACACAGCAGCACAGGCCATGGCACATGGGCACGGCGGGGCTGGGCCTCCTGCTGGAACTCCACTTGGGCTTCAGGCCACGAGAGTGGATTTCTGGGTCTCATGCGGTGCAGGTGTCCGCCTTTGCAGCAACACAGCATCGCTGCTGCCTGAGGTGCCCGCACTTACCACCCCCCGGCCCCATCTTGGGGAGAGACTATGTAACGTGGCCCAGGTCAAGATCACAGTTCAGGTTCCCTCCCCTCCCGACCACTGTCATTAGGGATCCTGAGTCCCAGAGCCTTCCAAGGGGCTTGTCCATCTGTCTGTCTCTCGTGGGTAAGTGGGCCCGGGATGCTTGCTGTGTGGGGGCCTCTGCCAGGACCTGGATCCCTGCTGCTGTCCACCCAGGGGCTGTCCAGGAAGCAGAGACATGGGAGGTATATGCCCACGGCTGTCTGTAGGTCTGGTGGCCAGCGTGTGAGGGTCTGTGTCTCCTTGCGTGGAGAGGACAGCACTGGGATGTGAACAGGCCGGGCGTCCCCTGAAAGAGACAGCCGGAACTGGGTGGGGGTGGGCGTGATGATGGGGGTGATGGTGGGGGTGGTGGGGGGGGTGGGCGTGATGATGGGGGTGGGGGTGGGGGTGGGGGTGATGGTGGGCGTGATGGTGGGGGTGGGGGTGATGGGGGTGGGCGTGATGGTGGATGTGATGGGGGTGGGCATGATGATGGGCGTGATGATGGGGGTGGTGGTGGGGGTGATGGTGGGGGTGGTGGTGGGGGTGGGGGGGGGTGGGCCTGATGGGGGTGTGGGCATGATGATGATGGGCGTGATGATGATGGGGGGTGATGATGGGCATGATGATGGGGGTGATGGTGCCCAGGCCCTTCAGCACCGCAATATGCTGCGGAAGTTCTTCCGGAAGTTGTCATCTAGAAAGGCGTAGAGGAAGGGGTTCAGGCACGAGTTGGCGTAGCTGAGGCTGGTGATGACGTAGGACATACTGATGACCAGTGGGGTCTGGGGCAGGTCCGTGGTCAGGGCCACGACAGAGGCCAGGTGGAAGGGCGTCCAGCAGAGGAGGCACACGGCCAGCACGACGAGGACCAGGACGGTCACCTTCCGCCTGGCCTTGCCTAGAGCCTTGGCTCCAGAGCGGAGCCGCACGGCCCGCAGCCTGCGCAGGAGGTCTGTGTAGAGCACACAGATGGTGCACACGGGCAGCACGAAGCCCAGGACCAACGTGTAGACACGGCTGGCCTTGAACCAGACCTGCTCGGGCCACGGGAAGCTCAGCCCACAGCTTGGGACCTGCAGCTCGTTGCTGTAGACGCCAGCGAAAGAGAAGAAGGGCAGAACCAGGACCGTGACGCCCAGCCAGACACACAGGCTGGCGACCTTCGCCCCCCGGTAGGTGCGCCAGGGCATGTGGCGGGACCTCACGGTGGCCAGCACCACCAGGTATCGGTCCACGCTCATCACGGCTAGGAAGTAGATGCTGGAGAAGATGTTGTAGTGGTCGACGGCCAGCACCAGCTTGCAGAGCAGCTCCCCGAAGGGCCAGTACTGCAGCAGGTGCTCCGCGATGTTGACGGGCAGTACCAGCGTGAAGAGCCCGTCGGCGACGGCCAGGTTCAGGATGAACACGTTGGTCACCGTCTTCATCTTGGGCGCCCTTAGGATTACAAGGATGACGGCCGTGTTGCCAGTCAGCCCCACAGCACAGATCCCGGAGTACACGGCGGGCAGGAGCACATAGAGGAACGGCAGTGGCTCGGAGAAGGTGGCATTGTGGCCAGTGCCATTGTCCTGAGAGACGTTGGCACCCATCGTGGGGAGGGAGAAGGAGCCCCTGCTGTCAAGGGGCTCTGGGTGCCCAGCGGCCTGCATTGTAGCTGGGACCGTTGACGATTTGCGCCCTGGGCAGGTGGGAGGTGCCTTGGAGTTGGGTATCTGGTTGGGGGCCTCCTTGGGCTGGATTCTAGGAAAGAAAAACAACCAGAGACTTTGAGATCCGGCCGTCTGTTAGGGCACAGCCACTCCAGGTTCTCTGGCAGAGACTGCGGCCACTTTGCCAGGTCAAGGACATGGGGCCAGAGGGAGCCTGGTGGGGTGTGTGGGGGCCTCCTCCCGCCTCTTCCTGGTGAGACTTCAGCAGATCAGTTCCCTCCTCCCGCAGAGAGCAGCTGCTGGCCACCCTCCTGGGAAGAGATGTGGATCCGTCCCTGCCCCAGCAACCCGCAGATGCACGGGCTGCGTAGAATCAAGCGGTCCCTTTGGAAACACACCTCCCAAGCTCATCTCTGGCTCCCTTGAATCTGAAGGTCCTTCCCTCAGGGGTCTTGGAGTCTGCACCCTCCCTCACACCCTCCCGAGAGATGCTGCAGACCCTGCTGGTCCAGCTACTCTTCTCTCCACTGACCTGTCCAGTGCTTCGAGTCCAGAAGTTGGTAGCCTTGGTGTGTTCCTGGTTTTGGCCAGTACAGGCAGTCGCAGGGATGGAGGGCGAGGTGTGGTCCTCACTGACAGACCTCCAGCTGAGGTTTCAGGAGTTTCAAGACCTGCCCTGCTGGCTGCCTCAGCCCCGGCTGCGAGGTTCCCAGCCTGGTGTCAGTGCTGATGCTGGTGAGGGAGGGAGGCGGATCCCCCTTGCTGACGTGGAGCCCGGAAGGCAGGCCCCACCTTCCCCTGAGCTGCAGTAGCGCCTGCAGTCGGCTGTCCCAGGGTCTCCTCAGCATTCACTTACCCAGGCAGACTCCTCAGTGGGCGGCTGAGGCACGTGTGCGCCTGTGTGTCAGGAAGGGACTCCATGCAGGGGCCTCTGGGTGTGCCCAGGTCTTCGGGCAGAGGGCACTGAAGGCATCTGTGCCTCTGTCCGGGAGTCACTGTGGGCCTGGGCACCCTTATCTGTGAACATGGGTGTCTTGGTGGGTCTCCTGCCCCACCCTGTGTGTGTACATGGTGTGTTCCTGTGTGTGTGTGCCAGTTAGGACATGTACGTGTGTGGGCCTGTGTCTGCCTGTATGGGGGTCTCTGTGGGTGAGCTCTGCGTTGTATCTGAGTGGGTCTACATGTCCTTGGCTGAGTGTGGGCATCTGGGGGGTCTGTATGCCCTCATGTGGAAGCAGAACTTGTTGGCCATAGGCAACCCACCTTCTTTTTTTGTCTTTTGCTAAAAGAGGAACTCAGCCTAGGCAAGCTGTGAAAGGCTGCAGAGAAGACGTTCTCACGCTGACACGTAACTCTCCCGCCGTCCTGCAGAGGTGGTGAGCATCACACTCTGCTCTGGGTTGGTCTTTAAGTCCTTCCCTTCTCCCTGCTTTTCTTCCTTGCTGGACGCACCCTGGCTTATCCAACCCGTGTGTGTGCAGCTCGGCCGCATCTGGACCTGCTTTGCAGGCAACGCCACAGCTGACACGAGCAGTCGCCAGTCTCAGAGCCGCTCCTCAGCGGAGACGTGTTGGGTCAGAGGGTCTGTGTTTTCTTTCCTTTCTTCTTTTTTGAGACAGGGTCTTGCCCTGTCACCCAGGCTGGGGTGCAGTGGCACTATCATGGCTCACTGCAGCCCTGACCTCCCTGGGCTCAGGTGATCCTCCCACCTCAGCCTCTCAAGTAGCTGGGACTACAGGCATGTGCCACCATGCCTGGCTAATTTTTGTGTTTTTTTTTGTAGAGACGGGGTTTCACCATGTTGCCCAGGCTGGTCTCGATCTCCTGAGCTTCAGCCTCTACCTCAGCCTCCCAAAGTGCTCAGGTTATAGCCATGACCCACCGTGCCTGGTCACTGTGTGTTTTCAGTCTGGGGAGATGTGTCTGCCCATCGAGACTGTGCCCGCTGCCTGTGGGGTTGCAAGGATGTCACCGCACACTCATGGTCGGCCTTCTTTCCTGAGAGTTGCTCTGTCAAGTCTATTGGTTAGGACAGGAGCCTGGGCAGTCGCCCTGAGTACCCTGATGTCGCCAGCCTGAGGGTACACTGTGGGTGGGCCCCGAGCTACCCTTCTATGGGCTGTGCCATGTGGATGTTGAGTCCGGGGTCAGGGAACCCTGCTGAGATATCTCACACTCCTCTTCAGCCAGTTTGGGGATGGCGGTGGGGGGGATCTGTGGGTGTGTCTCGAGGGAGCGTGGGGCTTGTAGCCACAGTTTGTCACATAAGTGGAGCTTGACGCCCACAAGGTCAGGGGATGGTGATTAGCAGCCGTGAGGAGAGGGTGCATTGGGGCTGAATTTTGTGATTTGGGGTGTTCGTGGGGTCGGGAGGGGTCAGTTCACAGCTCCTGGAAACCAGAGGCGTGACACAGAGAGGCCAGGCCTGGCATGTGGTGGCCCAGGCATTGACCAGGGTGTGGGCTGGGCCAGGCGGTCACTGGTCTTGGCTGGGGAGCGGCCGACCATGGCCTCAGCACCGGGCACTGGGAGAATGTCCCAGGCCTGCTGTCACCGAGCTGCTGTCCTGGGGTGGGGCTGGCCACGCTGGCCTGATTCTGGGCCTCCCTGGGGGCCTGCTGTCACCGAGCTGCTGTCCTGGGGTGGGGCTGGCCACACTGCCTGACTCTGGGCCTCCCTGGGGGCATTGCTGGGGGCCTCTCCCTTCCATGCATTTTGGGAGGGGCCCAGGCTAGTGCCGGTGCCTTCCTCTGCCCCCCAGGGCTGGCTGGCAGCCTGCCCAGTGACCCCCGTGTGGCCTGAGCTCTGGGCACCCCTGCTGGTCTTTGCCCTGCAGGATACCGACTGCCACCCACACCTTCTTCAGAGCAGGGTGTTCCAGGAGGGTCTTCCCTTAAGCCTCAGTAGTGGGGAGCCCAGTGTCAGAGGCATCCCTCAGAGCACAGAATCTTCCCATGCAAAGATCCCACTGTGTGTCTGGCTTCCTCTGAAGCCAACCACGAGTCTGGGTCCTCTTCCCTCCACCGGTATCTGGTGAGTCTGGGAATCGGAGCCCCTCCCAGACTCTAGCTCTGCTCTCCTGAGCCTGTCCTGAAGGCTGGTCTGGCACCACCGCCCGCCGGTCACATTGGAGGTGGGGTGCGCATGATGGAAGGGATGGGGACCCTGAGGGCAGTGGGGATGGGGGAGACTGCCAGGTGCTGAGCTCAGGACCCCGGGGAGGCCGGCTGGAGGTGTCAGGTCCTCCTGGCCACAAAAGCAGCAGCCCCAGGGGCCTTTTCCTCCTCCCAGAAGCACCTCACCGATGCCCGCTGCAACACCAGGGCCTGAGCCGGGGGTGCTCCCCCGTCTGTACCCCCAGCACTCAGGGCTCAGAAAGGCCCTTTGCTCTGTTCGTGGGCTGGGCATTGTTCCAGCCAGCTGTGAGCTTGTGAGAGCATCGTTCTGTGGAAATGGTTTCCATTTTCAGAAATAAATTGGCCTTTTCAAATGAACCTGTGAGGCCCTTTGGGTGAAGAGAGGAGAGGCCAGGGAGGGAGGGAGCCGTGGTCAGCTCTGTTGGGCAGAACGGTGGTGGGGGCCTGACAGCAAGGCCACTGACATGGCACATCCTCTGTCTGGGGTGTGGGGTGAGGGAGTGATGGGTGCCAGTCAGTGTGCATCTGAGCATTTTGTGGGGCTGCGTGTGGGGGTCTTGCAGGGACCTGAAGGAGACCCCTAGGGCAGGGGCCAGGGAGAAGCGCCAGGACCCTGGGACAGCCTGAGCAACACACAACATAGCTGTGCTGGCTTCACGCTTGTTGCCGCTTCACATAGGTGTGGCAGCTGCCCTCCACCTGTCCCCCTGTGTGCAGGGACACCTGTCCCTCAGTCCGTGCTGCGACTTGGATCTTCACACGGGCATGCATATGTGTAGCAGGCATACAGACCCAGAGATTCATACAGACTCCAGTGTGCTTGTTGACCATCTCATCTCCAGCCAGGCAGGCCCTGGTAGGAGGGGTGGATTCTGCCCTGTGGCCAGAGTCCAGGCCTGTCTGCCCTGCTCTCTCTCCTCCATCAGCTCTCCAAGATGAGCCTCAACTGTAGCTGTGGCCCTGCAGGTTAAGTCCTCCCAAGAGGCCTAGGCCATTAAGACCAGTGAGAGGGCCGGGGGCGGTGGCTCATACCTGTAGTCCCAGCACTTTGGGAGACCAAGGTGGGCAGATTGCTTGAGCCCAGGAGTTCGAGACCAGTCAAGGCAACATGGTGAAACCTCATCTCTACAAAAAAAATACAAAAGGCCGGGTGCGGTGGCTCACGCCTGTAATCCCAGGACTTTGGGAGGCCGACGTGGGCAGATCACCTGAGGTCAGGAGTTCAAGACCAGCCTGGCCAACATGGCGAAACCCCGTCTGTACTAAAAATACAAAAATTAGCCGGGCGTCATGGTGGGTGCCTGTAATCCCAGCTACTCGGGAGGCTGAGGCAGGAAAATTTCTTGGACCTGGGAGGCGGAGGTTGCATTGAGCCGAGATCATGCCACTGCACTGCAGCCTGGGGGACAGAGCGAGACTCTGTCTCAAAAAAAACAGAAAAACAAACATTAGCTGGGTATGGTGGTGCATGCCTATAGTCCCAGCTGCTTGAAAGGCTGAGGTGGGAGAATCGCTTGAGCCCAGGAGGTCAAGACTGCAGTGAGCCGAGATCGTGCCACTGCACTCCAGCCTGGGTGACGGAGTGGGGCCCTGTCACAAGGAAAAAAAAAAGACCAGCGAGAGTTCCAGGCCTGGTGTTCTCTAAGCAGGTAATTGGGCAGCTTAGCTCTCTCGAAAGAGATAAGTAATTCAGGGCCAGTTTCCCTCAGAGTGGGAGGTGAATTCTCCAGGGAAGCTGGGAGAAAACACACTTTATTTATAAAACTGGGAAGGGGCCATTTCTCATTTAAATTCAGGATTCCCCACCATACCTCGGGGCACCCGCTGCCTCTCTCTTTCCCCGTCCAGTCAGCAATGAACTGTCCCCAGGGGAGGTCATGTTAGACAGGACCATAGACACCGGGCACCTTAGCTCAGGGCAGGTGAGAGGGGCCAGGGTAGCCAGACTGGGTCCTCAGCCACCTCCCAAATACCCGAACTTAGGCCCTGAGTCATTCATCTGCTGCACAAACACTTGCCCAGGAGGACTGCGGTGAGCACAGGGAACAATTCCTGCTCTCGTGGGGCTGGCCCTTTGGTGGGGGAAGCAGATGGTAGATGAAATAGTGCAGTGCACTGTGGAGCAGGAGGAAGGGGAGCTCTGGGGGCAGCAGGAGGCCACTGGGCCTTGCAGAGAAGGCAACGCTTGTGCTGAAACCCGGAGTGGGTCGGGGAGGCTGGGCGAGTGGGGGCAAGGCCCCTGGGGGAAAGAGGGCCCTTGGGACCAGGTCCTAAAGCCAGAGGTTCTGGAGGTGACAGCTGGGGGAGCAGAGGCCTGAGCAGGTTGGGGAAGTGGCTGTTGCAGGGAAGCCGGAGGTCACGGTGGCGTGTAGGTCTGCCTGCCTGTGGGCAGCCCCCACCCTGACCAAGGCCTTCTGCAAGTAGGGGTTTACAGGGCTACTGGGGCTGGGGCACCGAGGCCTCCCTCTCATCTCTGAACCTCATCTGCTAAAGCTGTGCCTGCCCTACCCACATGCCTCCTGCCGCCCCAGGCGCGTGTAGGCGGCAGGCTCAGGGAGCCTGGTGCAAAGATCCCATCGTGACTGAAGCACGCAGACAGGAAGGAGGGCGACTGTTCCCTAGGGCCCAGGCCTGTCTCCTCTTGGGGCTGGGAGGGTTGCTTAAATCAATTATCAAAGCGCTTGCAGCCTCCTGCTCACTCACAAAGACCCGAATCCAAGCACAGGACAGCAGGCCCCCAGGACAGTCTTCCCCAGTGGTGACTGCTCCCTGTTCTCCTTGCCTTGTCCAGTCCCAGGCCCTAATAACCAGGCATAGGCCCTGGAATGGGCCCGCCCTGAGTTTGGAAGCTTCCAGGTGCTCTCTGGAGGCACAATCCCAGAGGGCTTCACTGAGGAGGTGTCACTGTGCCTGGCCTCAGGGCCGTGTCCCTGGGTGATCTCAGTGTGTCTGGAGATGTAGGAGAGGGCTGGAGGGGGTCTCACTCTGTCCTCAGGGCTGGGAGCAGCTGTGGCCACTCGGAGATCGTGGGCAGAGTGGGCAGGCAGGTGCAGGCGCCTTTGAGTCTCCAGGGGAGGGGGTTATTCAGGTGTGTCAGTGCGTGTGGACACACATGTGGCTGGGCGGGAGTGTGTGTATGTCCTGTGACATCCTTCACCGGTGCCTGCAGTGGCAGAGCGCCCTGAGCCCCCATAGAGGGCCCAGGAGTGTCCGAGACCTGACGTGGACTATGTCTGGCTTTCTCGTCAGGCCGTGAATTCTTGCTGAAGGATCCTCAGATGGGAAAGGCTGATGCATGCCCAGATCTGGAGGCTTTTGACTCGCCTGTTGGCTCCTGGCCTGGAGACAACCCTGTAGGCCGGCAGTCCGTGTCCCTCCACAGGAGGACCGTGCCTACGTGGCTGGTTTCTGGGCCTGGGGAGTATGGGCTGCAGCTCTGGGATGCTCCAGGGGCTAGATTTGTTGACCTTGGACCGGGCTCTCCGTCGTGGGCAGATGAGGAGGGGTGGGAAGGTTGGAGGAGAAAGGCTGGGTGAGGCAGCCCCCACCACCCTTTCTGGATCTCTCACCTTGGGGACATCCAGACAGGAGAGAACAGATCCAGGCTGGCAGCTGGTAGGGTCGGAATGATGGGCCCTGTTGGAGGTGAGGGAGCTTCTGACCTTGCCCATTCTCTTCCCCTTCTAACCTGCCTGGCACAAACCCCGACCTCAAAGGATGGATAGTGGCCTGAGCCTGTGGCAGAAGCTTCAGCTACCCCCGGGGACTGGCTGATCCTCGTGCTGTGACTGCAGTACACACACACACACGCACATACACACCTGCTCACAGATTCCAGCACACACAGACCTTAGCACACACATACACACAAGCACACAGATGCCAGCACGTACACACCTGCCCTCCCACACATGGTCACACGCTTACACTCCATTGTTGCATGACCTTCTCCAGATCAGCACCTGCCATGTCCTGCCTGCCAGGTCGTCTTCAGGCCAGGAGCCATTGCTTGTGGGTGGTGGGGTGGGGCTCTCTTGAGCTGATTGCTGTGAGACGAACTGGGCTGGGGAAGGCTGGGTGGCGGTGTGGGACCAGGCCCTGCTGGAGAGGGGTCAGGGGTGGGGTGGAATGTTAGAGTTAGGGGCAGTGGCCGGGTCAGGGTCAGAGTCCCACAGCCACATGCTTGCTGCCCTGCATCCTTGCAGCATTGGCGTCGGTGCACACGCATGTTTCATTCCCCGTGTTCATGGCATCCAGCCCCCATGTGTCATGTTCACATGCCCTGTCTCATTTGCTCATGCAAGGCTAACATCGTTGTACCCACACACGTCTGCATGCATGACTCGATGCACTTTTGGGCCCCACTTCAGGCTTCATGTGCTGGCTGCACACATTCCTGCTCACACGTCCCGTGGACATGCCCTGAGTCTCTCTGATAAGGTTCAGAGCCCAGGAGGGCACCTCTCACTCGGGGGAGCCTGTTCCTGACCCTGTTCTCTGCTCGAGGAGCCTCGGGAGGGTCACTGGGCAAGCATCTAGGAGGAGCCAGCAGCTGCAGGGCTGGAAGGGCCATGGCCCACGCCTTTCTGTGGCCAGTGAGCAGGGATCCTGCTGTGATGAAATCTCAGGCAGGCTGTGGCACGGGGGATGCCGAAGGTGAATCTGTGTAGCTGTGAGGACCCTGAAGAAGAGCTTTGCCGGGCGGGCAGCTGGGGCAGTGCTGGGAGGTGGCACCTGGCTGGTGCATGTTGTATCCTCTGTCTCCAAATCCCCGTTCTCTGCACAGAGCTAGACATTTTGCTGCACCGGCGAGGACTGGAGTGGAGTCACCCTCAGCTCTGGGGACCCCGCTATGGGCCAACTCCTCCCTGGACCTCCTGCTGATGGGCTGCCCTGGTTCCTATCTCCACCCCTTTGCTCCCAGCACCTCTGCTGGTCCATGTAACCAATGTGCCCTGCATGCCAGGCCCTGGGCTCAGTGCTGGGGGCTCAGACTGGGCTGGGACCTGGCAGGGGTTGGGGTGGTACCTCTGTCCAGGGCTTGTGGATGGGACTCTTTTGCTACTGCCTTGGCAGCAGCCAGGAGGGGGCCCAGCTGAGGACTGCAGCTCTACCCAGTCCAGAACGTTTGACCATGCAGGGGGATAGGCTCCACTTCCAGAGTCTGTGATGGTTTTTTTTTTGTCAGAGGAACTGAGCTAGAAAGAGCTGTGAATGATGGTTCAGCTCTGAGAAGCAGATAAACCTTTATAAGTCAGAAGGGGCCTCAGTTTCTCCATTTGTCCTGGCCCTGTTTGTCACATGCCCTTCAGGACACACACATCTGTCTCTCCTGCATAGCCCTCCATGGAGTCCTGGGCCAGGTTCCGGGTCCACCCTGTCCCCATCCCAGTGTGCTCAGCCCAGGGCAGTAGGCCACATCACACCAGGTCTTCAGTGGCCTCCCTCCTCCATCCCCAGGGATGTCGCAGGGATGGCAGGTGGAGGAGGCTTTTACCAGGAGAGGCAGCACTGGCAGGAGCAGGTTTTTAAAGTCTTGAGGTTGTCATAGCAACTGCATCCCTGCTGAGGTTCTGAGGTTCGGTGGCTGTGCAGACGTCCATGTGCTGGAGCTGGGCATGTACAAAAGCCACGTGGTGGCTCCAGGCTGCTGCTGTGGCACAGGTGTGCCTTGGCGTTGGTGAGGTGTGGCACGGCTGTGCGGTGGCGCAGGTGAGGTGAGGTGTGAGGTGGTATACGTGGCCTTGCGGGGCAGTTTTCCTTGCCTGTGACCTCAGCCTATATCCAGCTCCAAAATGTGGTCTGCAGTGGGGAAGGGCAGGAGCTGGATCTGGCCCTCCCCTGTGCTGACCTAGATTCTGCCCGGCCTGCAGGTCCTGCAGCAGACGTGCCTGTAATGAGTCTAATTGTGCAGGCTCTGTGGTCACCATAGCTTTCGGTACCCAAGGGGGTAGACAGAGGTTTGAATCTAGGACTGGGCAGCTCCCTCACCTTCCACCCCCACAACCGTGGCCTCAGTCATCAACGGACGAGGCCAAGTCAGTAGCGGAAGCCGGGCCGTGCCCTCGGCTGGGTCCTGTGGCCTTCGGGCTGCCACCCTGTGCTGGGGATGGAGGTGGGGGCATGGGGCTGCTGCCAACACCCGGCTGGTGCTTGCAGCTGTGGTGCCAACAATTCTCACGCCGCGCTGTCGTCTTTTTGGCTTCTGGAATTTTGAGCCAATTCGGGCTCACCGGGTTGATGCCGCCCCTCATCTGGCCGAGGCTTCTGGGAGCCTGAGGGAGTCGGGACCCCACCCTCAGCGGGGCATGGCGTGGGCCACGTCACCATCCGCCTTGTGTTTATGGGATGATTTAAAAGAACACGGCAGTCTTGGAAGAGTGGTGATGGCGTTTAGCTTAATGGCTTTTGATGCAGAAGCCAAAAGCGTGGTCTGGGCCAGACCTAGGCAGTCAGGGCTCTGGGCTGGGCAAGGGCACCGTATGAAAGGCTGGGTGGGGATCAAGGGGAGCCAGGGTTCAGGCTGGAGGCCCCCTGAAGGGAGATGAGGGTCTGCAGGGGCTGTGGCATGAGGATCTTCATGGCTGCAGTCTTGGAGGAGAGCAAAGTCCAGACAAGCCTAGGGACGGGACAGAGGAGGTGGACAGAGGTGGACAGAGGTGTGGGAGGCCGGCCACGGCCCACTGCACAGGGGGTCTTGGGGACGCCAGCTCAGCCCCAGGCCTCAGCTGAATGGTTGCCTCCCGCCCAGGTCGGGCCCCACTTCTTGTGCCCAGGGCCCTCTCTAAACTCTTCATCATGGCCCCTCTCCGCCTCCCCCCGGACTCCAGGCCAGCGCTGTGTCTGTGCTGTGCGTCTTTTGAGCTTTGTCTCCAGCCCTGGACCCTGGGGCTCCTCCTTCTCGGGCCTCTTCCTGAAGCCTGAGGAGCCACCCTCTGCTGGGGGAGGCTGAGTGTCCCTGCCTAGTCTGGGTGAGGGGAGTCACAGCCCGGCCCAGACCCCACCCCGCTTACATGTATGGCAAGCCATGGCCTTGCTCTCCAGAAGCCATGGCAGCCGGGTGAGGATACTGTGAGCACAGGACTTGGTGTCCATCTTGGCTGTGCCCTCTCAGGAGCATCAGCCTGGTGACCTTGTGACCTCTTATGTCCCCTCTGCAGGAAGGGTGACCAACAGTCTGGATTGGCCCAGGACTGTCCAGGTTTTAGCACTGAATGCCCCACATCCCAGGAAATCTCTTGGTCCTGGACACACTGTTTATCAGTAGGGCCTACCCGGGGGACATATGAGAAAGTGTTCCCTCCAGGAGAAGCTGTGCTGGGCATGAGGGCACTCTGATGTGTGTGTGGGTGGCCTGGGCAAAGCTGTGCGGGGCATGAGGGCACCCTGATGTGGGGGGGGGCCTGGGCAAAGCTGTGCGGGGCATGAGGGCACCCTGATGTTGGGGGGGTGTCTGGGCAAAGCTGTGCAGGGCATGAGGGCACCCTGATGTGACGGGGGGGCCTGGGCAAAGCTGTGTGGGGCATGAGGGCACCCTGATGTTGGGGGCGGTCTCTGGGCAAAGCTGTGCGGGGCATGAGGGCACCCTGATTTTGGGGGTGTGTCTGGGCAAAGCTGTGCAGGGCATGAGGGCACCCTGATGTGGGGGGGTGCCTGGGCAAAGCTGTGCGGGGCATGAGGGCACCCTGATGTTGGGGGGGGTCTCTGGGCAAAGCTGTGCGGGGCATGAGGGCACCCTGATGTTGGGGGGGTGTCTGGGCAAAGCTGTGCGGGGCATGAGGGCACCCTGATGTGGGGGGGGTTGTCTGGGCAAAGCTGTGCGGGGCATGAGGGCACCCTGATGTGGGGGGGTCTCTGGGCAAAGCTGTGCGGGGCATGAGGGCACCGTGATGGGGGGGTGTCTGGGCAAAGCTGTGCGGGGCATGAGGGCACCCTGATGTGGGGGGGGTGTCTGGGCAAAGCTGTGCGGGGCATGAGGGCACCCTGATGTGGCGGGGGGGGGCCTGGGCGAAGCTGTGCGGGGCATGAGGGCACCCTGATGTTGGGGGGGGTGTCTGGGCAAAGCTGTGCGGGGCACGAGGTCACCCTGATGTTGGGGGGGGGTGTCTGGGCAAAGCTGCGCGGGGCATGAGGGCACGCTGATGTGGCAGGGGGTGTCTGGGCAAAGCTGCGCAGGGCATGAGGGCACCCTGATGTTGGGGGGGGTGTCTGGGCAAAGCTGTGCGGGGCATGAGGTCACCCTGATGTTGGGGGGGTGTCTGGGCAAAGCTGCGCGGGGCATGAGGACACCCTGATGTGGGGGGGGTGTCGGGGCAAAGCTGTGCGGGGCATGAGGGCACCCTGATGTTGGGGGGGGTGTCTGGGCAAAGCTGTGCGGGGCATGAGGTCACCCTGATGTTGGGGGGGTGTCTGGGCAAAGCTGTGCGGGGCATGAGGGCACCCTGATGTGGGGGGGGGTGTCTGGGCAAAGCTGTGCGGGGCATGAGGGTACCCTGATGTTGGGGGGGGTGTCTGGGCAAAGCTGTGCGGGGCATGAGGGCACCCTGATGTTGGGGGGTCTGGGCAAAGCTGTGCGGGGCATGAGGGCACCCTGATGTGGGGGGGGTGTCTGGGCAAAGCTGTGCGGGGCATGAGGGCACCCTGATGTGGGGGGGTCTGGGCAAAGCTGTGCGGGGCATGAGGGCACCCTGATGTGGGGGGGGTGTCTGGGCAAAGCTGTGCGGGGCATGAGGGTACCCTGATGTTGGGGGGGGTGTCTGGGCAAAGCTGCGCGGGGCATGAGGGCACCCTGATGTGGCGGGGGGGGGCGTGGGCGAAGCTGTGCGGGGCATGAGGGCACCCTGATGTTGGGGGGGGTGTCTGGGCAAAGCTGCGCGGGGCATGAGGGCACCCTGATGTTGGGGGGGGGTGTCTGGGCAAAGCTGCGCGGGTCATGAGGGCACCCTGATATGGTGGGGGGTGTCTGGGCAAAGCTGTGCAGGGCATGAGGGCACCCTGATGTGGCGGGGGGGCCTGGGCAAAGCTGTGCGGGGCATGAGGGCACCCTGATGTTGGGGGGGGTGTCTGGGCAAAGCTGTGCGGAGCATGAGGGCACCCTGATGTTGGGGGGGTGTCTGGGCAAAGCTGTGCGGGGCATGAGGGCACCCTGATGTGGGGGGGGGTGTCTGGGCAAAGCTGTGCGGGGCATGAGGGCACCCTGATGTGGTGGGGAGGGCCTGGGCAAAGCTGTGTGGGGCATGAGGGCACCCTGATGTCGGGAGGGGGGCAGGCCTGGGCTCAGCCAGAAGACAGCCCCAGTTCCTCCAGCATGGCTGGGCCCCATCCCACCTCACTTCCTTCCATCTCCACCTTTGCCGACTCCTGGGATCTGAGCCTCCTCCTGGTCTGTCTCTGGTTCTGAATGCCTCCTATGTGCCGGGTGCTGACAGCTAAAGATACATCCGTGTTTCATTTTGTCTCCACAATGGCCAGGGGCAGTACTACTGTCATCCCATCTAGCAGATGGGAACAGGAGGCTCTGATGGAGTTTCCCTGGAGCGTGCTTGCTAACCGTGGAGCAACAGGGCACTCAGCTTCCGCACGGAGCTTCCCAGAGCCTGTGGCTTCCTCTCAGGGCTCCGGCAGTGTTGAATGTGGGGAGCTCACACTCTCACCAGGGAGACCTCATACCTGCTGCTTATCACCTGGGAGATGTTTTCTGCCCACAGAGGCTCCGTCACATCTCTGGCTGCTCGGGGAGGTGAGTGGGGCCCTGCTCACTCAGGACAAAGGAGGCTGAGGTGGAGCTCTAGGCCCCTCTTCCCCACCCACTTGAGTGCACCCCGAAGGCACGTGGAGTTCCTGGGGTGCTGCCTGTGGTCGGGCCAGAGACTGCTCCACTGTCCAAACTGTGCTCATAGGTATGTGGCCTGGGGACTGTTGCCGTGGAACCGGGTAAAGAGCCCTGTGGACCTGTGCTCCCAACTCAGGCCAGTCAAGGGTGCCACTGTGGCCTAGATAGTCTCCTGAGGGGAGCAGACCAGGTGGAGGTCAGGAGTACAGGTCTGGGACTGGCTTTTTCCTTGCTGTGTGGCCCAGGGTGAGTTACCCAACCTCTCTGAGCCTCTGTCTCCTCACTTGTCAAATGGGGATCGTAATTTTCCTGCCTCAGGCTGGAGGCTTGCACGTGTTGGGCCAGCCCCATCTGAGGTCCCACCTGCCCGTGCTGCTCTGGACCTGGTCTGGGGTTTCGGCCTTGGGCCTGGGCAGCTCAGGTGGATGCTTGGAGGGAGCACTGACCTCAAGTCAGCTGTGAGTAGGACGGGAGGCTGGTGAGCGGCAGCAAGCTGCAAGCCACAGGCAGGGAGAACTTCCCGGAGGTAGAGAGAGAGAGAGAGAGAGAGAGAGAGAGAGTGTGTGTGTGTGTGTGTGTGTGTGTGTGTGTGTGTGCGCCCTTCTTAGCCTGGGCAAAGAATTGGGAGACCAGCAGGCCAGCGCTGGCTCTGCCATGGAGGGGAAGCACTTTGAAGCCCCACTGTTCCTGGACTAGCTCTGCTGAACCACAGAGGGGCCGCCGTTTTCCCTTGGCTGGGGTAGAGGAACAGGGTCCTTCCTGTGGCTCCTGGCTGAGCCAGGTTCTGTGCGACGCGGACCAACCCTGACCCCCAGTGGCCAGTTCCGAGAACTGCTGCAGAGGAAAAGGGACCATTCAGTAGGGTGGGGGTGGGGGCTTGCGCGGCATTCATTTTCGAGTGGACATGGGGGCAGGCAGGCCAGTCTCTGATGATTTAAGGATGCTGTGGTTTGAATATTTGTCACCTCCAAAACTCAAGTTGGAATTTAATCCCCAATGTGGCAGTATTGAGAGGTGGGGCCTTTAAGAGGTGATTGGGTCACAAGAGCTCTGCCCTCATGAATAGATTAATTTATTTATAGATTAATGGGTTATCATAGGAGTGGGGCTAGTAGCTTTATAAGAAGAGAGAGACCTGAGCCAGCACGCTCAGCCCCTCACCATGCGACGCCCTGCACTGCCTTGGGACTCTGGGGTTCCCACCAGCAAGAAAACCTCACCAGATGTGGCCCATTGACCTTGGACTTCCCAGCCCGCAGAACTGTAAGAAATACATTTTGTTTCTTTTAAATTACCCAGTTTCTGTTATAAGCAGCAGGAAACAGACTAAGACAAGGGGCAAGCCAGCCTCTGCCCACAAGGAGCTCCATTCTGGTGTGGAGAGACCCAAACACACAACTATGCTCTTTGTCTTGCTAGAGACTTGTTTTGTGGTGGCCCCAACCTCAACTTGCCAGCAATTTGTAAAAGAACCAAGTCAATTTTACACAGCAAATTAAACCCCAGGGTAAATGTGTGTACCTGGATTCCAATAGTAGGTAAAGATTCTTAATGGTGAAAACTATGACTCCTGTTAAAACTCTTGTGTTCTGTTCTTACCACTGAGTTTAAACAACAACTCTGTGCTAATCGTATAAAGAATATTTTTGTCTGGACTGTCTACGGCCAAGTTCTCCACCCTGGATGTGCACAGAATCCCCTGGGGACTTCAGGAGCTCACTGGAGCTGGTTCCACCCCCATGCCCAGGCTCTGATGTGCTTGGTCTGGGCTGGGGCCTGGGCACCAGTGTTGTCCTAGTTTTGTGTTGCTATGAAGGAATATCTGAGGCTGGGTAATTTCTTTTTCTTTTTCCTAGGTGAGGAGAAGGATAGAGGCTGGGCCATTATAAAGAAAAGAGGTTTGTTTGGCTCACGGTTCTGCAGGGTGTACGGGAAGCACGGTGCCGGCACCTGCTTCTGGGGAGGCCTCAGGGAGCGTGCACTCATGGCGGGAGGTGTCTCATGGTAAGAGAAGAGGCGAGAGAGAGGGGCGATGCCAGGATTTTTTTAAAACAACCAGCTCGTGTGGGAACTAATAGAGCAAGAACTCACTCATCACCATGAGGAGGGCACTAAACCATTCATTCTGGATCCTTCCCTATGACCCGAACACCTCCCACCAGGCCCCGCCTCCAACATCGGGGATTAAATTTCAACATGAGGTTCGGGGACAAACGTCCAAACTATAGCAGGTATTTCTGAAGAACACCCAGGTGTTTCAAAGCTGGGGTGAAGCCGTGGGTTAACACTGTTTTTCAGACATGGCTGGAGACCTGGGGTTCCTACACCACAGAGTCTCCCTGCCAGAGTTCTCAGCTCCTGGGGAGGCTGAGGTGGGTGGATCACTTGAGGTCAGGAGTTTGAGATCAGCCTGGCCAACATGGTGAAACCCCGTCTCTACTAAAAATACAAAAAATGTAGCCAGGCGTGGTGGCACACACCTGTAATTCCAGCTACTCAGGAGGCTGAGGCACGAGAATCACTTGATCCTGGGAGGCGGAGGTTGCAGTGAGCTGAGATCTCACTACTGCACTCCAGCCTGGGTGACGGAGTGAGACACTGTCAAAAAAAAAAAAAAAAAGAAAGAAGAAAGAGAAGTATCATGATAAAAGAAATAATATTTTAAAAAAAGACAGTGTGGTATTTGCATCAAGATAGACAGATCAATAGAACAAATTAGAGATACCAGAAATAGACCCACAAATATGAGCAAGTGATTTTCAACAAAGCTGCAAAGGCAATTCAATAAAGGCAAGTTTTGTTCTCAGTAAATGATGCTAAACAGTTGGATATCCATATGCAAAAAAATGAACTTTGATCCATACCTTGTACTATATTAAAATATTGTCAATATGGATCATAAACCTAAATGTAAAAGCTAAAATTATAAAACTTCTATAAGAGGACATAGAAGAAAACCTTTGCAAACTTAGATCAGGCAAAACATTATTAGATAGGATATCAAAACATAATCCATCAAATAAATAAGATGTTTCATCAAAACTAAGAACTTCTGCTATTCCAAAGACACTGCTAAGAAAATGAAAAGACAAGCCCAAGGCTGTAAGACAATTTTTGCAAATCACATATTTGATAAAGGACTTGTATCCAGAGTATATCAAGAACTCTCAAAACTCAATAACGTTAATGGAAAAAAACAGATTCTGTAAAATATTTTAAAGAGGTTTATTCTGAGTCAATATGAATGACCATGGCCTGGAGAAAACAGTTTCGAGAGGTTCTGAGAAAGCCTGGAGAACACAGTTTCGAGTTTCCTGAGAAAGCCTGGAGAACAGTTTCGAGAGGTCCTGAGAAAGCCTGGAGAACACAGTTTTGAGTTTCCTTAGAAAGCCTGGAGAACACAGTTTCGAGAGGTGCTGAGAAAGCCTGGAGAACACGGTTTCGAGAGCTCCTGGGAAAGCCTGGAGAACACGGTTTCGAGAGGTCCTGAGAAAGCCTGGAGAACACGATTTCGAGAGGTCCTGAGAAAGCCTGGAGAACACGGTTTCGAGAGGTCCTGAGAAAGCCTGGAGAACATGGTTTCGAGAGGTCCTGGGAAAGCCTGGAGAACACAGTTTCGAGTTTCCTGAGAAAGCCTGGAGAACAGTTTCGAGAGGTCCTGAGAAAGCCTGGAGAACACAGTTTCGAGAGGTCCTGGGAAAGCCTGGAGAACACGGTTTCGAGAGGTCCTGAGAAAGCCTGGAGAACACAGTTTTGAGTTTCCTGAGAAAGCCTGGAGAACACAGTTTCGAGAGGTCCTGGGAAAGCCTGGAGAACACGGTTTCGAGAGGTCCTGAGAAAGCCTGGAGAACACGGTTTTGAGAGGTCCTGAGAAAGCCTGGAGAACATGGTTTCGAGAGGTTCTGGGAAAGCCTGGAGAACACAGTTTCAAGTTTCCTGAGAAAGCCTGGAGAACAGTTTCGAGAGGTCCTGAGAAAGCCTGGAGAACACAGTTTCGAGAGGTCCTGAGAAAGCCTGGAGAACACAGTTTCGAGTTTCCTGGGAAAGCCTGGAGAACATAGTTTCGAGAGGTCCTGAGAAAGCCTGGAGAACACAGTTTCGAGAGGTCCTGGGAAAGCCTGGAGAACACAGTTTCAAGAGGTCCTGGGAAAGCCTGGAGAACACAGTTTCGAGTTTCCTGAGAAAGCCTGGAGAACATGGTTTCGAGTTTCCTGAGAAAGCCTGGAGAACACAGTTTCGAGAGGTCCTGGGAAAGCCTGGAGAACATAGTTTCGAGAGGTCCTGGGAAAGCCTGGAGAACACAGTTTCGAGAGGTCCTGGGAAAGCCTGGAGAACACAGTTTCAAGAGGTCCTGGGAAAGCCTGGAGAACACAGTTTCGAGTTTCCTGAGAAAGCCTGGAGAACACAGTTTCGAGAGGTCCTGGGAAAGCCTGGAGAACACAGTTTTGAGTTTCCTGAGAAAGCCTGGAGAACATAGTTTCGAGAGGTCCTGAGAAAGCCTGGAGAACACAGTTTCGAGTTTCCTGAGAAAGCCTGGAGAACACAGTTTTGAGAGGTCCTGAGAAAGTGTGCCCCCAGCAGTCAGATTATACTTTGGTTTCATAGTTTTCAGAGAGGCAGGAGTTACAGGCAAAGACAGAAATCAATACATAGAAGGTAGACATTGGTTTGGCCCCAAATGGCAGGGTATCTTGAAGCAGGGTGTACAGGTTATATGTTGATTCAGAGATTCTTTAATTTGCAACTGGTTAAAGGTATAAAGTTTAATTAAAAAATTGGAGTCAGCAGAAAGGAATGTTTTGAGTTAAGATATAAGCTTCTTAACCCATAGGGGTGTGTGACTTAACTCCTGTCTGGCACAGCCTTAGGTCCTGTTTATAATTTGATATCTTATTGTCACAAATAGTTTGTTTTGTTGGTCTTATGAAATCTATTTTAACATTAATGCCTGAGATGTATGATGAGATGTGTCCAACTTCCCTTCCCATCATGGCCAGGGATTCAGTTTTTAAGGTTTTCTGGGGTTCCCTTGGCCAAGAGGGGGTCTGTTGAGTTGGTGGGGGCCTTAGGATTTCATTTTTTTTTTTTTTGAAACAGAGTCTCCCTCTATTGCCCAGGATGGAGTGCAGTGGCGCTATCTCGGCTCACTGCAACCTCTGTCTCCTGGGTTCAAGCGATTCTCCTGCCTCAGCCTCCCAAGTAGCTGGGATTACAGGTGTGCACCACCACACCCAGCTAATTTTTTTGTATTTTCAGTAGAGATGAGGTTTCACTGTGTTAGCCAGGATGGTCTCGATTTCCTGACCTCATGATCCACCCACCTTGGCCTCCCAAAGTGCTGGGATTACAGGTGTGAGCCACTGCGCCCGGACACACTTTGCTAGTTTTTTTTTTTTGTTTTGTTTTTTTAGTAGCAGTGCTGGGATTACAGGTGTCAGCCACCATGCCTGGCTCAAATACTACACTGTCTTGATTACTACAGCTTTATACTCAAATACTACACCATCTTGATTACTACAGCTTTATACTCAAATACCACACCGTCTTGATTACCACAGCTGTATACTCAAATACCACACCGTCTTGATTACCAAAGCTTTATACTCAAATACCACACTGTCTTGATTACCACAGCTTTATACTCAAATAACACACCGTCTTGATTACCACAGCTTTATACTCAAATACTACACCGTCTTGATTACCACAGCTTTATACTCAAATACCACACTGTCTTGATTACCACAGCTTTATACTCAAATACTACACTGTCTTGATTCCTATAGCTTTATACTCAAATACCACACTGTCTTGATTACCACAGCTTTATACTCAAATACTACACTGTCTTGATTACTATAGCTTTATACTCAAATACTACACTGTCTTGATTACTATAGCTTTATACTCAAATACTACACTGTCTGATTACTACAGCTTTATACTCAAATACCACCCTGTCTTGATTACCACAGCTTTATACTCAAATACCACACCGTCTTGATTACCACAGCTGTATACTCAAATACTACTGTCCTGATTACTACAGCTTTATACTCAAATACCACACCGTCTTGATTACCACAGCTGTATACTCAAATACTACACCGTCTTGATTACCACAGCTTTATACTCAAATACTACACCGTCTTGATTACCACAGCTTTATACTCAAATACCACACTGTCTTGATTACTATAGCTTTATACTCAAATACTACACTGTCTGATTACTACAGCTTTATACTCAAATACCACACTGTCTTGATTACCACAGCTTTATACTCAAATACTACACTGTCTTGATTACTATAGCTTTATACTCAAATACTACACTGTCTGATTACTACAGCTTTATACTCAAATACCACACTATCTTGATTACTACAGCTTTATACTCAAATACTACACTGTCTGATTACTACAGCTTTATACTCAAATACCACACCGTCTTGATTACCACAGCTTTATACTCAAATACTACACTGTCTTGATTACTACAGCTTTATACTCAAATACCACACCGTCTTGATTACCACAGCTGTATACTCAAATACTACACCGTCTTGATTACCACAGCTTTATACTCAAATACTACACCGTCTTGATTACCACAGCTTTATACTCAAATAACACACTGTCTTGATTACTATAGCTTTATACTCAAATACTACACTGTCTGATTACTACAGCTTTATACTCAAATACCACACTGTCTTGATTACCACAGCTTTATACTCAAATACTACACTGTCTGATTACTACAGCTTTATACTCAAATACCACACTGTCTTGATTACCACAGCTTTATACTCAAATACTACACTGTCTTGATTACCACAGCTTTATACTCAAATACCACACCGTCTTGATTACCACAGCTGTATACTCAAATACCACACTGTCTTGATTACCACAGCTGTATACTCAAATACCACACTGTCTTGATTACCACAGCTTTATACTCAAATACCACACTGTCTTGATTACTATAGCTTTATACTCAAATACCACACTGTCTTGATTACCACAGCTTTATACGCAAATACCACACTGTCTTGATTACTATAGCTTTATACTCAAATACCACACTGTCTTGATTACTACAGCTTTATACTCAAATACCACACTGTCTTGATTACTACAGCTTTATACTCAAATACTACACTGTCTTGATTAACACAGCTTTATACTCAAATACTACACTGTCTTGATTACCACAGCTTTATACTCAAATACTACACTGTCTTGATTACTATAGCTTTATACTCAAATACCACACTGTCTTGATTACTATAGCTTTATACTCAAATACTACACTGTCTTGATTACCACAGCTTTATACTCAAATACTACACTGTCTTGATTACTATAGCTTTATACTCAAATACCACACTGTCTTGATTACCACAGCTTTATACTCAAATACCACACTGTCTTGATTACCACAGCTTTATACTCAAATACCACACTGTCTTGATTACCACAGCTTTATACTCAAATACCACACTGTCTTGATTACTATAGCTTTATACTCAAATACCACACTGTCTTGATTACTACAGCTTTATACTCAAATACCACACTGTCTTGATTAACACAGCTTTATACTCAAATACTACACTGTCTTGATTACCACAGCTTTATACTCAAATACTACACTGTCTTGATTACTATAGCTTTATACTCAAATACCACACTGTCTTGATTACTATAGCTTTATACTCAAATACTACACTGTCTTGATTACCACAGCTTTATACTCAAATACTACACTGTCTTGATTACTATAGCTTTGTACTCAAATACCACACTGTCTTGATTACCACAGCTTTATACTCAAATACCACACTGTCTTGATTACCACAGCTTTATACTCAAATACCACACTGTCTTGATTACTATAGCTTTATACTCAAATACCACACTGTCTTGATTACTACAGCTTTATACTCAAATACCACACTGTCTTGATTACTACAGCTTTATACTCAAATACTACACTGTCTTGATTAACACAGCTTTATACTCAAATACTACACTGTCTTGATTACCACAGCTTTATACTCAAATACTACACTGTCTTGATTACTATAGCTTTATACTCAAATACCACACTGTCTTGATTACTATAGCTTTATACTCTGTTTTGAGGTCAGGTAGTGTCAGTCCCTCTAACTTCATTTTTCAAAGTTGTTAGGGGATTATAGGTTCTTTGCAAATTTCTATGCAAATTTTGGAATCAGTTTGTTAATTTCCAGAAAAAAGCCTCTTGCAATTTTAATTGCATTAAATCTATAGATGAGTTTGGGTAGAATCGGCATATGGAGTTTTCTGATGCATGAACACAGCATAACTCCTATTTACATCTTTAATTTCTCTCAGCAGTTTTACGGTTTTTAATGTATGGCTTCTGTCAGTTGTATTTCTAGGTATTTCATTTTTTGATGCTATTATAAATAGCATTGTTTTTAAAAATGTTCATTTGATTATTCGTTTCTAGGATATAGAAATCCCATAGATTTTTGTGTATTGATTTTGTATCCTGAAACTTTGCTGAAGTTGCTTATTAGTTCTAGTAGCTTTTTTGTGGATTATACCCAACTTTCTACACAGATGATCATGTCTGTGAATTAGACAATTTTTTATTTCTAACCTGGACACCTTTTATTTCTTTTTCTTGCCTTATTGGTTTGGTTAGAGTGTCCAGTACAATGTTGAGTAGAATTGAACATCCTTGCCTCCGTCTTGCTCTGAGGAGAGACATGGATTAAGATTTAACTTGGGTTTTTCATATCAGGCTGACACATTCTCCTATTCCTAGTTTGCTGAGAGTCTTTATGAGGGATGGATTTTAGATTTTGTCAAATGCTTTTTCTGCGTCTATTATGATAATCATGTGTTTCCTTTTTTAGTTTGTTAATATAACGAATCACACTGATTTTGTTAAACTAACCTTGCATTCTGGAATAAACTCTGCTTGGTCATATTATAGTATTTTTTCAAATATTGATGGATTTTGATTTACTAAAATGTTGTTAATAATTTTTGCATCTGTGTTTATGAGGGATATTGGTCTGTAATTTTTTTTCTTGTGGTGCTTTTGGTATCAGAGTAATCTTGGCCTCAATGAATGAGTTGGGAGACAGTCCCTCTTCTTCAGTTTCCTCAAAGAGTTCTGTGAAATTGGCATTCTTTTCTTTTTGGAGACAGAGTCTTGCTCTGTTGCCCAGGCAGGAGTGGCGTGGGTCACATCAGGGCTCATTGTAGCCTCAACGTCTGGCAAAGTGATCCTCCCATCTCAGCCTTCCAAGTAGCTGGACCAGAAGTGTGAGCCACCACACCTGGCTAATTTTTAATTTTTAGTAGAGACGGGGTCTCGCCATGTTGCCCAGGCTGGTCTTGAACTCCCCACACTCCAGGGATGACACCTTCACTCAAATCACAGCCCCTCTGGCTGTTCGTTCCTGGAGCCCCTTGTGCTGCGTTGGCCCCTGCTTGGTCCTGGTCTGTCTGGCCACCCTCAGGCTCCTGCCTGGTGTGTCACACCTCCCGCATCTACTGTCCCTCCTGGCTCCAGGCACCTGCCCAGATGCCACTCCACCGTCTCCCCTCCTGTCTGAGATGCAGGGCATGACCACGGGTGCTGCTCTTAGAGCTTCATGCTCCGTCTGCCCCACTGGGAAGCAGCTGAGACCTCAGTCAGCCACCTTGGGGGCCCAGATTAGTTTGAGACACTTGAGACCTGTTAAGTCCCGTTCCACAGACCCCTCTGAGCCTCCTCCATCACCACACATGTGGGAAGATCCAGGCCAGTGGGACCTGGCCAAACTGGTGATGGGGAGCATCCCAGGGGCTTGGGGACACTTGGTGGCCAAAGGTTGGAGAGGGTGGAGGATGCTCAGCCAGAGCCGGAGCAGCCCCTTTGGTGGGACAATTGCAGAAAACTGATAGTAACGCAAACAATTCTTGTTCTAGAACTGCAAAGGAGTTTTGTCCAGAGGAATGAAGTAGATGAGTGTTTTGTGGATGTCTATTTCACACCCTGGATTGTCGATCGTGGTTTGGGTCCTCCTTGGAACTGGGCTCCTAACGCTCAACAGGCTTCTTCATTCATTATTGTTGGGGGTTGAGTTGTGTCTCCTAAAAGATATGTTGGAGCCTCAGCCGGGCGCGGTGGCTCACGCCTGTAATCGCGGCACTTTGGGAGGCTGAGGCGGGTGGATCACGAGGTCAAGAGATCGAGACCATCGTGGCCAACATAATGAAACCCCGTCTCTACTAAAAAAATACAAAAATTAGCCGGGTGAGGTGGCAGGCGCCTGTAGTCCCAGCTACTCGGGAGGCTGAGGCTGAAGAATCACTTGAACACGGGAGGCGGGGGTTGCAGTGAACCGTGATTGTGCCACTGCACTGCAGCCTGGCGACAGAGTGAGACTCCGTCAAAAAAAAAAAAAAAAAAAAGTTGGAGTCTCAACCCCCAGCACCTGTGAGTGTGACCTTGTTTGGAAGTGGGGTCTTTGCAGATTTAATTAGTCCATTTGAGGCCATGGTGGACTTGGGTGTCCTTACAAGAAGAGGGAAATTTGGACACAGAAGATGCAGAGGACAGTGCTGTGTGAAGACAGAAGTGGTGGAGGCTGGAGGGATGCGTCTGTGAGCCAGGGAGCATCCAGGATTGCCAGAAACTAGAGGAGGTGAGGAACGGTCATCCCTGGAGTCTTCGGAGGGAATGCAGCCCTGACAATACTGGATTCCAGACTTCCGGCCTCCAGAACTAAGAGAATAATTTTCTATTGTTTAAGCCAGTCTGTGGTCCTTTATTATGGAGCCCTAAGAGACCATGCAGTGTGCGTGGAAGGGGCTGCTCCAGACAGAGGAAACCACACACGCAGATGTCCCAGGAATGGGGGGTAGGGGAAGGAGGTGCTGGGTCATGGAGAACCTTTGAACTGTTTTCCTAAAGGCAATGGGAGGCTTCTTTAAAAAGCCTAATTCTGGAAAAGGTTAAAGCACACATTTTGAAGACGAAACTATGACCCTCAGGCCAGAGGTTTTATTTAACTTGTGTTGGTTTTAACCCCTGGGCCTGAGA
The DNA here is from genome assembly GCF_000001405.40 of Homo sapiens. Taxonomy (NCBI): domain Eukaryota; kingdom Metazoa; phylum Chordata; class Mammalia; order Primates; family Hominidae; genus Homo; species Homo sapiens. The sequence goes on from NC_000020.11 coordinate 64,130,895, forward strand.
ACAGAGAACAGGGTGAGTGTGACAGAGGCATGCCCGCTTCTGGGGAGGCCAGTGGGGCCTCTGCGCCTCCTGGCAGGGGTCACTCAGGAAGAACAAGAGGTCGAGTGGAAGACTATGCTGGATGTTAAAGGTGGAATTTTGGTGCATTTGTCCTGGACCACTGACGCTTTCTTGTTCAGCACAAGGGCGATGGCAATGGCCACTGGCAATCCTGGGCTCCAGGTGTGTGCATGTGTGTGCGTAGAGGCACTGGAGTATCCAGGCATGTTCATGTGTGTGAGTAGAGGCACTGGAGTACACTGGAGTATCCAGGCGTGTGCGTGTGTGAGTAGAGGCACTGGAGTATCCAGGCGTGTGCGTGTGTGAGTAGAGGCACTGGAGTATCTAGTCGTGTGTGTGTGTGAGTAGAGGCACTGGAGTATCCAGGCGTGTTCATGTGTGTGAGTAGAGGCACTGGAGTATCTAGTCGTGTGCGTGTGTGAGTAGAGGCACTGGAGTATCCAGGCGTGTTCATGTGTGTGAGTAGACACACTGGAGTATCCAGGCATGTTCATGTGTGTGCATAGAGGCACTGGAGTATCCAGGCGTGTGCGTGTGTACGTAGAGGCACTGGAGTATTGACACGCTAGGGGTGGACATGCCCAGTGTGGATGCCCTGCAGTGCTACCCTGGGAAGCAGATGATCTGGGCCATCTGGTGGCCACACTGGTACTGTGCTGCTCTGTGTTTAGCTGGGCATGTGCTCTGGGCTGGGCATGAGACAAAATGAGGATAGCTGCTGGGCTGTGGATAGTTGTTCACAGGGGTGCAGGCTGTTGTAGGTGGGCCAGGAGGGGCTGGGCAGCCCATGAGGGTGAGGCTGAGACTCCACACTGAGCCCAGGTTTAGGGGACCTGGTGGGGGTCACAGCCTCCCCTGTCCCAGACTTCTCCTGGCCTCTCTCATGTCCTATGAGACCCCCTCACTGTCCACCCTCATGTCCTGTAGAGACCCCCTCACTGTCCACTCTCATGGCCTATAGAGACCCCCTCACTGTCCACCCTCATGGCCTGTAGAGACCCCCTCACTGTCCACCCTCATGTCCTATAGAGACCCCCTCACTGTCCACCCTCATGTCCTATAGAGACCCCCTCACTGTCCACCCTCATGGCCTGTAGAGACCCCCTCACTGTCCACCCTCATGTCCTATGAGACCCCCTCACTGTCCACCCTCGTGTCCTATAGAGACCCCCTCACTGTCCACCCTCATGTCCTATAGAGACCCCCTCACTGTCCACCCTCATGTCCTATAGAGACCCCCTCACTGTCCACCCTCATGTCCTGTAGAGACCCCCTCACTGTCCACCCTCATGTCCTATGAGACCCCCTCACTGTCCACCCTCGTGTCCTATAGAGACCCCCTCACTGTCCACCCTCATGTCCTATAGAGACCCCCTCACTGTCCACCCTCATGTCCTATGAGACCCCCTCACTGTCCACCCTCATGTCCTATAGAGACCCCCTCACTGTCCACTCTCATGTCCTATAGAGACCCCCTCACTGTCCACCCTCATGGCCTATGAGACCCCCTCACTGTCCACTCTCATGGCCTATAGAGACCCCCTCACTGTCCACCCTCATGGCCTATAGAGACCCCCTCACTGTCCACCCTCATGGCCTGTAGAGACCCCCTCACTGTCCACCCTCATGTCCTATAGAGACCCCCTCACTGTCCACCCTCATGGCCTGTAGAGACCCCCTCACTGTCCACCCTCATGGCCTATGAGACCCCCTCACTGTCCACCCTCATGTCCTATGAGACCCCCTCACTGTCCACCCTCATGTCCTATAGAGACCCCCTCACTGTCCACCCTCGTGTCCTATAGAGACCCCCTCACTGTCCACCCTCATGTCCTATAGAGACCCCCTCACTGTCCGCCCTCATGTCCTATGAGACCCCCTCACTGTCCACCCTCATGTCCTATAGAGACCCCCTCACTGTCCACCCTCATGGCCTGTAGAGACCCCCTCACTGTCCGCCCTCATGTCCTATGAGACCCCCTCACTGTCCACCCTCATGTCCTGTAGAGACCCCCTCACTGTCCACCCTCATGTCCTATAGAGACCCCCTCACTGTCCACCCTCATGTCCTATGAGACCCCCTCACTGTCCACCCTCATGTCCTATGAGACCCCCTCACTGTCCACCCTCATGTCCTATGAGACCCCTCACTGTCCACCCTCATGTCCTATGAGACCCCCTCACTGTCCACCCTCATGTCCTATGAGACCCCCTCACTGTCCACTCTCATGTCCTATGAGACCCCTCACTGTCCACCCTCATGTCCTATAGAGACCCCCTCACTGTCCACCCTCATGGCCTGTAGAGACCCCCTCACTGTCAACTCTCATGTCCTATGAGACCCCCTCACTGTCCACCCTCATGTCCTATAGAGACCCCCTCACTGTCCACCCTCATGTCCAAAGAGACCCCCTCACTGTCCACCCTCATGGCCTGTAGAGACCCCCTCACTGTCCACCCTCATGGCCTGTAGAGACCCCCTCACTGTCCACCCTCATGGCCTATAGAGACCCCCTCACTGTCCACCCTCATGTCCAAAGAGACCCCCTCACTGTCCACCCTCATGGCCTGTAGAGACCCCCTCACTGTCCACCCTCATGGCCTGTAGAGACCCCCTCACTGTCCACCCTCATGTCCTATAGAGACCCCCTCACTGTCCACCCTCATGTCCAAAGAGACCCCCTCACTGTCCACCCTCATGGCCTGTAGAGACCCCCTCACTGTCCACCCATATGGCCTGTAGAGACCCCCTCACTGTCCACCCTCATGTCCTATAGAGACCCCCTCACTGTCCACCCTCATGGCCTGTAGAGACCCCCTCACTGTCCACCCTCATGGCCTGTAGAGACCCCCTCACTGTCCACCCTCATGGCCTGTAGAGACCCCCTCACTGTCCACCCTCATGGCCTGTAGAGACCCCCTCACTGTCCACCCATATGGCCTGTAGAGACCCCCTCACTGTCCACCCTCAGGACCCTCTGCATTTGCTCCTTGGGTTCCCGGAACTTGAGCTTGGGTCTTGGTCCACAGCAGCTTTGGGAAGGGCCCTCGGCTGCTTTTTGCTTCAGCAGCTGGGGAGCAGTTAACTTTCAGACCCGGCCCTCCCCCAAGGCAGCTCAGGGAGGGGCTGGACACTCGGTTATTTATGTATTTACTTATTTTTAAATCAAAGCACAGCAAACATGACCATGTGGGGGTGGCCCAGTGGACCCTCACAGTGAGCCCTGGGCCACACAGAACATGGCCCTGGAGCACCCCTATGAGGTTTTAACAGGGTTTTGGGGGACCTTGGTGCTTCCTAAAGTTTCGGGATGAGTCCCCGGGGTCTCCAGACTGCGTCTGCCTCCTCGTGCACCAGAGGGTGGCAGTAACTGTTCATGTTTGCCCCATCCAGGGGTTTTTACCAGGGGTACCTCATCCTTTCTGGGGAGTGGGGAGAGCACCTGAGGGGGTCGGCCTGGAACAGGAGGTTGCAGCCCATTGCCTGAGTCTTAAAGTGTGCCCTTCCCCACAGCACTTCAGGATCACTCTGGGACCATCCTAGGATTAGGAATTTTAAAACGTTTAAAAAAAATTATTTTCCTTTTTTTGGGGGAAATTGGTTATACATCCAGATGATTCAAAAAGTAAAAGTTTAAAAATAAATAATAGTTTAAAAAATGCGCAAAACAAAAAAACTGCATACAGTGAAAAGGAAGCATTTCTTTTTTTAAAAAATTTTATTATTATTATACTTTAAGTTCTAGGGTACATGTGCACAACATGCAGGTTTGTTACATATGTATACATGTGCCGTGTTGGTGTGCTGCACCCATTAACTCATCATTTAGCATTAGGTGTATCTCCTAATGCTATCCCTCCCCTCTCCCCGCACCCCACAAAAGTCCCCGGTGTGTGATGTTCCCCTTGAAAAGGAGGCGTTTCTGCTTCTCCTCTTTCCGGTCCTTGACAGTGATTCCGTGCATCACAAACACACACGCTCCCTCAGTTACACGAATCACAAACACACGCTCCCTCAGTTTTGTGCATCACAAACGCACACGCTCCCTCAGTTTTGTGCGTCACACACACGCTCCCTCAGTTTTGTGCGCCACAAACACGCGCACTCCCTCAGTTATGTGCGTCACAAACACAGACGCTCCCTCAGTTTTGCGCATCACAAACACACACGCTCCCTCAGTTATGGACATCACAAACACACACGCTCCCTCAGTTTTGTGCTTCACAAACACACACGCTCCCTCAGTTATGGACATCACAAACACACACGCTCCCTCAGTTTTGTGCTTCACAAACACACACGCTCCCTCAGTTATGGACATCACAAACACACACGCTCCCTCAGTTTTGTGCTTCACAAACACACACGCTCCCTCAGTTATGGACATCACAAACACACACGCTCCCTCAGTTTTGTGCTTCACAAACACACACGCTCCCTCAGTTATGGACATCACAAACACACACGCTCCCTCAGTTTTGTGCTTCACAAACACACACGCTCCCTCAGTTATGGACATCACAAACACACACGCTCCCTCAGTTTTGTGCGTCACAAACACAGACGCTCCCTCAGTTTTGCGCATCACACACACGCTCCCTCAGTTTTGTGTGTCACAAACACACACGCTCCTTCAGTTTTGTGCTTCACAAACACACACGCTCCCTCAGTTTTGTGCATCACACACACATTCCCTCAGTTTTGTGCGCCACAAACACGCGCGCTCCCTCAGTTTTGTGCATCACAAACGCACATGCTCCCTCAGTTTTGGGCATCACAAACACATTCCCTCAGTTTTGTGCATCACAAACGCACACGCTCCCTCAGTTTTGTGCGTCACAAACACACACGCTACCTCAGTTTTGTGTGTTACAAACACACACGCTCCCTCAGTTTCGTGCATCCCAAACATGCTCCCTCAGTTATGTGCGTCACAAACACGCTCCCTCAGTTTTGTGTGTCACAAACACACACGCTCCCTCAGTTTTGTGCATCACAAACACACACATTCCCTCAGTTTTGTGCGTCACAAACACGCGTGCTCTCTCAGTTATGTGCGTCACAAACACAGACGCTCCCTCAGTTTTGCGCATCACACACACGCTCCCTCAGCTTTGTGCTTCACAAACACACACGCTCCCTCAGTTTTGTGTGTTACAAACACACACGCTCCCTCAGTTTCGTGCATCCCAAAGACGATTCCTCAGTTTTGTGCATCACAAACACATATGCTCCCTCAGTTTTGTGCGTCACAAACGCGCGCTCCCTCAGTTATGTGCGTCACAAACACAGACGCTCCCTCAGTTTTGCGCATCACACACACGCTCCCTCAGTTTTGTGTGTCACAAACACACACGCTCCCTCAGTTTTGCGCATCACAAACACACACGCTCCCTCAGTTGTCAGGGGACTTTGCACTGTGCCTTTGCATGAAACACCATGGCTTGAAGAGGTCCCGCATCGTTAGGGCCCCCTTGCCCATGGTGTGGCGTCCCCTGACCGATTTAGCCGTTATTGAGGGACATCGAGGTTGCTTGGTGTGGCGGCCCCTGACCGATTTAGCCGTTATTGAGAGACAGCCAGGTTGCTTTCAACGTTTTCTTTTTCACAGACAGTGGTGCCAAAGGCGTCCTTGGACATGAGTCGTCTCCCAGTGGGTGAGCACATCTTAGGGCAGATTTCTGAAGGAAGATGTGCCAGGCAGAGGGGGTCTGAAGTTTTAACTTTGAAGGGCGTATTGTCACACTGCCCTCCACAGAGCTTGTACCACGGAGGTGGTGGCAGTGTCTTGCTGCCCATGCCTTCCTAATGTGTGTGTTGTGAAGTCTCTCGTTCTTTCTTTTTAAAAATTTATTATCTTTAATTTTTTAAAATGTAGAGACAGGGCCTCACTATGTTGCTCAGGCTGGTCTCGAACTCTTGGGCTCTAATTTTTGTATTTTTAGTAGAGACAAGGTTTTGCCATATTGGCCAGGGTGGTCTCGAACTCCTGACCTCAAGTGATCCGCCTGGCTCGGCCTCCCAGAATACTGGGATTACAGGCCCTTGACCCATTTTTCTTATTGTGTTGTTGGATTTTGTCTTATTGATTTGTACGGGGCGTTTACATATTAAGGAACTTACACCTACATACTTGCAGATATTTTTTTCATTTTTTTCTTAAAAAATTTTCTTTTGAGAGACAGAGGTCTCACTGTGTTGCCCAGGCTGGTCTCAAACTCCTGAGCTCAAGGGATCCTCCCATCTCAGCCTCTCAAGCAGCTGGGTCCACAGGTATGTGGCACCACCTCCCCTGGTTTGTTATTTGACTTTTGTCTTTGCTTAAGGAGTTTTGCCATAGAGAATTTTCTTTTTATTACATGAGGTAATTAATCTTTTTCATAATATCCCCCTTCCCCCATGCTTTCTTCTAGTACTATTTAAATTAAAAACTTTTAAATCTTTTTAAATCTATCCAGGCTTTATTTTGGTATAAGAGCCAAGGTCGTGATTGATTGGTGTCAGTTAGCATCCATGGAGGAGACAGATGTCACCCTCAACTTGGGAAATTTGAGGAGAGATGAATAAAGGGACTAAGATGTGGTTGGCATGTAGAGAAACCACTAAGGCTAATGCTGGGTGGGACCCCTCAGGCCTCGGAGGACACAGGGAGGCTGCAAGGGAGGTGGTCCTGCAGGAGCAGAGACCTGGGTGTGGGGAGACTCGAGTGCAGGACCCTACAGGGAGGGCTGGGGAAGCAAACACCCACTCCCAGTTGGCTCCCTGCAGGCCAGTCCCACCCAGCAGCCCGGAGTCAGGCAGCCGCAGGTGGCCCTGCAGGTCACAGAGGTGGAAAGTGGGGTGGGCCAGATGCTGGACAGGTGCAGCACAGGACGCTGGGATGAGCTTTGCCAGATGTGGCTCCATTACTGAACCAACAACAACCGACTTGGGGGATGGGCACTTCCAGAAGCTCCCCAGGGCACCTGGACTCAGCCCCCAGGGGTGCAGTGTGCGGTTGGGTGTTGGAGGCCTCAGGTCTGGGCCTAGTGGAGGCCAAAGGGTAGGGCCAGTGTGGAATGAGCTGACCACAAGCTGTTCTAGACAAGGCTGTAATCTGCCTTTGTGACCCCAGGGCTGTCCATGGGGAGCTCTATGGACCTCTCAATGTCAGCGTTTTGGGGTAAGGGTGGGGGTCAGGTGATGCTGGGATAGATGGGGCAGGGTCTGTGGGGGTGGGGAGGGCCGGGGAGGCTGTTGTCATTCATTCATCCAGTGCACACGGGTGAAGCCCTGCTCTAGCCACGCCCTGGAACAAGGCCATGAGGAATCAGACACTAGCGGTTACTTTTAACGAGCACCTACTGTATGCAGGTTCCTTGTGTTGACCTTCAGGAGCTCATTTACTACTCACAACAACCCTGCCGTCTAAGTGAGGAGACTGAGTTTCAGAAAGGTTAAGTAACCTGCCCGTGGTCACACCGAGCTGGGATTCGAACGCGGGACTGGCTGACTCCAGGCCTCAAGCTGTGTTCTGCTAAGCTGTGCTGCTGCCTCTGGGAAGTCTCACAGAGATGAAGGCCAGCCTGTCTCCACTTTTGGGGAATTCACCCTCCATTGGGTGGGCAGAGGCCTCATTATCAAATAAGGACAGCGGAGAGATTCGTGCTGAGCCACATGCGCTGTCCTGCACTCACCCATTCTTGCGGCACGGGAACTGAGCACGTATGTTGAGCTCCTGCCAAAAAGTTATGATGCTTCTTTTTTTTTTTTTTCTTTTTGAGACGCATTCTTGCTCTGTTGCCCAGGCTGGAGTGCAGTGGTGCAGTCTCGGCTTACTGCAAACTCTGCCTCCCGGGTTCACGCCATTATCCTGCCTCAGCCTCCCGAGTAGCTGGGACTACAGGCACCTGCCATCATGCCTGGCTAATTTTTTTTTGTATTTTTAGGAGAGACAGTGTTTCACCATGTTAGCCAGGATGGTTTTGATCTCCTGACCTCGTGATCGGCCCGCCTCGGCCTCCCAAAATGCTGGGATTACAGGCATGAGCCACCGTGCCCAGCCAAGTTATGATGCTTCTTGACATAAAATCTTTAAGCATTAAAACAATATTAAATCATAAAATCAGTATAAGAAAGTCTAAAACATTGCAGATTTTCCTGAGGTCAACTTAAACACTTAAAAAAAAAAGCCAAATTCTTAAAACAATTGTTTTTGGTGTCCTGCTTTGATGGTTCCCTAAACACTTGCTCTGACTATTAGAAATTCTGTACCTGGGTAGCTGGGGCCCCCGTGGAGAGGGAGCAGCTCGCCCAGTGAGAGAGGCTTGGCCATTGTCCTGCAGGGACTCTGCTGTTGGGGGAGCGGGCAGGGCATGTGCAGTGTGGGGTGTGGCATTCAGAGGGAGTGGCCTCCACAGCCCTGTGGCTGGGGTAGGGAGCCCAGGGGGGCCATCCATGTTTCTCTTGAGGTACCTGGCAGAAGGCGGGTGGGGGGGGTGCGGGGGGTGGTCCTTGACAGCAGAGCAGAGAGAGATGGTGGTCAGAGGCCCAGGCGGGCTCCGATTAGGCCCAGGCCAGGGTCCGGGATCCATAGGAACCCCTCGACCACCAACAGGGCCTTGAGCACCCTGGCCAGGGCGGAGGTAGTCCAGGACAGAGGACAGTTTTGCCAGTGGTGAGTGGAATTTGGGTTAGGGGTAGGGTTAGGGTTAAGTTCAGGCGCTTGGGAACAGACAGTGACCAGGAAGCCTCCGGCAGCTGTGGGCCCCAGGGCTGACCTGCTGCTCGTCCTGCTGCTCGTCCTGCCCCGTGCTCCACCGTCCTGGTTTGCCCAGGTGAAGGGGTTTCCAGGACTCTCCGTTTTAAAACCAGCACAATCTGGGCCAACTGGGACACACTGGTCACCTTGCTAATGTGTCCCTGTTCCTGAGGGGGAAAGCGGATAGGCAGTTGTCCCCCAGGGCCCAGGGAAAGAAGCCAAGGCAAGGTGCAGACAGATTTCCCTGCCCCAGACTAAGGGAGCTGTGGACAGAGGCCTTTGCTGGGAGGTGCTGGGTCCTTTCCTCCAGGCAGCGCTGGGATTTGGGCCCCGAGACCTCGTGTTTCTCTGACCCAGGGAAGAAGCCTCTGTCCACTCTGGGCCTTGCCCTTCTTTTGTTTTCCTTGGTGGAGGGAGGGAGAGGAGGTCGCCAGCACTGTTTGCCCGAGTGAGGCTCATTTCTCCTTTGTCTGCACAAGGCTGGACTGCCCTGCATTTTCATGGTAAGTTTGTTTCTTCAAGCCGTTGTTAAAATCCTGGAGGCAGAGAAAATGCATTTGCTCCATCACCTTCCCTGAGGTGACAAGTCCTATAAAACCTGTTAAAGCCTTTAATGAAATCCCTGCTCAGAGCTGCTCTGTGAATGAATGTGGAATCAGAATTTAAATTAAAATGTTGCTCTTGTTGTCTGGAGGCTTTGCCTGGGAAGAAATGAAAGGGGCAGCTCACCTTTCTGCCACCGTTCTCAGGCCGGGTGGGCGCCATGACTAGCCACCCTCTGACCCAGGGCTGGGGGCCCACCTGTGACTCACGGGCTGGGTCAAGATGCTAGCTGGATTTCAAGGCAGTGGCTCTCCCCACACCTGAGACTGTCCCTGCTGCAGGCCCCACAGAAAATCCCACTGAGGGGGAAGGTGGGTGTGCCTGTGGACCAGGTAGCCACTTGGGACTGGAGGTTTTATGTACTCAGAAGCAGAGTCAGTCCCTGAGCTCACAGGCTGATAGCAGGGGTGTGGGCAGACAGCCGCCCTGGAAGAGGAAAGAAGAAAGTGAGAGCGACTAAGGGGCTCTGGGGTGTGTGAGTGGGTTGGTGCAAGGTGGAAAGGAGGCAGGGAATGTCTTCCCAAATGAAGGGAGCAGGTGGGAGGCCAAGGCAACGGGCATGAGGCCTGGAGGCCTCGTGGCTTGGCTGGGGGCAGTACCAGCCCCGCTCCTACCTGTTCAGCCTCCCCGCTGCAGCTCTTCCCTCTTTCCTTCACGGAGTCCTGCTCTTTGGACTTAACACACTCAGGAGTCTGTTGTTAAAAAACAAACCAAAGGCTCTCTTAGCCTCGACCCCATCACAGCCAAGTTCTGGAGAGCTCTCTGCTCCATCTCCTCTTGTCTCCCCCTCCTCCTCCCTCTCCACTTCTGCGTGTCCCGGAGAGACAGAGACCCCCAGGCACCCTTGGCTGGTGGGAGAGACAGCACAAACATGAACGGCTCACGGGCCGCACATAGTTGCCTTCACTGCGGGGCGAGACACAGCTGTGTGGAACCGGCCCAGGCCCTGAGAGGTGCTTTCCTCTCCTGTTTTCCAAGTTGGCAGCGCTACCCTATTTCTTCTATGATGAAAAGGAACTCTAAAAGCATTCAAAACATTTAAAAAGTGTGTGTAAGAAGTGTTTTCATCCCTGCATAGATTACCTCCAGTGAAAAATCAGCTATGCCCCCCCCGCCACTTAAAGTGCTGTGAAGCTGTTGCAGGGAGGGCCCCGGGTCCCAGGAGGAGGCCAGGGGACCCTCGGGGAGGGCAGGGAAGGTGCTGCAGGGAGGGCCCCGGGTCCCAGGAGGAGGCCAGGGGACCCTCGGGGAGGGCAGGGAAGGTGCTGCAGGTGGAGAGACTTCGGGACACGTGGCTCTGGGAGCAGGTGCAAAGGGTTATAGCTGAAGGAAGGAGAGGAGCCATAGCTGATTATTCATTGACGGTAATGCTACACAGGGATTAAAATCAGTCAACTTGAATAAACCTTAAGAATAAGGCTGAGGCGGGGCGCGGTGGCTCACGCCTGTAATCCCAGCACTTTGGGAGGCGGAGGCGGGCCGATCACAAGGTCAGGAGATGGAGACCATCCTGGCTAACATGGTGAAACCCCCGTCTCTACTAAAAATGCAAAAAAATTAGCTGGGCGTGATGGCGGGTGTCTGTAGTCCCAGCTACTCGCGAGGCTGAGGCAGGAGAATGGCGTGAACCTGGCAGGCGGAGCTTGCCGTGAGCCGAGATCGTGCCACTGCACTCCAGCCTGGGTGACAGTGAGACTTCGTCTCAAAAAAAAAAAAAAAAGAATAAGGCTGAAGCTGGTAGGGCGCAGGGTGCGTGCCTAGATTTAGTCCCAGCTACTTGGGAGGCTGAGGCGGGAGGATTGCTTAAGTCTGGGAGGTTGAGGCTGCAGTGAGCTATGACTGTGTCACTGCACTCCAGCCTGGGTGACAGAGCGAGACTCCATCTCTTTAAAAAAAGTTGAGCTATAAAAACAAGTTGTAAAGGGTTTTGTTCTGTATGATCACATCAATGTAAACTGAAAAAAATAGTATGTGTTGTTATTGGATGTGTATGTAGATACAAAAACTGTGAAAACATGCAGGGAGATGATACAAACCAATTTCAGAGATGCCCCCGCTGGGGAGGAGGGCACAGGACAAGCATTCTTCATTGTCTGTCTGACAGTGTGTTTTGAATGCGTGTTTGAATATTTTCATGCTTAAAAAGTAAACAACAAAAGATGATGGGAGATAGGATGAGGAGGCAGCGTGCTGAAAAGGGTCCATTTCTAGGTGGCGAAGAGAGTGAGTTGGGGCAGTGGGCTGGGCAGAGGGAGGGCTTCGAGGATTCCAGGAAGAATTCTGTAGGAAAAGGAGCCAGGCAGAAGGGTGGGAGAGCCACAGGGGCTGGAAGCGGGGTGGTACTTCCAGGAACCTGAAGCCCAGGTGAGGACAGGTGCTTGTGCCATGCCACCGTGGGGGTGAGAACTTGGGCAGAAGAGGCCGTGTGTGCCGAGGGAGGGGTCGGGAGAGGGATGAAGATCTGAATTGAATGGATGCTGAGAGGAAGCTTAGTCATGCATCGCCAAAGACGGCTCATGGAGTAAATAGAGCACTAAAGGCTGGCTCACTCGCGGAGAGCTGTTTCCTGTGGCTCAACAAGTTTATAATAAACACAGTTAAACTTTTATTTATGGCACAGCTGCTAATTGCACCATAAACACTTTTCATCAGGCAATTGCTGTTTACTCATTTGCCAATCAGCTCATTATCCAGCTACCTCTCCTTGTTCCTGCCTTCCCACTTCCCAAATCCTACTGCTTCTAGGGCGTCCCTCTGCAACTGTACCCCCACCCAACTGCCTGGCCTGACTCCTGGCAGGTAGGCCCCCTCTCCAGTCCGCCCAGGCTTTGGTAGGTGTGCCTGCCCAGGCTAGGCTCTGTTCTGCTGCTGACCATGGCCAGCCCCGACTGTCCAGCATCCTAGTGTTTGAGGCCCTGAACAATGCCCCTGCTGGGCTCTCCTGACCACTCTTTTCTCTGGCTCCCAAACCTCACGGCCCCTGGGGATCCTCGCCTCCCTCTTTTCCTGCGTTTATCCCAGCCCCACTCAGCATGCCCAGAGGTCTCCCCACCCATCTCTCTCCTAGACCAGGGGTTACATAAAACTTAAGCCAGTGTTCCTGAGGGTCCTTCCTTTCCTTAAGAGGGAGCGTGTTCCGAATACTCAACTCCTGCCGCTTGTTTGCTGGGTTCAGTGTGGCCCCTCGCTCACCATTACCTCGCAGAGCACTGAGACAGAGCTTACACTTACTCATACCTTGGTTCATTGGTTCACCCGACCATGGCCACCTCCACACAGGTCATGGTGTGAGTCGCCTCCCCCCATGTTCCCTCTGCAGAGCTGGCTCCAGGATGAGCCTGAGCTGGGAGATCCTCTGGATGGAAGGAAGTTCCACCCTGTATCCAGTTACTGTGACACCTGCCCCCCTATGAGCTAACAGGCCCCCAGGTGGGTGGGGACCAGAGTCTTAGGGTGTGTGCTCTGTGTGCTCTGCAGCACCCACTTTGCAGACATCAGCGTTAGCGGACATGTGTGTGAGTGAGAATGCTCATGTGAGTGCATGCATGTTTAGGTGAGTGGGCATGTACATCTACGTGTGAATGGTGTCTGCATGTACACACATGCACAAAAGTATGTATGTGTAAACGTGTGCATATGTGAATGACATGTATATGCTCATGCAGATACGCTAATGTGTATGTACATGCGTGCATGTGTGTATGTGTAAGTGGTATATGCATGTGTGTACATGTAGGTTTTTGTGAATATACAAGTGTATATGTGCACATAAGCAGTGTGTATGTGTGCATGTGTTTGCACATGTGAGGGGTGTGCATATATATATGCATGTATATGCATGTGGGCAGTGTGTTCACATGTGTATATGTGCATGTGTGCATGTGTGTGCACATGTGAGGGGTGCGTGTATATATGCATGTATATGCATGTGGGCAGTGTGTTCACATGTGTATATGTGCATGCGTGTGCACATGCGAGGGGTGCATGTATATATGTGCATGTACTCACGTGTGTATATGCATGTGGGCAGTGTGTTCACATGTGCATATGTGCATGTGTGTGCACATGTGAGGGGTACATGTATATATGTGCACATGCATGTGTGCATACAGCTATGCACATTGTGTGTACATGCACATTGTGTGTACATGTGTATATTTCAGGATGTGCATATGTGTAAAAGTTGTGTACATGTAAGTAATGCATGTGTGTGTGCATGTGTTCAAGTGATTTGTGTGTGCATATGCTACACATGTGTGCTTTCATGAACATATGTGTGTGAGTGGTGAGATTAAGTGTATGTGCACAGAGGCCTCAGACTGAGTCTGATGGGGGTCCCTGCTAGCTCTGGAGAGAATGTGGTAGCAGGGCTGAGGCCCTTGTCTTCAGCTGAATGAGTCTGCCTGGCGTGCGCTCAGTGCTCTCCCGCTCTCCTGCTTCTCTTCTGAGGTCAGTCACAGACCTGGACATCCGGCTTGTGGGGAGTATTGAGTTGCAGTGGCTGTGTGTGCTTTTGTATGTGAACACATGTGCTCATGTGTTGCATGTGTGTGGTGTGCACTGTGTCTGGATGTGATCATAGGCAGCATTTTGGGGTATTTTTGGGTGTCAGGGTACTCACTGGGGGCATTGAAGATGCAGTGGCAAAGCAGGTGTCCAGGAGTCTGAGCTCAGACTTGACTTTCTGCCTGGGTCAGCCTAGATTTTCTACATGGAAGTGAGGTGAAAGGGAGAGGAATATTTGGGAGCCCTTCTCTGTCCCTTAGGTCCCTAGGAGCCCAAGGATGGTGAGAGGGCCCAGCCCTTGGTTTTTGATCTATTTGAGAGGAACCGAGTAATCTTCTGGGGTCTGCTCTTGGCTTCTTCAGTACAGTGAAATTAGCTGAGCAGTTCCTCTGGGCAGAGCCTCTGCTAACATTCCTTTGAAGCCTCCCTCCATGCTGGGAATCCAGCAATGTCCAGTGATAAGCTTGGGAGGAGGACATACTTGCAGTGGAAGAGACACCATGCCTGTCCCACCAGCCCCTTCACTTTTGGGGTCAAGCATTATTAGAGCCCTGCCAATGGATTGTGTGTGTCGTGACAGATGTCAGCTGGGAGGAAAAGACACTGGGCCCCTCCTGCACAGGGGCCTTATTTCTAGAGAAAGGGAAGACTGAGGTGCAACGTGGGCCTGTGGTTAGGGAGACTGCATTCTGAACACCGTGGGAAGAATGCTAGAAGCTCTCAGCCTCTGCCTTCCTCTGCCATGCTCGAGCTGGTCAGTCATGGTCCCCGAGGCCCTACAGCAGCCTGCAGGGATCAGGGCAGCAAAGGTGCTGCAAAACCAGCAAGACCAACAGGACTGTACAAGACCGGTGTTCCACGGCGACACCTTGTGGTTGCAATGGCAGCAGCACTGCCTGTGGAAGGACAAGGCTCTCCTGCAGCTCCTCCCTACCAGGCTTTGGACTAAGCCTCCAGCATTTTTGGACAGTTGGCATGCATGTTGGAGGAGAGTACTTGAGAAGGAAATAATGGGCTGGGTGCTAATAGAGGATTTGGAGGCTCACACACTAAATGGGGAAGGACTCATTCATACCCATTCCTTCTTCCGAAATGTCTCCTTCCATGTCCTGCCCTCGTACCCATTCCTTCTTCCGAAATGTCTCCCTCCATGTCCTGCCCAGGCCTGCTCTTTGGGTCTCCTGGCTGGTGGGGGAACAGATGTGGCGTAATCACGTCGAGATGCAGCAGGTGCACCAAGCACTGTGCGCACCGCTGTTAGCCCCAGGACCCCCAGTGTCAGCACTGGTGGGGCTGGTGTTTGTGGAGTGTGTCAGTGGACTGGCAGGCCCGTGGATTCCACGTGTGTAAGAGAGACTGACAGCCCTTCCTGTCTCAGAGCAGCCCCTCCTGGGTCCCATCCTGGGTCCCATCTTGGGGTTGGACATGCCCTTGTTTGAGCTTGGCCCCTTCTTGCTGGGCCACCAGCCCTGACCCTAAATCTGAGAGGGGGCTTGGCTGGGCCTGGGGTCAGGGGACAAACAGCCACCCTGGCTGAGGCCCTGGGCAGCTGAGGAACTTCAGCCAGCTTTGGGCAGCTCTTGGGTTGGGAGATGGGCTGCTGTTTTCTCGGACAACGCCCTCCCCAGCCCCTCAAGACTCTGTTTTCAGTCAGTTCAATTAGTACAACTTTAAAGCAATTAGGGAGAATTAGTGGCCAGGCTGCTGCAGGCAGATGCTGAATACACTCATGCCCCCTCCCCCAACCTCCCTCACCGAACCTGACAGCTGCTGCGGGGAGTGCCTTTCTCTGCTGGCTCTGTCCTTTCTCCCAGAGATCCAGCCCCCATCTCTCCTTCTCTCAAGGGTCTGAGGAGGGGAGGGTGGGCAGTCTAGGGGACAGACCCAGAGACAGGGGCCCTGGGACTGGGAGGGTGGGGCAGGCCCGGGGAAATGGGCCAACTTCCCCTCAAGACCCCAGGCCTGGGCCTGCTCTAAGGAGAGAAGGGATGGGTGCTGGTTGGAGGCTCAGCCCCTGAGTGAGGGTGAGGGTACTCAGCGCGGATTGGGAGGACTGACCAGGATTGTGGCCCAGCCTCTGGCCCTGTGGCCTCCAGGAGCCCCCAGCTCTGGTGAGGGCACCCTTTGGTGGGGCTGGGGGCTGTTCTTCAGTGGGAGGCCTCTGAGAGGCTGGGCCTCTCCCACTAGGTGTGGGGTGGCAGCGAGGCCCTGCTTCTGAGCCAGTGCTGGAGCCACACCACCTTCTCTGCCTGGTAGTGAAGGAGGTGGCCCCGTGGGTGCTGCAGACCCTGGGCCCTCCCTGGTGCCCCTTGGGCTGCTCTGTGGGGAGAGCTCCAGGTGCTTGCTTGCGTGGATGGGGCACCAGGGCAGGTGCAGGGCTGACTTCGCAGATGGAGCCCTTTGTGCGGGGACCCTGTCTTCCGGCCTTGCCCCTCCCTACTCCCCCAGCTTCTCAAAGAAGGTCTGTTTTCTGAGCCTCCTCTGTGATGCCCCCACCAGCCGCAGCCTCCCTCAGATGTGTGGGGGGTGTCCGCGGTCCTAACCAATGTCTTTTCTGCATGTGTCCACGTGTATCTGGCACTTTCTCTGAGCAGGCTCTGGGCTCAGCACCGGGTAAGGCAGATCCATGCAGCCCCTCACCTTGGCCGAACACTGAACAGATGATGACATGTACTTGTGCAATTCCAGCTTCAACAAGGGTCACCAGAACAGCTCTGAGCAATTCCAGCTTCAACAAGGGTCACCAGAATTGCTCTGTGCAATCCCAGCTTCAACAAGGGTCACCAGAACAGCTCGGAGAAGGGCTGTGACCCGGTCTGAAAGCTTCCCAGAGACTGGCTTAGCGGGATGACCCTGGGGAAGGAGATAGTGGGTGGAGCAGAGAGGCTGATTAGAGGCTGAGTCTTTATACGGAAGTGATGGTGCCCTAGAGGCACAGGAGGGAGTGAGTGCTGCCAGTGGGGCAAGGAGGGGCGGCTCCACCTGTGACCCTAACCCTAACCGCGTAGGGAACCTTCAGTGGGCCCATGATGGTGGCCCAAGCACACGAAGGTGTCTGTGCTCTGTGCCTTCGCTGAGCAGTGCAAGTCTGGGCCCAGGGGCTTCCCCTGAGGAGGGGAAGCCAAGGGTGTCCATGAAAAGAGTCAAACTCTGTAAAGTATTTGAAGAGATTTATCCTGAACCAAATACGAGTGACCATGGCCCATGACTCGGCCTCAGGAGGTCCTGGTGACATGTGCCCGAGGTGGTCGGGACACAGCCTGGTTTTATACATTTGAAGGGTGACATGAGACATCAATCAATATGTACAAGATGTACATTGGTTTGGTCTGGAAAGGCAGGACAACTCAAAGTGTGGGCTTCCAGGCCATAGGTAGATAAGACACAAACAGCTGCATTCTTTTGGGTCTTTGATCAGTGTTTCACTGAACACACAATTTACATGTGAGAGGGGGTAGAGAAATAGTCACTTATGCCTTAGGCTGACTCAGTGAATCTGCATTTTTACATAAGCAGTAGGGCAGAGGAAGCCATCAGATGTGCATTTGTCTCAGGTGGGCAGTGGGATGACTTTGATGAGTTCTGCCTGTCCATTGTCCCGCACCTGTGAAGGGAAGCTATCCATTTACGTTGCCAGGGTGAAATTCAGCAGAACAGTTTTAGGGCAAAGATCTTGAAGCCCAAGAAGAGTTTCTCTGTGGGGAAATTGTGAGGGAGGATGTAGACTTCCACACAATCCTTGTCACTATCTTATTCGGGAATAAAATGGGAGGCAGGTTGGCCTGACGTGCTTTGGCTTAGTGATTTTGGGGTCCCTAGATTTATTTTCCTTTCCCAAGTACTTATTACAAAGTAGCAGGCTTCAAACTTGGAGATCTCACAACCCCAAGTAACATTCTGTTAGAAACCATGGGACCACCCACACCGTTGCTGTGGACTACAAGCTCGTGTCACTGGCAGCTCAAAGTAGAAAGTATCAGACACCCCCCACCTCGGGGGACCTCTGTTTCAGATCTCAGGTGACTCTTCACCTTGAAGACATTCAGCTTAATCAAAACCTCTTTTCTGACCCTTTGTGCCAGCCTTCCTGGAGGGGGCTCCCCAAAGAAGGGTCTACTTCTTGTCCCCTACCTCCCCACATCCGCTAAGGGCTTCTACACAAACACAGGATGAAATGAGAGGAAGGTGGCCACCGGAACGGTGCTTAATGGCCAGGATGTTCTCTCCCTGATGTGTGCTGTTCCCATTACAGGTATTCACTTCTTGATGAAGCAATTTCCTATATAATGGCCCCACATGGCAGGCTAAATGTGGAAAACCACCAAATAGAGGCAGAAATATAAAGACACTTTGGATCATCATTTGCAGAAGGCAAAATAGCTGCAGGCAGCTTGTGGTTGAGACACTCAGTAATGGTACTGGCCAGGCACGGAAAGCATCCACAGACACAGCTCACAGGTGCAGCGTGGAGAATTCCAACCAGCCAAGGGGCCCAGGCAGGCCTCCGAGGAAGGACGCTTGACCTGAGACTTCCCCCTTATCATGGTCAAAGTGAGGGTGTCCCTGCTGGAGCCCCTGCAAAGGCCCGAGGGAGCCGGGACCTTAGAGTCTGGGGACTGCATACAGCCCACTTTGAGGAAGCCTTCTTGGTTTGAGGAGGGGGTTGAAGGGCAGCATCATGGACCCTGGGTTGAGAAGGAGGTGGAGACCAGCGGGGTGAGGGGCTCCACCTTGACTCAACTCCCTAGATGGCAACTGATGGGGGCTGGTCTAGAGGGCTCTCTCCTAGGTGAGGGGCTAGACCTGAAGCTCTTGTGCTTCCTCAGCCCTAGTCCCCTTCATGGGGACAGGAATGGTGTGTGATGGTGCATTCATAGATGTGCATGCACACATACAGGCATGTACATTTGTACACAGACATGCACACAGAAATGTGCATGCATAGGCCCACACAGCAGACAGGCACATGCACACAGGTGTGTACACAGAGATGCACACACACGTACACACAGATGTGTACGCAGAGAGGCACGCACATTCACACACAGATGTGTACACAGAGAGGCACACGCACATACACACACAGATGTGTACACAGAGAGGCACGCGCACATGCACACACGTGTACACAGAGAGGCACGCGCACATGCACACAGATGTGTACACAGAGAGGCACGCGCACACGTACACACAGATGTGTACACAGATGCACGCACACACGTACACACAGATGTGTACACAGAGGCACGCACACGCACACACAGATGTGTACACAGAGAGGTACGCACACGTACACACAGATGTGTACACAGAGAGGCACGCACACATGCACACACAGATGTGTACACAGAGAGGCACGCACACACACACACAGATGTGTACACAGAGGCACGCACACACGCACACAGATGTGTACACAGAGGCACGTGCACATGCACACACATGTACACAGAGAGGCACGCGCACATGCACACAGATGTGTACACAGAGATGCACACATGCACACAGAAATGGGCATGCACATGCACACAGATGTACACACATGGATGTTCACACACACACACATGCACGCAAACACAGCCCCTCTGCAGCTCTGCTGTCTGCCTCAGGTGGGGGCCATGCTGGGTGAAACTGTCATTTCTCCCTGTCTATAAGCTCCTGCCTTGAGGCTATGAAGACAAGAGGATGTGAACTGCTCTCTGGAGGCAGAAGACGTGGGTTCAAATCTTGGCTCTTCTCTGGGCCTCAGGTTTCTGGTCTGTAGACTAGGATATTGGAGTTTTACTCACGTTACTGGAGGGATGAGGGCCCTAAATCAGGAGCTGGGAACTGGTGCATGGTAAGTTGTGGGAGTGGAGGACTGTGGAGAAGGACAGGCCTTCCCTAGGTGAGGTGCTACTACTGTGGAAAGTGGTCTAGTTTCCCCTCTGCCCCTATGGGCACCCAGTGGAAGAAGCTGGTGGTCAGTGATGGGCGGACTAGTCCTGAGGTCCTAAGACTGGAGTGTCTGGATGATCAGTGTGACCTCTCAGAGAAGAGGTGCACACCTAGGGGTCTGGCTAAGGGAAGGGGAGGGTGTCAGTACAGGAACTGCAGGGACTAGGTCAGGCTGGGTACACAGAGGCAAGGACAGGGTCGTGAGGCTGGTGCTTGATGAGAAAAGCTCAGTCTAGACATCTGGGCCTAGGCCCCAAGAAGAGTGGGGATCAGGCCTTCATGGGTGGTGTTGGAGAGCCCTGAACAGGATGTGACTTGGTCTTCCCTGTGGAGAACTCAGGAGACTAGCTGGACCATTCAGGTATTTAAGGAGCAATGTCAGTGTGCCAGGAACTCTCGGGGAGCTTATATCCCAGTGGAAGAGACGGCTCACCTCTTTGAGCTTTCTGGCAAAGTCAAGGGTGCTGAGTGCTGTGTCAGGGCCATCCAAAGGTCCTGAGATGAGTGGGACTTGGAGGAGGTCAGTCAGGACCAGCCTCGTTGTGGGTGTTGAAACACAGGAGTATCTGTGTGGAGGAGGCCTGGGGGGCTCCTGGCAGGGAGCGGGGCGCAGAGGAGCACGAGGTCCTCAAGGTTCTCAGTGGTGGCATCAGGAGTGCCCAGGTCAACTTGTCCTGGGCAGAGGATGGGTTCAGAAGAGAACATCGGCTGTGTATCCTTTGTATCTTCCAGAGGTACACAGCCCTCCCCAGCCGCCCTCCAACCTCAGGACAAAGTGTGGGTGTGCGTTTGGCTCCTGCGTTCCCCTGTCTCCTTTGTCCACAGGATGCTCTTGGCTGCCAGGAGGTTCCCACTCCTCATCTTTCCAGGCCCGGGTCAGAGGCACTGAAGTCAGAAACAGAGGTGGCAATTCCAACCTAAAAGCACAAATTACAGACAAGTCTCCCTCCTGCAGGTTTCCATTTGCATCTGGCTTTTGTGTGGCACTAGAAGAGATCAGCTTTTTGCAAGCATGGGGCTGATGAACGCATTTGCACAAAGGGAGACGGCGGAGTAGCAGGAGTTTGCAAGCTGCTTCATTAACTTGGAGCCAGTGGAATGTCTGGGATCGTCTGTGATTTGGAAACCGGTGGCAGAATGTTCCCGCGTTTCTGGTCCTCATCAGTCAGGTAGGTTGAGGGGAGCCCAAGACGAGCTTGTGGCTGCAGCGAGGGTGCAGGATGGGTACACATCTCGGTGGTCCAGCTGGGTCTCAGCTACCTTGAATCTGACCCACGGGCTTTGTGTGGTCTCAGGGCTTGTGTGTGTGTGTTTGGTCCGCTGTGTACCTGGTGTGCACACATTGCCTGTCACGTGGGTCTCTGTTGGAAGCTCTTGCCCGTCGGTTCTTCATGTGGTGCTGTCGGACATCTACTGGTCTTTGAGCCTCCAAGTCTGTGTTGGCTGCTGCAGGTCGGGGCCTGGGACTTTGTGTACCAGTGACGTGGCCCCACTGAGGCCCCGTTCCTGACTCAGCCATGCTGTCATGGCCCTCAGAAAAGATCTATCATTTCTTTGATCCTGTAAAACAAGTAAATTCAGTCTTCCTGTGAGGCACGGTGATGATTCACTGGAATCATCCCAGTGTGTAAGGGTACTTCCTCCTGCCGGGACTGCCAGGCGGGACGGCTTCCTGCAGACTCAGAGGGTCCAAGGCAGGGTTTCCAAGCAGACTTTGCAGCTGGATGAGAGGAGGGGTCAGCGCACCTGCTTCATACAGAGACTGATGTGCCTGGGCCCAGGCAGGCCCGTGCTCCAAGCACCCTGTTCCTCAGGTGGGACAGCCTCATCTTCTTTTTCCTTTTTTTTTTTTTGAGATCGAATTTCACTCTGTTGCCCAGGCTTGAATGCAGTGGTGTGATCTCGGCTCACTGCAGCCTCTGCCTCCCGGGTTCAAGCAATTCTCCTGCCTCAGCCTCCCGAGTAGCTGGGACTACAGATGCACAATGCCATGTCCTAGTTTTTATATTATTAGTAGATACAGGGTTTCACCATGTTTGCCAGGATGGTCTTGAACTCCTGACCTTGTGATCCGCCCGCCTTGGCCTCCCAAAGTGCTGCGATTACAGGCGTGAGCCACCATACCCAGCCTGACAGCCCCTTCTTTAGAGCCGGTGCCTCGGGCTCCCAGGCTCGGGGTGGGGCTCACACCCCTCCTCTCATGATCTTGCTTATCCCTTGGGGTGGGGGGGGGACCTGTGTCCTCCCAACCCCAAGCACACAGCTGTCACCCCAGGTCACCTCCTCTGCCTTTCTCCCAGCACCCTGCATGCTCTGGCCTGGGCAGCCCCCTCCCCCTGTGCCCTTGGTGGCATTTGCATACAGGTGCCCTTGCAGCTGAAGTGTTGGGGCAGGGCCAGCAAACCCACGCCCGAGAGGGCCAGTGGCTCTTGGCACAGGTGGTGGGACAATGGCCACTCAGAACACGGCTGCGCTCCCCTGCCGCCTCCTTGGGGCTCACACCTTGCTCGGTTTAGTCGCTGTCTGAGCCTTAGTTCCTGGTCATAACTGGGCTGTGCGGGGCTTGGGGCCTCATATGAGGAGGAACTGATGGCCTGTGTGTGCTGGCAGAGGAGGCGGTGTCATCCCGGCGGGTCTCTGCAGATCCACTGCACAAACACTGCATGTGTGTATGTGCAGTGTGTGTGTTTATGTAGTGTGTTTGTGTGTCTGTATATATGCGTGTGATGTGTATATGGTGTGTATGTGTGTTTGTGTTGTGTGTATGTGTGTGGTGTGTTTGAGGTGTGCGTGTATTTGTGTGTCTGTGTGTGTGTGGTATGTATATGGTGTGTATGTCTGTGTGTGGTGTGTGTGTGTGTCTGTGGGTCTGTGGGGTCTGTTTGATGTATGTGGTGTGTGTATGTGTGTGTCTGTGTGTGTGTGTGGTGTGTATATTGTGTGTATGTCTGTGTGTGGTGTGTGTGTCTGTGGGTCTGTGGGGTCTGAGGTATGTGGTGTGTGTGTGTTTGTGTGTGTCTGTGTGTGTGTGTGGTGTCTATATGGTGTGTATGTCTGTGTGTGTGCCTGCATGTGTGGGGTGTGTGTGTGGGGTCTGTTGTGTGTATGTGGTATGTGTGTATGTGTGTGTGGTGTGTATATGGTGTGTATGTCTGTATGTCTGTGTGTCTGTGCATTTGTGGGGTGTGTGTAGGGTCTGTTGTGTGTGGTGGATGGAAGGGCCTCCCGGGGCTCTTGGATTTGGAGGGCCCACGCTGCTCTGGCCTGGGAAGGTGGGGTTATCTGGAGGGTATATTAGGCTGGGGTCCTGGGGAAGGTTCTGGGGCTCTAGGCAGAGCTCCTGGTCGGGTGCAGGCACATGGGCTTGTTGGGCAGTCCCAGGCCTTCCAGGCTCCATGGCCCGTGTTCCCTGTTGTTCTGGTGGGTGTGCCCTTTAGGCACCTGCCCAGGGTCCCCTGTGCCATCCCAGCTGCCCCAACACTGTGTGCCCCGGCTCTGCTCCTGGACCCCACGCCGCGTGCCCCGGCTCTGCTCCTGGACCCCACGCCGTGTGCCCTGGCTCTGCTCCTGGACCCCACGCCGCGTGCCCCGGCTCTGCTCCTGGACCTCCGCATGCCTCCTGCTCACTCCAGGGCAGAAACCTCCTGTCCTGGCTCTGCCTCCCTTTGAAGCCTAGCAGGGGACCCCTCTGGCCCTGGGTCTGTCCCTCCTGAGCTCTCATTTGAGGAAGGCACCAGTGAGGCCCTTCTTTGGCTCAGATCCAGCCTTTGGTGCCAGACGGTCCAGGGCGTCAGTCCCAGCTTTGTCTGGGAGCTGCGGGCCCTCGACCCTTCTGAGCCCACCTACAAGTTGGGAACAACATTGTGGACCCTCAGGGGACTAAAGGATGAAGCTGCCCTGTGCCCGGCACCAATAGGAGCATCCTCGTTCCTCCTCCTCAGGGGCTGGACCCATAGCTTGAGTGGCAGTGGGGACATCCAACCTGGCTTCCTCAGTGGGGTTTGGCCATGGAGGTGCTCAGGGTGTGCTTGTTGGAATGATGGGGGATCTCGCTCTGGGATCTGTCTCCTAGACCCTGTCCAGGGCTCCAGCTGCCCCTTCCCTCTCTGGGCTCCCAGCTGGGATGGGAGGGCCTTGGGCACAGGCTGTAGAGCCCCTGTGGTCGGCTCCCACCCCTCCCCAGAGTGCTGCATGTGAGGATGGGGACTGCCTCACTCAGGAAGCCATCCTGTCATCCCAGAGTGTGGTGTTGGCCTCGAACTGGCTCTTGATCTCCCATGTGGGGCATGGCTGGAACCATCCCAGGGTCAGTGTGTCTCAGGCTCCAGCTTGGGCATCTTGGGACAGAGACTGGAGGGGTGTTTCTCCCAACATGGCCAGGCCAGCGTGGCTGTCATCCTTGGACATCAGTCAGCAGCTGGCCAGTGCCTACCGGTTCCACCAAGCTCCATTCTTGGGAATGCAGGGCCCGGACATTCAGTCCAGAGACTTTCCCTCCCGGGGCTCTGCTGGGGGTGCCCCTCCCCATGAGCCCATCTTGACATTTGTGAGCCCTGCTCTGTCTGCTAATGAGCGATCTTCACCAGTCCAGCCTGCCATGGCAACCGCCCGCAGCCTCGCTCTCTGTCCAGGCACCCGGTAGCTTTATCTCCGAGGCCATCTGTTCTGGGAGCACAATTCCAAAGCCATTTAAACAGAGCCTGGAGCAGGGCAAGGCGCTGGGCCCTCTGTCCTCACACGTGTCTGTGCACACACTCAGGCACACACACGCACATGCACATGCTGATGTGGTGTGACCCCTGCAGGGTGGAAGGTGATGACAGGGACAGTCAGGGTGCCCCACCGGCTGCTCCCTTTTCCTGCTGTCACCGAGCCGGTTCCTGGGCACCCTGGTGGTCGGCCAGTCTGTGTCCTCCTCTCTTTCTCTGTGTTCCTCACCTCTCTGTCCATCTGTGTGTCTGAGCCGGCCTGGTTTCTGCCTCACCTCTCTGCCTGTGGGCCACCTCTCCCTCTCCATCCTTTGTCTCCTTTCCTGCCCCTGTCTGTGTCCGTCTCTGTGTTTAATCGCCTTGACCCTGGTCCCTGGACCCCCTCCCTGGCCATTGCCTCTGTTTCTTTGGCCTTTGTCTCCAGCTCGTATCTCTCCTACTGGTTCAGCTGCTTTTTGCCTTTGGCTATCGTTCTGTGCTGGTAGGACCAGGACATCAGGGGGTTTCCACCCCTGCCTCACCCTCTTGGATGCTCCTAGAACAGTCAGGCAGGGGCCTGTCCCTCACTGTTCTCCTGGTCCACTCTGGGCGCACCTGTCTCTCCTCCCCACTTTCCTCTGCCTCAGGGTGGCCAGGTCATGAGGCGGGTGGGGGGGCGGGGGTACTTTCTCGTACTGCTCTTAGCTTCCTGGGCCCAGTGCCCAGGGTAGTGCCTTCAGCCTGAGCTTCTTACTCTCCAAGCCCTTCACTCTGAGCTCCTCCCTCTGAGCCCAGTCCCGCTGTTCATTGAATGTGCTTCCGTTTCCCGCCCTGCGGCCTTCACTCATGCTGTGCCCTCACCCTTTCCTGGTCAGGCCTCCCTGTCAGGAGCTTCTGTCTCTCTCTCCACAGGGCTGGACAGATGCAGCATCCTGGGCTCAGCATGGAGCCTCCTGGCTTCCCCAAACCACGCATGGCTGAGCTTGCAGCCTTGTTCAGCTGACCCTGCCCTGCAGGCCCCTCTGAGCTCCACAGAGCGTTGACACCAGTCTGACTTCCAGGGGGATGGGAAGGAAGCCCCTCTGCAGCTGCTTCCAGTTCTTCCTGAGGCCTGGCCTAGGCTGCCCCTGCTGCAGGGAGCTGTCTCCTCTGGTGCCACAGCAGTCACGGTGACTTTGCCTTCTCCTGCCGGTGCCCCCAGCCCTCAGCTGTCTCTCCTCTGTCTTTCCTCTGTCCCCACATCCTTTGTCTCCTGGGCTGGGCTGTTGCTGAGGCTGCTGTGAGATGCACAGATCCCCAGGACCCTTGGGCTGGCCCCCTCAGAGGCTTGAGGGCCTGGTGACCTGGGTCCTCTGAGCAGCTTCTGTCCTCCAGGTCACTCTGCTGTTTCAGCATCCCCACAGCCCAGCCAACCCCCTAGGATGCCGCCTTCCAAGGTCATGGCCCTGGGTCAGGGCAGAGCAGGCAGAGGAGCCGTATGGGCAGACCAGAGGGGCTTCATAGGTGCCCCTGTATTGGGTGCCCTACTAAAGCAGAAACCAGTGCCAGCCTAGACAGCGATGACCAGCAGCCTGTGACCTCTGGAGCCCGGGATGTGTCCGGACATATCACGTCAGCCCAGGTGGCGCTGAGTGCTGGGAACCCAGCTATGGTGGGTGATGTCCAGACGGCTTCCCTTGGGTCAGCTGCAGCCCGGCTTCCTGTTGAGGGCAGGGAGGTACAGTGGCTACACGCAGCCCTGAGGGAGGCTGAGGTATTGCCACCTTCAATAGCCAGAGCTGCATCCCACACACGGGGCTGGACTCTCCCGGCTGTGGGGTGAGGCTGGGCCGCATGGCCTATGGCAAATGCCCCTCAAACCCTAATGCATCCACGGTCAACCTGGTGAGTTCTGACTCAGCCTGGCCAGGTTCCCCTGGAGCTGGCCCCCTGAGCACGTGTTGAGTTGGGGTGGGGGAGCTGGAGGGCCTTTCTCGAGCAGAACTTCAGAGAGGAGCGCTGGCCCTGTCTTTCCTGATTCTGAACGTGTCCAAGTCGTTTCATCACGTGATGGATTACCAGGCTGGTTGGTTCTACCGAAAGGCAGCAGCACAAGCTTTTCCTGGATTTCTCACCATTGTTCCTTTAAATAATCAGTCTTAATTAACTCCATCCGAAGAACATATTTTCCCCAAGGGTAGGGAGTCCCAGTCAGGTGGAGCAAGTTGGAACTGCAAACTGCATTTGATAGCTGTGGTGTTGGGAGGAGCCCCCTGGCTACTGCGAGGGGTGTCTCCGTGATGGGCGGGCAGATGGATCAGCACCAACCCCTGCTGGCACTTTCTGACATTTCTGTTGCCCTCATTTGATAGATCGGGAAACTGAGTCACAGAAAGGTTTGGCAATCTGCCCCAGGTCACTTCCCCTAAGCACAGACGTCCTTGTGGACGAGGAGAAGAGGCAGAACTCACAGGGGAAAACCCTTCTTCCACACAGCATCTGCTGTGGCCAGCTGCCCCCACCTGCCCCTGTCCCCACCTGTCCCTGTCCCCAACCTGCCCCACCTGTCCCCGTCCCCACCTGCTCCTGTCCCCACCTTTCCCATCTGCCCCTGTCCCCATCCTGTCCCCACCTGCCCCACCTGCCCCACCCATCCCTGTGCCCAACCTGCCCCACCTGCCCCTGTCCCCACCTGTTCCTGTCCCTACCTGCCCCACTTGTCCCTGTCCTCACCTGCCCCACCTACCCCTGCCCCCACCTGCCCCTGTCCCTGCCTATCCTTGTCCTGCCCACCTGTTCATGTCCTCACCTGTTCCTGTCCCCCACCTGCCCCTGTCCTCACCTGCCCCACCTGCTCCATCCCACCTGTCCCTGTCCCCACCTGTCTTTGTCTCCACCTGCCCCATCCCCACCTGCCCCACCTGCCCCTGTCCTCACCTGTCCCACCTGCCCCTGTCCCCACCTGCCCAACCTGTCTGTGTCCCCCACCTGCCCCTCTGGTCCCTGCCACCACCTGCCCCACCTACCCCTTTCCCCTACCTGCCCCACATGCCCCACCTGTGTCCCCCACCTGCTCCACCTGCCCCACTTGTCTGTGTCCCCCACCTGCCCCACTTGTCTGTGTCCCCCACCTGCTCCACTGGCCCCTGCCACCACCTGCCCCACCTACCCCTTTCCCCGACCTGCCCCACCTGTCCCTGTCCCCACCTGCCCCACCTGCCCCTGTCCTCACCTGCCCAACCTGTCTGTGTCCCCCACCTGCCCCACTGGTCCCTGCCACCACCTGCCCCACCTGACCCCGCCCCTCTTCTACCTTCCTGACCCCATCCCCTCCCCTCCCCCTACTTGCTCCACCTGTCTCACCACTGCCATATGCCCCTCCTGGCCCCACCTGTCCTACCTGTCTCCCCTGCCTCCAACCTGCCCCTCTTTTGCCCCCCACATGTCCCCCCTCCCCCCTCCTACCTCCACCTGCCCCACCTGTCTCCCCACCCCTACCTGCCCCTCTTGGCCTCCCACTTGTCCCCCCTGCACCCACCTGCTTCCTCCTGCTTCTCCTGCACGCTCACCAGCCTCTGAGCACCTTCACCCCTCGATGTTCTCTCCTCTAAACAAGATGACTCACCATTTATTTCCAGCCTAATCTCTGCCCCCAGCCTCAGCCTCCATACTGTCACCCTTGTTGACGGTGTCACCTGGTGACTAACAGGCGCTCAGACATCCCAGCAGAGCCAGCAACTCCCACAAATCTGCCCTCCTTCAGCGTCTCCCTCTCAGGGGGTGCTGCCGCCCACCTCATGGCTCTGGCCAGCCCTGGAGTCTCCTGTGGCCTCTCTGTCCCTACCACATCCAGACCCTCAGCAACCCGATTCATTCCTGAGGGGGTGTCCCAACTCGAATGCAATTCGTCACTTCTCTTGGGACACCCTTTACCGTCTATTGCCGCCCAGTAGCACTCACCATAGACCTCACTGAAGATGTAAATGTTAAACATTTTGCTCTTGGTCACCCAGCTGGGAGGGGCCGGTCAGGGGTCAGTCCAGATCTGCCTCCTCCAAAGGTTTGAACCCTCCATACTCCGGGCCTCCCCCTCAGTGCTGCCCTGGATGGGAGAGACTAGCCTGGACTTGGCCACGTGTTGGTAGAGGTAAGCCAGCATCACCTGGGCCTCCACCTGTCCCCTGCAGGGACAGACACCTGCAGAACCTGAGGACCAGGAGGTGACCCTGAGCTGCCTGGGGTGATGGGAGCTTCCCTCGGCATCAGGGGAAGCTGGCCCAGAGGACAGCCGGGCTCCATGGTGAGGCCAAGTTCATCGTTTCAAAGGGCCCCTGTGGGCAGTGAAAGGTCGTGGGCCCAGTTCGAGGGACTAGGAATCATTCTGGAAGAGGCCTCTGCAGTGCCCACCTTCACTCCCATCCACACACCCTGCCCCTCCCTGGCCCTGGCGCGGCTGTAGCTGCTGGAAGGTCCAGGTCCTTCTGGGCAGCCCTCTCTCCCTGCCCTTTCCTTCCTGCACACCCCACCCTCTGCCTGCAGGGCCTGAGGTTGTCGAGGGATTCTTGACTTCTACAGTTTGCCTCCCCCTGGCACCTCCCACCATACCTTGTGCCTGGGATCTGGTGGTGGGGAGTCAACCACACCAGCTGAGGGCCCTCAGGGGCCTTGTCTCAACAGGCAGTGATTGGGTTGTAGGGAGCGAGACCTGACCCCACTCATGCATCCTGGCTGGTTCCCCACCAGGTTTCAGGCTGGACCTAGTGTGGCAGTTCCGAGAGAGGAAGCGGGGGAAGGGATGCATCTTCAGGAAGGGCCCCCTCCCCTCACTCACTGTGAGTCCATTACTGTGTGGGAAGGGCTGTGTCTCTGCCTCCCCTCACTCCCCTTCCCTGGCCCTGCGGGGTGGGGGAGAGATTGTCTGGGGCCTGAGCCCATTGTGTGGAGAAGAGAGCCTCATTGGCAGGCAGCCGGGGCATCAATTTGTGATTATCTGCTCCCTGGTCTTGATTGGCTGGATGCAGTGGGGTCTCCCCAGGGCCCTGGGACACAAGTTTGTGCAGCAACTTTTTCCAGCATGAAGTGACGTGTGTTCCCAGAGAGAAGGTGCACCCCCTGGCCAGGATGACGCTCTGCGGGACCTTCCTGGGTGCGTACCACCCCCAGCCCCTCGCGTCCCTCCCTGGTCTGTTCACAAGTTTCTGCGAAGATGCCAAAGGGACTAATTAGCTGTGTGTGTCCCCCCCTCAGAGCTCAGTGCTCTTTTCTGGGCAGCCAAGGAGGTGACAGACATGCTCCCTCCTGAACAATGGCCAGGGCCCCTGGGGAAACAGCCACCTCCCCTTCTAGCGGATCCCGTGGCTTGCAGAAGTGCTGACGGCACAGAGCCCTGTGAACGCTGCCCTGCAGAAGGTTGGAGGTGGGAGGGCGGTGGGCAGGGTGTGTGCAGAGGCCAGCTGGGCCTTCTTTCTGTTGATTTACCTGCCTGGATCTGCCTGGCAGGCCATATAGCTGGTGGGTGTCAGGAGCCCTTGGCCTGGAGCAAGGCTCTGTGAGACTCTGTGAGAAGGTGGCAGAGAGAATGTGTGTGCGCGCGCGCGTGCGCGCGACAGATGTCCCCTGGGACTTAACTGTAGCTAAGGGGCTTTGGCCAGGGCCGCTGCTGCTTGCGTCCTCATCACACTCAAAGTTGCTGTGTGTGTGAGTGCACGTGTGTGAGTGTGCATATGTATGTGAGGGTCTCACAAACTGGATGCCAAATGTTTGTGAGCGTCTGCGTGAGTGTGAGACAGAAACACAAAGTCAGCCCCGAGTGTGGCGGAGAGTGGATCCCGGTTTTGTTTGCTCCATCTGCCAGGGCCGGCCTGGGGCAGCACCCCCGCCCTCAGCTGTTCTATACAATATTAATGCTCACCATCTCGGCCTCACACAACGGCCCTAATTGTCGTCTGCAGCATTAAGGCAGGCGCCCATCTGCGGGGAAGCTTTCAGAAGGAAACAAGAAAACCCTCACCCCCAGCTGGTCACCGGAGAAGGTGGTGCCAATTACAGATGCAGAAAGTTTAGACCAAAATTACTTGAAAGAGTTTTTATGAAGCAAATGAACTGACACTTGGAATGTCTGTGTGCAGATTTGCACAAGTAATTACACTTTATTTGAAATGATCTTACCAGCTAAGCGATCATTAAGCCTGCTCCCCCACTCACACAAAGCGCTTTCTCAGCGAGTGCGGCTGCGGCGTAAGTTTGGTTTTGCAAATCTCCCGTTTCCCTCCCCGTGTGGAGTCTGAGGACCCGCCAGTCAGACAGGAGTTATTTCCTGGTGGATCTTTCCAAACATATTATTAAAAAGTCACATGTGACTTTCCCACAGACTTTTATGAAATAAAACCCAAAGGAACAGCGTGCAACATGCTCAGTTATGGAAGAGAAAATATTTTATGATTTCAAAAAGTCCTGACAAATTTTCACCCTCTCTAAGAAAGGAAGCTTAAGACTATACCTTGCTGTTGTCACTTACAAGCAGGGATCTGTTGGGGTTTGGAATTCTCTGTCTCAGCCCGGAGCCCAGAGTTCAGCGATAGCTGAATACTGGTGCGAGCTCAGAAGCTTCCGTGTGCGGAGAACAAAGACTGAGGCGCTCTGGGGGGAGAGCGCTGTCCGAAGTGCTGATCAGACTTCGGATCCACCCACCGCTCAGGCCGCCTCCCAGGGGCTGAAGGGCGGCAGCCGAACCGGAGAGACGTGCCGGCGGCCGCTCTTCTGTCCTGCTCTTTTCCCTGGACTCCTTTGTCTTGACGGGGTCAGCTAAAGACTTCGAACCTTTACTCATCAAAGCTCATCTTCGGAAACTGCTCATAGCACTTTAACCTCCCGGTGGGAGCTCCCAGGGCGCCCTAGGTCCTGCCAGCAGGCACCGATTTCAAGTTTCCAGGCACATTCTGAATGCTCCTCCTGGCAGCGCCACAGAGGGTCTGGGGGCCCATTCCCGACCCCCGGAGCGCCACACCTCAGGAGGCCTGTGATTGTTCAAAAGGGGAAGTGAGAAATGCCGAAAGACTTACGTTTTCACAAATACAATTTCTATTACCTGAAAAAACTGTTGTGCCCCACGAAGCCCGTGTTGCGCAGGTTCATCTCTCCTGCTGCCACCTCCGCTTCGCTGTGGTTTCTTAGGTGTGACTGTTGCATATCTGAATTAAGTCGCTTTCATGAAACCTTGGGTGTCGTTGGGAAATAAGGCTGATTCAGCAACGGCCCTCCCTTTGATTCTGTATTCATCATGGAACAATGGCCCGCAAGCCTGCCCGGAGCCTGCAGCCTGCCGATAAGAGTTTAATAGAATTTCTGAATGCCGAAGGTTTGGGGTGTAAGACATCCTAGCACTCACAGCATGTCCAGAGGAGACAGAAACGGCTTTTCAGGAGTGCTCTCAGCTGAATGTGTCCTTTTATACTAATGGATATAAGTTTATGACAGAAATTAAAAATGGTAGGCAGTCATTGTGGAAACCTCGAACTGTTCTCATTTGACTAATTAATATTTCATCCTCAGTTTGACCAGTGCAGGCTTGCATTTATGTCCTTGTGCTCAATCTGAACAATTGCTCTGTGTGCATTTTGTGTTTTATTTGTTGAGGATAATGTGTGCGTATAAGAATCTAAGATACTTGCCTTTGGGGTGAAGCTTTTGGTTTGTATGTAACGTGTAAAGCACAAACTGTATGTTAAAAATAAGCCACTAAGATTTTCAAAACATGCTCTCTTAGAGAAAGCTGTGTTCAGTTCTGCCTCAGTCACACTTTTGGTGGCCCGAGCCCTTTAGCGCTAATTAAGTTGGGGTATTGTGCTCTTGCATAATTTACCAAGAAATGATGTTTACTGTCTGTTGAAATCTCTGCACTGAACTTCTGAGATGTGAGTTTTCTGCTTCTCCAGCTGCCCTTGGACGGCGGCATCTTTGCAGGCGTCTCACATTGAGTTTTCACCCTTGTGTTTCACAGTTTCATTTCTAACATCCTGATTATGATAATGGACAATCGTTTGCCTGATTTATCAGTACAAGAAGGAGATTTGGGCCGCAAACAAGAATACTCTGGCTCTTGAGTTCTCTTACTGAAGAAATTCCCACTTTATCCCTGAATGTGGGGGAAAATATCACAAACTGGCAGATGAGAAGGCAGACAGTCAGGCTGCATAGAGAGTGGGTGAGCACTTCTATTGTGTGTGTTATGGATTTTTCTCTTCTTGATTTTCACTGGATAGCTCCTTTCAGGCCGTTTATAAAAGAATCAGGAAAAGAGCAGAAAACTTGGGCAGTGTGCTTCGCTCTGGTTGCAATAAACTTAGTCTTTTTGTGGGGGGGTTCCCATGCCCAGGAATCCCTGAGTTCTCTTTGGGAAGGTTTTTATTATTGTAAAAATTAAAGTGAAAAGGGAAAGTGTGAGAACAGAAAAATGTCTTTTCCTGATCTATTCTTTGTGTGCATGACTCTATTTTTTGGTCTGTGGCTATAGTTACCTTTTATGCCGTTAAAAAATACATATCCATTTAAGTCAGGGGTACTTGAATATGCAGATGAGCCGATATGTAATATTCCTGGTTCATTTGAGTAATAAATTCTGCAGCCCGCTCTTTATGATGGTAGATCATATTCCTCACCACCAATAAATATTGTAAAGTACTTTCGCTGTAGCCATGCTAACCCGGGGCATCTGTCATTCCGGTTGCTGCTATTAGGAATTATTGGACTGAACCACTGGCAGAGAAAGCAGAGGGGGGTGAATGTGGTGGTTGTGATGCTCTCTGCCCTTTTGTGTGTTTTGCTTTTTAAAAAAACTCAATCATGCTGCACATTGAGTATGAATCAGTGTGGACAAACATAGGCACCTTCTGTTGGCCGAGGCTCAGAGCAGGACACAGGACTCCACCGGACTGGGACACCTCTCACCCCCAATTCAGCAGATCCATCTTTCTGATGCTATACTGTAAATTTATTTCACCTCAGAGAGTAAACAGATATATTGGAGCCCCAAGGGTTCATGGGTAGCGTATTTACAAAGGAGCCTCCTCCGCCAGCCCGTGCCACCGCTGCTAATGAGAGCAGTCATTAAGTAAATGAGACGTCGCCTTTAGCTGGCTTAGGAGTTCGCACACTAAGGGGAGAAGATATTTAATTGAAACCCGCACGCAGGCTTCCCCACATGTGACCGCTGTACGGGAGGCAGCTGCCTTCCCTCTCCTCCCCCAGTCCACCCTGCACCCCCCATGTAAATTTCATGATTGCTTTCCGTGATGTCATTTTGAAAGAGGACAGACAATAGCTGTGGGGAAAGGTAAGTCAACGTTACGTTCTTTCTGACAAAGGCAGATACCCAACGCTTGGCTTTTCCTCTTGGACAGAGACAGGGAGAGGGCGCGCGGGCAGAGTTAATTTCTAAGATGAAGGCTCTGTTTGCAGGAAAAGCAGGTCTGAGGATGGCTTTTTGAAACTGCTCTGGAGGACGGGGGCTTTCTTCTCCTCCCTGGCCTGCCGTGTGCTGTTTTTCTCCTGTCTCTCTGTTGTTCATGCTCCTCTGAGATTCCAGGGGACATGTTGTGCGTCTGACAGAGGAGACATTAGGGGAAGGGGAGCGCATATCAAAACCAGAAACTTTATGCGCATTTCTGGAAGAGGAACAACGGATATGTCTGTGGCCGTGGGACCCAGCAGCCCCGTACCTGGGGAGAGCACTGGCCGCTTAAGCAGAAGACCTCTCTGAAGCAGGGTCTCAGAGTCTGGGGTGTGTCATGTGTGACCCCCACCCAAGGTACTGAGGAGAGGTGCTCACGTGAACGTTTTGTC
Organism: Homo sapiens; assembly: GCF_000001405.40. Classification (NCBI taxonomy): domain Eukaryota; kingdom Metazoa; phylum Chordata; class Mammalia; order Primates; family Hominidae; genus Homo; species Homo sapiens. Next base: position 64,165,249 of record NC_000020.11, read on the forward strand.
TGCATGTCATGCATTTCTCAACTTAAGGATCAATATCTAGGGTGCATGCGTCTGTGGGATAGATGTGCAGAAGTAAATATCGGCCGCTCCTCTCAGCCCCTTTTTTCGCTACGTGTCCGTGCAGCTGTGGAGTGTGGTTGTTTATGGTGGTAGTGTAACTGGATTTTTGTATTTAAAACTAAAAATCAGGGTTAGCTAAGAAGTTGAACACCCTAATGCCATTGTCTGTAGTTCTGGGGCCGTGGACTTTGGTTCTGTCTATTGAATTCACTTTCTTCTCTATAAACCAGGAAAATAAACAAGTGCTGGTGGCTTTGTGTTGGAGTGGTGGGTTCTCACTGCTCCTCCTGAGTCACCAAGGGCTTTGCTTGTCTCAGCATCACCTTTGAATCAGTGGACACCATTGGCTGGTAAAGTTGGGTGTTTAATTTTGGAAACCAAACATTTGCGGTGGTGCGGGGGGTTCCGTGGCTGCAGGTGGGTTTGGTCCTGGGCATGGACTCTGTCACGATGATGATAATGGCAGCGATGATTATAATTATCCTTTTGGGAGAGGTCGGTGGAGAATTTTGCCCTTGCAGTTTTTTTTTTTCTTTTAAATCACAGAAAACTGAGGACACCTCTAACGCCAGTGGCTGAGTGCACAAAAGGTGGGAGGGATGTGGGGCAGACCTGGGGGGGCCCACTCGGTGCTGAGGGGTATGCTCTGCCTCTGTCTCCTCTGAGGTGCCAGCAGAGCCTGTCCTGGCCTCACTCTGGCCTGGGGAGTGGGGGTGCTGTATCCTCTACAGGGCTGACTGAGGGAGGCTCCCCTCGGCCCCCAGCCTCCCTGCCACCCCGGGCTCCCCTCCCATTGGTCCTTGGCTGTGATTATCGCCTCCTTCCATATGGCCCTGTTAATTAACGGTAAACAAAAGAGTAAGAGAGCAGGGATTGGAGTCCTGTGGTACCAGCCAGGGTGCTGCTATCAGTAGAGGCAGGACCCTGCCCTGTCTCCCTCGGTAGCTGTTCCTTGTGCAGAGGAGGCTGGGTCAGGGCTTAGAGGGCAGTTTGTTTTCAAAGAGAAGGAGGCAGTCTTATGGATTCTTCTGTCCCGTAGAGACTGAGACTCCTACAGGGTCCCCCCGACCCCCTGGGCACCTGGACGTTTGCCGAACTTCCCAGGGGTACTTGCTGATCCAGGAGCTTGAGCAGGAGCCACAGAGAGTTGGACAAAGAGGCCTTTCTGCTCTGGAACAGCCTCGGCTCTGACCTCCTTGGGCCATGAATCCCTGAAGAGGGCCTGGTAGCCCTCTTCAGAGACCCGAGGCAGGGGGGCTGCTTCTGTCCAAAGTGCCACTCGAGGGTTTTTGTGACCCTCAGCCATTGCCCACAGATCTGGAGGTAGCCTCAGTTGTTCAGAGCTAATGCTCTGGCCCCTCTTGGAAGATTCTGGCAAAGGCAGTGGTCACCTACTCCCTTGAATGCCCCTGGTGCATGAGTGGGGAAACACTCTCTGAGATGACCCCTTCTAGCCATGTGGGATGCAAAGTTGCTCTGGTCTGGGGGTTGCAGCAGCCTCTACTTGGAAGCTCTGTTAGTGCCGGAGATGTCAGGGAGAGGCTGGCAGAGGGTATGCGGCCACGGGGGTGCATGCTGGGCAGCTCTGGCAGCTGACCAACGGCAGCCTGGATGGTGGCTGGAGCTTGGCCTGTCCCTGCTGTGGATGTGGTGGGCGCTCTCCCTGGTGCTGCTCAGAGACTCACTCCCTTCCTCTCTGGCCTGGGGTCACTGAATGTGCAGACAATGACATTTGTGGTGGTGTGGTGGGTAGAGGAGACCCACACCACTCTGCACTGGGGAGACAGGGGTCAGAGCCTGACTAACTGTCTTCCTGGTGCTGCTCAGTCTGGTGATGTCTGGGCCGCTTGGAATGCCAGTTTGCACAACCCAGTACTGTGCAGAGAGAGCAGGAGAGGTTCCTGAAGACTGACAAAGTGCCAGAGAGAAACCCGGGGCCTCCAGCCGCTGCTCGGTGGCAGTGGGCGGGCTGGTGGGGGCTGAGCTCTTCCTGGACGGACTCAGTGCAAAAGGTGCGTCTACTTTGGAAAAGACTGAGCAAGGCTTGTGTCCACCCAGTCCCTCTGTCGGGGCTCAGGGTGGGGATGAGACCGGGAACAACCAGAACACTTTGGTCAGCACCGGGCCTGGAGTAGATGAGGAGGTAGAGAACTGACCCAGCTGGTGGAACAGGGGTCAGGAGGTTAGCTGTGGGGTGGGTGGGGGCTGCTGGCGGTCACCTGATCTGCGAGCAGGCAGGGTACTGGACGGTCAGCCAGACTTTCATGTTACTCAGGCATCTTGAAGAGTGGATGCTCTGCCTGTCCCAATGCTGGAAGACACATCTCAGAGCCCCTCTTTTGTTGCCTGTTCTCTTGTAGGAACCTGGGCGGGAGAGTGGAGCAGGGTGCCCGCAGGGGCTGGGGGGGCTCTTCTCTTTCTTCCTCTCTCCCATCTTCCTCATCTTAGATCCTCCCCCTCTGCATTTTCCGTGTGAACTCCCTCATGAATAAACCAGAAGTTAGTTGTCTACAGATGTAATTTTAACAGGAATGTTGTGGTGTGAGTTTACAGGAAAATGGTCTTTGGGAACCAGCATCATTAGATTAGTCAGACCGAGAAACGCCGTGTTTCCCAGAAGGGAAGAGAGCAGTGGCTGCCGTGCTGCTCCCCCGTGGGCTTCCTGCTCTTTGGGGACTGCGGGACCCATCCCCGCTCCAGGACAGCCCCACTGGGGAGCCCACTGCCCAGCCCGGAGTGTCTGCTGGAGGCCTGGGGGGTGGAATGTGCTTTCACGGCCTCTTGAGGTTCCCGGCATTTTTCTGTCTTTCAGACCAAATTTCCCCAAACATCACTTTAAAAAACTCAAAACAAAAATGAGCAAGAGGAATTTCACCGGAATTAAAATGTTTTTGATCTCAGGCTTCCACGGAGCCAGCTTCAGAGAGAAGAGATTAATGGATACTTGCAAGTGGAAAGTGTAGTTTGAAAATGTCTTCCTGTTTCTCTTCAGTGTTACTGGAACTAACCAGATACAAGTGTGGAGTCTTTTCTCCCCAGGGTTAATGCCATTAGGAGCGTTCCTTGTGGGAAGATTGGTTTCACCCATCACTTCATCCTTTTTTTTATTTTACAATTTGCACTTAAAAATGCAATGTTATTTTAATCGGGAACGAAAGTAACTCAGCGTGCTTTAATCTGCCCTGGCTGAGTACATCTGCCTTGGCCAGGATTGGAGTCCAGGCCTTGCAGAGGAGAGAGGATGTCGACACAGCTGTGGGTGTCTGTGGTCCTCCTGCCACCCCTTGTCCTGCAGCACCGGAAGCCTCCACTCAGCAGCCCCAACCTTCAAGAGAGTGACTTTGTGCTCTGGCAACTGAGTGTGTGGTTTGCCCTGGGGTTGCTTGGAGTTGATTGGATATGTTCCCTGTGCCTTGGGGTTTATTTGGGACTGTGGCCTGGGAGCACGGCCTGTGCCAGGAGGGTGCAGGTTGGATGGTCCTCAGGAAGTAGGCTGCAGCGCTCTGCAGGAGTCAGGGTGGCCAGGCAAGGTGGGGGTGAGCACTGGGGATCTGGATGCTCGGGAGGAAAGGTGGAGGCACCATATGGCCTGAGCTGCTGACAGATGAGCCTGCTGGCCCCACCTCTCTCTCACGCCTGGCTTCACACCTCCATCGTGTTCAACACTGGTCTGAGGGCTGGGGCAGAAGCCATCTGGGTCCTCTTCTTTTTTTCCATTTTGCTGCCTGCAATCCACACATCAGAGGAGGAGCGTGAGAAGAGGGGGCCCTGGGTCAAGGCGGTTGGAGCCTCTCACCTGGTCCTGGGGGACCCTCCATGTCTCCCTCAGGGACCCACAGAGCTGCCAGTGGCTGACCTGTCCTGCCTGAGTGGGAGGAGAGTGGGAGTTTGGATGCTCCATGGTGCACCAAGGCCTGCTTTAGAAGGCCCTAGAAGGTCCCTGAGACTCTCGGACCGCAAACTGACAGCAGCAGGTGCCTGGGGTGGCCTCCCAGTGAGCCAGAGCCACAGACCCGAGGCGCGTCCCCAATCCCGGTGTGCGCCTCGCTGAGCTAGCTTGTCAAAGCGCTTGGGTCTTTACACCTACAGGGTTTTTGGGTTCTGAAAATCAAATGGCTTTAGCAGTCCTGCTCTGTGGGCAGCCAAAGTGGCTCCTAACTGAAGGTGCTGCCCATTCTTTACAAGACTTAGAGCTGGGGGACAAGTTCCCTCTTGGCTCTGAGTTTCCCAGGATAACTGCCGTCCCAGGGAGCCCGGGGATGGTTCAGAGCAGCCTCCCAGTTACTGCTGACTGAATACTTGGTTGTCAGTCGCTCGTCAGCATGTGGGATTGTGCTCACCCTGCCCTTACCAAAGTTTTGTTTAGGGAAAAACAGAGATTTGAAATTGGGACGACTTACTATGGTTAACATTATTTTCATTGAGACTGGGCCTTAATCTTCGAATGGAACAAAAAATCTGACTTAGGTCGTAAGGGGCAGAGAAACACGTTTGACGCTGTTATTTTAATCGTTGAGACCGTGCTAACTTGTTCAGTTCTCATGAACGTGTTCTGTACTGGACACTGAGGCTGGGAGGCAAATTAGCTTCCCAGGTGAGTGGTGTAGCTCGAATCTAAGATCTTTCCAGCACAGCCTCCCTCACAGTCCCACCCAGCCCCACCCAGCCTTCCTGCCGAGTGCCCCAGGCTGCCATGGAGGCTGCCCGCAGGCCACAGTATGACCCTCACTGCCCTCGTGTCTCTTCCTCACAGCCTGGGACATATCTAGAGCCTGTCCCCAGCATACCCTCCAACCTTATTCTCCGTCCCAAACTGGGTTGTTACCCACGATTCCCAAACATGCCTCCCTATCTCCCTTCATCTCCTGCAGCTGAATTTTTGCTTCTCTTTCAAGGCTTCTTACAGATGCCACCCCGGGCCCTCCTTTACTTACCTTTACTCTCACGTGTCTCACATTTGAAATCCCGCTCTCGGGATGCAATGTCTCTGCTGTGACATTGCATCAGACTGATGGGTATCCCTGCTTGCTTTCCGGGAGAGCCTGCAGGCAACCAGCTCTGGGGGCTGCTGGGCCTGAGGAAAGCATCCCAAGTCAAGGGGCTGCTGGACCCAATGGGGCACTGCAAGTCTGGACCAGGGAAGGATCCACATTTTAGCTTTGAGGTTGGAAGGACACTTGTGTTGGGAAGAAAAGCTACTTAAATGCTCAGTTGAGCAGTTCTGAATTATTCCTCCACTCTGTTCCTTCTTGAGGTTGAGCCCTGCCTTCTGGTTATTTGAGATCAAGTCCGCCTAGATAAAATGTTAGACTATTACTGCACATTAAAGAGGTACCTCTTACAGTCATTTTTTTTTAAGTGGTCTGATTTTGTTTTGGCTGGCTTATTTAGAGTTTTGTGCTTCCTCATTTTATTTCCACGAAGGCTGTGCCCAACCTTAGCCTCGGTGAGCCGTGACCCAGCCATGTCACCGATGCGTCAAAGTGGGTTGGCTGTGAGGCATTCATTCTCTCCCCATGACACAGATAGACAAATTGGTCATATATATATATATATATATATATATATATATATATAGAGAGAGAGAGAGAGAGAGAGAGAGAGAGAGAGAGAGAGAGAGAGAGAGACGGAGTCTTGCTCTGTTGGCCTGGCTGGAGTGCAGTGGCGCCTTCTTGGCTGCAACCTCCGCCTCCGGGTTCAAGCAATTCCGTCTGCCTCAGTCTCCCAAGTAGCTGGGACTGCAGATGCGTGCCACCAAGTCTGGCTAATTTTTGTATTTTTTTTTTTTTTAACAGAGATGGGGTTTTGCCATGTTGGCGAGGCTGGTCTTGAACTCCTGACCTCAGGTGATCTGCCTGCCTCCGCCTCCCAAAGTGCTGGTATTACAGGTGTGAGCCACTGTGCCCGGCCAAATTTACCCAATTTTTAAGAGTTATGACGTGCTGCAAGCTTGCTGCCTTCCCTCATCCAGCGGTAAGTCCTGTAAGGAGTCTGCTTCCTAGGTGCATCAGCCAGATAGGGAAAACAAAGGGATTTGTTACTGAATGGCATTCAGGGAAGCAATCCCTAGAAGGCTGCCTGGAGCCTGTCTCGGGGAATCCGTTCCAGGACTCTGGGCCCTGCACCTCTTCCCTGTGGAGTGTCACCCACACCGGTGGCCTGGGCTTTGTCTGGCTGCAAATCGCACATGCGGCTTCTAAGTCAGAACCTGCTGCTGGATGTGGAGCTCCCTTCATCCCCAGGGTCTGAGCCTTTGTCCTTGGCTGACCCCTATCCTCTGGCATCTGGAGGAACCCAAACCCTAACCCCTAACCTCTGGCATCTGGAGGAACCCAAACCCTAACTCCCTACACCTCTGGCATCTGGAGGAACCCAAACCCTAACCCCTAACCTCTGGCATCTGGAGGAACCCAAACCCTAACTCCCTACACCTCTGGCATCTGGAGGAACCCAAACCCTAACCCCTAACCTCTGGCATCTGGAGGAAGCCAAACCCTAACCCCTAACCTCTGGCATCTGGAGGAACCCAAACCCTAACCCCCTACACCTCTGGCATCTGGAGGAACCCAAACCCTAACCCCCTACACCTCTGGCATCTGGAGGAACCCAAACCCACTTCAATATAAGAGTTAGAGTCCAATTCCTCTTCCTGGAGAGCCCTCTGATGGCCTTGGGACCCTGGACCTGGTGAGCTCTCCCCCTGCCAGCCCCTCCTACTGGCCACCCACTTCCTGCCCAGTCACCCAGAGGCCAGGCCACCTCTGGTGTGGGTAAAGCGTTTGTGTTTTCCCCAAATGTGTTCTGTGTTGGCTCTCGTGTACTGACCACTGTCCATCCAGGCTGGGAAATTACCATACACATCCCCCCGCCCCCCACAATTTTTCTAAGCCTGTAGAGCAGCAGAGGGGGCTGCTCTGAGCCCTGGAGCTAGGGCTGCAGTTGGACCCATCAGAGAGCAGCTGCCTGGGCTTACCCTACCCAAGCAGGGATTTGGGCAGGGGTCCTGCAGTTGGAGAGCCTGGGATTGGAGAAGGAAAACAGAACTGTTGTGAAAGCCAAAATCCCCAAGGGCTTTGAGGCCTGGGGATCTTCCCTCGAGCTCTCTCCCTTCTGAACTGGGGATGAGCCAGCGTGTGGGCTCATCCTGACCCTAAAGGGAATGTGAGATGCCCCTCCTAGTGGAATTTTGTCTTCAAGGCCTCAGTAAAATGTGGTTTTAAGGCAGAAGGAGATGGCCATTTCCTTTCTTTTTGGGCTGGAAAGCTGAACGGTTCTAAGAAAAATTTCTGGGACCAAGGAACGAAAATGCTGGAGCAGAATTCCAGAGCAGGACCTCTTGATCCCGCGAAGCCGACGTGTCTTCTGGGGAGTTCCCAAAGATCCATGGGGAAGACGCCCCCAAACCCAGTGCTGCTGGCTCTGGCCATACCCTCTTTTTTTTTTTTTTTTTTTTTTTGAAGATGGAGTCTCACTCTGTTGCCCAGGCTGGAGTGCAGTGGCGTGATCTTGGCTCACTGCAACCTCCGCCTACTGGGTTCAGCAATTCTCCTGCCTCGGCCTCCTGCATGTGCCACCACACCTGGCTAATTTTTGTATCTTTAGTAGAGACAGGGTTTCACCATGTTGGTCAGGCTGGTCTTTAACTCCTGCCCTCAAGTGATCCACCCACCTCGGCCTCCCAAAGTGTTAGGATTACAGGCTTGAGCCACCATTCCTGGCCTCATACCCTCTTAATTCTTATCTTGCATCTGGAATACCTGTTGGACCAGGCCTGTTTCCATCACAGCCCCTTCTTATTGCCTTTGTGTTCTCTGTGTTCTACCCCTTCCCATACCCCAGGATTCAGGCAGGCGAGTCCAGTTGTGCCTGATTGGAAAAAGTGTCTCTGATGGTGGCCCAGTGAGGCAAGGCCCATGGGTCAGCCTGGCCAATTTCCCTCCCCTCCTGAGCACCGTGGGAGGGTCAGGCCTCAAGCAGCCCTCGGAGGCAGCAGTCACAGACAGAGGTGGGCTGTTGGACAGGTGCGGCTGATAGAGTGGGTGTCTTTTGTGGGCTTCTCCCCAGCCTGTGGCCTGGCCTAGTCAGTAGAGATGGTCAGGGGAGCAGGAGGGAGCCCATACCCCAGTGCCTGTAGTTGTGTCCATTTCCCCTCCCTGACTTCTCCTCCTGCAGCATCCTTCCCTTTAGTTGTGTCCATTTCCCCTCCCTGACTTCTCCTCCTGCAGCATCCTTCCCTTTAGTTGTGTCCATTTCCCCTCCCTGACTTCTCCTCCTGCAGCATCTTTCCTAGTTGTGTCCATTTCCCCTCCCTGACTTCTCCTCCTGCAGCATCTTTCCTTGTAGTTGTGTCCATTTCCCCTCCCTGGCTTCTCCTCCTGCAGCATCTTTCCTTGTAGTTGTGTCCATTTCCCCTCCCTGACTTCTCCTCCTGCAGCATCCTTCCCTGTAGTTGTGTCCATTTCCCCTCCCTGGCTTCTCCTGCAGCATCTTTCCCTGTAGTTGTGTCCATTTCCCCTCCCTGGCTTCTCCTGCAGCATCTTTCCCTGTAGTTGTGTCCATTTCCCCTCCCTGGCTTCTCCTGCAGCATCTTTCCCTGTAGTTGTGTCCATTTCCCCTCCCTGGCTTCTCCTGTAGCATCTTTCCCTGTAGTTGTGTCCATTCCCCCTCCCTGGCTTCTCCTGTAGCATCTTTCCTAGTTGTGTCCATTTCCCCTCCCTGGCTTCTCCTGCAGCATCTTTCCCTGTAGTTGTGTCCATTTCCCCTCCCTGGCTTCTCCTGTAGCATCTTTCCTAGTTGTGTCCATTTCCCCTCCCTGGCTTCTCCTCCTGCAGCATCTTTCCCTGTAGTTGTGTCCATTCCCCCTCCCTGGCTTCTCCTGTAGCATCTTTCCTAGTTGTGTCCATTTCCCCTCCCTGGCTTCTCCTGTAGCATCTTTCCTAGTTGTGTCCATTTCCCCTCCCTGGCTTCTCCTGCAGCATCTTTCCCTGTAGTTGTGTCCATTTCCCCTCCCTGGCTTCTCCTGCAGCATCTTTCCCTGTAGTTGTGTCCATTTCCCCTCCCTGGCTTCTCCTGCAGCATCTTTCCCTGTAGTTGTGTCCATTTCCCCTCCCTGGCTTCTCCTGTAGCATCTTTCCCTGTAGTTGTGTCCATTCCCCCTCCCTGACTTCTCCTCCTGCAGCATCTTTCCCTGTAGTTGTGTCCATTTCCCCTCCCTGGCGTCTCCTCCTGCAGCATCTTTCCCTGTAGTTGTGTCCATTTCCCCTCCCTGGCTTCTCCTGTAGCATCTTTCCTAGTTGTGTCCATTTCCCCTCCCTGGCTTCTCCTCCTGCAGCATCTTTCCCTGTAGTTGTGTCCATTCCCCCTCCCTGGCTTCTCCTGTAGCATCTTTCCTAGTTGTGTCCATTTCCCCTCCCTGGCTTCTCCTGTAGCATCTTTCCTAGTTGTGTCCATTTCCCCTCCCTGGCTTCTCCTGCAGCATCTTTCCCTGTAGTTGTGTCCATTTCCCCTCCCTGGCTTCTCCTGCAGCATCTTTCCCTGTAGTTGTGTCCATTTCCCCTCCCTGGCTTCTCCTGTAGCATCTTTCCCTGTAGTTGTGTCCATTTCCCCTCCCTGGCTTCTCCTGCAGCATCTTTCCCTGTAGTTGTGTCCATTTCCCCTCCCTGGCTTCTCCTGCAGCATCTTTCCCTGTAGTTGTGTCCATTTCCCCTCCCTGGCTTCTCCTGTAGCATCTTTCCCTGTAGTTGTGTCCATTTCCCCTCCCTGGCTTCTCCTGCAGCATCTTTCCCTGTAGTTGTGTCCATTTCCCCTCCCTGGCTTCTCCTGTAGCATCTTTCCCTGTAGTTGTGTCCATTCCCCCTCCCTGGCGTCTCCTCCTGCAGCATCTTTCCCTGTAGTTGTGTCCATTCCCCCTCCCTGGCTTCTCCTGCAGCATCTTTCCCTGTAGTTGTGTCCATTTCCCCTCCCTGGCTTCTCCTGCAGCATCTTTCCCTGTAGTTGTGTCCATTTCCCCTCCCTGGCTTCTCCTGTAGCATCTTTCCTAGTTGTGTCCATTTCCCCTCCCTGGCTTCTCCTGCAGCATCTTTCCCTGTAGTTGTGTCCATTTCCCCTCCCTGGCTTCTCCTGTAGCATCTTTCCCTGTAGTTGTGTCCATTCCCCCTCCCTGACTTCTCCTCCTGCAGCATCTTTCCCTGTAGTTGTGTCCATTTCCCCTCCCTGGCGTCTCCTCCTGCAGCATCTTTCCCTGTAGTTGTGTCCATTTCCCCTCCCTGGCTTCTCCTGTAGCATCTTTCCTAGTTGTGTCCATTTCCCCTCCCTGGCTTCTCCTCCTGCAGCATCTTTCCCTGTAGTTGTGTCCATTCCCCCTCCCTGGCTTCTCCTGTAGCATCTTTCCTAGTTGTGTCCATTTCCCCTCCCTGGCTTCTCCTGTAGCATCTTTCCTAGTTGTGTCCATTTCCCCTCCCTGGCTTCTCCTGCAGCATCTTTCCCTGTAGTTGTGTCCATTTCCCCTCCCTGGCTTCTCCTGCAGCATCTTTCCCTGTAGTTGTGTCCATTTCCCCTCCCTGGCTTCTCCTGTAGCATCTTTCCCTGTAGTTGTGTCCATTTCCCCTCCCTGGCTTCTCCTGCAGCATCTTTCCTAGTTGTGTCCATTTCCCCTCCCTGGCTTCTCCTGCAGCATCTTTCCCTGTAGTTGTGTCCATTTCCCCTCCCTGGCTTCTCCTGTAGCATCTTTCCCTGTAGTTGTGTCCATTCCCCCTCCCTGGCGTCTCCTCCTGCAGCATCTTTCCCTGTAGTTGTGTCCATTTCCCCTCCCTGGCTTCTCCTGCAGCATCTTTCCCTGTAGTTGTGTCCATTTCCCCTCCCTGGCTTCTCCTGTAGCATCTTTCCCTGTAGTTGTGTCCATTCCCCCTCCCTGGCGTCTCCTCCTGCAGCATCTTTCCCTGTAGTTGTGTCCATTTCCCCTCCCTGGCTTCTCCTCCTGCAGCATCTTTCCCTGTAGTTGTGTCCATTCCCCCTCCCTGGCTTCTCCTCCTGCAGCATCTTTCCCTGTAGTTGTGTCCATTTCCCCTCCCTGGCTTCTCCTGCAGCATCTTTCCCTGTAGTTGTGTCCATTTCCCCTCCCTGGCTTCTCCTGCAGCATCTTTCCCTGTAGTTGTGTCCATTTCCCCTCCCTGGCTTCTCCTCTTCTAGCATCTTTCCTGCTCCCTGGTAGCCTCTTGGGAGCCACCTATTTCTGGAGGTCCCCACTCTGGGTTCCTTGTCCTGGGTGTGGGGCGAATGTGCTGGACTGGGGTCACAGCATTGAACCCCACTTGGAGCTGAGGATGTTCTCGCCCCAGAAGGAAAAGCTGTGTGTGTCTGCGTGGAGCAGTGTGGAGTGGTTTCCTTGGTGCCGCCTGGGTTCCGGGCACCCGGCCTGGGTGTGAGGCCTGGTCACATGGCTGAACTGCTCTCCCAGGCACCCCGGGAGGGATGAATGTGACACTATTGGTGTCCCTCCCAGCACACTGCCTGCCCTGGGCTGGGCACACTCCTCCCCTGTTGGCAGCCGGGGATGACAGGCCGCCTGGAGAGCCCGTCCTGTGATTTGGTTTGGAAAGTCATTATTACTGCAGAGCAGTTTAGCTGTTGTTTTTACAGCGTTGGTAAGGTTAAAAGAAATAATGATAATAATATAAGAAAGACTCAGCCACAGTAACTGCCTGCAACATGCTATTTGCATTTTTAAGGAAACACTTCTTTGAGACAGCCTGGGTGAAAGGTCACTATTTGCATATAAATGGAAAAGAAAGTGTATGATGCTGGAAGTTACATCTGTATTATTTTCTCAGCAGTGAGCTGCTGTTGGAGAGATTAGAGGACATGGCTTGCATTTGGCTTTTATTGAATAGAGAAAGTACCAGCGAGGCTGATTTAGAAGCAAAATAATGAGAGAAATGTGCAAAGCTATAGAATTGCCAACTCCCTGCCCCCACCTCTCCCTTCTCTCATTTTCACCTAAACTCAGCAAAAGCTGGTCTGCCTTTGCGCCACTCAGCAAGTCTTCATTTTACTTCTCTCTGGATTCCAGAGAGGAAAAAAAAAAAGGAAAGAAAAAGAGCAAAACTTGCCCTCATTTTCCCCTCGGTCCCATTTGTGTTTCCTGCCAGTGTTTCCTCCAGATGCCCCAAACCCCGGAGCAGAAGCCCCTGTGACTGTGGCCCCCCAGGGTGTGGAGAGGAAGAGGCCCTCGGGGCGGGGACAAGAGGGCACCCCTCTCCAGGGTGGGGACAAGAGGGCACCCCTCTCCAGGGGTGGGGACATGAGGGCACCCCTCTCCGGGGGCGGGGACAAGAGGGCACCCCTCTCCAGGGCAGGGACAAGAGGGTACCCCTCTCCGGAGCTAGTGGGCCTGTTTTGGACCCGCTGCTGGGAAAGGCTGGGGGCAGGGGCAAATGTGGGGGGTCCTGTGTGGGCTGAGGGAGTCCTGTTCCACCTTCCCCTCAGCCCCATGGGACCCGCAGTTTCTAGGGCATGGGTTCCACCTTCTTCATGGAAATTTCCAAGCTTGTCAGACTTTCTCAGGTGCCTGGTCCCCTGGGCTTTCCAGGATGCCCCCAGGAACAAAGCCAGCCATCCCTGAGAGAAACCCTGGGTGGGGCTGGGGCCGGCACCTGCCCAGCCAGCTTTGGAAGCAGACTTGGCTGAGCACATCATGGACTTCAGGGTCTTCCAGGAGCAGTCCTGGGACAGAGGGAGGTGGAGCGTCCTGCCCGGAGGAGGCACCTCAGGATCCTCCTTGGTCCCAGCTTCTCTCTTCACAGAGGCCTCCACTGACCACTGGTTACTTAAATCACAGTCCCCCATCCTCATTATTTTCAAAAATACATTTTGAAACAATCTCAAAGCCACAGAAACGTTTCAAGTAAAGGGCCAAGCTGTTTCTCCTGAGCGTTTGAGAGCGTGTTGCTGATGCGATGCCATCACCAAGGACACTTGCATGGGTGTTTCCAGCAGAGAGGCCGCTCTCCCACTGCTCCACCCTCACCTTCTCGGCCATCTGGTCCTCAGACCCATTCAGGGGTGGGTTCAGAACCACGTGCTGTGCGTGGTCCTGGTGTCTCGTTCGTCTGAAGTCGTTTTTAGCACTCCTCGCCTTTCGTGACCTTGTGCTTTTGGAAGAGCGCTGAGCCGTTATTCAGTGGGATACCCTTCAACGTGGGAGCACTGAGCCGTTATTCGGTGGGATACCCTTCAACGTGGGAGCACTGAGCCGTTATTCGGTGGGATACCCTTCAACGTGGCAGCACTGAGCCGTTATTCGGTGAGATACCCTTCAACGTGGGAGCACTGAGCCGTTATTCGGTGGGATGCCCTTCAACGTGGGAGCACTGAGCCGTTATTCGGTGGGATACCCTTCAACGTGGGAGCACTGAGCCGTTATTCGGTGAGATACCCTTCAACGTGGGAGCACTGAGCCGTTATTCGGTGGGATGCCCTTCAACGTGGGAGCACTGAGCCGTTATTTGGTGGGATGCCCTTCAACGTGGGAGCACTGAGCCGTTATTCGGTGGGATACCCTTCAACGTGGGAGCACTAAGCCGTTATTCAGTGGGATGCCCTTCAACGTGGGAGCACTGAGCCGTTATTCAGTGGGATACCCTTCAACGTGGGAGCACTGAGCCGTTATTCGGTGAGATACCCTTCAACGTGGGAGCACTGAGCCGTTATTCGGTGAGATACCCTTCAAGGTGGGAGCACTGAGCCGTTATTCAGTGGGATACCCTTCAACGTGGGAGCACTGAGCCGTTATTTGGTGAGATACCCTTCAAGGTGGGAGCACTGAGCTGTTATTCAGTGGGATACCCTTCAACGTGGGAGCACTGAGCCGTTATTCGGTGAGATACCCTTCAACGTGGGAGCACTGAGCCATTATTCGGTGGGATGCCCTTCAACGTGGGAGCACTGAGCCGTTATTCGGTGGGATGCCCTTCAACGTGGGTTTGTCCAGTGTTGCCCGTGATGCAGGAACACCTGAGTGGGAGGTTCTCCCTTCACCTGATGCTGATTTGTCCCTTAACTCATAATGTTGACTTGGTCACTGGATTAGATGGGGCATCCCAGCACCTCTATGCCAGAGGGAAATGCCAGTCATTTTCCCTTTGCAATTAATAAATATTTGGGGGGAAGGTACTTTGAAACTATGGAAATATCTCCATCCTCAACAAACCATCACTTAACTTTGATGGATATCTCTATAGACTCGTTGTTTCCTGTTTTACCCCATGGGCTGAAAGCCTTCTTTGGATGCTCAGATTGTCCCTGATTGACCAGTGGAAGCCCAGTACAGAGGCTCCTGCAGCCTCGGTCCAGCTCCCCTGTCCTTTCTTGTTCTTGCCTTTCCTGCTTGGGGCCTGGAACTCTGGTTCCTTTTATTAGAAAATGGTGTTAGCCTGAGACCTGGGTGTTGGGCCTCTAGTGGACATGGCTGGGAAGACGTATGTGTGTACACACACATACTCACATGCTACACACAGTTACACAATGCTACACACACACAGTTACACACACATACTACACACAGGCTACACACAGTTACACACACGCTACACAGTTACATGCATGCTCTATACAGTTATACACACATGCTACACACACAGTTACACATTTGCACACAGTTACACACTCACATGCTACACACAGTTACACACATACGCCACACACGCTACACACATGCTACATGCAGTTACATGCCACACAGTCACACACAGTTACACACCACACGCAGTTACACACACATGCTACACACAGGTACATGCTACACACACGCTACACACAGTTATACATGCTACACACACGCTACACACAGTTACATGCTACACAGTTACATGCATGCTCTATACAGTTATACACACATGCTACACACACACAGTTACAGACACACGCCACACACACACCCTTTTTCACCTAGGTCTGTATTTACTTCTCCATCTATCGATGTTTATTGAAAAACACAAGTTCATATTGATAACCTCTGATTCCAATTCCCACACAGGGTTCATTCTAAGGTTCTGCCTTTCCGTAGGCATAACGTCCTCTTCCAACAGTGAGAAAGCTGGTTTCCATTATCTTTAATGTGTTTACTTCTTTGATCCACCTCTTTCCCCATACCAGCACCCTCCTTACTCCACACAAGTGCTGACCCCTTGCTGAGCCCCTCTCTGCAGGCCAACCTCTGGGTCGCCACAGGACAGCCCCACCCTCTGTTCTAGGCCTTGGTGGGGACACCTTCTCCCCTGCAAGGGCTCTGGTGCTGGGGAGCCTCACTGGCCAGTTGCCCAGGACTTTGGGGTTCACAGGGTGTGGGCCAGGACAATCCAAGTATAATGGGCTGATTGGCCTCCCTGTGGCTCCAGAACTGGACCTTTTCGGACACTTGTGCTCACAGTGACCAGCTAGCTTCCTTTGTAGCGTTGAGCGTTATCTTTCTTTATCTTCAGTGTTTCGCTGGTGGACCAAACAGTTTACCAGTGTTATGTCTCATACAAGATTTTGTGGTTTGTTTTTCTTGTAGACAGTGATCACCACCCCTGCCACATGCACCTCCCTGCCCTCGCTTCCCTTACTCGCGGTTCAATGCTCAGTTTTTGAGGCTGTGCATATCTGGATTTTTTTATTCTTCTACTTCCTGTGATCAGTGTTTTGCCTGGGCATAGAGGACATGCCCTGAAGTTGAATGTCAACTCCCTTGAAATTGGGAAGAGGCTTTCTCTACTGTCTGTGAATGCTGCTCTGGAGCAATGTGATCCTATTCTAGTTATCGGTTTTGTTTGTGACTTTTTCCCACTTCAAAAGCTTTTAGGGTCTTTTTTCTATTCCTGGTGTTTTAAAATTTTATAGTGCCGGGCTTGGTTGGATGTGGGTCTCTTTTTATTCACGATTATGGGCACTTAATGGGCTTTTTAATCTAAAAATATAATTTCCTTTAGTTCTCGGAAAATTTTTTTTATTATTTAACTTACACTTTTCCTTCCCATTTTCTTAATTCTCTCTTTCTGGAACTCCCAAATCGGGTGTCAGTCCTCACTCAGCGTTTCCTCCGTCTCTGCTATCTCTTCGTCCTTTTGTTCACTTTCCTAGTATATTTCTTTGACTCTATCTCCCAAGTCTTCTGTTGAATTTTTCATTTTGGTTTTACAATTTATTTCCAAGTTGGGGAGGATGGACACAATGGTATTAAGCCTTCCCAAACAAGTCCTCCTGTCACTGTCTGGGCTGGGCCATATCTGCCCTGTCCACATGCGTCTGGAGAGTCTGTGTCCTGCCTCCTGGTTTGTCCTTGTTCCTGCTCTAACCGCTGCCCACACTGTTAGTCGAGGGAGCCTGAAGGAGCCTCCTGAAACACTCATTTGCTCATCCAGTGCAGGTTCC
Organism: Homo sapiens; assembly: GCF_000001405.40. Lineage (NCBI taxonomy): Eukaryota > Metazoa > Chordata > Mammalia > Primates > Hominidae > Homo > Homo sapiens. Next base: position 64,181,716 of record NC_000020.11, read on the forward strand.
TCCCACAGGCCAGGAAAGGTCCCAGGAACAGCCATTATTGAGCACCCTGGCAGTTCTCAGACTGCGGTGGGGACCTCGCTTTGAACTTTGAGAGGCAGATGCTGGACCTAGTATTTCTGCTGCCTCCTCCAGGAGCCATGTGACATGGATGTGAGTCTGTTTGCCTCCTAGGGCCTTACCTTCCTATGTCTGGGGGTGTAGCCTGGACCTCAGGGGTGTCCCCTTGGGTGTCAGAGGCTCTTTGGGACTAGAGGGAGGAATCCTGGGCTGTGGTCCCCCAGGAGTCTACTGTGACCTGTGACTGGTTTCGTGTGGGCCTTAAATTGTTTCTAAATTTTTATTCTAACCGTTTTCTTGCTGCCTTGCCAGGCTCTGATTTAAACCCAAGTAGCAGCAAGAAGGGGATAAATGAGGGATTGAGAGGAGAAGCAGGAAAAAAGTTTTTTGTTTTTTGTTTTTTTTCCTTTCGAATGGCAAGATGTAAGTTTATACTCAACCCTGGGCCCAGCTTTTCAGTTTCACTCTGCATGAGGTATGATGAAAGCTAAGAAGGCCTGCCCTCTCCAGGGAAGTGGCGGCTGGAGCAGCCACGGTGTCCCAGGGCGTGGCAGGCCCAGCCAATACGCACGCACAGGCAGAATGGGGGGCTGTTGCTGCTGGGTTAGCTACCAGGTGGGATTGGCCCTGGCCATCGGCTCAGCTGCATGGATAGCTGTGGACACATCCTGACATAGCACTGGCCGAGGTGGGAGGTGAGCTTGGGCCGTTCTGGGTCCCGATGCCTCCTGGCTGTGCAGAGGCAGGTCGCCTTCCTTTGGCCCTGTTGAATGAGTACAGCTCTAACTGCTCTGGGGAGTGGGAGGGTGAAGTGGACCCAAGAGCTCTCACTCTGACCTCCGTGGCCTGTCTCGTGTCACTCGCATGACCCATCCTCCTGTTGTATCCCTGGACCCAGCCCTCCCTGGCCTCCAGGAGCAGGGAGTGATAGGCATCAAGGTGGTCCAGTTTGGGGTTGAGGCGCAGCGGTCCAGAGGCTGGCCCAGGACACAGGCTCACAGAACCCAGTCTGGAGAACCAAAGGGGACTTGCTGGGACCTCCTGCCCTAGGCAAGAGTCCCCAGAGTGTCTCACTGACCATCCACATGCCACTGTTTAAAAACAGCGTTATTGGAATGTAATGTGCACATCACAGAATTCACCTATTAAAAATATACAATTCAGTGGTTTTAGCGTACGTGTAGGGTTGTACATCTATCACCACAGCCCAAGTTTAGACCGTTTTGATCACCCCAGAAAGAAACCCCATGCCCGTTCACAGTCGTTCTCCATTTTCTCCTCCACCAGTCCTAGGCAACCACGAATCTACTTTCTATCTCTACGAATTTGCCTGTTCTGGCCATTTCACAAATATGGAATTGTTCAATATGTGGTCTTTTGTCCCTGGCCTCTTTCACTGAACACGAAGTTTTTGAGATTCACCCACATTGTTGCATGTATAAGCAACTTCATTCCTTTTTATTGCCAAAGACTGTGCCACTGTATTTCGTATCACCCATTCAGCAGTTGATGGACATTTGGGTTTTTCCACTTTTTGGCTAGTATGAATAAAGCTGCTATGAATAGTTGTGTACAAGCCTTTATGTGACATATGTTTTTATTTCTCTTGGGCAAATATCTAGAGTGGAATTCCTGAGTCATGTAACTCTATGTTGAACATTTTGAGTAACTGCCATGCCATTTTCCAAGTGATTGTGCTATTTTACATTCGCATCAGCATTCTATGAGGGTTCTTGCCAACACTTGTTACTATCTGTTTATCTTTAACATTACAGCCATTTTAGTGCAATGGTATCTGAGTGTGGTTTTGATTTGCATTTCCTGGATTACTAGCTGTTGGGCATCTCTTCATGTGCTTATTGGCCATTCCCGTGTTATCTTTGGAGAAATGTCTGTTCAAGTCCTCTGCTCATTCTAAAATTGGGTTATTTGTCTTATTATGAGTTATGAGAGTTCTTTTTTCCAAATACAAGCTCTTTATCAGATTTACGATTTGCAAATATTTTCTCCCAGTCTTTGGGTTGTCTTTTCACCATATTGATAGTGTTATTCATTTATTTATTTTTGAGACAGAGTCTTGCTCTGTCACGCAGGCTAGAGTGCAGTCGCATGATCTTGGCTCACTGCAACCTCCACCTCCCAGGTTCAAGTGATTCTCCTGCCTCAGCCTCCTAAGTAGCTGGGATTACAGACACGCACCGCCATACCCAGCTAATTTTGTATTTTCAGTAGAGACGGGGCTTCACCATGCTGGCCAGGCTGGTCTCGAACCCCTGACCTCAAGTGATCTGCTTGCCTCAGTCTCCCAAAGTGTTGGGATTACAGCCGTGAGCCACTGCTCCCGGCCGACAGTGTTATTTTAACTCCGAAAGTTTTAAACCTTGTTGAAGTCCAATATATTACTTTTTTTCTTTAATGGCTTGTAGTGTTGTTGTCATAGCTAAGAAACCATTGCTGAACCCAGAGTCGGAAAGATTTACCGCGGTGTTTTCTAGGAGTTTTGGTTCTTACATTTACATATGTGATCCAGTGCGAGCTAATTTTTGAGAGAGGTCCAACTTCATTTTTTTTTTTGATATCTAGTTGTCCTGGCACGTTTGTTGAAAAGACAGTTTTTTTCCCATTAAATTGTTTTTGTGCCATTGTCAAAAATCAATTGATCATTAATAGAGGGGGTTACTTCTGGACTCTCAATTATGTCCCACTTATCCATATGCCCGTCCTGATGCTAGTAACACATTGCCTTGATTACTGCAGCTTTGTAGTAAGTTTGGAAACTGAGAAGTGTGTCGTCCAACTTTGCTCTTTTTCAGAATTGTTTTGACTAGTCTATATTCCTTGAATTGCCATACAAATTTTTAGAATGAGTTTGTCAGTTTTTGCAAACAGAACAAAACAACACAGCCAGAGAGGTCAGAAATGGTCAGATTCTGGTGAGATTTAGAAAATAACATTGGCAGGATTTGGGGCCAAGGATGACCCTCAGGGTTCTGGCTTGAGGAGCTGATGACTGAAGAGGGGAAGAGGAAAACCCCACGTCACGTAAGAAGCAGATATTGTGGGCAGCGAGGAAGCAAAAAGGAGAAGCCATCTGACATGGGGTGGCCGGGTGGCCAGGAGGAGCCTGTACAGGTGACCGACAAGGTCAGGGGCGAGTGTTTGCCACAGAAGGGGGTGAACAGACACGCACCGCAGTGATGTCTAGTGGGCCCTCACGTGCCCTGTGAACATGAAGCCGCCTGTTGTTCCAGTAGAGGGATGTGGGTGGAGGCCAACTGTGGTGGGGAGTGAAGCGTAGTTATGAAGCAGGAGGAGATGGAGAGGGGGCTGGGCAGGGGCGTGAGGTCCAAAGAGACTGTGTTTTTAAACATGGATGCCTCAAGCCAGTTGAAGAGTTGGGAAGAGTAGTTCAATATTCCAGAAGAATGGAGGGAAGAGTTGATATTCCTGGGAACTTTCATTGACAGTGGGAAGGAGGTGGGTATAAAGTCCAGATGGACAAGCTGGCTCAGCAGGGAGGCAAGACCCCATCTCCTGTGCTGGAGACGGAGGAGGGCTGAGGGGGTGCATGGGAGAATGGAGGTGTGGGCTCCTCTCAAGTGACTACCCTTCCCCTCTTTGCTGAGGGGCAGGTGGTAACAGCTCCTGGCCCCAAAGGCAGCCCTAGTTACCAGAGATGCAAAACCTAGTGAAGACTGAAAACATGTGGCTTTCCACACTTACCACCTGGCCTCTCACTCAGTCTTCCTGTTATTTTGTTCTTGTTTTCAGAGTGGGGAGGTTTTACACAGTGGAAGGGGGTCAGGTTGCCAGGGCTGGAGTGGATCAGAGCTAACTGCCACAGGGACTCCCATCCGGAGGCCCAGGGGATGCACCATGGGGGCAGGTGGGCTCAGGCCAGATTCCAGGCTACCGAGCCAGCATGAAAACAGCCACGGTCGCCCGCAGGGGGTCCCCCATGGGGTTGTGCGTGGAGTGGCCACAGTGCCAGTGCAAGGAGGAAGTGTGTGCTGGCAGTGGGTCAGCCGGCAGCTGGGGTGTTAGCTCTGGGACAAGGGGGCTCTCCTTGCCATGACGACAGAAGGAAACCTTGGGGTAGGCCAGCAGCACTTCCTGGGAAGAGCCCAGCAGAGCACTGGCTCTCAGTGGAAGCGTCCTGTCTGGGGCCTGGGTCAGGCTGGTCTCCAGTTTGCAGTGCTGCTGAGTTGGAAAAAGAGGGCTTCATTAGGAGAAGACAGACGGGGGGCTACAGCTCAGCACTGCACATCTCCCTGGCCTGTGTTGGAGTCTCTGGCCAGTGAGGGGTGGTTCCCTCTCCTCTGGACCTTTGTGCATCAATCTCAGCTGAGGAGGCCCTGTTTGTTTCCTGAGTTTTTCTGCCCACAAGAGCCCCATAAAAGTGAGTGTGGGGCCACCATGGGGACAGATGTGGGGGTTACCTTGAGCAGGCAGGACTCCAGGTGCAAAGATGCCGGGTCCCTAGAGAGGGGTCCCAGCCAGCGCCGCCCTCTGGGTGCCGGGAGCTGATCCCGAGAGGCTTGTTTTCCAGGAGACGTGCTCAGGATGGAGCGGTCTCTGATGTTCCGTTTCCCATTCGCATCCACGAGCAGGGATTCAGATTAACTCACTAGAAACTCAATAACCCAAGAGAACAGGCTCGTCTGGATGAAAACCTCCACTTCACTTCAGATTCCTGACAAGAAAGGCCATGGTGATGACAACAGCACTGACGTCCTCATGGGTTCACTTCCAGGCTCCGTCCACACATGTCTCTCCATCTCCAAATAATTCTTCCCCTCCCACTTTGTGGGTGAAGGACTTAAGTCTCAGAGAGGGTAGTGACCTGCTGCTCAGGTCTGAGTTGGTGGCAGTGCCCTGTGTGAGCTTTGGGGACCCTTGTTCCCACCACAGAGTGTCCATGGAGCAGCATGACTTCTGGAAGGGCGTCTTTATGGAACACCTCCACGTTTCCGTGGAGAGATTTCCTGTAGCCCGTGGCCCCGGCATCCACGTTTCCGTGGAGACTTTTCCTGTAGCCTGTGGCCCCGGCATCCACGTTTCCGTGGAGAGTTTCCTGTAGCACGTGGCTCCGGCATCCACGTTTCCGTGGAGACTTTTCCTGTAGCCCGTGGCCCCGGCATCCATGTTTCCGTGGAGAGTTTTCCTGTAGCACGTGGCTCCGGCATCCACGTTTCCGTGGAGAGTTTTCCTGTAGCCTGTGGCCCCGGCATCCACGTTTCCGTGGAGAGATTTCCTGTAGCCCGTGGCCCCGGCATCCACGTTTCCGTGGAGACTTTTCCTGTAGCCCGTGGCCCCGGCATCCATGTTTCCGTGGAGAGTTTTCCTGTGGCACGTGGCCCCGGCATCCACGTTTCCGTGGAGAGTTTTCCTGTAGCCCATGGCCCCGGCATCCACGTTTCCGTGGAGACTTTTCCTGTAGCCCGTGGCCCCGGCATCCACGTTTCCATGGAGACTTTTCCTGTAGCCTGTGGCCCCGGCATCCATGTTTCCGTGGAGAGTTTTCCTGTAGCACGTGGCTCCGGCATCCACGTTTCCGTGGAGAGTTTTCCTGTAGCCTGTGGCCCCGGCATCCACGTTTCCGTGGAGAGTTTTCCTGTGGCACGTGGCCCCGGCATCCACGTTTCTGTGGAGAGTTTTCCTGTGGCACGTGGCCCCGGCATCCACGTTTCCGTGGAGACTTTTCCTGTAGCCTGTGGCCCCGGCATCCACGTTTCCGTGGAGAGTTTTCCTGTGGCACGTGGCCCCGGCATGTTGTTTGGGTGCATGGGGACTTAATGTGCTGCTAGAGATGCTGATTGAGCAGAGCCTACAGACAGGAGAGCTTTGTCTGGGGTGGAGCCTACTGAGCCCATGGGGCAGGGTTTGGCCATACACAGGCCCCAGTAGGGGACCAAGAGGGCCACAGGAGAAGAACTGGCATACCTTACTGGGCTTCTAGTAGTGATAGCCGTTTGCTGCCAAGACATTTCCTAGGAGAGGGAGGCTATCATGTCAAGGTTGAGCCGGGTCCTCAGGCCCTTGTAAAGGAGGGTCTACGCTTGGGGGTTTGTGGTTACTTGTGTGCTCTGTACCCAGGGGTATGGTGCACAGGTTTCACCGGGTGCCATTCTGCTCTTTTGCCCAGAGAAGCTCAGCGGCTTTGCTGCCTCAGGGAGGCAGGAGTGGCTCTTTGGAGGAGCAGTTGATCCCCGGGATGCTAGTGCTCTGCCTGAGCAGATGTGGGGCCTCAGGGCCTCAGGACTTCAGAGCCCAGGGCTGACTGACCTAGGGACAGGAGTGTAAGGGATGTGGGCAACGAAGAATTCCACAGGGCTGTATTTCCAGACTCCCATGGGTGGGTGTGGGTGGAGAAGCCCCAGTGAGCTGGTTATCTCCCACCAAACAAAACTGGAGGTCCCTTTGCAGAGACTCTTGCAGTTCATGTCCACATGACTTCTCTGAGAAGCAGGAGAGACTCAGCGCAGAACTCAGGGGAGTCGCACTCGGGAGAGGCAGCGTCTCCTCTGGAGCACACAGACCTTATGTCCTTCCCTCCAGCTGTCAGCCAGACATGCCCCAGTTGTCTTGCATATATACATATGTAATGGTAACAAGGAATTCTGCTTGAGCCTTGCCAATCAGCCCAGTGAGCAGGTTTCTGCAGCATCTTGTCTCCTGGGATAGATACTCAGAAAGTGAACCCTGTGCACTTTGGGGCCTTGTCTCTCAGCTTCTGTTGACACATAAGAAAAGAGACACACAGAGGACCCCACGCCCCATCTTCAAAGTGTGAAGCACACTCCCCGGCTGATACGATTCTTGTCGATTCACTTACGGAATCTTCCAATATGCTTTTCCTCCCTATACCCCACATCCCTGTCACAGAGTTGAGAATTGGATTACCTGGTGGGCAGGTGGGCCCCAGTTAGAGGCCGCTCACACCGGCTCAGTGCAGATGACCAGTGGCAGATGGGAACCCAGGAGGCCTAGAGATCTTGGGTGATAGGGAAGCTCCCGCAGCTCCCTCCTCACTAGTCCAGGCACCGGAGCCTGCGGTGGGAGCCCTGTCATCTCAGCGACGGCCTGCGGGTGACTTACAGCTCAATGAGGGGAGGCACAGAGTAGGTGCACACAGTAGGTGCCGAATCTGAGTGGTTTTATTCGTTCCTCTGTAGACCTCGTATTAGGCTGTCTCCTTGACTACCAAATCTGCTTTCCTCTGTGTTTATGCTCTGGAAGGTAATCCGAAGCCCTTTAATGGGATGGAAGCATTTCCAGATAAGAAGAGGGTGCTGTGGCCAGAGGCACAGGGCTGCCTGGGGCCAGGAGTGGCCAGAACCCTAGAGAAGAATTGCATTTGGGGATGCACATCAAAAACACGAGGAAAAGAAAGAAAGTGGGTGGGAATAGCGTGCCTTCGGCAGAATCCAAACTCACTTCCAAGGCAAAGCCAGGGCCCAACACGAGAATATTCATTTCCTGTTTCATTGTTGGTTACTTAATGACCTTCCTTTGAAATGCTGCAGTTATGTAGAAAGCAGGTTGTCATGGAAACGGGGAGTGACGTGCAGGGAATAGGTACACAATGCGTTTCTTTGTCATGTCCAGCTGATGCGTTCAGCCTCTGCTCAGACATGGGAATTTATGTGAGGAATTAAATATTAACTGGAGGCATTGCCCTGGAGAGAGGCAGAAACACAGGGTGACAAAAGATGCTGGAAACCAGGGCAAAGAGCATGCTGGGGCCCCCGGGATCCTGCGGGAGGCAAAGCTGATTTGAGACCATGGGTGGATCTCACTTTCTTCAATCAATGGGCTCCAGAGAAGTCGTGCAAAACAATCTTCTTTTTCAAATGCATATGTACTGTGCATTCTTTTGAGGGGCAGAAGGATCTGGTTGTAATGCGAATAATTACTCATTAGTCAGCTCATTTTCAAAGTTGGAGGGGTGACATGCCAAGTTTTCTCAAGGTGGCTCTCAGCTGCCTTGTCCCAGCACTCTGCTGGCCGTGGTTGTCAGTGGGAACCAACACCTAGAGCTGGGACAACAGTGCAGGGGACTGCAGGAAGACTCCAGGGAGGCCCCAAGTCAGAGAGAAATTGTCTCTTGTTCCTGAAGCAGCCATGGAGCCATGACCTTGTCTGTTTCTCCGGTGGATTCCAGGAAATAGGCATTGAATATATGATGTTAAAAAAGTGCCTCAAGTTTCTCACTTTCTCCCCTTGAGCCAGCACGGCTGGCACCCACCAAGCTTTCCTTTTCTGACCTTGAACCTTTTTAAACCCTCAGAAAATGAGTTCCGAGGTGAGCTGTTAAATCAGAGGTGGACACACGGAGGCAAGGCCAGCAGCTGCAGGACCTCAAGACACCTGGGCAGACACTGCAAGGTGAGACGTGAGAGGGCAGCCCCTGTCGTAGGGCCCCACCCCATGGCTGCCTGCACAAAGCCTCTCTTCAGCTGCAGGCATGAAGCATGGAGGCGACTTTTGGTCTGATCCTCACCAGAGTCCGGGTTAGGTGAAGGGTAAATGGGGACTAGGATCAGCAATGATCCGGTCACTTTAAAATTAAGGGAAGAAAAATGACTCTGAGTAGATCAAAACTAAAATGTGACCCCAGGCTGGGCCCGGTGGCTCACACCTGTAATCCCAGCACTTTGGGAGGCTGAGGCAGGTGGATCACTTGAGGTCAAGAGTTCAAGACCAGCCTGGCCAACATGGTGAAACCCCGTCTTTACTAAAAACACAAAAATTAGCCGGGCATGGTGGCATGCGCCTGTAATCCCAGCTATTTGGGGGAGGATCCCAGCTAAGGTGGGAGGATCACTTGAGCCTGGGAAGTCAAGGCTGCAGTGAGCTGAGATTGTGCCACTGCACTCCAGCCTGGGTGCAGATCTTATCTCAGAAGTAAAGGGACTAGGAATGGTGGCTTTTATCTCTAATCCCAGCACTTTGGGAGGCTGAGGCAGGTGGATCACTTGAGGTCAAGAGTTCAAGACCAGCCTGGCCAACATGGTGAAACCCCGTCTTTACTAAAAACACAAAAATTAGCCGGGCATGGTGGCATGCGCCTGTAATCCCAGCTACTGGGGAGGCTGAGGCAGGAGAATCACTTGAACCTGGGAGGCAGAGGTTGCAGTGACCCAAGATTGTGCCACTGCACTCCAGCCTGGGTGACAGAGCAAGACTCCATCTCAGAAAACAAGCAAGCAAGCAAACAAAAAAAACCCACCAAAATGAAAATGTGACCCCAGAGTCTCACTTCCTTGCTTTGAGGTGTGACCACGTCTGGGCTCTGTGATAGGCCTGAGCAACTGTTCTCTATTCACCCTGCTTTTACCTGGCCAGGCTGAGAATCCCTACAGGATCTGACAGCAGAGATTGCTGGCAGGAGCTTATGAAGTCTGTTGGCCTTGTTTTATTTCGATCTTCCTAAGGGGAGGCAGATGGTGCAAGCCCTTCTTATACCTTCCCAGGGTATAAGATCTCCCTTCGGGGACACTCCCGAACTGTGACATCACATGTGCTTACAGCCACTGTTCTCCACCACCAACCCTCTAATTCTAGAACTTCCCACCAATACTCTCTGGATGAGGCCAGGTCCCCAGGGTCAGGTGACCCTCACAGCTGGAAGTAGAGGCTGACAATAGGCTTAGGCTGAAGCCCTTCCCAGAGATCCGATTCTGACCTCTCTTTTTTCTTTTTTGCATGTAGATGCTCTCCAGCAAGGATCCAGCTGTGACTCAGGGCATGGCTCAAGGACAGTGATGGCGTAGGGTGTAGGCAAGGAGGGCTATGCAGTTGTAGTGGGAACTTCATTTGGGGGTGCTTGTGTTTTACTCTCAAAACCCAACCTTTTTCTTTTGAATCTGGTGGCGAGAATGTACATTTTAATGGGTCTGTTATAGACAACTTGCTGAGCACCTCCGCTCATATTTTGGCTCCCGCAGGATTATCAGTGCTCTGCTGATCCATGTTGGAGCCTGGGGCACAAGGAAGAGTCAGTAATATGGATCCTGTCTTTATTTAAGGTTTTGGTATCTTGTTTATTAGGGGTTTTTTGCATCATGTTGATGTTTCTAAATATTGAATTAAAATATTATTTATCTTGATCATTGAGTTTTTGGCCTCATTCCCCTCACCCTACCCCAGATCCTGAGGATTCACATAGCGCTGTACTGGCATGAGATCATGTGAGCATGAACGTTACTTGACTTGAGGCCAGGGGCTCTGCATGCAGCGTTATCTACAAATGTCTGGTGCCATGTCAGGGGTGGGTCGGAAGACTTTTGTCTCCCCCTGGCCCAGACATGACAAACTCAGAGAGTTTGGGACCTACCATGACAACCCATGGCTGTTCAAAGTGCTGCTTCTGTGAACAAAGCCAGGGACCCGTGCCCAGGTTCTCGTGGCATCACCAGCTCTTTCATCACTGCTCTGTTTGAGGGTCATTTCCCTTCTTTTCTTGCAGATAGGGCCGAGTGACTGCTCTGAATAGAGAAGCTAAGATGAAAAGTGTGCCAGAGAAGGCGAGAGGATGAGAAAGGGTCGACTGCCTAGAGGACAGTGGGGCAGCAGGTGCAAGTAGAATCTCCTGACTAAGAGGCTGAGGAGGGTGGCAGCAGAGGGCATAAGCCGTGGTCACAGTGTGAGAATGTCACACAGCCACAGCAGCATCGGGGTCAGCCTTCCAGAGGCTGGCTTCGGACAGGAGATGGGTGGTGAGGAGCCAGCATGGGAGGGCAGTGAACACACAAACCCTGTGCATGGGACCGTCACAGCCTGCGGCGTGCCTCTGAGTTCAGCACCAGGCATGTGGACAGCTCAGGACCGGTTGGAAGGGGCTGCCAGAAGTCAGGTGGTCGTGTGTCGGGGTATGCAGGAGCTGATGGTAGCTCCTCAACCCCCTTCTTGCCAAATATTCAGAGATATGGAATCAAGGAAAAGATCAGTTGCATGGCCATTCAGCCAACCCTTCTTCCTGCCACCCAGGGCAGGAGGTGCCTCTGGCAAGGACTACTGGACAGAGGCTCCTGCAAGGGAAGGAGCTGCCACTGGGTATGGCCCTTCTGGCCTCTCTTTATGTTGTTGGATTCTACCCTGGGTGGGTATAAATTCCATTTATGCTGGAGTTTTTAACAGACGGTTGCAGATATGGCTGCTTCATCAGGGTATCCATTATGTAGCTCTAATTTTTGATTTGGGAATGAAGTGAGCCAGTATCCCATGCTTAGAGCTGTCAAGAGAACCCCTTCTCAGACATGTGTTAAATAATGCCCCATGGAGGTGTCCTTTCTATACCCCAAGGAGGAGGCTGGTCTATTCTGCTGAATTTGTTGGGAGAATTTCAGAATTTCAGACATGCAACAGGACATCACCCAATGTGAGGACAGAACTATCTCTGCAAGGAACCAAGGGTACTGTGATGGCTGCCAGTGGGGATCAGGGGTGAGGGCATATGGTTTAGCCTCAGAGATCAAGAGAGTGGAAAGCAGGATGTGTGCTGAGGTCACCGACTTTCTATATCTGTTCTGTGGGCTGAGCTGGCAGGCAGGTCCATGCACCAAAGAAAGGGAAGGGGAGGGCTGTGGATGCAGCAGAAGATCCTCCTGGGATACTCGGGAGGGGAGCAACACAAATGCTTGAATGCTGCTCTTAGATCGTTGAGTGGGAGCTTGGATCTTCCACAATACTGTCTGCTGTAATGGCTTCACAGCAGTGACAGGGAAGTTGATGCTGCCCTCAGTACATAAATGAGAGAAGAAAACAGGCCAGACCATGGCTCTGTCTTTCTCCCCTCCCCTCACTGCAGAGAAGTGAGACTGAATGTGGTGTGAGGTACTGCTGGAGCCAGGCAGGGTAGGGGACAGCCAGTTTCTGGCCACCTCCTCACCCCCCACTCTTCACTGGCCCCTTCCTTCTGGGAAGTGGCTGCCTATGGTCCGCTGGGACTCAGCAGGTGCTCTTCCTCTTCTTCTAGGTCTCTGGGAGGAAAACCATTATGCAAGAGGCTCAACCGTCCCACCGAGACACTATAACCTATGTAATTTTATGGATTTTTAAAGAATAGTTGTAAGTCCATTCTAATTCTCCAGATTTGCTGGCTGTCAGAACACATTTTAAATAAAATAAAACACTACCGTGTCTCCTTCTCTGGCCCAGCGCTGGGGTGAATGGCCCCCGTGGTGTCAGAATGCCCGGAACCCCCCAGCTCAGCGTTCCCACATATGGCCTCTCTGCAGCCCCTCTGACCACGGCTCTCCACACACCCCAGCCCCAGGGTTTCAGAGATGTTTCTGACTGTCCCCATTTATTCATTCATCCACCTGTCCATCCACCCATCCTTAAATGACATGCACTAAGCAGCTGTCTGGAGGAGAGACAATGACCTTACAACCATGAATGAATGAGCTCATTTCAGATTGAGATGAGGACTGTGAGGGAAACAAACAGGCACAAGGTGGAGACTGAGAGGAGCTGGGAAGAGGCAGGGTGCTGGCCACCTAAGAATGCTCCCAGCTCTACCTCTGGAGTGCCTCCCACCCCAGATGTCCTCAGGTCACTGATCCATTCACCCTCCCCATCCCTACCTGGCTCTCAACCCTTAGCAGAGCTCTCTGTTTCTTGAACTCTCCCCTGAGCACTCCCTGCCTCCCTGGGGTGATGTACAAATCTTGGAATGCCAGGCTGGTGCCCCTCAGGGCCAGAACAGCTCCTGCTGGGGCCAGGACACCCTCCTGCTGGGGCCAGGCTTCAGCCAGGATTCTGTCCTTTGACTGGCCCTGGGCCATTGGTGCAGAAGGGATGTGATGGGGGTTGAGGGAGGAAGCTGTTCAGCTCTGAGGGCCCTGTCCTGGGAGGAAGCATGAAAAAGGAATGAAAGAGGCAGAGAGAGACAGAGAGGGAGTCCGTGAGTGAGTGAGGAGAAATGGGTAACCCTGAGCTGGGGCCCGGGAAGGAGTGGGGAGACGCAGCCTCTGGGGGCAAAGGTGGAAGTTGGCACAAAGCCCGTTGGGCTTCATGGAAAATCTCCAACCCTGATATCTTTGGAAGCTGAGTCTACCATTTCCCCTTAGAGGTTAGACACGAGTGGTTTGTTACTGGCTATGTGTCTGGGTTCTTTTCATTTTTTATTTTTTTTGAGACGGAGTCTTGCTCTGTCACCCAGGCTGGAGTGCAGTGGCGTGTTCTCAGCTCACCTCAACCTTTGCCTCGGGGGTTCAGGTGATTCTCCTGCCTCAGCCTCCCAGGTAGCTGGGACTACAGGCGGCCGCCACCACACCCGGCTAATTTTTGTATTTTTAGTAGAGTCAGGTTTCACCATGCCTGCCTCGGCCTCCCAAAGTGCTGGGATTACAGGCGTGAGCCACCATGCCCGGCCCTGTTTCTGGGTTCTGAGTGGATTTGTTACAGCTGCAGCCTCAGCGCAGATCCCTCTAGGTTTCAAGATTGCTTACTGCATTGGCTTGTTTTGGTTCCTGAGTTTGTAAACACCCAACTCAGGGCACTCTGTTTTGGCCAGGCCAGCATGCAGATGAGTCTGGAAAAGGGGCTGGTCTTCGTACCATGTCATGGTGAGAACTGTGTGTGTGTGTGTGTGTGTGTGTGTGTGTGTGTGTGTGTGTATACTTTTTTTTTTTTGAGACGGAGTCTCACTCTGTCGCCTAGGCTGGAGTGCAGTGGTGCAATCTCAGCTCACTGCAACCTCCACCTCCTGGGTTCAAGTGATCCTCCTGCCTCAGCCTCCCAAGTAGCTGAGACTACAGGCGTGCACCACCACACCCAACTAATTTTTGTATTTTCAGTAGAGATGGGGTTTCACCCTGTTGGCCAGGCTTGTCATGAACTCCTGACCTCAAGTGATCCACCCGCCTCAGCCTCTTAAAGTGCTGGGATTACAGACGTGAGCCACCGTGCCCAGCCAGAACCATGTATATTTTCAAAAGAGCTTACATGATTAATCCTGACTTTACTAAACAGAAATATAAAACAGAACAAAGCAAAAACACACTTTTGAGGAGACTGCTTTTATATGGCACTAAGAAAGCAAGTTAAATGGATGGACAAAGAGACAGTTCTCTTGGGTTAATTTGGCAATATACAATGTATTTGCATTTATGAATTATTCTCCTCCCCACAGTTTTCATGGTTTTCCTATCGAAGGCAGAACTATTGAAATATTAATTAGAGCCTCAAGACATGCTCGCAGTGGCAGAATGAAGCTGGCATTTGGAGAAACAGAGCAGACGTTCTTGAGAAAGGTTGCCGGCCCAGCAGTAAGAGTGGGTGATGGGGTCGTTCTGCCTTTTCACTCTCAAGGGGAGAGGTCACCGGGCTATCTGTGGGTTGCGCAAAAAAGGGACCTGGTTGGCTTGTGTTTGGAACAAGTAAAGTGTGTTTTAAAAATCAATGAAAAATTGAGAAGTGTTTAATTTTCTTTGCATCATTGAGCTGCCCTTTAGGGCCCAGCTGTCATTGTGTGGTGGGGGCAGAAGGTCTGGGGGGCTGCCGTCCAGGGATCACCAAGGTGAGCCTGGGTGGTGCTGGGCACAGGGCCGCCCCCAGCACCCGCTCTCCATCTACCACATCGTGGTGCCGATCTTGCGGCAGGAGGAGAGCAGAGAACTCACCTCTGAAGTGCTTTGACTTCTTTCGAAAAGAAAAGTGATGTAAATCAAGCAGTGCTGGTTTTGTCCAGATGCTTTCGCGTCAGCCGGCACTGCTGATTTCAAATAGCTCAGAAACCAGTGTCCCAAGTCACCCAGCTCTTACGGGTTCATTCTCGTATTAAAGAGCCTGGTTTATTTTTTCTTCGGTAGTTCAGTTTTTTTCCCTTTAAAAATCAAAGCTACACGCTCCTAAGAGAACTTCTCGCTTATTGACCAGTCAATGCAGATAAATTGCAAATGGTAAAAAGGTGCTCAGCAGAAGGAGCGGCAGAGCTGTCAGCTTCATCAACGGGAGCTCACAGTTTTCAAGCAGTGCCCATTACACATCCCTGCAACCCTCTCTATTCTCTGCTCTTTGAATAATTTATCTGCAGGAAATCCAAATTGCCAAGGCACGCTTTAACCTAGCAGAATGCTTGCCAATATCCTTGGGAAAACTGGCAATAAATAAATAAATAAATAAAGCCGTAGATTGCATTTCAGCTGAGTGCAGGCACCGCACAAGTCCCATTGTACGTCCTGCATCGGAAGGCATTGCACACGGGCTCAGAGCAGACGACATTTGAAGGCTCATAAATGTAATGAAGTCCCTGTGACACCTGCTCCTCTATTCACTTTAAATGTGAGCCATTTGTCCATGGGGAACCTCCGCTTTAAAAATAGAAATTGTAGTAATTGTCTTCCGTTCTATTGGAAGGCTGTAATAAACGCACGGCTCACAGCACTGTGCTCCACAGCCTGGAGTCGGCAGGTTGCATAAATTACCCAGGTTTTGATTTTTCTTCCTTAACAAATCACATACATCATTGTATGTTAGTGCTGCTGCATGGGGGAGGTTCAATTTGCAAATTTCATCTTACTAATTGGGGGAATTCCTTTTTCTTTCTTCCCAGGTGGTTCTGTAGACATTTGTCTCTTTTTCTGGCTTTCAGGAGCAAAAGCCCCATTTAAGACGTGGGGGCTTCTGAGCCCCCTCCTGCTGCCTCTCTTCCTTTCTTCTGCTACTTCTTTCCACTCCCCTGCTTTCCCTTTGACTACCTCACGCATAGAGCCCTGGCAGCTCTGGTGTCTGTGGCCTGGGACAGGTGTGGATTTGCTGCCTCCCCTTCCTGACCACAGGTGATGGTGGTGGAGTCCAGTGCTCTCCTCTTGGGCCTCCCCTGTCCGGCTAGAGGTGCCCTCCCCCGCCTGGTGTGGCTCCCCGGGAAGGATGTTTTGCATAGCATGGAGTGTGTAGGATTTACTTGCCTGCCCAGATTTGTCATGAGTGACACAGGACAAGGATGCTGTGTGTGACCCTCACCACTGCCCCACATGTCCTTTCTGTGATTGTCACCCTCCTGGGGGCTCCCCCATGACTCCCTCGCCGGACAATGCTGTGGGCAGTGTCCCCACAGAGGGTGGTCAGATTCAAGGATCACAGGTGGGGAGGGACACCGATAGGCTCAGGCAAGGCAGCCAGGCCCTCGAGGCCTGGAGAACATATGGGCTGGGGCCGCTCCAGGTTGCCTGTTTCTCACGGGATGACCCTGGTGCGTGAGGGGCATTAAAGCCTTCTGCTGGGCCGGGCGCGGTGGCTCACGCCTGTAATCCCAGCACTTTGGGAGGCCGAGACGGGCGGATCACGAGGTCAGGAGATCGAGACCGTCCTGGCTAACACGGTGAAACCCCGTCTCTACTAAAAAAATACAAAAAATTAGCCGGGCGTGGTAGCGGGCGCCTGTAGTCCCAGCTACTCGGGAGGCTGAGGCAGGAGAATGGCGTGAACCCGGGAGGCGGAGCTTGCAGTGAGCCGAGATCGCGCCACTGCACTCCAGCCTGGGCGACAGAGCGAGACTCCGTCTCAAAAAAAAAAAAAAAAAAAAAAAAAAAGCCTTCTGCTGTAGTGGGAAGAAAGGGCCCATGGGAAGCTGTGCTCTGGGGACACGTTGGGGTCAGAAGCCACTGGACGACCCAGCACTGCCGCTGGTGGCTGAGTCTGTGGTGAGCGACCTGCCCTGATGCCTCAGCACCTGCCTGACCAGGTGAGCAGTGGGTGCTGCTCTGTGTCGGGCCAGGAGACCCTCTTGGATAACATACGGACATTCATCAGGCTTCAGTGGCGCAGGGCCCATGCCTCAGCACTTGTTGGCAGGTGCAAACCTGGGGGCACGGTGCACTGTACCCTCCTTGCCAAGGCCGGGGACATGCTGATGGGACACTTCCAAGCCTTGTAGAAGGTCCTTTCTCTACACCCTCCCACCTGCTGCTCCTGGCCCCAGGCCTTTCTTGTCCTGTGAGCCCATCCTTGTCATTCTGTGCCCAAAATCACCTTTGCTGTCAAAGCTTGAGCCAGAAAATGGCCAGACATTCCTGATGGCTCTGTACTCCAGAGGCACTGGCTGGGTTTTCTTGTTAACGTCGTGGTTTTTTGCTTGCAGATGAGCTTAGAAAATGAAGACAAGCGAGCTCGCACCCGATCCAAGGCCCTGCGAGGTGAGTGCCGCCCTCCCCTCCTCCAGGGCTGTAAATGCCACTTTCCTCCGCGGTCTTCCTCAGGAGCACAAACCCCTAACCACACATGTGCAGAGATGCCCTGGGGACCTCAGGCCTCTTCAGCCTCATTCATCCTCAGGGCTGCTGAGCTTTGAAGCTGGCATCTAAGAGGGCTGCTGAGGGGCCTTTGGCCCAGATGAACCTGCCTTGAGGGCAGAAATGTTGAGGTAGACCCAGCTCCATGGAGTGGGAGTAGCAAGGCTCAGTTACGAGACCATTCTGTTTGGAAATGAGAGGCCGCCAGCCTTCCACCGCCAGCCCCCTTCCTTCCCAGGCGATCAGTCTTGGTGCTAATGGGGCATAGGAGGTTGTTGGGTTGAGCTGGAAGTGCAGTGGGAGGAGAGGAGGCTGACTCTGTTAGGATCTGAGCCCCAACCCCTGGCCAGACTTACCTCCCTGATACGGGCGGGGGCTTCCTCTTGTGCCCAAGCATCTCAGGTGTGCCTGCCCCGGTCAGAGCCCCGTGCATCTTGGCAGCCATCACTGAAGGACCAGTAACTCGGTCCAGTTGTTCTCTTCTCTGTCCAGCTTGATCTGGTGGTTTGTGTTTCCTGCCAAAAGCTGACTTCTATCTGCAATTAGAGAAAGAGATACCATCCCTGGCCCTGAGGTCCCAGAGATCCTGTCTGAGGTGGAGCATCTGTCCCACTTTGTAAAACTGCCAGGCTGCTCAGGGGAGCTTCTGCGGCGAGCACCAGGCTTGGGGGAGCAGCTCACTCTGTTGACCTTGGAGGACTCTCTGGGAGGTCAGGAAAGGGTGAGCGCCCTGGGGAAACGGCTCAGGTCTCACTGAGATTTGCCTCCACTCGTCCTTGGCAAACCTCTCGGCTGTTTAACTTAGTTTATGCTGTTAGGGCAATGAGCCTTTAAAATCACAATTCCCACATGTTTTCCCTGTTTCTGTCTTTTTCCCAGGACCCCCAGAGACCACAGCTGCAGACCTCAGGTAAGGAAGTCTTCCTGTTAGCACCAAGCATCGTCTATGTGCCTGTGACCCTGGAGATATCCTAAATGTCCCAAACGGGGTCTTCTTGGATTGACCAAACACCCCTGGTGAGCCCCTGCTTTCCCTAAGGAGACTGCCTTTCTCCTGGCCACGTGTCCAGCTATCTTGGCCCCATCTCTATCTGTTCTCACCTCTGTCCTGGCCCCATCATGTGGCGCACCAGCATCATGGCAAGGACACGGATGTGCCTACACCTGGTCACCACGAGGACCTGGACTGTCACTGCGGTCCCCCAAACCGAAAACAAGCCGCTCTCTTACCGGACCCTCACAAGTGCTTCTGTGTCAGATGGTTGGAGGCCCAGTTCGGGGATGAGATGAGAGAAGGGGTCTTCTACATCCTGAGTCTTCCATTGGCTCGGGATGCAAACAGCAGTTCTGTGTGCTGATGACCCGGCTGGCTGAGCTCTGTGACCGTTTCCTTCCTGCTTCTCAGGGATACAGATTCTCAGGGCAGGGACCATCTTACTGTTCAGCATACAATTGAAGAGTGGATGGCTTCTGCCAATCAGGAAAATGAGAGGACTGCAAAGTTCACTTTGTAAACCTTTTGCAGAGGTGGGACAGGAAGACAGTGTCCCTCTGACACTTGAGGCCCCGTAACTTGGAGATGAAGGGGGAGGACTACGGGAGGGAGTTGGGGTGCTGCAAGCCCCAGGCTCTGCGTCAGTCACACATCACAGTCTTGATCTCTGGGAAGGTCATGGAAGCACTGCCTGGTGATGTTATTATCCTGTTTGTGAAGTGGGGAAACGGACTCAGGGGTTAACCTTCATCTAACCAGAAGAGCTGAATCGCATGTGCTACTTGCTGGAAGCCCCACCCTGGGTAACAGGTGGGAGGGGTGGGGTGGAAGCTCAGCCAAACAGGTCGTGTGCCAGCACTTCCGGTCTGGGGTCCTCAGCATCACACCGGGTGCTCCCCAGAACACAGTCCCCGGAAGCACAGGGGTCGGCTCCCTGGAAGGGAGACATTGCCTGCTTGGCCAGCCTGCTGAAGAAGCGGTGATTGCGACGGCGAGAGATGCTCAGAAGGACCCCGAGTAAAGGGAAGAGGAGGTGCCACGTGGAGTCGCCCAGGGACACGGTGGAGACAAAGACGGAGGAGAATCCCAGGCGAGGGTGCAGTGAGTGAGGCACAGGAGTTGAGGAAACTCCAGGCTTTTTTGGTAACAGATGGAGTGTGGAGGAAGTCGAAAAGGCAAATACAAATGGCAGGGTGCTCTCTTGTAGCTTTGAAACAGCAGAAGGAAAAGTGACTCTCAAATAGATTTGTTCGTTTTTAAACATTCTGAGAGGACCTGTCCAGTCTAAGTGAGGGGTTCTGTGAGCATTTGGATTTTGACGCCCTCATCATGAGCCTTGTGGTCTCAACTGACATATTTGGTAATAGTGAGACCCTTAAACTTTTTAATGGAGAAACTAGGGGAAATGTGTTGACATCTAGTGTTCCAACAATAATTTCTTCAGCAATTCTTCATTGCTAACATGCAATGTGATGCTTAGAGTAAAATAGGACAAAGATTATGTTCCAAGGAATCAAATACATTCTGCACGGAAGGTACCATTCATTCCTGTATTCTCAAACATCTGTTGGCCACACGCTTCACGTGGGCATGCCTGTGGCTCGTGCTGGCTGACTGCGTGCCCCAGCCATCGTGGGAGCATTTACACCACAGAAATGGACTGATGATGTTCCCCCTCCCAGAGACCTGTTTACCAGCACACGCTGGGCTCTGACCGGACAAGCAGACGAGACCTCTGTCCTGGTGGGGGCCACACCGTGGGTACCAGAACAGGAAGCATGACCCACGCAGAAAACGCACCGTTGTGGTCTGTGAGAGGAGCATCGCGTCCTGTGTGCAGACCATGGCACTGGATGAGCTCACAGACACAGAGTCACCTGTCGGGAACCCCCGTGTGTCGGGAACCCCCGCGTGTCGGGAACCCCCGCGTGTCGGGAACCTCTGCGTGTCGGGAACCCCCGCGTGTCGGGAACCCCCGCGTGTCGGGAACCCCCGCGTGTCGGGAACCCCTCGCGTGTCGGGAACCCCCGCGTGTCGGGAACCTCTGCGTGTCGGGAACCCCTGTGTGCAGGACTTTCTCTGTGGATGACTTAACACTGCATTGGCTCAGAACTTCACAGCCTGCAGTGCCCCTAACCCCAGCTCGCCTCCCCACCAGCTCAGGCAGAGCTCCCAGGAAGACAGTCCATTGGTTGTTTACCAGGTGAGCTGAGGAGAGGTTGGACTTGGATCGAGCAGGACCCTGAGCTGCTATTTCCGACCTCGGAGCCCACTGGGAGTGCCTGAGCGAAGAAGCAGTTTGATGGTTTTTCCTTTCACCCCATCGGGAGAACTGATGACGTTTCAGCTTGTATTTTTGCCTGGGTCCATCTGTTGTCACATGGCCTCAGACTGGCTCTGCCAGAGGCGAAGACTAGGGAAGGTTAGGGTTGGGGTTAGCATCTTTGAGACAGCGAGGCGCTGACAACACCGAGTTCAGGACCATCTCCAAGTTCAGAGAGAGAACACGTCTGTAGCTCACCCTTCTTCTTCTGGCGCCTTCCTCCTTGAGCCACTGGCCAACTCCCACCCAGATGACTGCCCCAGGAGAGGGAGGGAAGGCAGGGAAGGCAGTGTCTTCAAAGGCTAGTAGCTGAAGCATGGGGCTCCAGGCTGGGATTCAGTTCCTCTCCTGACTTGTCTCCTTTGACGCCTACTTTTCAAGTTTGGGTCCCTCAGAGCTGTCATGCAGGATGCCAGCTGAGGGGTGACTGTGGGCCACACCCTCTTCCCAGCCTCACGTGCATCCTTTCCTCACATCTCTGACACCAGCCCTAGTCAGAGCTGGGGAGTCAAGGCTGGGGAATTCCCTCCTCCCGGAGAAAAGAGGCTCGGGAGTCCTGGAGCCCTGGCCGTCTTCCTCTCCCTACAACTCTGGCCCTGAGCACCCAGAGGACATCAGGAAATAAGAGCTGAGTGTGCTTGCAGGTGAACTGCAGGGCTGGCATCTGCTGGCACGACACCCTTGGAGGCCCTGGCTGGGTCTCTTGTCCACTCGGCTGTGGGGTGGGGAGCAGGCATCTAAGGGGTTTCCAGCTTCCTGTCCCCGAGCGGCCTTGTCCGCTCCACGCACTTGGGCTCACAGCCGTGTCTCACACCCTCTGAGGCTGGGGCCGGAAGGTGCAGGCCCACCTTCCTGGGGACCAGGACTCTTCTGAGCTGAGGGTGACGTGTTCAGGGCAGTCCGGTCCCCACAGGCCTCCACAGCAGCTGTCACCTAATTGCCTGATTCACTCAGTGATGTCATCGGCTAATTGGGACCTTAGCTTCAAATCCCCATTAACAAGGAGCTTTTTTGTGAAAAGTCCCAAAGCTAGTTCTCCAAAGAGTGAAAGCAAGTGTGGGCCTGGATTTTAGAAGAGACTAGAGGCAGGGAGAGGTGGGTGGCAGCGGCGGCAACTCCCTCAGTTTGGAAAGGGAGCCCCCAGTCGAGTGTGGTGTGCCCTCCCTCTCTCGCTCTCTCCCTCTTCCTCCCTCTTCCCCTCCCTTCCCGTCTGGGTTCCCTCTTCCCTCCTCCCTCCCTCCTTCCCTCCCTCTCTGTCTTCTTGTTAACACACTGAAAACCCCACCCTGGAAGGCTGCAGAGAACATCCCCCTCCCCCACCCCATGGCTGCTGTTGAGCCAGGGGATAGGGTAAGGCCTGGATTCTGCTGACGGTTCTCCCAGAGGTAGTCGGGGAGGGTGGCCTGCAAGCCCACTGGGCCCCACAGTTGTCTGCAGTCAGGCCTGTGATCAGTCGAATTAGAAACGATCAGAGGTGTCTGGATAGAGACTGGGGATGGCGTTCTTTTCCCCGGGTCCCAGGTATGGGGGCACCAGCCCTTACCTTCCTCCCTTCACAGGCTCCGGAAGATGTGCTTGGGTTTTGGAAAGAGCTCAGACTCACAATGCCAGTCCTGTTAAAAGCAAGGTCTTCCCATCTTGGCCAGGAAAGCCTCTCTCTTCCCACAAGGAGCGCAGGCCTGCCCCTCCCACCTGCCTTAGGTGACCTGGCACAGGCGTCTGGGTCTTACAATGGCAGCTCCTTGTAGTCCTTGAGCCGTGGATGCATCCGACAGCCCACAGGAGCCTGATACATGGTGAACTCTGGCCTTACACTCCACACTGGCCCCTTTGTGCCTGAGGCTGCTGTGGGAGCTGTGGTCCTGCCGCCACGTTGGTTGGCATAGTCAGTACTCATGCTCAGAAGTTTCCAGAGCTTCCTGCTGGTTTGGTTATATAGGGAGACAGATGATGGTTAAGGAAGAGGAACTCCTGGGTGTCCTGCCTTGTGCTTCTAGGGTGAGAGATGCAGGAGGGTCAGTGTCACCCCCTCCCCAAACTGCCCTTCTTAGCACAGCCCAAAAGTCTTCCACGAGGCAGATGCTGTTGGTTCCTGGTTCACGGGCCCTCCCGGCTTCTTTTCCCTGCGTGGAAGCTGGGACCCACACCAGCTACAGGCACTGGTGGGATCTTCACCACTGTCTGTGGCTTGGGCCACAGATTCCTTTCTGCCTGTCAGTCCTGGCTCCGTTTGCTGGGGCACGAAGGTCACAGCTGGCAGGGAATGCAGAGACTGTTACCCTCGAGGGCCATAGGCCTTATGGCATTAGTGATGGCCACAGAGAATGCCAACTTCTGTGCTTTGGACTTGGGACCTCTTTAGAGAGGGGTGCCGTGTTCAGGGCACCTCAGAGCGTCTCGTGTCCAAGCTCCTGGAAACCTGGTGGCAGCTAGTGGAATGCCTGCCGTGGGGAGCGGTCTGGGAGACTCTGGCGCTAGAAGTCTTGCTCTTATGTATACACAGTCTTTAATTGAACACTCGTAAAACTGTAATGAGCCATTTATTTATTTGAATGGGGCGAGTTATTAATTTTCAGCAAACTGCAGGCAGCCATTCTGAGGTGAATCGTCTGGAGACATTCTGCTCCCCAGGGTGAAGGTCTGCGACAGGCTCTGAGATCTGAGCCCATCGCCTGATGTGGCCTTGCCTTTTTATTTCCCCTCAGCTGCCCCACCCCAGGATGCACAGGCTCAGGGCACGTCCGGGGCAAGTACTCCAGGCACCGAAGGTAAGAGGACCCTTGGATCTCACGGAGATTCCTGGGCGGTAGATTTGGAGCCCCTGCCCACTCTGCAGATGGAGAACTTTCCATCTTTTTCCATGGCTCCCAAGGCCAGGCTGCTGACCCTTCTGCGAGGCAGCGACCTCCCACTCTAGCGTGGAGATCTGTGTGGCCATGGGCGTGCCATGTGGGGGAAGACAGACCATCTGACCTCCCGCGAGGCAGCGACTTCCCACTCTAGCATGGAGGTCCGTGTGGCCATGGGCGTGCCATGTGGGCGAAGACAGACCATCTGACCCCCTAGTGCTGCACTTTGCTTTTTTTGTCCGGGTTCCCTGCAAGGACTGGATGAGTCTGTGGGGAAGGGAGGGAGGGAGGACCCTCGGGAGGGGCTCATGGGGTGTCTGAGGCCTCTCGTGGCCCTAGCCTGGTCCTCTCCACTGCCTACTCCTCCCTCCCAGTTTACAGAGCTGCCCCCTGGCCAAGAAGAGGAAGCTGGAGGGCGCTGAGGCTGAGCACCTGGTGTCCAAGAGGAAGTCACACCCCCTGAAGCTGGCTCTGGACGAGGGCTATGGTGTGGACAGCGACGGCAGTGAGGACACTGAGGTGAAGGACGCCTCTGTTTCGGATGAATCGGAAGGAACTCTGGAGGGGGCCGAGGCTGAGACGTCAGGACAGGACGAGATTCATCGCCCCGAGACAGCTGAAGGTGCTTTGTCGCTCTTTCTTCCCCGAATAAAGGGCGCTTAGTGTGGCCCTGGAGAATTGCAGCCTGTGAGCGGGGAGGGGCTCACTCCGGGCAAGAGAAAGCCCTTCCTGAGAACAAGGCATGTCTTGTCCCAACATGTGCTGGGCTTCCTGGGAGAGAGGTCTGCCCATGGTGTTTATGGGGCCTGTGGTGTGTTTGTGTGTGAACACTGTGTGCGTAGGAGAGAGGCAGGACAGACAGAGACACGGGGCTGGTGTGTGTGTGTGCAGTTGTAGTGTGTTTTGGCAGGTGTGTCTGCATGTATATGAGAGAGACAGACAAGGCTGTGTCTCTGTGTGTCTGTAAGTGGGGAAGGGAGGATCTTAGACTGGCCCTCTGTTCTGCCTGGCCCTCTGGGAGACCTGCCTGGGGGCATGGGTGAGAGGTCTGCGTTCCCCTGAGGTACTCACAGGCAGATGCTGAGGAAACACCTCAGGTTGAGCTTCAGGTGATTGAGGACCAGATGGAGCCTCTGAAGACGGGGTGCCCGGGGAGGCCAAGAGGGGAAGGAGGAAAGCAGACGAGTCCCCCACTTCCTTGTGGGGTCTACCAGGACTGCCATGTTGGAGCTCCTAGCCCTTGGCAAAAGTGCATGAAGCAGGTGCTTTGGCCCCTGGGTCCCGGAGGGAGGGGTCTGTGCCCCTGAGAGCCCTGGCAGATCTGTAGAGACCTGGGGTCAGATGAGGCCCAAGGTCCACTCCCCCCACCATCCCCACCACTCACCCAGCACTCCCCAAGCTTCTGCAGTGGGGAAGGGTCTGAGATGGATTTCAGAAGCAAAGCCAGAGAGGGTCCTCAACCCCAGCTCCCTTGGGGGGCTCTGGAGTGAGTGCGCTGTCCCGTGGAATCAACATAGTCCTAGATCCCAGGTAGAAAAGACACACATTTTCCTGCTTTCTTATCAAGAAGGGCGTCTGGGGTTCAGCTGTCAACCTGGGCTTGGACTTTCCCCTCCGAAGTAGGTGGATGGCAGGGCCCATTCCTACCACTGTGGGACGTGCTGGCCCAGGTGTCCTTGCTGACAACCCTACGGGGCCTGCATGTGGTGAGCACCTACCATATCTTAGTTTCGTTTTGTTTTTGTTTTGAGAGAGTCTCACTCTGTTGCCCAGGCTGGAGTGCAGGGGCACGATCTTGATTTACTGCAATCTCCTCCTCCTTGGTTCAAGGAATAGCTGGGACTACAGGTGTGCACCACCACGCCCAGCTCATTTTTGTATTTTTAGTAGAGACAGGGTTTCGCCATGTTGACCAGGCTGGTCTTGAACTCGTGACCTCAGGTGATCCGCCCGCCTCGGCCTCCCAAAGTCCTGGGATTACAGGCATGAGCCACCGAGCCCATTCTTATTTACTGATTTTCAATTATGAAACAATTATTATTATTTTTTTAAAATCTGACTTGCTGCTTAAGCTCCATTGTATACAATGCAGGTTTATCTGATTTGGGAAAGTAAACGTGATGGGAGAGGAACATTAAGAAAAAGTATCAAAGTAATTCTTAGTTTAAAAAATACATCAGTGGCCCATGACCTGCCTCCTAAAATATATTCACCGTGATTTCTGGATTCAGGCAGAAGGGTTGACAGAAAGGTCCATACCAAATCCCCACTTCTGGAGTTTCATGTTTCCCCTTGGCTCCCGTATAAAGAGTGAGTGGTAGGTCAGGTGGAGGGGTGGTGGGTGTGTTGGGGACTGGAGACCTGGAGTCTTCCCACGTGCTCTCTGGCCCCCACGTTGATTTTGATTTTGTGCAGGAAGGAGCCCCGTCAAGTCCCATTTTGGATCCAACCCCATCGGCAGCGCCACTGCCTCCTCCAAGGGCAGCTACAGCAGCTACCAGGGAATCATCGCAACTTCTCTCCTGAACTTGGGTCAAATTGCTGAAGAGACCCTGGTGGAAGAGGACTTGGGCCAGGCGGCCAAGCCAGGTCCTGGCATTGTGCACCTGCTTCAGGAGGCTGCAGAGGGAGCTGCCAGCGAGGAGGGTGAAAAGGGCCTCTTCATCCAGCCAGAGGATGCCGAGGAGGTCGTCGAAGTCACCACCGAGCGCTCCCAGGACCTGTGTCCCCAGTCCCTGGAGGATGCAGCCAGTGAGGAGTCCAGCAAGCAGAAAGGCATCCTGAGTCACGAAGAGGAGGACGAGGAGGAGGAGGAGGAGGAAGAGGAGGAGGAGGAGGATGAAGAAGAGGAAGAGGAAGAGGAGGAGGAAGAGGAAGAGGAGGAGGAGGAAGAGGAAGAGGAGGAGGAAGAGGAAGAGGAAGAGGAGGAGGAGGAGGCAGCTCCTGATGTGATCTTTCAGGAAGACACCTCTCACACCTCTGCCCAGAAGGCCCCTGAGCTCCGGGGCCCAGAATCACCCAGTCCCAAGCCTGAGTACTCTGTTATTGTGGAGGTCCGCTCGGATGATGACAAGGACGAGGACACCCACTCCCGGAAGTCAACAGTCACTGACGAGTCGGAGATGCAGGACATGATGACCCGGGGAAACCTGGGCCTCCTGGAGCAGGCCATCGCCCTGAAGGCTGAACAGGTGCGCACAGTCTGCGAGCCGGGCTGCCCGCCTGCCGAGCAGAGCCAGCTGGGCCTGGGAGAGCCAGGGAAGGCAGCAAAGCCCCTGGACACTGTGCGGAAGAGTTACTACAGTAAAGGTAGGGCTCAGGGGTGGCCTGGCCCTGCAGACTCATCCTTTCACCCCTGCCCCAGGTGTGCAGATGCAGGCTGAGAGCCCTTCTAGGACAGGGGGCTGGGGGATGGCAGAAAAGCAGACAAAAGGACAAATACATGACACAGACTGTGGTCAGATACTGAGCAAATGGGTTCCCACACTGCTTTACATAGAGCGATCTGGAGCGAGACACAGCGGAGACGTGTGAGAAAGAACCAGGTGGGAGAGAGGAGGTGGGAGGGACAGTGACCCACCCACAGTGACTGGTCACAGCAGCATCTGGGGTCTGGAGAGGGTGGGGACCGTCCTGTCCCTTCCACCCCAACTCACACTCGTGGCAGGGATTGTGCTATGACAGAACCCGCTGTTTCCTACAGCCATGCTGGGTCATCCTGATCCTCTCGTGGGGTGGAGACCAGCAGGCAGATGTGAGGGGTGCCCTTGCTCCTCAGAGGGAGCAGCCTGCCGCTGGCTCTGCATCTGTCTCTGGATTTGGCTCTAAAGTGTGCAGGGTACAGGGGAGCCATCCCCTGATCGCACGGAGTGGCTGATGTTGAGGTGAGGATAGACAAGGAGGGCTGCTTGGAGGGGCCTGGGGCTGGGCTGACGTGGTTGGGGAGCAGCTGGGAAGCAGCTGATGTGGTTGGGGAGCAGCTGGGAGCCTGGAGTGCTGAGGTCTGAGGACGAATCCTGAGTAAACGGTTACGGCCTTCATTGTTACTGGGGTGTCAGGGTCTGGACAACAGGCTGGCTCTGCTCTGCTGACTGCCCATCTCAGATTCCTCCTGGGACAGGGGTCTGGGGAGCAGGGCTGGCCAGGGGCTGCTCCCTCAGTGAGCCATGCCAGGGAGGCCAGGCCTTGGACAGGTCAGCTTTGACCCAGCCGGCCTGGTGCGGAGGGCCTCCTGCACCTGGGCACTTGGCCTCTATTCTCCTAAGACTAGGGACCTGCCCTGATCTCGGCCTCTTTTTTCCCCATGTCTAGTCCTGCATCTCTTCTCCAGGTGGACGGGGGCAGTGGGAGTTCTTGGTGCTCTTCCAATGAGTGCCCCCAGGAAGAGTTAGCTGAGACCAGGGAGGGAGCAGATAAGGAGAGAGAACTGGGATGGGAGATGACTCAGGTGCTGGAGCCACGAACCAAAAATGCAGGAGACACGGAATTGCCAACCCTGGGAAGATGCACTTGGGTCATGGGAGAGACAGACCTGAGTGAGACATAATTCAAGGGGCATGATAGGCAGGTCAGTGGAGACACGAGGGACATGTTTTCCGGGAACACCAGGCATATGAGACAAGCTCAGGGGAAAGATGCTAAGGGGACACAGGTGGGGACATGGTTTCAGGGTGAGATGGACCCAAAGAATGGCTTTGCGGGGACACCCTTTAGGGCAACCCAGATGGCGGGACAGCTCTTTGGGGACCCAGATTTAGGTCGGCAGTGTCATGCTCCGGCCTTGTGGGGCCATGGGCACAAAGAGACACAGGCTGAAGGTGAGACTTAGGGACAGGTGTCAAGGGCCCGGGGTGGTTACTAGCCTGGCTGTGGTGTGCTTGGGCCGCACAGATCAGCGCAGAATTTGGTGGGACACATATGAGGAACACAGACACCAAGTGACAGCCCTAGGCCCAGGTTTTTGAGGGTCTCAGACCTGTGGGACAGACATAGGAGGACCCAGATGCAAGGCATCCTGCCTTCAGGGATAGATTTTCAGTGCATGGACCCAAAGGGACACGGCCCCGGGTGACACAGGTGGCCAAGCTGAGAACACCAGGCAGTGCCCAGCTGGGCTGTGAGTGTCTGTGCAACGTGAACGTGCGGTTCTGGTTCTGAGGGACTGATGTTGGGGCACAGATGCTGCGAGAATTCTGGACAGAGGCCGTGGGACAGGGGTGGCAAGCCCAGGAGGCCGGTGTTGGGCACGGGTTTGGAAGCCCCTCAGGACACCCCTGCCTGTCCACATGGGTGGAAGTCTGACTCCTTTGAACTTGGGGCAGCAGAGCAAGAGCTCCTTCCCTTTGGAGCCCCCTCCTGGGACCCTCCTGCTCTGAGGTGGGAGTTCTGAGTTTGGCTCTGTGACCTCTGCACCCTCCCAAAGGGGACAGCTCTCGTCCAAAGGTGTTTCACTGAGATGTCAGCTCTGCTCTGAGGGTCCTCCGTGTTCCTGCTGGTCCCTATACTCTATAGTGACCGGCCTGGACCTGCAGAGGCTAGAAGAGGTCGATAACTGAGATTTGGGTTTACATTTCTGCCCAGGCATAGATTAGTCATGCAGCCTTGGATAAGTTACTCAACTCCTTTGTCTTCCTCGTTTTGTCAAATCCCAAGGATATCTCCTGGCAGGAATATTGCCAAACGCCTTGACCTCTCTAGGCAGAAGGCTGACCCATGAGGCCTCCACACTGTCAGAGGAGAGAGGAAAGAGGACTCCAGCGGCCGTCTGGGTTGTTCTCCTTAAAACGCTGCACAAACTGCTATTTGGGATTGTCAGGGCAGCCTCAGGGCTTCCGCACAGGCAGCCAGTGTGGGCTGGTTTCTTCAGGGTCTCCTGACTGTCCAGCCCCAGTCCCTGTTCAAGCTCATGGGCAGTCTCGCCTCCCTTCTCTCTGGACAGCCAGAGAGAGGGTTCCTGAGCTACCCCTGCCCCCTCTCTGCTCACCACCCAGCTTCCTGGCTCTAACTGATGTGACTTGTGTGTTTTAGATCCTTCAAGAGCTGAGAAGCGTGAGATCAAGTGTCCAACACCAGGCTGTGATGGCACTGGCCACGTTACCGGGTTGTACCCTCACCACCGCAGCCTTTCTGGCTGTCCCCACAAGGATAGGATCCCCCCAGAGAGTGAGTAGCTCTGTGCAGCGTTAGCCCTAACTGTGAAGCTCACGCTGCCTCTGTGGTGTTTGGGTGGTGTCTATGGGGAGGCGTGGCCTGCCCAGGGCCATAACCTTCCCCTTTGGTTTGTCCAGATGCTCATCCTTACATCTCCCCGCTTTCCCCCACAAACTCCCTCAGCCCAAACTTGAGCCCTTTGAGGCTGGGGCCCTGCAACCAGCCCATTTGTCTACCTAGAGACGCCAGTCCGGGTCAGAGCCCACAGTAACAGATCGATGGGAGGGGGACAGGCTAGTGCCATCCAAGCTGGGAAGGGAGAGGTCTTCTTGCAGCAACCTCTGTGCCCTGAAAGCTTAGGAAGCAAATACTTGTTCTTATGTTTAGGCTAGAAGCAGTAATTGTGAAAATTAAATTTAAAGGAGCAAACCACAGAATGAGAGGTTTTAAAGCTGAGTCTGGTTTCTGCCGCAGGAGGGAGGGACCACAGTGGTGGTGGCGGTGGGGGGCATGCCCTGACCAGGCTGAGGGTGGGGAGTTGTGTCTGCAGGCTCTTGGGGGCTGGAGCTGCCCTGCGTTGCTGTGTCCCCCACCTGCCTACCAAGCAGCAGCCTTTGGACAAGGCTCCTGCACCCTCCTCAGCCTGTGCTCCCCACACAGCTGGCGCTCCCCAGATTCTCTGACAGCCTCGGCTCCCTCCACCCCCTGTTCTCTTACAGTCTTAGCCATGCATGAGAACGTGCTGAAGTGCCCCACTCCTGGCTGCACAGGCCAGGGTCACGTGAACAGCAACCGCAACACGCACAGAAGGTACTTGGACTGAGCTGGGCCGTAGTGGGGGCCAGGGTGGGGGCCGTGGTGGGGGCCAGGGTGGGGGCCGTGGTGGGGGCCAGGGTGGGGGCCGTGGTGGGGGCCAGGGTGGGGGCCGTGGTGGGGGGCTCCACGTGGGGTAGGGCACCTGGGTTGGGCCTGTGTGTCCCTGCCTGGGCCGTGAGCCCGTGACCTGGGACGGGGCTCTGGCCTGCCTGGGGCTCCCTGTGTGCTACCCTTCTCCCAGCCTGCCGCCCTGAGGAGTGGGTACAAGGTCAGGGCACACCTGGGCGGTGAGGGGCCTTTGTGAGGGCAGAGTGGCAACTGGAGGTGCAGTCACCCAGTGGTGTTGCTGCCTTAACCCTACGAGCTCCCGAGAGAGCAGGGGGCGGCCTGCAGAGGAGGGAGCAATGCACCCTCTGTGAAGAGAGGTACAACAACCATGTGAGAGCCAGGTGAATACTTTGTGTCCTACCCACATTCAGAAAACCTCTGCACACTGGCTCTTGCTCCTGAGTGGGAAGGGCAGACATGAACAGTAACCTCGGCAGGCCAGGACTGTGCTCTGGGCTGCTTTGTGGGAGTTCTGAGGCCCAGGTGGAAGTGAAGCTTCCCGACCACCCTCGAGGTGTAGTTGTTGACTGGTCTTCTATGGTGAGGGGGGACTACTCCTCCAGCCTTACCCTAAGTGCCATGGGTGGCCGTGGCCTCGGTGGGATATGCTTTCCCCCAGCAGGCTTATGCTCAGCTGAAAGGACTGCCAGAGCTTTTGAGGTCACTTCATTTGAAAAGAGGCCAGTTCCCCATTACGTCACCTCCCTGGGCTGGCTGAGGGACTGGCGCTGGAGCTCACAGTTAACTTTATTCTGACAGATGAAGCTGCTGCCTCCGTGTCTTAGACTGAGTACTTTCCTGGGCCTGTGTCATCCAGGGTCAGTGCCCAGGCTGTGGTCCAAGTGGGGCCCTGGGCTGCCCCAGAGCAGCTAACAGAACAAGCGCCAGAGAGGGCTGCAGAATCCAGCCCTGCAAGCTGGGAAGGGAGAGGAAGGGGGTGAGGGCAAGCCTGTCTCCCAGACCCATGCAGAGGAGGCATCTTTGCCCAGAGCTTTCAAGGCCTTTAGGATATATTTCATCTTTGTGTGTCCTTGGCATAGAATGTTCCAAAACAGAAACTGACTGGGCAGCTTGTACTGTGAGGGCTCAAGAACAGAGCCAGAGAGAAAACCCCTGTCCTGCAGAATGACAGGGTTATTCCCGGCTCTGGGCTTCTCTGGAGTTCACCTGGAGTTCTCACATCTGAATGACCTTGCCGTGAGACACCCACACACACAGACACCCAGGACAGGACAGGCATGGAGGGGAAGGCTCAGAAACCCCTCCTCTTCCTTCCTCTAGTTTGTCTGGGTGTCCCATTGCTGCCGCCGAAAAATTAGCCAAATCCCATGAGAAGCAGCAGCCGCAGACAGGAGATCCTTCCAAGAGTAGCTCCAATTCCGATCGGATCCTCAGGTGAGTGAGATGAGCCACAGAACTGAAGAGGCTGCCTCCCAAATGCCTGCAGAGGGCTTCTCAGTCTCCCGCAGGCTGTATGTGCATGTGTGTGAGTGCATGTGTGTGAGTGTACGTGCATGTGAGTGTACGTGCATGTGAGTGTGCACATGCCCCGGGCCCCCCAGGAGCAGAACTGCGGGGCAGTTTTGGAGCCACACAGGACAGAGTCTCATGTCTACCACATTCGCCAGTGCCTCAGCCAAAGCGCAAACTCCTGCACAGTTGCCTCTGCCTCCGACATGGGGCTCTGCCTCCTTGGAGTCGTCTGATGTGACCACTTGAGGCCCCTTGGGGATTCATTTGTGGAGATGCTGGTCCTGTCTGGAAAGAGCAGACTGCACCAGCCAAGGACCACGGACGTCCAGGAAGCACCATGAGCCACTAATCCTTGGCCGTCCTGCCTGTCCCTCCCCGACCCCAGGGATAGACCCCAAGTCAAGGAAGAGGGTGGGTGCAGGCTTTGCTCCCCAGAGTGCTTTGTGGCCCCTGAGGTTCTGAGATCACAGTAGGTGTGTGTGAACATGTGGGAGCGTGTGTGTGCATGTTCACACGCCTGTTTGTGTTTGCATATGTGCGGGTATGTTTACATGTGCGTGCAAGTCCATGTGTATGTGAACACGTGGGAGCGTGTGTGTGCATGTTCACACGCCTGTTTGTGTTCGCATATGTGCGAGTATGTTTACATGTGCGTGCAAGTCCATGTGTGTGTGCATGTGTAAATTTGGCTCTAATCAATAAGGATCTTTCAGAATGTGTCCCATTAGTGTCCCCTCCTTCCATGTGGCTCTAAGAAGTAAGTGCCACAAATAAGGCCAGAGGCTCAGAGAGTTGCCCAAGGCCACCCTGCCCATCCTGCCTGGCTTCAAAGTCTCTCCTCTATGGAGCTGAGTCCTTGGACCACGGTACCCACTGTCGAAGAGGACACTTCCACTGCTCCTGTCTTCACCTGCAGACACCCTGCTCCCCACTCCCGTGAGGAACTAGAACTCACACACAGCTCCTCCTCCCCAGCTCTCAGACCCCTGTTCCATATCTGTCTCACCAGACAAGAGTGTAGGAGACCCCGGCTGGGGTGAGCGTGAATGACTGCATAGCCCCTTCCACTGTCCGCCTCCTTTCGGGGCCCACCTGACCCCGGCCCTTCCTGGCACATAATTGGCAAAGTTCCAGCCAGATGATCTTCGCTGCTCACCTTGGCTGTGTCATGCCCAGGCCCTTCCCTGGTCTGCTCCAGAGTGTTCCTCTGAAGGTGCAATTCCCACACGTGGGATCTCTGGGCAGAGCACAGAGACTTGCCTTCCTGCTCTGTGGGCATGCTTGCCATCCCACACACAGGCACCTTCAGCCCTGCAGGTCCCAGCAGGCTGCTTTCCACCAGCTGGCTCTCACAATGGTTTGAAGCTGCTTTTTTCCTCTATCTTATTTGCTGTTCCCTCCAGCTTCCTGTCAGTTGCTAATTCAATCCTTTCCCTCTTTGATCTAAATCACCGATAAAATGTCAAACCGCAGATTTGGCCCCCGTGTGAGGCCAGGCAGGGGTGTCAAACAGGCTCCAACTTTGGAGACTGCACTCCCTGGGACTATGACCTCAGTTTGTTCACTTATAAAAGTAGGACAACAAACTAAGTCGCTCATGAGGCTCAAGTGACACTCTGCCGCCCTCAGCCCATGGTGAATACTCACTGAACGCTAGAGAGATTGTGGCTAGGGTGGAGGAGGCCTCCCGTTAGGCCCTTTTGATTCTATCCAGCCCACATTTCTGGCTATCGAACTTTGGGGTGTGAGGACGGGCTTTGCAAAGCTTCGTTGGCATTGTGGACAATAAGTGTACAGATTCTGACTGAAGCCTTGGTCAAGGAAGCCATCAACGGTGGTACCAATGTTAAGCTTATTATTATTATTATTATTTTTAGTGACAGAGTGTCACTCTGTTGCTCAGGCTGGAGTGCAGTGGTTTCAATCATAACTCACTATAACCTCAAACTCCTGGTCTCAAGTGATCCTCCCACCTCAGCCTCCCGAGTACCTAGGAATACAGATGTGCCATCATACCTGCCTATTTTTTTTGCGTTTTTTTTTTTTTCTTTTTTTTGTAGAGAGGGTCTCACTAGGTTGCCCAAGCCGGTTTCTTACTCCTGGCTTCAACAGACCTGCCTTGGCCTCCAAAAGTGCTTGGATTATAGACATAAGCCACCATACCTGACCCAATGTTAAGTTTAAAGTTAGTTTTTTCCCTCCTGGCCTCACTCTTGCAACTTTTCTATCTGCCACTGGGGTCAGGATCCATCCTGGGGCTCCCACCCTTCCTGGAGAAGGAGAAAACACCCACGTCCTGGTAGTGTTCAGTTCTTCCAGGCCCATCAGAGCTGGCCGTGGTTGCAGGGCTGGCCTGGTGGTCCTCTGTGCTGGGCTCTGTTCTTAGTCCACACTTAAGTTCTCGTAGCACCCAGCACCTTGGAGGCTGTCATTGTCAGCTCCTTCTTAATTCCACTGATTGTACACTTTCCAGACTGAAGTCATTGCTTGGTCCAGACAGGAACAAAGAAAGCCATGGCTGCTTGCCAGGATCTCCTCTTCTCTGAGCTGCCAGGTTCAGAAGCTCCTCTGTGCCTGTGTGGTCACCAGCATCTACCACCAGTCTTCCTGCCCCTGTGCCTTCTATGCCAGTTTCTTCGTGCCATCTTTTGTGCATGTAAAATCCTGAAGTATTCCAAGAGCATTAGTGGCAGTGAACTGAATGCTTGCAGTAGCTTTTTCGTGGCTGTTGCTGACCCTTCCAACAGTTCCTTGAGGGTCCACCTCAACACAGCTTTAAGAAGAGGGCAGCTGAGGGCTGAGTCCCTGGCTGAATGAAGAAGGGTCAGGCCTGGCCCTGAGGCCACTCCTCAGAAATGCACCTGATACAACTAGCGTCTCCTGTAGATTCCTCAGCTTCCTCCTTGCTGGGGAGTTCTAGGTTATGCTGCCTTGGAGTGTCTTGCTATTGTCCTGGGCTATGCTACTCTTTGGCCCTGCCTGATACTCACTCCAGTTGCAGCTGAGCTGTTTGAAACCTGCTCTCCTAAGTTCTGGGGAAAATCTTAGGCCCTCCTCTATCTGATGCTGTCAGCAGGACAGGCCATTGATTATTTGAGGGTCCTATTGCTTCCTCCCTGCAGGCCATTCTTCACCGGCCTGCTCTGGGAGCCCTTGACCCTGGGAGGTGGAACTCTGCCCAGCTTTAGTGGTGGAATATGCAGGGGTAGTGTCTTCCTGAGTCTCCTTCCTCACCAGACGCTGTGAGGCCCCTGCCTGGGCTGCAGATTGGGGTTGGGGAGGGTGGCACGGGATCCCCAGGTCCCATCTCACTGGCTGTGCATCCCTGTACTGCACCCCAGGCCCATGTGCTTCGTGAAGCAGCTCGAGGTCCCTCCATATGGGAGCTACCGGCCCAACGTGGCCCCCGCCACACCCAGGGCCAACTTGGCCAAGGAGCTGGAGAAGTTCTCCAAGGTCACCTTTGACTACGCAAGTTTCGATGCTCAGGTTTTTGGCAAACGCATGCTTGCCCCAAAGATTCAGACCAGCGAAACCTCACCTAAAGCCTTTCAATGTAAGTTGGGGAGAATTGTTCTTGTTTCTCTTCTGTGTTGCTCCTGGGAGGGGCAGGATTCAAGGGGCAGTGGAGGAGGGACCCTCTCGAGGAGCTACTAGGGAGGGAAACTCTACCCTCATGGGAGGACCACGATGCAGGCTGGAGGTCTCAGCTGTCCCAGTGGGCACTGTGGTGGCTTTCTTGGGGCCTGCATCTCACTCCTGCTGCCACCTTCATGTTCACCATTAACATTTATGTGTCTCCTAGTTATTTGTGAAACAAAACCCAGATCCGTTACGGGCGTGTGTGTCCAAAGACTTCAGAGCAACCCCACCAGCATGGTTCACACTGGGAGACGCCACTCTCCCCACTGTCCTCCTGCTACCTGTTTAATCCCAGTGCAGCCGGCTGTCCATTTCCCAGCCCTGCCTCTGGGGAGGGTCAGACTGTGGGCTGGGTGGGGCCAGATGACTGCGGGGCTGGGCCCAGTGCCCTGGCAGGAAGCCATTGCTCTCCTGGTGGGGACCATCTTACTGGATACAATGTGTTATCTGTGACATTAGTAACAAATTTTCTGGGTAATTGTACTGACAAAAATCATTCCTACAAATCTTTAAGAACAATCCTTTCTGTCTTGTCTTGTCACTTACTGCCCTAATTTGTGGAATAAGCCCATTAGCCCTGGAAGTGCATGCGAAATGGAAAAGCATTCAGTGTACACATGAGATTGGGAGTGGCATCGCGGGGCAGATGTTGTCAGCCCCAAACATGACGTGACGAGTTTCCTACATGAGAATAATAAAAGTACTGATTGATGCGGCTGCCAGTGGGGTGTGAGCCTCTCTTCCTAACTTTGACAGAACCTGCTCTTTAGGATGGAGGACTTCCTGCCTCCAGGCACACATGCCTACTTGGATGAGGGAATGCAATGGTGCCAGTGGAGAGGGGGACCTCACGATAAGCTTTCCAATATATCTAGACCTTTCTGGATATACTGGTGACATCGTGATTGCTGAGAACATCGTGCATGAGAGTGATTTTGCAGCTACAGTACAATTGCTAGAAAAGATAACATTCTGTGCCTTCATTTGTCATGTTCATTTGAGCAATAATGTTACTTTTTTAAGGCAGTGATGGTTACCGGGGACACCAAGTCAGCCTAAATATGGGTACACCCTTTTGAGATCATGGGACAAAATTTTCCTATTTGGGCGATATGGCAAACACTCATCCTATTCACAGAATGCTTCAGTTTCTGATAGACAAGTTATTTTTGTTTGAAATATCAGGGCTGCTGGAATGTCTTGGAGGCTTTTACTCCTTTTGCCCAAATTTTCACTGAGCCAGAAACAAGATTGTCTCCTCAGTCCCCTAGAGGAGGGTGGGTGGGAGTGAGGTGTGTGAGGACTTGGGACTGGGACGGGTGGCCAAGCCCCTGGCCCACTTCGATATAGCTGTGCCCTGGGCCCTCCCATCCCTCCCAAAGTGCCCCCTCCCCACTGACTTGTCTGCATTGCTGCCTCTTTTCAAGTTGTATATCAGCCTGGTGTTGTTCCCTTTTTGCAGCCAAACCTTTCCCAAAGGCCTCTTCCCCCAGGCACAGCCCCTCCAGTAGTTATGTGAGGAGCACTTCATCCTCTTCTGCAGGCTTTGACTACTCGCAGGACGCCGAGGCTGCACACATGGCTGCCACTGCCATCCTGAACCTCTCCACGCGCTGCTGGGAGATGCCTGAGAACCTCAGCACGAAGCCACAGGACCTCCCCAGCAAGGTTAGTACATCTGCCACAGAGCCTTTCTTGGGAGAGGTGAGTTGGTGGAATTTGCAGTCAGGCCCACCTGCTCTCTGCACAAAATGTCCCTAGGAATGGCTTGTGCCTAGCTGGCAATTCTCATTCTTAACTTTTTCTCCCTCCTGGCCATGGCCCCAAGGACCGCAGAGCTTGGATGGGTCCACCAGGAGAACCTGGTGTGCTGAGTGAAGGGGGACCAAGGGCTGCGAACACAAGTTCCCACGTGTTAGGTTGTGTGCACACCATGCGCCCGCGTGTCTCCCTCTGAGCCTGAGGGTGGTGCACACACATGCCCATGTGTTTCCTTCTGACTCCAGGGCGGTGCACGTGCCCTGTTCACACGTGTTTCCCGCAGTCTTGTGGTTGCTGACACACTCTCCTTGCTCAGAGGACCTAGTCTTACCCGTGTTTATGACATGTCCTGAGGGACTGGTTTTTGTGCTGTTGGGAGGCAAGAGGAATTGTAGGGCCCCCTTCATGGGAAATCAGGAAATGGCAGCTGGATTTTTTCCCTCTCGCTGCCTGTCTGTCCCCGTTGTCCTGCTTCCTTCTATGGGAACCAGTGTTCTGGACTCTGTACGTTTGATTCAAATGGACCAGAAGGCACACATGGGAAGGGATGGAATCGCTAACAGATCTCACCTTTGCCATTGCAGTCTGTGGATATCGAGGTAGACGAAAATGGAACCCTGGACTTGAGCATGCACAAACACCGCAAACGAGAAAATGCTTTCCCCAGCAGCAGCAGCTGCAGCAGCAGCCCCGGTGTGAAGTCTCCCGACGCCTCCCAGCGCCACAGCAGCACCAGCGCCCCCAGCAGCTCCATGACCTCTCCCCAGTCCAGCCAGGCCTCCCGCCAGGACGAGTGGGACCGGCCCCTGGACTACACCAAGCCTAGCCGCCTGAGAGAGGAGGAACCTGAGGAGGTGGGTGCAGGCGCCTGGGCAAGCAGTCAGGCGGCTGCAGCCAGCTTGCCCTGCCTGAGGCTGTTGTGATATTGGCTTTTCAAGGAAGCTTCTCCTCACAGGCTTCTGGAAGAGCCTCGGGGAGCCATCCCTTTTCGTGAAGGGTCCTTCATCTTCTGAGCAGCTGGGACTCAGGGGCTCACCCTCTGGGTGGGATTTTCAGCAGCAGGGTCATGCTGTGCCCTTGTCTGTCAAGAAGGAGGTGGTCTTCTCACCCCTGTGGAGCATGGTGGCCAGCACCAACGTGGGCACTGTGGAGGCATGGGGAGGAGAAAGGCATCGTTCAGATCCCAGGAGTTGATTGGGGAAAAGCTCAGGTTTCTTGGGTTTTGAGCCTCCCACCACCCTGCAGAGCTAACCTGCTGTCCGGGTAGGGGCAGAGCCAGTGAGAGAGCTTAGGACCTGGGCTTAGGATCGCCCATGGTGGGCAGTTCTACGTCCCCGAGACCAGGACCAACCTGGCATGGGTGCTGGAACTGTGGTCTGGGAAGCAGGGGATCCTTCCCTTTTTAGTTCCTTAAAACATGTGAAAGAAGAATCCTCCGAGGCCACAGCCGGTTCTGGGCTTTTTCCCAAGGAGGTGTGTGTCCTGAAGAGCAAAGTCCAGCTGTGAGGGCAGCCCAGGGTCCAGGCGGCAGCAGCCGCGTGTGTGAGACTAGCAGGCCCCTCTCCCTCTCCTTCCCCTCCCCCAAAGCCCCTCAGGAGGTGGAAGGGGTCCCTGTGGAAGGAGCAGGGCCAGACCCTCAAGGAGGAATGAGGGGGGTGGGGCTAGGCCCCTATGAAGGGTGGGGGCTGGATCAGGCCCCTATGAAGGGTAGGGGCTGGATCAGGCCCCTATGAAGGGTGGGGGCTGGATCAGGCCCCTATGAAGGGTGGGGGCTGGATCAGGCCCCTATGAAGGGTGGGGGCTGGATCAGGCCCCCTCCACAATCCGGCCTCAGTGGGAGGCAGACTTCCTTACCGGCCCTCACACCACCCTCAGGTCACCCCATTTCATAGACGAGCAGCCTGGGAACCCACAACGAGGTCCAATTATCCGAAGACTGTTATTATGCTGGGCTGTGGGCTTCACGGGCATTTCCTCATTTGACCCCCAAAAACCTTTGAGGGGCTGCTGTTATCTCAAGTTGGACAGAGTGGCACCTGGGCCCCAAGAGCCTGAGCCACTTGCCTGGGACACATGCGAGTGCCTGTCAGGACAGGATTTTGAGCTCTGGTTACAGCATCCTGCAGAATGTTGGCCTTCTGACCCTTCCTGGACCCCTGGCCCCTCCGTGGGAGGGACTACGCCCTGCTTATCTGTGTCCACAGCTCTGAGCCTCCATACCCAGCATTCAGTTCGAAGCCTTTATCAAGCACCTGCTGTGGTCAAGGCATCGCACTGGTGGGCGTGTCGGGCCAGGTGGTTTCGAGGTTACTGCGATTGTTGTAATTTGTATGTTATTACCCTCGTTGTGCCATCTCATCTTCATGGCATTTCGGTAACACTTATTTAGTGCCTACTGTCTATTGAGTGCCATCCCTGGCTCTGAAGGGAACTGTATCCTGATGTTTACGCTGCGGAGTGATGTGGCGGAGGGAGGCCAGGGAGGGTGTCAGGAGCCTGCCACACTGGGCAGCACCAGGCCTCATTTCTAGGGCAACGCAGGACCTCTGGCTGAAGCAGGGGAGGGATCCAGCCCCTCAGGGGTGTTGTCTTCTGTGTTTTGCTGGGGGGAGTTAAGTCTTCCTCCCTTATCCAGAAGATAGGAGACTCCGGGAGATGCTTCTGTGGACACTGTCCTGAAGGGTCCCTCTCCCTCGCCCACTGGGTTGGGCGCCCAGGCCTCCCCGCCAGCCGGTTAAAACATCTTCCTGCTGGTTTTTTGCAGTCAGAGCCAGCAGCCCATTCTTTTGCTTCTTCTGAAGCAGATGACCAGGAAGTGTCGGAAGAGAATTTTGAGGAGCGGAAGTATCCGGGGGAAGTCACCCTGACCAACTTTAAGCTGAAGTTTCTCTCCAAGGACATAAAGAAGGAGCTGCTCACGTAAGTCCCTGTTTGGCTGGCACAGCTCCTAGGGGACCCTCTGTGGCCTGGGGAGGAACAGGCCCTGGTCCCAACCCATGACGACCGGGTCTGCTCAGGCTTTCCCCGACCTGTCCTGACCACCTCGAGCCAGGCAGCCTGTGACAGGAGCCAGGGTATTCAGAGGTTTCCCAACACCTTTGTGTTGTGCTGGGCTTTACTGCAATCTTCTAAAAGTGATTAAGAACAAAGAAATCCCCTGGCCAAGCTCACCAAGCAGGACAGAGCAGGGCAGGGGCAGAGTGGAGGAGAGCTCCTCAGAGAGCTCTGCAGGAAGCCCTCGGGGCACCCAGAGGCCTGGCCCTCTCCCTGAGGCCGCAGCTGGGCACGTTCTGCCCTGGGCTCCATGGCCAAGGCCTGGAATGTACTGCCTTAGGGCTCACCACCCTCAACTCTGTCAGCCTGGCTGGCCCAGAGGCTGCGTGTCTGAGCTGGTCCGCATGGGGTTGGAACAGACAGAGTTGCTGATGGATATGAATCAGATGTCAATGACCTTCTGGTCAGCCTTCATTGCCAGCCACCTGTCCTAGGGGACTGTGAGAGGCTGTGCCTGGCACCTGCTCCACAGGTGATCCAGCTCTCACATGTGCTCAGAGTACATTTCTGGGGTCCCTCTTCTCCCCAACCTGAACCCCTCTTGTACCCTCACACTTGTAGCTTGCCCTCCTGGGAGTGGCTGGATCCAGGGAAGGCCTTGCTTCAGGGCCTGGAGAAGGGAAGGAGCTCCTCTGCCTAAATATTCGTGGGCACATACACGTGCACACACAGCACATGTGCGTCAGAGGCATCCTAACTTTAAGCTCAACTTTAATTTGGTTACTTTTTCTTCTTGAGTTAAGTTGTGTGGGAGAAACTTCCAGCCTGAGAGGCACCGGCTGTCCTCCAAGGACTGAGTGGAGGAGGGGCCACCGCTTGGCTCGCGGGTGAGCCAGGAGTGGGCACCAGTCTCCCTCGCAGAGCAGGCTCAGCCTGGGGGGCAGGTACACACCACTCTCCGGTCTGACACTCTTTTTCCTTTGTCCAGCTGTCCCACCCCTGGCTGTGACGGCAGCGGCCACATCACCGGGAACTACGCCTCCCACCGCAGGTTTGTCTCCTGCTCGGGTCCGTCTGGCCTGGGTGCTTCGTGGTGGGTCTTCCTCCTCTCCTCCTCCTCTGCTCTCCCTCTTTGGCTTACCCCAATATCCCATCTCTTCTCTTTCAGCCTCTCTGGTTGCCCTCTTGCTGACAAGAGCCTCAGAAACCTCATGGCTGCCCACTCTGCTGACCTCAAGTATGTTTGCGCTCCCTGACCTCCTGTCTCTTGGGCGGCACCCTCGCTTTGCTCTCCTTCCATGAGGCTCCTGCCAAAATCAGCCTTCTCCAAGGTGCCAAGCCTCAGCTGGCCCCAGCTCTCCTGAGATGGGCAGAGGGGCAGGGCCGTGGAGGGGCCGATTCTGCTTGGCTGGGGCTGCTCTGCCTGTGTGCACCTGCTCTGAGCTCTGCTGTTTGCCTCTCCGCTGGGGGCTAGGGGTCGCTGCAGGCTCCTGCGCTGCTCTTGACCCATCCCCCACCCTCCAGCCTCTCCTGAAGATCCCCGACAGGGCTGTCTGGGCCTGCTTTCTTACTGCCCTAGAGATTTGGGAAAAGCCCAGAACCGACCAGGGAACGTAAGCCCTGCCGTGGCTCGGCAGGCCACAGGCTGTGCGGCTCTTGCTAAATGAACTGAACGCTGATAATGAAGAGAAAGCTCCTTCCCCTCCCCTCTCCTGTCACGCTCCAGCTGCTTCTGCCTTGGCCCTGATGCCCTCCCCCCATGCTCATGCCTTCTCTTTGCTGGGCTCACCCGTTTCTGCTTCTGTACCTCCCTGCCCCTACCTAACACATGGGCAGGGCAGGCCCTGCAGGCACCAGCTATAGCTTGCTGGACAGTCCTGCACAACCAGGCGCAAGCACCCAGAGGTTTCCAGGGGTCAGTGTCCTCCTGGGGCTGGAGTCAGGGACTGTTACTGCCTTTGGTTTTCATGCCTCCAGTTGTGCTGTGACTCCTCAGCCTGTGTGACCCTGAGCCATGGGGAGCTCCTCCTGGGCACCGGGGCCGAGCTGAGGCCTTGGAGGAAGGGGGTCCCATTCTTGTCTCCTCAGGTCACCTCTCTCCAGGGGTGTCCCTCCCTCCCATAGGCCTCTGTGTTGGGGGCCCTGAATCCAGGTCAACACACCCTGGCTTATTCCATTCTGGGGCCAGACAGGATCCTGGGCACTGGTGCCTCTAAGATGAGGAAATGAACTTGCTGAAGGCTTCTAGGGACCTTGGCTGGCTCAGACCTGGACAGAAAGCTCTAGGTCTCCCAGAGCCCCCACCAGCAGCCTTGTCTCTGTTCCCCTCTGGAGGCTGGTCTGGCCCCAGCAGCCAGGAGGAGTGTGTCATGAGGCCCTTCAGTTCCCACAGAGTGGGGTGCAGCATCTAAGTTTCCTTCCTGGAAGTTAATAGCTTCAACATAAGCATTTTCTGAGGCTGAGATCACCACAGCAGCTGCACACATTGACTTATTCATTCATTCTGCCGCCCACTTTGTCTAGTCCTAGAAACCCAGGAAACACTCAGTCCTGCAGCTTCTGGGACTGTCCTCTCTCCCTCTTTCCTTCTTCTCTTGCCATCTTTCTTGCATTCCTTTTTCCTTTTCCAATTCTGCTTTCTTTTCCGTGATTAGTCTCCATGGTTTTTCCCATTTGGGCCTGAATAATTTAAGAGGAGAAATGTGGCTGCAGGCACTCAGTGGCCCCAAATGTCACCATGTCCTTTCTGTCCTGTGAAGTGGATGCTTGGGCGGATGAAAGGAGCTTGGCACAGTTCGGGCCTGGAGACATGGCCGTCTGGGAGAGTTAGTGCTTTTTTAAGACTAAGAGCCTGTGAAGAACCTTAACGCCAAACTTCTTTAGAAATAACGACCAAAAGCCTCCCCTGTGTGAAAGTGAACCGCTCATCAGCATCAGCAGGGTTTGGGCAGGCAGCCACGGCCTCCAGGCTCCTTCAGAAACTCCACTCTCCCCCAGGGGCCTTTCCATGGGAGGCCACTTCCTTTCCTCCCTCCGACCACTGCATGAGCTTGGGACGATGGTGGTCTCCCCCCGCCACGTGTCCTGGTGTACCAACCTCCTTGCTCTCTGCCACCTCCTGTGTGAGGCGGCATCGGGCACTGGCCCCTCCTGATCAGCCTCGTGGCAGCCATGGGTGACGGTGGCCTTGGGACAAACGAGGTTCCTTTCATGACTTCCCTGTCCGCACCTGGCTGCAGCGACAGTCAGATGATGTGTGTTCTGTGTTTTAAGTGAATCCCAAGGGCGTTCACTCTTCCCTCCCATGTGTCTGATGTGGTCAAGGGCTGTGAGGACATGGCCGCCTCGGGCCACTCAGCTCATCTTGTGTTGGGAGTTGAGCTGCAACCACACACACCTGCCAGGGCATGACAGGCTTTGTGCAGGGTGAAGAATGCCTGTCCACAGCACGGGGATGGGGCTTAGAGAGGTGAGACCTGGTGTGTATTGCCAAGGTAGAGGGTGCCCCTCAGACACGGTGTTCCCTTCTGCCCAGATGGGGCACTCAGAAGCAGGTGGTGGGAGGGGTGGATGTGGCTCCAGATTCCTGCAGCTGACCCTGGGGGTCCACAGAGCCATGAGGGGCATGCAGAGGGGACACCTGCTCCTCTGACTATGTGAGTACTTTCCTCTCTGGGACACAACTCTTGAGAAAAGCCATTGAATCGGGCCTTAGTGAGGACTGCAGGATGGCCCCCCCTGTGTGTTAGGTACTGCCGGCCCCTTGGGAGTTATACCCCCACCTGAGACTCACTCACAGATGCCATCGGGAAGTATCTCCTCTGCTGTTGATGCCACTCACAGTCCAATGCTGTGCTTATCCCCGTTGAGGCCTAGAGCTGCTGTGGGTCTGTCACTCTGGCCACCTGAGTGGCCACTTGCCCACCGCACTGAACCTGAGCTCTACCTGATGCTTTGCTGCCACTGAGACAAGGAGCTGGAGCCCCAAGTGGCCACTTGAACAGCTGCCAACCCAGGAAGGAGAGGCAGGCCATCTTCAGTTCTCTTGGCTGGCCAGCAAGGTATCCAATGTGTGGCCCACAGGGCAAGGATGAAGGAATGTGAGGCTCCCCAGGAGGGCACCCCAAAAAAACTCCTAGGGGCCGAAGAGAAGGTTGCAAGAGGTGGGGCCAGCCCTGCTGTGCCGCCACAGCCCTTTGGGTGCCAGGCTGTGCCCGGCTTCATCTTCCTCCAAGCGAGGAGATGTCCTGTCCCAGTGGCCGGATGTCACATGTGCTGGTGGAAGACTCCGGTGAGGAAGGGCCAGCAGCATGGAAAGTGAGACGTCCTCCCTGGGGTCTGAGCACCACTGCAAAGTGCCTTTGAGCAGCAGGTGA
Source organism: Homo sapiens (assembly GCF_000001405.40). NCBI lineage: Eukaryota > Metazoa > Chordata > Mammalia > Primates > Hominidae > Homo > Homo sapiens. Next base: position 64,226,499 of record NC_000020.11, read on the forward strand.
TCTGGACACAAGCACTGAACTCTTGCCTGGCTCCTGCAGGGTCAGGGGTCAGGAGGGGTGAGGCACAGAGAGCAGGCCTGACGGGGGATGGATCTACCCGCAGAATCAGGTCACCTCCTCCCACTCTCTAACATCAGCAGGAACTCACATATTTTTTCCTCAGTGGACATTCGGAAGAAAATAACATCCGTGCTTGTAATATTAAAGTGGAATTTTGTACCACCTTATGTGATACATTCGTCAAATAGTTTTGGGTGTGTAAAGTTGGACTTTTGTGTTTCTCCTCCTTACTCTCTGCTGTAAGCCACTGGCTGTGTGAACTCTGCAGTCATGCTATACAACAGCCAGGCCTGGCATGGCCAGCGCCATCTGCTCTGCAGCAGGTGTGCAAAAAGGCCTCTGTTCATTTACCAGCCCATGGTGGCCACGCTTTGTGAGGGCAAGCTCCCAGCCCATCCAAGAAGATGAACTGGTCTTAGGCTGTGCTTCAAGTTATGGCTCAGATATGCTCTGAATGCCTTTAGTCCAGACCGGACCCTACAGAAGTCCAAGCTGGGAGCCCTTCGTGTCCTTGGCTGCAGTGGACCCTGTAGGCCTGTCCCAGTGCCCAGGTTTGGTGTCTGGGTGTAAACCGATGCTGGAGCAGCAGTTGGCTGCTCTCCTCTCAGACTTCCTGGTCTCCCTCGGGGAGACGGGGGAGCAAAGCACTGAACCCCTGAGATGATCGCATCAGACCCCTGTTGCTGGCAGTCGGCAGCCGGGGTGAACATCGGCGATGCTCCTCTGCGGACAAGGGAATGTGGGTGGGCGCACTCAAGGGCTGAGCCCAGAAGGCTTTCCTCTGGGGGTCCCAGGGCTCTGGGCCGGGGCTAAACGCCTTCACGGGCTCCCGTTCCAGTTCTGCTTCCCTCTGCAGGTGCCCCACGCCCGGCTGTGACGGCTCTGGCCACATCACAGGGAACTACGCTTCACACCGGAGGTGAGCCTGCCACACCCTCAGGTCCTGGGCCCCAGGGGTGGGCAGGGAGTCTCTTCCTTATATGAAGATTAGAAGACACTAATGTTGCTGACAGCTAGAGTCCATTCCCATCTCTTTAATCTGAATTGTTGCCATTTCCAGAACCTGATTAAGTTGTCCTCTGCAGTAAGATAAAAAGACAAGGGGTCAGGGCTAGGGGCTCGTGGTAATGCTTCTCCTTCCCGACCCTGCTGCCTCGTGTGAAGGCTGTGTCTGTGGATTCTGCTTCTTACAACTGACCCATCGGTTGCCCTCACTCCCTCCCACCCCACCCTGGGGTCACAGAGCTTGAGGGGAGAGGGTGAGATGAACGGGTGTGAGAAGCTGCGGTTCCAGCACTAAGGTGGCCTTTTTTCCTCTTTCGAAATCAGCTTGTCCGGCTGCCCTCGTGCAAAGAAAAGTGGAGTCAAGGTGGCACCCACCAAGGACGACAAGGAGGACCCCGAGCTGATGAAGTACGTTGGGCCATGCTGGCTCTTTCATTGCATTGCGGAATTGAGATTTTCGTGTGTTTTATAATGTAAAAAAACTCCTACTAGATTCCCTTTTCATTAATACAACGGGTCACCTAACTGACCAACGCCAACTTTCGTTTCTTTCATTTTTATGGAAGCTCTCATACGCTACACGTTGATACCTGTGAAGATAGGAGCCCTGGATGTCGCGTGGAGGGCATGGGTGCCAGATTTTCTGGGCTTTTCAGGTCTGGAGTATTTGACGGGGCTGGGAGAGGCAGAGCACCCTTCTACCTATGTCTTAGGGCCACCTGGGAGTGGGCCCCAGGGCCTTGCAACCTGCAGAATTTGTCTGGCAGGAAAGGTGAGATGCAGGAGTCAAGGAGGAGAAGGTGGTTAGAACAATGTTGAAGCTCCAAATCCCATGTGTCCATCCACCCACACACCTGTGCAGAGAGCTGGTAGATTGAGAGAGCCAGGAGGATCTAAACTGGGAGCCAGACACTGTTGGGTGAAGGAAAGAGGACATCTTGGGCCTTAAGTGACCCAAGTCCTTGAGGAGAAAAGATTCTCCTCTATTGCTCTTCTCACTGGGGCAGGGTGGGGGCTCGTGTGTCTTTGTGGGGCTTATAGGTGAACCCTGACTCTGTGTGTTATCCTACTTGGTGGGGGTTTGTGTCCTTACAAGCTTATTCTCCCAATAGGGAACGGGTCCCCTGCACTGCCCACTTTTAGGTGGGGGGAATGCTTTGCTACAGACTCAGACCAGGTGACCCACTGGCCATTTTGCCCAGGACCGAGGTACTTTCAGAGCTGACATCTGGCAAAATGGGCAGTGGGTTCCCCAGCAGGTGAGCAGAGTGGAAATGATGGCTCTGGACACCTTGTTGCCCAGGGTTAGGGGCCGGCTCGGTCGGGACGGGGCCCTACTATGCCCGCAGGAAGCAGGTTGCCCTCGTTGTGTTACCTGCTGGGCCAAGAGCAGCCAGACCTCACGCCCGGGGAGGGGCAACTTGGCCTGAGATTGGGTTGCTCCTCCTGGTAGTTTGCTCCAGCTGTGCCCAAACACCCGGCCACACTGGAGGAGCCTAATTGACCAACATCACATCCTTCAGACGGGGATGGGCCCACCAGCTGTTTGGTGTAATAGGCTGTGGCTTGTTTATTTATTTAATTTTTACAATAAAACTGTAATGAATGCTAAATTAACAATGCAAAATTTTGGTTGTTAGTACTATGAAGGTCGCACACTAAATGCTGAGGTGGATAAAAAGCATTTTGCCCCTGAGAATCCAGGAATTTGCCTATGATCATATAAGTGCAACACCTTTATGGATTTGGCAAGGATCCTGCTGGCAGGGATATTATAAGTGAATCGTGCTGCATTTGCAAATGATTAAAATCAAGATCAGCATTTTTCAAATTAACCAGGAAAAATGGTTTTCCTTTCTAATGTGCTGTCAACTGAGCTTTAAAAAAAAACAAGAGTTCTGCAGCCGAGTGGAGACTGTGACTTTCAGAAACACTTCAGCATTTGCAGGATAGAGGAAGGTCCTAGAGGCTCCATGGCAGAGGGAACCTGACTACTGAACCCTCCGTTTTACAGGGTTCCTTCCCAGCCATAAACTTTAACTGCACTTGTAATTGCCTAGCATATTTAAACAGATGCATATCAAAGCAGAAACTGGAATGGATGTGTCAGGTCATGCTGAGGGATGGGATTTCGTCAGCATGCATGAGCTGTGATTTGGGGAGCCTGGTGGAACAGGAGTCCTTTTTATGATATCTCCTGCCTGCGCTATTTAAAATTAAGTCACATCAGGCGCTTGGTGGTAAATCCCTTTGCCACAGCTTTATAACTGGTCATAAAAGTCTTGCGGAGGTTCCAGCATGGGAGTCAAGAGGTGAATGCTCCCCTTGCCCTGCCCACTGTCCCTGGAGGGGACTTCTGGTCCTGGCCATGTTTCTCATGTCACTGGCACACACGGCTTCTGCCCCCCAACACGTGATAGGAAACACTAGCTCACCCAAGAAGCACAGAGGCCTCACCAGCTCAGTGCCTGCCCCCACCGCCCCAGCACCTCTCAACATGATGTCCCTGACAGCTTGAAAGTCTCCACACCAGGTTTTGTGAGAAAGAGAACATACCTGAAATCTGAAATCCTCTCCATGTATGCGATTCAAGGGAACAAAAACAGTTTCCCTTGATGAAGGGGAGTAGTGTTTTGCAAGAAAGGGAGTGAAAATAACTCAGATTTGGGCCGGGCACTGTGGCTCATGCCTGTAATCCCAGCACTTTAGGAGGCTGAGGCGGGTGGATCACCTGAGGTCAGGAGTTCGAGACCAGCCCGGCCAACATGGTGAAACCTCATCTCTACTAAAAATACAAAAATCAGCCGGGCGTGGTGGCGGGCGCCTGTAATCCCAGCTACTCGGGAGGCTGAGGCAGGAGAATCGCTTGAAGCCGGGAGGCGGAGGTTGCAGTGAGCCAAGATTGTGCCACTGCACTCCGGCCTGGGCAACAAGAGCGAGACTCCATCTCAAAAATACTACTACTACTACTAATAATAATTCAGATTCGACTGTGTAGAGTAGCTGAAGAGCCAGCCACCCCCCATTTGGCCACAGAGCCTCTTCCCAGCCAGTCTGTGCCTGGTGCAGGTGTCCCCCAGGGTCCCATGGCTGGGCCATCCCCATCAGAGGGGGGCTGGACATTGAATGTGAACTTCCCAAAGCTCCCATAGGGGCCCCTGGCAGTGTCTCTGCTCTGGACGGGGATGAGGTGACCTCGGACTGGCTCAGGGAATGTCCTAAAAGTTTCTGAGGGCCAGGTGGGTGGGATGAGTAACAAAGGGAAAAGAACCAAGAGAGGGGCCTGTGGAGAGAGAGAAAGCAGGGTCCTGGCCGAGTTGGCTGGGAAGGGTCTGAAACGGCAGCTTCAGAGACGAGGCCAGAGTGTGGGGGCAAGGAGCCGGACGCTGCCCTCCCTGTCCAGGCCTTGTTGACCTTCCACTGGGCAGCGCAGCCCTGAGCCGCCTCTCACCCCTACGGCGGGAGCCTCTGCCCCCGCCCCCGCCCCCTGCTACCGTCCTCCCGAGCGCTTCCTGCGCTGACAGTGACTTCCCTGTATGCCCATGAATCTCCTCGTAAATGGAGCCATGGTGACCTCTCGGGGTCTTGTGTTGCCAGGTAATCAGCACACAGGGAGTGTGTGACAAACGGTAATTTGGATGAGTTTCATTTATGAAGAGATAAGAATGAGCCTTGCAGATTGAAGATCTTGTCCTGGGTTTGGCGTGGGTTCCTGGATGACGTGGTCCCTCAGCTCCCCAAGTCCTGGTCCAGGTCCTTCCCTGAGGCAGTGGGGACAGACACTCAGAGAGGTCATGGGCCTGGGCCCTCTGCGCTGTCCTGTTTGTCTCTGACCCACACTGAGCCCAAGGCATTTGCCAATCTGAATTTATGTTATTTTCATAAGGGCCTCTATCCCTCTCCTGGAACACCCAGAACGAAGGAAAGGAAAACACCATTTAAGGCCAGCCTCAGGCACGAGTGATTATGGGTAGCGAGTCTCCCCCACATGAGGTCTGCGTTCTTCCTTCTAGAACATAGATCTCAGTGGTGGCAAAGCTGCAACATCTATGGGCATTGCCCCCTGATTGCACTGGCCTCAGTCTGGGAGGCTGTGGGGTGACAGGCCTCTGCTGTCCCTGAGCTCCCCTGCTTAGGGGACCTTGTCATTCTTTTGTGATCCATAGGCCCCCAGGCCTATGCTTGATGCAAGCTCCCAGGGAGTGGCCTCTAGGTGGTCTCAGCTGACAACATGGCTCCACATTGCTGAGTGACACACAAGTGACTCCAGCAGCAAGGCTTGGAGGGAACCTGAGAGCAGCCCCCAGGCCCAGGGTCACGGCTGCTGGAGGGCACGGAAAGAAGGTGGCTGTGGAGACCCCAGTCATGCAGGGGCTGTGAGGCCAAAGCGGAAGAGGGAGCGTGGCCCGGGTCTTCACACTCAGCCCGGAAGGGCCAGTTCTTCCCTGAGGCTCCAGGACCTCAGCGGCCCTCCCTGCCTCACTCAGAAGCCCTTTAACGGCTCTGAGTTGGGCTCCCCTTGTGTCTGGCTTGAGAGAGTCTCCAGGCTTCTCCTCCCAACCCTTCGCCCCTGTACTCACCCCGGCCTCTCTGTACCCAGGTGCCCAGTTCCAGGCTGTGTGGGGCTCGGTCACATCAGCGGGAAATACGCCTCTCACAGGAGCGCATCCGGCTGCCCACTGGCCGCCCGCAGGCAGAAGGAAGGGTCCCTCAATGGCTCGTCATTCTCCTGGAAGTCCCTGAAGAATGAAGGACCGACCTGCCCCACCCCGGGCTGTGACGGCTCTGGCCACGCCAATGGGAGTTTCCTCACCCACCGGAGGTAACTGTGCCTGCAGGTCCTGCCCCTCTGTGCAGTCAGTAGGGACCCTCGCCTGGGGCCTGGGGCTGAAGCTCCTGAGGGAGGGCCAGACCAGGGCTCCGTGTGACCAGAGTTGCTCAAGGGAAAGGCCAGGCCACATGGGTAGCGGATGGGGGAGGCTAGCGGGTCTGTTGGTGCCAGGTGATGCTGTGGGTTATGTCTTCGCCATGCGTCTCCCCTCATACGCCACCCTTCCACATCCTGATGGAGTCCTTCCTGGCTGGGTGTTATGCTGGACACAGAGGCCACACATGAGCAGAGCCCTGGGTCTGACACTTACGTTCTCTTAACAGGCTGACAACTTCTCAGGAAAAGTTTGTCTCCTACACCTTATGCCCTGTCCCTCCCATTCATACCTTCTCAGGAAAAGTTTGTCTCCTACACCTTATGCCCTGTCCGTCCCATTCATGCCTCTTCTTTGAACTCTGGGCAGAGACCCCTGCCTGCCTTGCAAGGGAGCTGGTAACCCCTCTCTGTCAGGCAGTGGGCCTGGGCAGCATTCACCAACTCTCGCCTGCCCTCCAACACCTGCTCCAGAGCCGAAGGACCTTGCTTCACCAGCCCCACTTCCTGTCTGTGTCCTATGGTGACAATGAGTGCCTGGTCCCATCAGAAACCCTGTGTCTGGGCCTAGGGCCAATGCTGACTCTTCATTCCCTCCCCTGTCCCTCCCCTCCCCTTCTTCCCTCCTCCTTCCCCTCCCTTCTCCCTCCTTTCCTCTTCTCCCTCCCTTCCTCCTTCCCTTTCCCTCCCCTCTCCCCTTTCCTCCCCTCTCCCTTCCCCTATCCCTCCCCCTTTCCTTCTTTCCCCTCCCTTCCCCTTCCCCTCCCCTCTCCTTCCTTCCTCTCCCCTCTCCCTTCCCTTTTGCCTCCTCTCCCCTCCCCTTCCCCTCCCCTCCCCTTCCCCTCCCCTCTCCTACCCCTCCCCTCCCTTCCCTCTGCCCACCCCCCACCTCCCCCACTCCCTCCCCACCCCCTCTCCTCCCCTTCTTCCTCTCCCCTCCCCTCCCCCCTCACCTTCCCCTTCCCTTCCCCCACCTTCCTCCCCTTCTCTTCTTTTTCTTCCCCTCCCCTCCCTTTTCCCTTCCTTCCTCCATCTACAAGATTAATTAACTCACTCATTCAACAAAAGCATTTGCACCATGTACCAAGCCTTGGAGAGAGAGCAGAGAAAAAAAGGACAACTACCCCTTATCCTTGTAGAGTGCATTTTGGGCAGAGTAGGTGGGACAGCCTGTAAACAAATAAATACGTAAATTACTTAGTATGGTGAATGGTGGTGCGTGTGCTGGGCAAAAAAGAAGCAGGGAAGAGGACAAGGAAGTCCTCTTTGAGAAGGAAGTAGCAGCTTGGCCTGAGGTGTCTGGGGCACAAGCCCTCAGCGAAGTGGCTGGAGCTGGGAACAGCCTGGCCCGCTGGACAAGGTTGGAGGTGCTGAGGGCCTGGAGCCAGGGAGAGGGAGCAAAAGAGATGAGGTAGAAAGTTCTAAGCCAGGGCTTATCTGGCTGCCCGCTGGCAAGGACTCAGCTTTCACTGTGAGTGAGGGCCCTGGCAGAAGGCAGAGGAGAGACTAGATCTGGCATGGGCAGCTGGCATGGACACAGCTGCAGAAGCCGGGAAGGCCACTAAAGGAGACTACTGCAGCCGGGGTCAGTTGGGCAGAGACTTATGCTGGGCTTCCTAAGGACATCTTACCTTGCCTCAATCAACCTTTACTTATGGTGTGGATACAATCACTTCATAAATGAAATCATGCTTGAGAATGCACAATTGTAATGCATTTTTCTGCTTGAGTGTCTATATCCGAGGAGTGATCTGTGACTGTCATTATCACCACAGCCTAGAGGGTATCTCAGAGGCAGACGCAGCTAGGATGGGCTCCTCTGGGAGGTCAGGGCTGCAAAGTACCGGCAAGTGGGTCATGTGGACCTCAGACCCCAGAGGGAGCCCTGCTGAGAGCAACGGTGCCCTGGCCCCCCGAGTATCAGGCAGGGTCAGCTATGGCTGTGCCAGATGAGGTGAGCTCTGGAGTGTCCCCTTCCCAGCCTCTGCCCTGCCTAGATGTAGCTTCTTTTTCCCCATAGAACACAGTTTGGCCATAGGGAGGCCCTCCAGGTCATCTAGGTGAGGTGGAACATGCCTTCTGTTAACCCGTAATGTGTGACCCTGGGCTGGCCGTGGTGGGTGACCCTGGGCTGGCCGTGGTGGGTGACCCTGGGCTGGCCGTGGTGGGTGACCCTGGGCTGGCTGTGGTATGTGACCCTGGGCTGGCCGTGGTGGGTGACCCTGAGCTGGCTGAGTGACCCTGGGCTGGCCGTGGTATGTGACCCGGGGCTGGCCGTGGTATGTGACCCTGGGATGGTCATGGTGTGTGACCCGGGGCTGGCCATGGTGGGTGACCCCGAGCTGGCTGTGGTGGGTGACCCTGGGCTGGCCGTGGTGGGTGACCCTGGGATGGCCGTGGTGGGTGACACTGGGCTGGTGGTGGTGGGTGACCCTTGGCTGGCCATGGTGGGTGACCCTGGGATGGCTGTGGTGGGTGACCCTGGGATGGCTGTGGTGGGTGACACTGGGCTGGCTGTGGTGGGTGACCCTGGGATGGTCATGGTGGGTGACCCTGGGCTGGCCATGGTGGTTGATGCTGGGATGGTCATGGTGGGTGACCCTGGGATGGCCGTGGTGGGTGACCCTGGGATGGTCATGATGGGTGACCCTGGGCTGGCTGAGTGACCCTGGGCTGGCCGTGGTATGTGACCCGGGGCTGGCCGTGGTATGTGACCCCGGGATGGTCATGGTGTGTGACCCGGGGCTGGCCGTGGTATGTGACCCCGGGATGGTCATGGTGTGTGACCCGGGGCTGGCCATGGTGGGTGACCCCGAGCTGGCTGTGGTGGGTGACCCTGGGCTGGCCGTGGTGGGTGACCCTGGGATGGCCGTTGTGGGTGACACTGGGCTGGTGGTGGTGGGTGACCCTTGGCTGGCCATGGTGGGTGATGCTGGGATGGTCATGGTGGGTGACCCTGGGATGGCCGCGGTGGGTGACCCTGGAATGGTCATGATGGGTGACCCTGGGCTGGCTGAGTGACCCTGGGCTGGCCATGGTATGTGACCCGGGGCTGGCCGTGGTATGTGACCCCGGGATGGTCATGGTGTGTGACCCGGGGCTGGCCATGGTGGGTGACCCCGAGCTGGCTGTGGTGGGTGACCCTGGGCTGGCCGTGGTGGGTGACCCTGGGATGGCCGTGGTGGGTGACACTGGGCTGGTGGTGGTGGGTGACCCTTGGCTGGCCGTGGTGGGTGACCCTTGGCTGGCTGTGGTGGGTGACCCTTGGATGGCTGTGGTGGGTGACCCTGGGATGGCTGTGGTGGGTGACACTGGGCTGGCTGTGGTGGGTGACACTGGGCTGGCTGTGGTGGGTGACCCTGGGCTGGCCGTGGTGGGTGACGCTGGGATGGTCATGGTGGGTGACCCTGGGATGGCCGCGGTGGGTGACCCTGGGCTGGCCGCGGTGGGTGACCCTGGGCTGGACGTGGTGGGTGACCCTGGGATGGCCGCGGTGGGTGACCCTGGGCTGGCCGCGGTGGGTGACCCTGGGCTGGCCGCGGTGGGTGACCCTGGGATGGTCGCGGTGGGTGACCCTGGGCTGGCCGTGGTGGGTGACCCTGGGATGGCCGTGGTGGGTGACCCTGGGCTGGCTGTGGTGGGTGACCCTGGGATGGTCGCGGTGGGTGACCCTGGGCTGGCCGTGGTGGGTGACCCTGGGATGGCCGTGGTGGGTGACCCTGGGCTGGCTGTGGTGGGTGACCCTGGGATGGCTGTGGTGGGTGACCCTGGGATGGCGGTGGTGGGTGACCCGGGGCTGGCCGCGGTGGGTGACCCTGGGATGGCCGCGGTGGGTGACCCTGGGCTGGCCGCGGTGGGTGACCCTGGGATGGCCGCGGTGGGTGACCCTGGGATGGCCGTGGTGGGTGACCCTGGGCTGGCCGTGGTGGGTGACCCTGGGATGGTCGTGGTGGGTGACCCGGGGCTGGCCGTGGTATGTGACCCTGGGCTGGCCGTGGTATGTGACCCTGGGATGGTCGTGGTGGGTGACCCTGGGCTGGTGAATGATATGTGGCCTCTGCTTCCAGTTTGTCAGGCTGTCCCAGAGCAACCTTTGCTGGAAAGAAGGGAAAACTGTCAGGGGATGAGGTCCTCAGTCCAAAGTTCAAGACTAGCGACGGTAAGGATGGCTTCCTGGATTTCCCTGCTCATGGCTGGGTGCCAGGGTAAGTGAGAGCTGTGCACCTTTTGTGCTGGTGGGAAGAAGGTTAGGGAGATGAAGCCCCTCCTGGAATGAGTCACGGCAGAGGCAGATCCCTTCACCTAAGCTGACAGCCTTTCGGACCTTGGCTCTGAAGCTCTTGACACCTGTGTCTGGGGTCCCTGGCCCTGAGGAGGTCATGCCTGCTGTAACCTGCGGCTTTGGTGACCACTGGGATCAGAGTCCAGTGGAGCCCATGTGCTGTGAGTTTGTGGAGAGGTGTGGCTCATTCCCCCTTAGGTGAGGAAATTCAGCATTGCCTGAACAAACTTCCATCTTTAATGTAGCATTTAATACCTCCCAAAGAGATTTAAGCCTTTCCACCTGCCAGCCAGCTCGGAAGGCAAACTATAAACACTCATCTCACAATTTTCAAGACAGATTTCTCCAGCGCATAATGTGGGGTATGAGCCCCAGAGAGAGATGAGCTCGGAAAACCAGGAGGGGAGACCTCTGCTGCACAGGGGGTTTCAGTTCTAGAAAGCAGGCTTCCCCACAGCACTTTGGCCCAGGCCTGCCTGAGGCCCAAAGCCACAACTGAGGTTTCTCTCTGGGTCAGTGTTGGAGAATGATGAGGAGATCAAGCAGCTGAACCAGGAGATCCGAGACCTGAACGAGTCCAACTCGGAGATGGAGGCTGCCATGGTGCAGCTGCAGTCCCAGGTAGGTGGTGCCGCCCCCCGCTCCTGGGCTCTTTGCCCACCCAACCCAAACATTCGTCTTGGGGACAGTGAGGCATCCGTCGGCACTCATCAAGGTTGCTGTCAGGGCTGAGCTGACGGACAGCGCAGTGGCTGGCACACAGGCACACTTAGGACGTGCTGGCCGCTCACAATGCGGAGTCCGTGAAGTCACACTGTGAGTGCCAGTGGGCCGCCGGAGCTGGTTGTCCCGCCAGGGCTGTGGTCTCATTAGTGTTAATAACACTATTAATAATACTAGTCCCATTAAGATTAGCAGCACTGTTTCTCTTACTCTCATTAGAATGAGTAGTCCTGTCAAGACCAGCGGTCCCATTAGGATTACCAGTCTTGTGAGTACCAGTGGTCCATGAGCGTGGTGCGGTAGAGCCAGGTCTCTGGAGCCGGGTTTCCTTCCCAGCACCCAGCACAGCCACATGTTTGTCACAGCTGAGGGACCTGACAAACCTTTCAGCCTCTTCCTCAGTCAATTCCTCCATAAAATGGAGGTAAGAATAGGATTCTACTCCAGCCAGTTATTGTACAATGAACGCATTTCTATGAGGAAAACATTCAGCATAAGCACCTGATCCAGAGTAAGTGCCGTCGATGAGAGCTGCTGTTGCTGAGGGTTAGGATTACAAATTATTTTAAATGTTTGTGTCATATTTCCTGATTTCCCTAAAATGAGCATTTGTAATCAGAAAAAAAAAAGCAGTAAAGATCTTATTTTGAAAATAAGAGCATGCCCCACCTGTGGCTGCTGAGTGGAGTCTGCAGCCGTGCTGGGGGAGACATAACTGTGCCCCTAACAGCTAGAGGGACAAAGGGACAAGGAAGTGACCAGGTCCCACAGAGAATTTGGGCAGAGCCCCTCTGGGCAGGGACAGATGGGGAGATGGTGGCCTCCACCAAGGCAGCAAAAAATGAGTAACATCCTCCAGCCCCACGTGTCTCATTACTCTGCTCTTGTCTCTACTGGCAAACAGGCTCATGTTGACTCTGCTCTGGTCTCTACTGGCAAACAGGCTCATGTTGACTCTGCTCTGGTCTCTACTGGCAAACAGGCTCACGTTGACCGCTTGTTACTCAAGAGCCTGTATAAAAATAGCATCACCCCACAGGGATCAGGAAGGATTTTCGCTGTCATGCACATGTCGATGTTGCATCCCCCCAGGTTCATAGGCAGTGACGACAGAGAAGGAGTGATGGCCCTCCCGGCGGAGCCATCCCCGTCCCCTCCTGGTGTCTCTGAGTGTGGAGATGCACTGTTGTGTGGGTGTCCATTTTGTGCTCCCTGCTCCTCCCCTTCTCAGAGTCCCCAGGGCCTTCATCAGTGTCAGTGTCGTTGGGGTAGCACCTCTGATTTCTTTTTATTTGCCAAAACCAATCTTTTTAAAGACAGATTATTACCTTTTACTAGCATCCCTTTGGAAGGACTCAGAAACCCCTGTCCATCTGAGGGAGTTTGGTGACTGGTGCCCTCTGCGGAAGGGCAAAGGCAAAGGGAAGGCAGGTCCCTATCCCCCATGCAACCCTTTCAAAGCCACATGCTTGTCACCAGGTGGCAGAAGAAGCGTGCTTGACCCCATCCACAGCCTCCCAGGAATGAGCTCCCCACTCCTGCCTCGTGTGTCACCCACACTGTCTTTCTGTGAGTTTAGCCTCTGCCCCCGTGGCTCCCTGCAGATGTGCAGTCAGGCTGGGGGCTATTCCTGGACACCAAAGGCCTCAGGGCCAACACAACCCTGGGCAGGTTCACCGCCATGGTGGGGAAGTGAGAAGACTTGCCTGTAGTTGGCCTGGGGAAGTCGTGCTTGGGAGGCCCTGAGGAGGCTCTTTGTGGGGATTTCTGGTGAGGGGAAGACCCAAAGGCAGTCTGACACTCCACGGGGGGGTGCAGTGATTTCCATCTTACAGATAGAAGCAGGAAACATGGTGAAGCTAAGACCACAGCAGGTGGAGTCTGAGATTGAGACAGGGCGCTGTGAAGTCTGTGCTCCCACCCCATCCCCTCAGGACAGAGGGGCTCAGAAAACCAGGAGTGGGGACTTCTCCTGCACGGCGGGTTTCAGTTCCATCTAGAAAGCATGGCACAGAGGGACGTGCCACACGAGCCCCCTTCCTGGCTTCCCTGGAGTCAGCCCATGTCTCCAGAGGGCCCTTGCCTTTCTCTCCTCTGCCAGCCCCTCACCTGTGGCAGAACCCCCTACAGGAAGGCAGGGTCCCTGCCTCTTCCCCCACCCCAGGGTTCTGCATTCTCCCAGAGGGTTGTGAGAGGCAGCCCAGAGAGGACCCCCAGGAGGATGGGGGCCAAGGGCAGGCGGCACTTCGAATCTCTCTCTGGCACAGATCTCCTCCATGGAGAAGAACCTGAAGAACATCGAGGAGGAGAACAAGCTCATTGAGGAGCAGAATGAAGCCCTGTTTCTGGAGCTGTCCGGCCTGAGCCAGGCCCTCATCCAAAGTCTCGCCAATATCCGCCTTCCGCACATGGTAGGCAGCACGCGGGCCTGCCGGCACCACAGCTACCCCCCAGGGTCTCTTCGGAAAGCAGGAGGGCAGGGCATCTCCCACCCCCTCTGCCTCTGGGTCCTGCCCTAGGGGCCCTGTGCCCTTGTGGAGATTCTCTCCACCCCGAATGGCCCGGGCTGTTGGCTGTGGTGGGTTTAGCCACCATAATGAGTAGCTGCCATAAAGAGTAGCTAATGAATCCAAAGCAAAATGGTGATTCCATGAGCAGAGAGGCTACTGCTGGGATGGCTGCAGAGAGGAACGCCCAGTGCTGCCTCTGGTTGGTGTGGGCTTGTCTCAGGTCACGTGGGGACATAGGTTTGATGCTCCCACATCAGGCTCTGCGGTGTGGGGCCCACTGCATGGACGGAGCTTGCTAACCTGGTTCTGTTCTCTAGGAGCCAATATGCGAACAGAATTTCGATGCCTATGTGAGCACCCTCACCGACATGTACTCCAACCAGGACCCGGAGAACAAGGACCTCCTGGAGAGCATCAAGCAGGCTGTGAGGGGCATCCAGGTCTAGGCCGTGTGGTACCCAGAAGTGTCCCAGCCCACCACACCGTTTACCTCCCTCGCCCTGCCCCGCACCGTGGGGATGCCCAACTCACAGTGACTTCCCGTTTGGGGCCCGGTGTGGCCGCGGGCGGGTTTATCCAAAGGGATGGCTGGAAATTGGCCGCTCCCACGAGGCTCCCTCCAGGCTTGGGGCCGTGGTGGCCCTATCTGTGTGCATAGGGGCACTGAAGAATTACAAAGTGATTTATTTTTGTTTTCTGAAAGAAATCTGAAGAGCAGCTCAAAGTCTCCAGTGGAAGCTCATGGACAAGGTTCTCAGGGAAGTTTTGGAGTTTGCAACCACAGTATTCCTTTGTCTGTCGAGGCTGGGAGGGTAGCCGTGAGCGTGGTGGGTGGGTGGTGTGAGTGGCATCTTGGCCTGGAGGACACGCCTGGGGCAGCGTGTCTGTGCTCAGTGAGGGCCGATGAAGAAAGTGCGTTTTCTGTTTTCATTTAATTCAGTTTTGTGTTAAGGGTGGAACAAAGCTCTGTTCTAGAGGGAAAGTTAGGAATAGGCCTCCCAGAGGATACTCCAGACAGTTGACAAGCATCGCAGCCCCTGTCAGGTCAAGGAATTTTAACCTGGGAGACTCCTGAAAATCAGCCTAATGTCTGGGGGCAGCTGGCGCTGAGGCTGTGCAGATGTGTATGGCCTTGGGTCACAGCTCCCTACTGGGGCTGCAGCCTTTAGACCCTGGGTCTGGGATCCACGTCTAGGGACCACTCTGGCTTCTGTGCATCCACCCAGGCCCCCGACCCATCACTGCCACATTCTCCGGGTCATGGCCGAGCTTGACCTCTGCATCCATGGTGACGGAGGTGGCAATGACATCATCAAGGTCAGAGGGTAAATTCCTAACAGGAGACCACAAAGGTTTCACTTCTTTTAGATCCATCCAATATGCGAAAAAAGGGTACATTTTAATTTAATGTGTTAAAAACACAATGTCCCTACCGTGTAAATAGAATCCAAGTCAATTGTGACTGCAATTCCAAGTTAGTATTTAAAAATAGAGAAATTGCACTTCCTGGAAAAAATTAAAAAGTAGTTAGTTTAATTATTCTGTAAATTATTTAATTTTGTCAAGATGTAAGTATTTATATTCACAGCCTCTTATGTTAACGTTTGCTATTTATTTAACATTTTTATTTATTAATTTTATACTATTTCAACTAGACCCCACACCAGGGCACCCTAAGAGGGGAAAAAAGTGAATTCAAAGCAAAAATAACTATTTGACTATAATATAGGCCACAAAAAATCTTGATATAACTCCTAGTTATAATTTTGATGCAACCAAGTTATTTTTTATATATTTTGTTATTTATTCTTTTAATAATGGAATTTTTTTAAAAAGTATTTTGTAACTGAGGAATTTTGATAATTTGGGGATTTTGTTTTCCCTTGGTCTAATGGAGAGAAAGACATTTTGGTTTTCTTTTTCCATTTTGGGTTCCTTTTGTTTCAGGCACGGATAACAGCAAATGGAATTCTGTATTTATTATTATTTAAGTGTAGCGCAGATGTGTGTGCTTGGGCGTGTTTCTCGTGTCGCGTTTGCGTGTCGGCTCTTGCGGTGGAGTCCTGTTGCTGTGAGGGAGTGCTGGCCGCAGGCAGCCTCGAGTCACCGCCAGGCTCACAGGCTGTGCCACCCGTCCCTCCGACAGCTCCAATACTGTGACCCTCCTTCCTCAGGAAGCGCGTTGAACCCACAGCACTCCGTGGTGTGTTTGCAGGGTGATTTCCTAATAAAAGTCCACTCTGACTGTGAATCGGTGCTGTGGTCTGTGGGGAGGACATTGTCTCCATTCTTGGTGAGCTCTATCATGCACCCTCCTGGGAGCACATGCCCAGGAGGGGAATCTTCCATCTCTGGTCTCCCCTTGATACCACACGTGGGTCCCCTCTGGTGTCAGCTTAGCCAGTATCTCCTTTTGAAACTACCCTACCTCACCGCCTCCACGTGTGTTTCTAGAAGGTGTAAATCATTGTATCTTGCCCCTTCCCACATGACCAGTCATATGCAAATTGAAGTTTTTCCCAGGAGTCTTCTCTTAGGGTCAGGGAGAATAACTTTTCCTGCTGAGGTTGTTAGACTTGGGGGTGTGGAACTGGGGTTGCCCTGGGCTATCTCTCCTGGCCACAGGATGAAGCCATCAGTAGTAGGAGAGAGTTCAGACATTCTGGAGGGGGGCAAAGCTGACAATGGAGGTAGATGTGAAGGAAAAGGGAGCTCTCTGATGATCTTTTTAGAGCTCATGGACCCAGCCATGTCTGAAGGCACTCCACCCTTGAACTGCCCAGTTATATAAGGCAATGGTTTATTTTTTTTTTTAAGCTGGTATACAAGGCCAAAAAGCCAATGCATACCAGCTTTAAAAAAAAAAAGAGACTTCTCCCCTTTTTCATTTTCGTACTTTTGTGTCAGGTGGAGCTCTAGTGCTCCTAGAGTAAGACCTGGACTTGGGACTTCTAGTCACATTCAGCCTAAACTGTCAACATGCTTTTGACCTCCCTGGAATCTGGCCCTGGTGGTAGTCCTGGAGCGTCCATCTGATATGCAAACAAAGGATCCATCTTCACTGACAAATTCTTAGAAATTCTGGACTGAGTTTCCACCCTCTGCTGTAGTCAGACAGGGTCCACAACACCTGTGGAGGACATTTGATCTGCCTTCAAGGCTCCAACTGCTGGTTGTGGGGGCCCAAGCAGGTGCCAGTGCCCACTGGTGGGTTATGCAGAACATGTTCAACTGTGAGGAAGGGTTCCTGGGGGTCCCCTTTGGTGAGGCCCCATTTGTGATGGGGAGACCAGTGGCCTGGAGTTGTACCCCTTCACGTCAGCACAGCAGATGCTGGGGTGGGTGTGAGCAAGACCGATTCTGAAGTGTCCCCTCAGCAAGCTGAGGTAAAGTCATTCTGGGGGGTATGAGAGTTGGCTGGAGAGGTGGGGACTATGATGTTCCTGCTAGGGGACACAGGCTGTTACCATGATGTTAGAAAGCTGCACAATCCCATAGTTTGATAATGGCACGAGCTGGTCACCCCCAAGAAGATTCTCTCACTTTTCGCTTAGAGGCACTGGCTGGGCCACCAGCCTACTGGGAGCTGAGAGAAAGAGCGTCTAAAGTCACAGGCATGTGCTCTCTTAGGATTTATTTTTGGTATGGGACCCCACAGCTAGGCCTTCTCTACCAGCCTGCAGACCCTCCTGTTTACTGTATCCAGAGGATAAAGCTCAAGGTTTCATCCAGAGGGAGGGGAGTGTTTGCCAGGCTCTCAGAGTCGGGGTGGAGTTCTGGGGAAGGGGGCTACTGGCTCCCGAAACACTTTCTACCAGTTGTCTTCTCCCATCTCCAACAGAATCTGGTGCTACCAGTTATTGGGGGTTCTGAGGTATGGACGGTGTTGGCTCTGAACTTTCTACACTCTGGCTAGAATTCAGTGTTTTGTGTCTCCTAGGCCATTTATTTTGCATCTGTGAATTTTCTGGCTTCTAAATTGCATTGTTGTCCCCTCTTTCATCTCCTCACTCCTGCCAATGTATGCCTTAAAATCTGTCATTTTAGGCAGGTGTAAGAGAGAACAAAGGTAAATACACATGTGCACCTGCTTTCCTTACCTGAATGGGTATGCTTCCAGTTGATGAGCACACGACTGTCTCCCTGAACAGACGGGAAGTCAGCTTAGTGCTGGGTCGACATCACCCCATGAGTAAGGGAAGCCTCAAGTTCAGGTGAGATTTTTCCTATTAACCACTCTGTCTCCCTGAAGCCAGTAGCCTCTCAGAGGCTGCTAAAGACATGGATGTGGAGGGTTTCCTAACTGTCAGCTGATTGTGAATCCTGCAACACAGGCCATCCATGCTCCCAGGGGTTATAGCATCTGTGCCATTCCCTCTGTCCTTCTTAAAATATGGAGGTGGAGTGTGGACTTCTCTAATGGAGTCTTAAGTCTTCACAAGGGCACCCTTATCCATGATCGTGGGTGGCCTGGGCTGGTGCCAGGCAGCTGACCTTTGGCAGAGCTATGCTCTGAGCCACTCTGGCCCTCACTGCACCCCAACCCTACCATCCCTCCTGGCTGCTCCCATTGTCTCTGCCTCTCTTTCTTTCCTCTCAGTGTCTGCAGCATGCAGGTCTCCGTGTGTGCTGACTTTTCTAAAGCCTGGCCTCTCCTCTTCCAGCACCTGCTATGGCTGCCTCCTCCTCTCCCTCTACTGTATCTTCCTCCCACCTGCTTATGTGCTCCTGGCCTCTCCTCCTTCCTGATTTCCACCCTACCCTGCAGCTGCCTCAGGGCTGTCCCAGCCTATGTCCCAGCCCCTTTCTTCTCATTCCCAAGGCTGATGTCTGCTGTGTGCAGAGAACTCCCATACTGTCCCCCAATCCTTTCTTCCCTGGCTCTAGTACCTTCTGGGTATGCACTTGGATGCCCCAGAGGCATCAGGACACATGCCTGGGTGACCACAACAGCCTGCTCGCTACGCCCACCTGGTCCTCTCTGGGCCCAGCAAGATACCAACCCCCATCAGCCCCTGGTCTTCACTCACCCAGCTGAAGGTCACATGGCCATACGGGAGTTGCCAACAGGGGCCACAACTGCCTGATGTGCCACATGAATGTGAATGCCCCTGTGGAGCACCCAGCTTGTGCTATGTGCCACCCCATGGGGCCAACCATAGAGCAGCCCTGACTAGGGCAGGTGTATGATGTGGGGGAAGAATGGATGGTTATTTTGGATCCTGGGGAAAGCCACGCAGGGATACGTGCACAACAGCACAGTCTGTGCCCTGCCCAGCATGTGGACACAGTGACTCCCCTGAGCTCCTAGAGAGCCCCTCCCAGTAACTGGCATCACAGTTTCCTGAGCTGTCTACTTGGGCTGATTGTAGCTCCTGAGAACTGGCCACACCCCTGGCAGCCTCGTGAGCCAGTGTAGGTCTTGAGGGGCACATTGGGAGCCCCACGAGGTTGGAGGAAGTGGTACAGTCTCAGCCCTGCAGAGCCATCCCTGAGCACCCACCACTCCCACGGTGAGAAACCTTGCTGGGGGGGCAGGGGGTGCCTGTGAAGCCTTGTCCCCTGACCCACAGGAGCCCAGGGGCAGGAGGGTGAGCAGCAAACTGCAGCCACCACTCCAGCACCCAGCGAACCCTCTTCATGGGACCCATTCATCTCTGCTCATGGGGCACCTTTTGCCAAATTAGACACACTTTTGCCTATTTATTTCATACACTGTCAAAAGTGTTTTCCTTGTCTTTAATTCGGTCACAGCTCTCTCTGTAGAAGTTGTCAAAATAGCAGAAGTCAAATCTGGTAATATTTATGACTAAAGATGGCGAGGAGCCATGTGAGAACCAACCTGCTGCCTAGGAAAGACCAACGAGAAGTGCTGCGGGTTCCACCCCATATCCCCTGGGCCACTGCTTGGGACCCCTGATGGGTGGATAATCTCAGAACCCATCAGGCACCAAATCTAGAAGGGTTCCATTATGGCTGCCCTAACTCCCACCCCACATAGAAGTCCTACTTGGCTCAGCTCTGAGCAGATAAGGAGAAATAAAGACTGACCATTATTGAATCTTATCCCTTTCTACACATTTGGGCTCCTTCCACCTCTCAACCACCTGTGATACAAGCAATAGGATTGTCCCCATCATGCAGATGAAGAAACCAAGGCCCAGGGAGGCCCAGAAGGCCACTCAGAGTCACACAGGGCTTGGCTGTGCAGCCGGGGTTTGCCGCAGGCCCCTGACTCCAGAGCTGGCGCCTTCGGAACCACATGATGGTGTCTGCAGCATATTCAGGAGGAGAAGAGCGGATCTGCACAGAGCAGTAGGATCCAGTGGGTATCCAAGGGGCCAGAGGAGAAGGGGCTGCTGTGGTCCCTAGTCCAGTGGGAAGGGCAGGAGGCACCAGGAAGAATCTGCCTGGCAGGGCAGGGAAAGATGGGAGCTCATTGCTGGGTTGCTCCAGCCTCAGGAGAGTTGGGAACCATCTGGGTCCCCAGTCAGGATGCCTAAAGAAGAGGCCAGGGGAGGCCAGGTAGATGTCATTGCCTCTGGGGACAATCTGATAATTCCCCAGAGCAGGTGGGACTGGCTGGAGACCACGAAGGCTCCTCGAAATGGAGGCAGATTCTCCAGCCTCATCTGCCTCCATATTTGGTGAAGAGAGCTACACAGAAAGCATGGGGAGAAAATGGGGCACAATGGTGGTCACGGGTGCCCCCCTGAGGGAGTTTGCACTTGACCTGAGGGAGGCGCGGGCCAGCCCTGGGGGTGTCTGAGGCAGGGGCAGGGACCCTGGTGGGAGGGAGGAAGGGTGCCAGCCAGTGAGGCTGGCCAAGGGGCAGGGGCAGCGGGAGGCATGAGGGATAAGGGAGTTCAGCCACGGCCAGACTTTGACGCTGTGTGAGATGCAAACACTGCGGGTCTGGGGCAGTGGAGTGATCTTGCTGATGTGTTTTCTGGTTTATTTGTCTGCACAAGATCCCTGAGATGAGGGTCTTGTCATACTAACCCTGGATGCCCAGGGTCAAGAGAGCAATCTGCCCTTGAGGCAAACAGTGCTGAGTGGAGGGAGGGAGGGGAAGTCCAGGGCCGGCCTCAAGTCACTGGGGACATCTGGATGAGTGCTGAGACAGGGCAGGGGGCTCCACATTGCATTTCCTCACCCAGATCCCAGGACTGGGCTGCCCGGGAGAAGCTGACTTGGAGCTCGCTCTCCAGACAGCTGGCAATTGGGTACCTCTCCCTGTGCCTGGCACCCCTGCCTGCCACATAAAGCCATCCTGCAAAGGTGCACTGTGGTCCCAGCTCACCCACCTATGACACTTCAGGGACATCCCTGCATCTCCCATCTATACCAGCCGCTCCTCTTGGCTTCGAGATCTGCCCCTGGTGGGTTGCTGGCTACCGGATGTCTGACAACAGCTGCCAGCCTGGTTCGGAAGTGCTACCCAAGGCCCTCCTGTTTGCACCTCCAGGTCCAGCTGCCACTCACCTGGTGCCCAGGGAGTGGAAACATCCTCTGCTACCACCTCGTCCTCACGACTAGTCTGGTCCACCACCTGTTGCAGTAAGACGTTTCTGGGGCGGCCCCTCCTTCTTCAAGGCCGATACCCACTCACATGTTCCCCTCCGGGTTTTCCTTTCACAATTCACAAGAGGCAGTGAGGAGTGAGGAGTGGTGGAAGAGCTGGCACAGGGGACAATGTCACCAGGAACCCTGGGTCCCACATCCTAAGAAGTGTGGGTGTCAGCTCAAGGCACTCCCACCTCAGGTGTGCTGTGGACAGGGCTCTGGGCCCTGGGTCTGACACCACTTCTTTGTGAGGACCCTGTATTAGCCAGGGTCCCCAGAGAAACAGAACCAATAGGGGATACATATGTATCTCTTACATAGGCCCAGCAAAGTTGATATAAAATTGGCTGCTGCAGACCTCTTCCCTATGCCCACGTAAAGTGGTTTGTTTTAAGATGAGAAATAATTTTTAAGACAGTTGGGAATGCCCAACCGTTTTATGTACGTGAATACATTCGAGTTCACCGGTATTTTCAGATCAGCATCAAGCTGCTGTCACCTGTGTGGCATGAATAGCACAGAAGCTTTGACGGATGTCGGAAAACAGACTGGCTTGTTCCACTCTGGCTACGGGGCTTAAGATGAGGAAGAAGGACTTCCCCTTCCAGATGACCCCGTTTGTCTCCTCCCAAGACAGCAGCTGTTCAGCGGTGACACCTTGCGGTAAATTCCTCATATGAGCCCCCCCCCCGCCCCCCGCCCACCCCAGCCACCCAGAGGTGCGAGAGACCAGGCGTAAAGGTAAATTCCTCATGTGAGCACCCCCCGCCCACCCGGAGGCGAGAGAGACCAGGCGTAAGGCCATTCCTTAGCAGTGCCGGTCCCCTGCCCCTGAGGCCCTGACAGAGCCGGCCTGCATTTCATAAGACCGAGGGCAAGTATCTCAGAGGCCCAGGACACCTAGAGCGGGCATGAGACCTTGCCCCTTCACTGGACTGCAAAAAGCACCCAGGAGACGTTGGAAGAGTGGCAGGGAAGGGGCTGAGGACGTAGGGCGGCTGCTGCAGGGGCCTATCCACACATCCACCCACTTCCCTTGTGAAAGCTTTCTGCTCAGCATGGGGGGAGAACCCCTGGCACAGCGTCCATCCGAGCGTCTTGTTCTGATTCGCCTTCATCCAGCCACTCCTGTCTCAGCCACCCCTGACCACCACCAAGTACTGAGCAGGGAAATGGCGAGGCAGCCACTGTCTGGTACTCAGGAGCGGAGCTCCTCCTCAGGAACAGGGTGCTGTCCGGGCACAGTGGCTCACGCCTGTAATCCCAGCACTTTGGGAGGCCAAGGCCGGTGGATCACCTGAGGTCAGGAGTTTGAGACCAGCCTAGTCAACATGGTGAAACCCTGTCTCTACTGAAAATACAAAAAAAATTAGCCAGGCATGGTGGCGGGCACCTGTAATCCCAGCTGCTCGGGAGGCTGGGGCAGGAGAATCGCTTGAACCCGGGAGGCAGAGGTTGCAGAG
Source organism: Homo sapiens (assembly GCF_000001405.40). Classification (NCBI taxonomy): domain Eukaryota; kingdom Metazoa; phylum Chordata; class Mammalia; order Primates; family Hominidae; genus Homo; species Homo sapiens. The sequence continues at coordinate 64,249,032 of NC_000020.11, forward strand.
ATCGCACTACTGCACTCCAGCCTGGGTCACAGAGTGAGACTCCATTAAAACAAACAAACAAACAAAGAATGGGGCACTTGTTGTAAAACCCTTAGAGGATAAAAAAAAAATTTTTAATTGTCATTGCAAAAGCGACATTGTCCATCATACAAACAAACATCACAGAAGTAAATTAAATGAGAAGTTGTGTCCTTAGCCAGAGCTGAGACATGCTAAGAAATTAACCTTACATATTTACCCATGGAGTCTCATTTCCAGAGTCCCTTTTTAAATGTAGAGCTACTCTTCCATCTGCTTCATTTGCTATCTGCCTGAAAAATTCCCTTTAACATTTCACATTGTGTTGGTCTGCTAATGAATTCTTTTAGCTTTGTATGTCTGAGAAAAATCTTTCATTGTTTAAAATAAATGACAAAGTTTATTTTTGAGAGCAGTTTGGGTTTACACAAAATTTGAGCAGATAGTACCAAGAGTTCCCATAGACCCCTCTCCTTATTATTAACATCTGGAATCACTGTGGTATGTTATAACAACTAATACACCAATATTGATGCATTACTATTAACTAAAGTCTAGTCTACAGTTCACATTAGGGTTCACTCTTTGTGTTGCAGTTACATGTTTTGTTGTTGTTTTGTGGGTTTTTTTTTGTTTTTTTTTTGGAGACAGGCTCAGGCTCTGTTGGAGTGCAGTGGCACAATCACTGCTCACTGCAGATTTCACCTCCCAGCCTCAAGCGATCCTTCCTACCTCAGCCTCCAGAGTAGCTGGGATTACAGGCATGTGCCACTATGCCCGGCTAATTTTTTTTTTTTTTTGTAGTGACGAGGTCTCGCTATGTTGCCAAGGCTGGTCTTGAACTCCTCCTGCCTCAGCCTCCCAAAGTGCTAGGATTACAGGCATGAGCCACAGCACCTGGCTAGTTATATGGGTTTTGACTAAAGCATAATAACATGTATCCACCATTACAGTATCATACAGAATAGTTTCAGTGCCCTAAAAACCCTCTCTGCTCTGCCAGTTCATCTCTCCCTCTCCCTCCAACCCCAATCCCTGGCAACCATTGATCTTTTCACAGTTTCTACAGTTTTCAGTTTTCCCGAATGTCATATCACTGGAATCATATAGTGTTAATATGTAGCCTTTTTATCCTGGTTTCTTTCATTTCGCAATAAGCATTTAAGTTTCCTCCTTGTCTTTTCATGTCTCAGAGCTCATTCTTGTTATCATTCATTCATACTCCATTGCTTAGCATGTATGAGTTTGTTTATTCATTCACCTGTTGAAGGACATCTTGGTTGTTTCCAAATTTTGGAAACTGTGAATACAGCTGTTATAAAAATCTATGTGCAACTTTTTGCATGGACATAGTGGTTGAGTAAGCACCTAGGAGTGCAAATGCTGGATCATAAGGTAAGACTTGTGTCTTCCACAGAGCAGAAGTTTTAATTTTAACAAAATCTACCTTACCAATTTTTACTTTCACGGATTGTGTGTTTGACTTGTCAAAAGAGTCATCACTAAACCCAAGACCACCAGGATTTTCTCCTATATTATTTTGTAGAACTTTTATGTAAAAAGTTTGAGATCTATGTGTAGTTTTTTGGTTTTTTGTTTGCATATGGATGTTCAGTTGTCCCAGCATCATTTGTTGAAAAGACTATTCTTTCTCCATTTAATTGCTTTTGCTCCTTTGTCAAAGAACAGTTGACTGTATTTGTGTAGGTGTATTTCTGGGTTTACTATTCTATTCCATTGATCTGTTTGTCTCTTCTTTTGCCAACACCACACTGTCTTGATTACTGTAACGTTATAGGTCTTGAAATCTGGTTGTGTCAGTTCTCCAACTTCGTTCTTCTTCAGTACTGTGTTGGCCATTCTGGGCATTTTGCCTTTCCATATGCACTTTAGAATCAGTTTGTTGATATCCATGAAATAACTTGCTGAGATTTTGATTGGTGTTGCATTGAATCTACAGATTAAGTTGGAAATAACTGATAGCACTGCTGAGCTTTCCTCTCCATAAACATGGAATATCTGTCTATGTAAATATTTGATGTCTTTTATGAGAGTTTGGTAGTTTTCCTCATATAGACCTTGTACCTATTTTGTTAGGTTTATGCCTAAGCATCCCATTTTTTGGTGCTATTGTAAACAGTATTGTATTTTTAATTTCAAATTCCAATTGTTAATTGCTGGTATATAGGAAAGCAACTGGCTTTTGTTTATAACCTTACATAGTAGTCCCCCATCTGTGGTTTTGCTTTCCATGGTTTCAGTTACCTGCAGTCAACCACAATTCAAAAACATTAATTGGAAAATTACAGAAATAATTCATAAATTGTAAATCATGTGCTATTCTGAGTAGTGTGATGAAATCTCGTGCCGTCCTGCTCCATGCTACCCAGTACGTGTGCCACCTTTCTGTTCAGCATATCCATGCCATATACACTACCTGCCCATTAATCACTTAGTAGCTAACAGAGAGACCACACTCATGTAACTTTTATTACAATATATTGTTATAGTTGTTCGATTTTATTATTAGTTATTGTTGTTAATCTCTTGCTATGCCTAATTTATAAATTAAACTTTATCATAGATGATCCATATGTAGGAAAAAACATAGTATATATAGGGTTTGATTCCATCCCTGGTTTCAAGCATTCCTATATGTACTATAGAGTTTGGTACATATCCCCAACAGTGTCTTAGAACATATCCCCTAAGGATAAGGGGGGGGACTGCTGTATCCAGCAACCTTGCTGTAGTCAGTTATTAGTTTCTGGAGTTTTATTGGAGATTCTTCAGGGTATAATACACAGTTAATCTTACCACCTGTGCAAAAAGACAGTTTTATTTCTTCCTTCTAAATCTGTAACCCTTATTTTCAAGTCTTATTGCATCAGCTAGGACTTCTATATGATGTTGAACAGAAGTAGTGAGAGGGGACATTCCTGCCTTGTTCCTGATCTTAAGGAGAAAGGGTCCACTTTCTCACCATTAAGTATGATATTAGCTGTTGGTTTTCTGTAGATGTTCTTTATCAAGTTGAGGAAATGCCCCTCTCTCTATTACTAGCTGGGTGAGAATTTTTTTTTTTTTTTTTTTGAGATGGAGTCTCACTCTGTCGCCCAGGCTGGAGTGCAGTGGTGCGATCTCGGCTCACTGCAACCGCCGACTCCCTGGTTTAAACTATTCTCCTGCCTCAGCCTCCCAAGTAGCTGGGATTACAGGCATGTGCCACCATGACCGGCTAATGTTTGTATTTTTAGTGGAGACGGGGTTTCGCCATGTTGGTCAGGATGGTCTCAATCTCCTGACCTCGTGATCCGCCCGCCTCGGCCTCCCAAAGTGCTGGGATGACAGGTGTGAGCCACTGTGCTCAGCCAGCTGGGTGAGAATTTTTAACACGAATGGGTATGGAGTTGCAGTTAGGCATGATGAAAAAAATGTGGAGCTGGATAGTAGTGAGGTTGCACAATAGTGTAAATGTACTTCATGTACACTTAAAAATGGTTCAAATGATAAATGTTTTGTATACTTTACCATAGTAAGAATAGTGTATTTCGAAGACAACAACACAACCTCCCACATGTGGCTCTAGCTACTTGCTCCCCAGATACCCAGCCGCACCCCTGCCTCAGGCCCTTGCATGACCTTCCCTCCGTCCGAGGCTCCTCCTGCAGATACAACACAGATGAGTGGAGAGATGCAAGGGGATAGGCGAGGGGACACTGAAGACATACTCAGAAAGCTCCCCGTGGCTGGGTGTGGGAGAAGCCTGGAGGAGGGTGACAGCAGCAGTTGGATTCCCATCCACCTTCCTGTGCTTACTACTAGCTGGTAAGTACAAGAAGCCAGCGAACCTCTTGCAGTTTCAGTTCCCTCATCTGTAAAATGGAGGTATCAGTGTCGTCAAGCCAAAGGCTGCCAGGAACCTGCCTGTAATTGAATGAGTTGGGATTATCACTCATTGCAGCGAGAGGGATGCAGATCATGGAGAACTGCAAGGCATCTCAGTAAGAGGTGTCGGGAAAAGTTACTAAAGGTTATGGGCTTGAGTTGGGTGATTTTTTTCATGGATTAGATGCTGTCAGGAATTGGGGGAGTGGATGGGGGGAAAGGGTGGTTCTCTGGGCATCTCAGTAGATGTTATCTGTGAGGAGGCCAGGGCAGAGGGAGGCTCAGCTGTAGCTGGTAGAGGAGCGGGGGTCATTGTTACTAACTTGGAGATGATATGTCTTAGATTTTGTGGGTGGCACAGTTACCCTGTTTTTGTTTGTGCTTAGACAAAATTATGACGTGGCCTTGGATCATGATGGTGCTCCTCTACAAAATTATTTATGTCCAACAGGAGACCCCATGGCCTCGATCTGAGTGCCAGGCCAGCTCCTGATGTCACGGTCCACTTTTCTTCTTGGAGGTCATACTAGTACCTATTTCATGGAAATAACCCATGTAGAGTGCTCAGTATATACCCTGTGAAGGGTTATGAATGCTGATGGTAGTGGAAGCTGATGTGGAGGGGAATGGTGGAGACACCTTGGAAAACCAAGCAAGAGTCTGAAGTTGTGGCAGGCCGGGTCTCACTAACGCAGGCCTCCATTACAGCTGTCCCAGCACGGACTGAGTAGCCAGGTTAAACATTAAAAGCTGATTGAGCCAATGCCCTTATACAAAGGTTGGAATGTAACAAAGAGCCCACCAAGAGTTTTGCCTAGGCTCTTCCTGGGCCTTGAAGCATGACAAGATAACGAAGGAACTCTTAACAGGACCCTTTTTAGGATTAAACAAGTTGTATTAGGGATCTGAAGAAACTCCCCAGGCCTCCACAAACAAGTTTATGGGGGTCTAAAGGAATTCCCCATATCATTATGATTTAGCAGGAGACAAGATAAGGGTAATCACCCCAGCACCTAGACCCATTTAGATTAAGTAAACTTACTGAGGCTCCAGAAGAGGGTCTTCAGGACTCAACCTTAGTCATAGATTAAAAGAAGTTAATCACTTATGTCTGTAGATGAATGCACACTTACATGTAGACATACAGCTTAGAAGGTATACGAGCTTTGGAAAACTTTGTAATTTTGAGTTGGTATGGTGATAATTTCCAGGCCTTCTCCTTGTAACCGGTTACAGAAATAAAACCTCTCTTACTCTCCAGCTCATTTGCATCTTGTTATTGGGCCAGGAGAAGTAGTAGCCCGACCCTCAGTTGGGTCCAGGAACAAAGGGAGTGTCTGAAGACAGCAGTGATGTGATCACCTGTTTTAGGAGGACCACTCGCCAGAGCCCAGGGGAATGGTGGGAGGGGTGGGGAGAGGTGAGGGGAGCTGGGACAGGGCAAGGAGGGATGTATGGAGGACGTGTCCCCTGGCAGTAGGAAGAGAGTCAAGGATGACTCCAGGGCTTCTGTAATTTGAAACAGTCACAAATAACCACAAGCTCTCAGGTGGAAGGACACTGAGAGCCCCATGAAGGTCATGAGGTGGTGGGCCACCTCAGGTCCGTGGATCCAGGACCATGGATCAACAAGAGAAGTGAGGTCTCCCTGGGACCACATAACGTGGTGAAGGCACCGGCCTTTGGTTTTCAAACTCTGCTCCTAAGTGGAGCTCCAGGGTCTGGGGAGGAATGCCGAGTTAGGAGGGAGGCGGGAACCGGAGACCCAGGCCCACTCGTCCGCCCCAGCGACGCTGGCACTTGCACATATGAGGCGGCTTGCATGGCTGTGCTTGAAGAAAGGGTTCTGCAGCTACAGCCTATCTGCAAAGCCCCACGCGAAGTTTGGGCAATGGGCTGTGTGAACCCAGAAAATGGGAGACAGGTCTCAGTTAATTTACAAAGTTTATTTTGCCAAGGGTGAGGACGCGCCCGTGACACAGCCTCAGGAAGTCCTGACATGTGCCCAAGGTGGTCGGGGCACAGCTTGGTTTTATACATTTAGGGAGACAGGATACATCCATCGATACATGTAAGAAGCACATCGGTTCGGTCTGGAAAGACGGGACAACTTGAAGCAAAGGCAGGAAGACTCCAAGCGGGGAGGGAGCGTCCAGGCCACAGATAGGTGAGACACCAACGGTTAAATTCTTTTGAGTTTCTCATTTGCCTTTTCAAAGGAGGCAAATCAGATATGTATCTATCTAAGTGAGCAGAGGAGTGACTTTGAATGGAATGGGAAGCAGGCCTGCCCTAAGCAGTTTCCTGCTGGAGTTTTCCTTAGTGATCTTGGGGGCCCAGGATATCTTCCTTTCACAGCTGATTTCACAAAGCCGGCTGGGTAGGAGGGCCCCAGGGCCGGGTGGCCGTCCGCGTGGCAGGGCGGGGGTCCCAGGGCGGCTGTGCTTGGTGCTGGGAGGCCGCCCGAGGGCAGCGCCGGCCCCGAGTCAGCAGCCGCAGGGCACCCTGGAGATGCGGAACGCCCCCAGCCGTGGGTCAGCAAAGGCGTCTCAGGTGACCCTTAGGGAGGGCTTCTGAGGCAGCCCGTGCGGGGTCCGTCCTGGCTGAGCACTGCGCGGACGGCGCGCCCGCGAGACTCGGACCCGGCCTAGGGCTCAGCGAGCTCTCAGCGGGGCGGGCGGACGCAGGCAGCCCAGGGGAGTGGGGCCCGCCCTGCGCCGCCATCACCCCTTTAAGTGCCAGGCCCGCGGCGCATGCGCAGTCAGGCCGTTGTGCGCAGGCGCAGAGGCGGCGGCGGCGGCGGCGGCGGCGGATGTTTACGGCGGCCGAGGTTGGAGCGGCGCTGCTCGGCCGCGGACACACGAGGGACGCGCCCGAGGAGCTGCAGGTGGCAGCCCAGGCGGTCCGAACCCGTCGGCCGGCCGAGCCTGGAGGTAGAGCCGCCGCCGCCGCCGCCGCCCCTCGGTCCGGCCTGCGGCGAGCGGGTGGTGTGTCCCCTCGGCCCCTTCCCTCCTCCTTCCCCACCCCCGGCACCCCTGCGCCCGGAGCTCTCCTCTGGGGGCGTCGCTCCTCCCCACCTCGGGCACCCTCACCTCCCCCCAGCGGCCTCCAGGGCGTCCCGCGTTTCTCTCTCCGAGCGCTCGCGGTTTCCCGTCGGTCTCTCCCGGTGCCCGTTGCTCACTCACACTCTTGGGTCTGGTTAGTCCAGACCTGCAGCTTGTCTTTGACTTCCCAAGTGGGAAACGTTTGCAGTTCCAAGGCAAGCCAAGAGCTAAGGTTTAGAACAAAGTCTGCCTTGGACCCTTTCAGAAGATGACAGGATTTTTTAAAAAAATAATTGCGCCCCCCCGCCCCGTGCCTTGGAGATAGTAAGAATTGGAGCAGAGCACTGGGACTTCAATTCACGCATGGAAAGAGATCTTTGTTAGTTGGAGGAAGGAGAACTTGCCTGAGCTTCGGGCCTTTGTTTTGTTTTTGTGAGAGGGACGTGTCTCCTAAATGAATGTTTGCTCCAGCGTTGCACCTCAAATAAGTCACCTAAATATCCACGCCCTCTTTATCCACCCCCTCTTTACTCGTGTGACTAGAATAGTTTTCATTTTTCTTCTCAAGGGAATGGCTAAACAGCTCCTATCTGGGCGTTTGATAGACTGTCATTCAAGAATGAGTGAAGTTGAGGTGCCTATAAGCAACTCAGAAATTGTTGTGGCCACGCTTGGGGGAAATAGAGCCCTACACTCAGGTGATGAGAGGAGACCTCAGAGGTGACCGATCCAGGGCCTTGCTCCCTGCGCCACCCCAGCTCGTACCTCCAGTGGAACTTGGCTGGGCTTATCAAGAGCTCCTTTCATTCATTGCAACTTCATTTGTTAGAAAGCTTCTCTGTGTATTTAGTAGGCATTGTCTCCAACATGTACCACTGGTCTGGCTTTTGTTAGGCCCATTAATAGTGTACATGTGACAGCCTTTCAAGTATAGGTGCTCCCCGGCTTACGGTGGGGTCGCATCCCAGTAAACACATCGTTAAACCTGAAGTCGAACCATCCGAAGTCGGAGACCATCTGTATTTGAAAAAAGTCCCTTTGCATTGCTTGTAAGAGTTCTGGTTTTCAAGGTGAGAAATCTGTTTGTGTGTTTGTTTGATCATTCTGCCCAAAGGAGATGTGGCTTTGGGTCCTTTTCCCCACTCATCTTCCACAATGAATTACTTTGTCCATATTACCCTAAAGAAGTGACATCCAAGTTGGAATGTGATCTTCCGTATGTCGCCTCCCAAAACCCCACTACCATAGCTTCATGCTTGTGTTGACACAGCCACAATCACAACTCAGGTGTCAGTTCTGAGACCTTCCCATGCCTGTCGCCACTCAGCAAGTGTTCTTCATGTGCCCTGGCAGTTCGCATTGTAAGGAGCAGCCAGGTTGTTATGGACTGTTGCTAGTTACCACAGAGTAGTGAATTATATTAAGGATTAATTACAGCAGACAATGTGCACAGTATCATCGAGTGCAGCGTTCTAAAAATGATTCTACACTTTTACTTTGAAAAATTGGATTTGACCAGATTGTAGAATCTGGGTGAAAATGATAGGATTTGGTTTGGCGAAGAGCTTTGTTGTCGGTGTTTTTGGTGACATCATGACTGATCATATCGATGGTTTTCAGTGCGAGGGAGTGTTAGATTACCAGACAAAGATGGTAATAAATATCAGACCCCACAGCTATTCACATGGATCCTACCAGTGGCAATAGGTATAGATAGGGTTACCCCATCGTCAAAAGGTTACCGGTGTGTTGTGTGGTAAAGAACGTTGCTGTCTTGAGTATTTTTAAAAGCTGCACTGGTGTGGTATTAAAAACACAGGCCTTTTGCCATACAGTCCTGGGTTTGAATGCAGCCCCCTCCTCACAAACTGGCTATGTGATCATGAACAAATTAACCGGCCAGCTCCAATTTGCTTCTTAATGTTGTGAAGTGTAAATGAGGCCATGACTGGCAGGTGGTACCTGGAAAAAGGTGCTTGTTTTTACTAAAAAGCTGTCTGAACTTTCAAATTAAGGCAGAGTTCAAAATAAGTGATAGTTACTTAGTGGAAAATGAAACCTATCCAACATACAGTTTGAGGTTACCTTCTAGAGATGTGGCATTGAGACAATGTTGGAACATTATATACAGGCTTCTGGGTGAAGAGGTGGCTTTGACTGAGGACGGTATGCGATTTTCCAGCTCTTTTCCTAAATAGACCCTTAAGCATCCAAACACATGATTCCGCTTTTAACCACTGACCCAAATTTTAAGATGACTGTGGTAGGCTAGGGTGCAGCCTCAGAACTGAGTGGCTTATCCAGGATTAAAGTTGACCTCATTAGGACTTAATTCCATCTAAGTCTAAGTCAGCTGGCTGTGGACCGTAATCTAACAAGGGCTCCGAAACAATTCAAAAAATTCAAAAAGGGTGTGAAAATTTAATGACTGGACCATCCTATTGATTTGCAAAACCTAATATTCAGCTCTAAAATCTTGAGTGTGAAGATTGAGTGTTCCACCATAAAAATAGAAGAGAATTTGTGTTAAGCTATACCCTTCACACTTTTTGTTCACTTGTAAGAAACTATGTGATTATTTTCATTCCTGGGAAAACCTCCCACCGCTGTCTCCAGTTGTGTACGTGGGTGTGTATGAAATCCGCCCCAGGCCCCTTGTCACCCCACAGTATTTCTTTACGATCCTCATTCTACTGTTAGAAATCCAGAGGAATGTGAGGAGGAAAGCAAGTATAAACTTCATCATAATTATAACAAGTTGTTAAAAAGGTTGTGTTCATTTCAGAAAATGTCTTCATGAGGTCTGGTGGTCTTTTTCCCTGACAATTTGTATCTGGTGTTTTGTAAAGCATTACCATTTTATATGAAGTTAAAGCAGTTACTTTGAAAAAGTTACATGGGGTAAGTATAAAATTGGAAAGGATATTTTTGTAGTTTTAAGAAGAGTAAGACTTCTCCGCGTGAAAAAGTGTTTTCTTGTGAATTAGCTGAAGCTACCCTGTATTTTAATAGTTAGGCTCAGAGGTGACACATGCTGTGCTTTTTCTTCTTGAAGGCAGGTTGGGAGAAGGTAAGACAAGTAGTTGTTATTTTTAAAGAGCTGGGAAAGCTGCGTATCATGCAATTGAGGAGGGGCTGTAGGAAGTTCTGGTAGCAGCCCCTCCTACACTTAAACTTTAGCCAGGAAGCTGATTTTGCATTTGTTAGAAAAAGGTATTTGTCACAGTACGTTCAATTTGGGAAGAGTGTTTTCTTGCTGTTTTTGTCTAAAATTTGAACATCAAAATATCCAAATCAACAGGTCAGATGGATTGCTTGACTTGGGTGGGTACTTTTGTGTATGTTGGGGATATAGAATTCCCAGATGTAATATAGGACACCACCTAAAGTTTTTTTTCTTTTCTCTTTTTTTTTTTTTTTTTTTTGAGACAGAGTCTTGCTCTGTTCCGCAAGCTGGAGTGCAGTGGTACGAGCTCTGATCACTGCAACCTCTGCCTCCCGGGTTCAAGTGATTCTTCTCCCTCAGCCTCGCCAGTAGCTGGGATTACAGGCATCCACCAGCATGCCTGGCTAATTTTTGTATTTTTTAGTAGAGACGGGGTTTCACCATGTTGGCCAGGCTGTTCTTGAACTCCTGACCTCAGGTGATCCAACTGCCTCGGCCTCCCAAAGTGCTGGGATTACAGTCATGACCCACCGCACCCGGCCTAAATTTGAATTTCAAATAAACGTCAAATAACTTTTAGTATTGTTGTTTACCTTAATTTCCAATTGAACTGGGATTTTTTTTCCTTCTAAATCTGGCATCTCTGGGTGGGGCAGGGGATGAGGTGGGTGTTGACAAAAGATAATCTATTATTTTCAGAATTCAGAATTTCAAATTGGTATCTGTTTAGAACTTCTATTGTTCTGCTCTTACCTTTAACATAAATCGCTCTTTTTAAACATTTTTAATTATAGTATTGCCTAAGTGTAATCTTGAACATGGGCGGTGCTGTGAGTGCTGGTGAAGACAATGATGAGCTGATAGATAATTTGAAAGAAGCACAGTATATCCGGACTGAGCTGGTAGAGCAGGCTTTCAGAGCTATCGATCGTGCAGACTATTATCTTGAAGAATTTAAAGAAAATGCTTATAAAGACTTGGCATGGAAGCATGGAAACATTCACCTCTCAGCCCCGTGCATCTACTCGGAGGTGATGGAAGCCCTAGATCTGCAGCCTGGACTCTCGTTTCTGAACCTGGGCAGTGGCACTGGGTATCTCAGCTCCATGGTGGGCCTCATTCTAGGTAAGTGTGGAAGGAGAGTCTGAAAACTCATCTGTCTCAGGGAAGGAGGCATCTCCTTTGACAGAAAATGTAGTCTGCTAATGGCCTGCCTGGGTCGAGACCGCAGCCTTCCCAGTAGTTATCTGACATTGACACATCACTGGGTGGTGGATAGAGGGATGAGGGAGGAAGGCCTGCATGCATCTCATGGGCCCCGGATTCTCCAGAGGGACCTCTCCTGTTCTCTGTCCCCTCTTCCTGTGCTGCCACAGCCTGTACTGCGCACCTGCCCTCTGGACAGCGGAGGATAAAGACAGTTGTGTAAATCTTGACCCCACTGTGATTTCTCGATTTAATTTTATCACTCATTCTTCCTTGTCACTCCTTCTCTAAATCGATGGTAATTAACTTGAAAGTCCTTTCGGAGTACTTCTAAGCAGTTTTTGTTTTGTTGGTTTTTTTTTTTTTTTTTTTTTGACAGTTGTGCCCCATCGTCTAGGCTGGAGTGCCGTGACACGAGCAAGGCCCACTGTAGCCTTGACCTCCTGGGATCCAGCAAATCCTCCTGAGTACCTAGGGCCACAGGCACGCACCACCACCCCTGGCTGATGTTTAAATGATTTTTAGAGACGGGGTCTCGCCATGTTTCCCAGGCTGGTCTCAAACTCCTGGGCGCCAGCTCTCCACCTGCCTCAGCCTCCCAAAGTGCTGGGATTACAGGCATGAGCCACCATGCCTGGCCTACTTTTTTGTTTTAATACTAAGAGTAATACCTGTAGATTTTAAAATTAGTTTCAGGGATGGAAGGGATTTCACTATGAAGCTATTTAGCCTATTTTCCAAACAAATGAGTTGTGAGACTGCACATGGAAATATGGCTATTTTTAATAATAGCAGATAACTAAGGAAAAACATCACTTGGTGCCAAATGCTGTGAGGGGCGGGGAAGGCATCTGTTTTTAACTCAGTAGGGTGGAAAAGTTTTGCCGGAGGGGTGATAGGAGCTGATCTGTAAACAGGAAGCAGGGGCCAGGCTGCTGAGGCAAAGCTGGCTGAGAAGACGCTGGATGAAACCAGTGCAGAGAAGCTGGAGTCTGTATTTTTTCTAAATCCTGTTAGAACTGACAGGATTTACGGGTGGACTGTATATGCTTGTGAAAGAAACGTCAGGAATGTGGCTTGGCTTGGTGGTTCATGCCTGTAATCCCAGCCCTTTGGGAAGCCGAGGTCGGAGGATCGCTTGATCGCTTCAAGATTGCAGTGAGCTATGATTGCACCACTGCACTCCAGCCTAGGTGACAGTGAGACTCCGTCTATAATTGATTTTTGTGGATATGGAATGATAATTTTGTTTTTTTTTTCTAAGTCTGTATAAATTGGAATTTGGTGAAGTTTTGAGACCGATTATTTTGGCTTTATGCTATAGATTGCTACCTTCAGGTGTAAAAGTGTGTAGATTTTTATAATGCTTTTTGACCGTAACTTCTCTTCAATTGAGACTGTTGTGATCCCTGTGCTTTGAGAAGAGAACACAGTGCCCAGATTATTTATCATTTTTGAATTTGGGAATTGTGATTTCCTCCAACGTAGCTGAAAAATAGGGGCTATAGCTAAGGTAGAACCTTGGGGAGAAATAGGTGATCAAGCTGACTAGATTAGAAATACTATAGGAAAGAGCCAAAATGCTTAGGAAAAGATGACTTAAAGTAAGCCTGAAATGGTGGGGCGTGGTGGCTCACGCCTGTAATCTCAGCACTTTGGGAGGCCGAGGCAGGCAGATGGCTTGAGGTCTGGAGTTCAAGACCAACCTGGCCAACGTGGTGAAACCCTGTCCCTACCAAAAGTATAAGAAAGTACCTGGGTGTGGTGGTGCACACCTATAATCCCAGCTACTCAGGAGGCTGAGGCTGGAGAATCACTTGAACCTGGGAGGCGAAGGTTACAGTGAGCAGAGATGGTGCCACTGCACTCCAGTCTGGCTAACGGAGCCAGACTCCATCTCAAAAAGAAAAAAAAAAAGTAAGCCTGAAATGGCCTTGCTGTACTTGACATCCCCTAGAAGTTATAAGGAAAGGCCTTCCAACTTGATACAGTTGCTTTTCTTTCCTGAATCCCCTGTTTACTGGAAATTTCATTGGATTTTGGGAGGAGAGAGGTCTGAAGGAAGGAAAGGCCTGTTTTCTGCTGTAATGGATGTAACATGCTGCTTTGATGCAGTTGAAGGAAGTGACTTCAGGGTTTGCTGTCATGGATGCGTGTCTTGGCTGTGTCTCCAGATGCTGCAGCTTTTATTCAAGCTTAATAGCACTTGGTGCAGAGCACTCCAGAGTGAAACCTCATTGGCTTCCCGGCGCCTGTGGATGTGGGTCTCTCATCTGACGGAGTTCTTTACTGTGACCCCCGACTGCCTTTCGCATGGCCTGAGCGGCATCCTGGGTCAGCCCTGTTCCTGTGCTTGCTCTGTGGGCTCCTCTCCCCTTTGCTCAGGGCTGTCCTTACCTTTGTTTGTCATCAACCAGGGGAGAATACAGTAGCTACTAAGAGATGGTGGCTCATAAGTCACCTACCTGAAAAGTGCTGGGTGATTCGGAAGCAGGGCAGACCTAGGAGCGGCTCTGCCAGGGGGGCCTCGCTGCTCTGGTTTCATGCCGTGCTCCAGTGCTGAGTCCCAGGTGCCGTGTTCCTGACACCCCCCGGCCACCCTGTGTCCTCCTCCCCTGCTAGTCATCTTTGTATTAAGCAGGTGGGTCGAGGTATTTGTGTTACTACTGTTTGGTGTTAAGCTTCTTGGGAATAGGAACCATATCTCATATCTGTTACTAGAATTAACTGCTTATTAAGTGTTTGATAGTGAAGGTGAGGGGTCAGTGAAAATAAGATGAGTGGGAAGAATCAAGCGCTATTTTTGGTCTCTGGCAGAGTCGGGAATTGAAGTCGGAGTTGTCAGAAGGTCTTGACGTTCAGAGTAATTCAGGATTTGATGTTGTAAACAGTGAAAAGGGGAACTCTCAGGTAGGGTGTATTTTGACGAGGTAATGTTTTAGCAGCAGCTCTGTGTATGAAATACGTGGAGAGAAAAGAGCAGCAGGTACAGTTGTCCAAATGGGGGCCAGGGAAGCCTTGGCCTGGGCTGGTGGCTGTTGTACTAGGAGGGCCCACACGGTGCAAAGGTGTGGGATGCACAGAAGGTTGCCCATTTCTTAGCATTTCTGTTAGATTGTAGGGTCCAGTGCTACATGATCACTGTAGTAGTATATCTGTCTACCAAGTAAAGTCCTACGTGCCTTGTGATTTTTACATGTAGATTTAAAAAGTTGACGTGTAACTTACCCATAGTAAATGAACAAGTGTGAAGTGTGAATTCTGGTGGACTTTTACATATGCATCCACCGCCATATAAACTCCAGCCACAGCAAGATGCAGAGTTGAATCAGCACCCCAAAAGGCTCCCATGCCCCCTCCTCCTCCTAGAAAGTTCACCAGTGTTGCATCTTCCAGAAAGGTGATGACCGTTTTGCCTTTGTCGGCAAAGATGAATTTTGCCCGATTTTTACCTTCATGTAAGTGGATTCCCGCAACAGAGAGACCCATTTAAGTTGAGTGTCAATACTGTGTTCCCAGTTAACGTAGGGGCAGTTTTATATCGGGGGAGCACTGTCATCATTAAGTGGACTTGTAACATTTCTCAGTTGTATTTCAAATTACTGATAAATATCCTTTGATATAAAAATGTTTCATTGTGACTTGGAAGCATAGTTTTATCTTAATGATGATGATTGAACCCTGTTTTGTGAATATTATAATGCTCACATCTGAGTGTTCTGGGCAACTTTTCAGGGAAAACAGAATCGTCTTAAATGTTACCTCTGGACAAACAGGTGAGGCCTGTGTCAGTTCCATTTGCAAATACATGTTTCTTCTTTAGTTCATTAGTAAGACCTGAACACTTGGTTTGTCTCCATTTTCAAATGATTCTTTAAAAGTTTGTGAGCAGAGAAGCCCAGGCCTCAAGTATTTACGATGTGGTGAGCCGTGATACTGTGATGAGACTTCAAAACTTTGTGAATGTCTGTAGTTACACATGTTAAGTCAGACGTGTTACAGTTGGTAGAAGTGAACAGATGAGCAAGAGTTCTTACTCTGGTTCTACATGTTTTCTTATTCTTAAACCTTTTAGGTCCTTTTGGTGTGAACCATGGGGTGGAACTTCACTCAGATGTGATAGAGTATGCAAAGCAGAAACTGGACTTCTTCATCAGAACAAGTGATAGTTTTGACAAGTAAGATGAAATACTATCCATTGGCTCAGATGATGTGAACTGTAATTTTACAAAGTTTTGATCAGATAGAAAGAAATCATGTGGTAGGAAACATAATTAAACTGTGGTGGGATGATTCTATGTGCCTGTTCTAATTTTCAGAAAAGATTCTGTGTTTTGAGGGTTTTAGGGTATTTCAAACTGTTACACATACATAAGGTGTTCATTTGCTCAATATTCATGTTTCCTGTTGAAGACAACTGTTTACCACCTAGTTTTTCCTAAAATAAAATTGTTGCATTTGTCTCTAAACAGTATATGTAACTAGCTTTTGCCATTTTAAAAGAAGGCATTAAAGTTCTTATTTTAGGGATTAAAATTTTTAGAAACACCAAGTGCAGTTTCACCACCCCCACATCTCACTCATTGTGTAGTATTAATAGATCTTACATAAGATGATAAGAAGATGACAGAGACAGCAGCGACTGGAGATTGTGTGAAATTTGGATAAAACTTTTGATATTCACTTTCATACTATTTTGTTTGGTATTTCTAGAGTTCTAGTTATATAGTATAATTCTTTTTGGAAGTAATTCTTGGACATTTGTAATTCTTTTCTTCCAGCTCCTCACACTGTAAACTGTGTTACATTGCTGTGGGATTTTAACCTGTGGTTAGCATAGATTTACTGTATAGACTTGTTGCAATGTGATACTTTTAGTTGCAGGAAGCATTTTTTACTTCCAGGTTTGACTTCTGTGAACCTTCCTTTGTTACTGGGAATTGCCTGGAGATTTCTCCGGATTGTTCTCAGTATGATCGTGTATACTGTGGGGCTGGCGTGCAGAAAGAGCATGAAGAGTACATGAAGAATCTTCTCAAAGTGGGAGGGATCCTTGTCATGCCACTGGAAGAGAAGGTCAGATTCCCTTCATAACTGACATTTCTGCACACTGTGTGCCAAGGTCTGTTCTGGGCAGTGTACGGATACTTACTCTTTTAACAATTTCCTGCATTTCACAAATGAGGAAACAGAGGCAGGGACAGGTGAGGGAGATGCAGGGTCACGCACATGCCCTAGCTGGGGCCAGAAGCTGACTCAGGTGGGTGCTTCAGAGCCTGCACGTGAAACGCTTTTCTCCACCTTCCTTCTCTGTCTCTCTCTTTTTCCTTCTTCTGTCCCTTCCCCCTCACCTCCCTCTTCCTTCCCCTTCTCCTTCCCCCCAGCTGTTCTGAGTTTTAATTCTAATTGTTAATCTATTATAATTGTTCTGCTGTTAGAATTATATATAAAATAGAGTCATTCTATTCTCATCATTAGTCTAATTGTTACATGCCTTGATGTTATGCATTTGACAGGAATCCTTTGCCTAGTGAGAGTCTTGTCCAAGTTTGCTGTTTGGTCATGCTTGTTTGTCTGTGTTACTGTATGTCACTGGGAAAAATAGTTTATAGTAAATGAACAGATTAATCAGACATGAATTGGTCACCAAGAAGAATGTCTCCCAGTCACAAAGAACTAGGAAAACACAAATAATAAAAATTAGGAGGTTTTAATTGTTTTAATAAAAATTTGGAGATGAGATCTTGCTCTGTCATCCAGGCTGGAGTACAGTGGCATGATAATAGCTCACTGTAACTTCAAACTCATGGGCTCAAGTGACCCTTCCGCCTCAGCATCCCAAGTAGCTGGCACTATAGGCACGTGCTGCCATGCCCAGATAAATTTATTTTTTAAATATTTATTTATTTATTTATTTATTTAGAGACAGAGTCTCGCTCTGTCGCCCAGGCTGGAGTGCAGTGGCGCGATCTCAGCTTAGTGCAACCTCTGCCTCCTGGGTTCAAGCGATTCTTCTGCCTCAGCCTCCTGAGTAGCTGGGATTACAGGTGCGTGCCACCACACCCAGCTAATTTTTGTATTTTTAGTAGAGACAGGGTTTCACCATGTTGTTCAGGCTGGTCTCAGAGCTCCTGACCTCATGATCCGCCCACCTCGGCCTCCCAAAGTGCTGGGATTACAGGTGTGAGCCACCGTGCCCGGCCTAATTTTATTTTTTTAGTGATGGGCTCTCACTGTGTTGCCTGGGCTGATCACAAACTCCTGGCCTCAAGCAATTGCCTCACCTCAGCCTCCAGAGTTGTTGGCATGAGCCATCACACCTGGCAGAATATTGTTTTAAATGTCTTTGCTTATACAAGTGATATTACAGATCTTTGTTGCTATACAAAATGCATTGGATTTTTTATTGGAATTGTATCATCTCGATAATTTGAGGATTGTGGCCATCTTTACAATGTTTCATCTGCTTATCTAGAATATGAAATAGGGGTTTATATAGTTTTATTTAAGGTTTTATACATCATTTATTGATTCTATTGAAATACTTGTTTTTCATTGTAACTAGAAATTCTTTTAAAAATGTTTAAATAAACATATGTTTTGCTGGTATACAAGAATGTTTGTTGATATTTACTTAGTACGTGGCGACTTAATCCTTTTAGTTATAAGATTCATGACATAGAATCTTAGTTTTTAGAGGATTTACTGACTTAGATATTTTTAGAAAAGGCCAGCATATAATCATAGCATGAAAGAACTGACCAGAAATAGTTTTGTGACCTGTGTAGGCCACTTGGAGACTGACCCAGCCACACAGAGTGCACAGAGGGTCATGTCTAATTGTGGTCTCTGGTGCTCGTAATACTTTAATTCAAAAGAAATGTTTTGATGGCCTACACTGGAGTGTGTTAAGCCACCAGATTCCGGTGCTTTCGTGGGGGTGATATCAGGGCAAGGCTCATTTAAACACTTCAGTATTTGTCTCCAAAGCATGAGGATAATTGCCCAGGCATCCAAGATGACAAGTTTGCATTTAAAAAAGTAACAGGGATTCTGTAACAGTATCTGTTACTACAGTGCCTATCAGGACTTAGCCACCCTCCCAATAACAACAGGTCAGGATTCAGTTGGTTGGTAACGTATCTGTAATTACTTTTTGCTTTAGAACAGACCCCCTTTTCACCCTCAATATTGACTTTTTTGGAGAGTGCTAGAGCATTGTCTTATAAGAATCCCCACACTGTCTATGTGGTTGTTTCCTCTTGCTATCCTATAACTAGTTTCTCTATAATATATAGTTTCTGTAAACAGAAGTTAGGCCTAGGGCCTGAATATATTCAGGTTAGCATCTTTGCAGGAATATTCATAAGGTAGATGTACTTCATGGCACATCACATTAGGGGTCCGTATGTCAAGATATTTCATTTTATTGTAAGCATTTCTATGTATTTTTATAGTATGTATAGGAATGATTAAATATGAGCTAAATAGTAGCCAATTCTTTTGAATATTCTCATTTTGTCTCTGGGATAGTTGACTAAGATAACACGCACAGGTCCTTCAGCTTGGGAAACCAAAAAGATTCTTGCTGTTTCTTTTGCTCCTCTGATCCAGCCCTGCCATTCAGAGTCAGGAAAATCAAGACTTGTCCAGTTACGTAAGTATACCAATCTTTACTTATTTTATCTTTTAGATCTTTTCTCTCTGGTTAGATTTTAAAAGGAAACAAAATTTACAACAAACCTTTTGATATTAAAAAGCACCACTCCCATGCTGAAACTGTAAAATTCTACAAGCAATTTCAGGCATTATAAAAATTATAATCTATTTTTAACCTATTTCAGGTAATTTTAGCCGTCTTTTAAATCTACAAAGAGCTGTTGCCGGTCACACCATTGAAAGCCGAGGACGCACATAAAAGGGAGCTCATTTTGCCATGTGGGAGACTTAGCCTATTTGCCGCCTCCACTGGGAGGGGCTTACAGAAAGAGCCATCAGCCAGAGGGCTCCTACAGAGTCATGGGGCTTCTGCTCCCCAGGGCGCCAAGCGCCTGCTGCCTCATGGGTAGACAAGGTTAGAGAACACATTCCAGCTAATCTGCTGGGGTGTGGATAGGAGACTTTCCGTGGAACCTTACACAGCCGAGCCTTTGTGTTTCACTATTTCAGGATGCAAACTGAGCAAGGAACTGATACCAGGGCCAGCACGACAGCAAAACCTCCTAATGTTTTAAAATTTAAACGGCTCACACAGAAATGAGAGTTCCAATTGATTTTATTTAAAATAAAACTATCAGGATGCTCTCTGATCATTTAGAAAATTTGGAAAATGCAAAAAATAATAGGAAGGGAAAAGTTTTGCATAGTCTTACAAAAAAAAAAAAAAGTTTTGCAAAAAGTTTTACATTTTGGCAAATCTCTTCCAGAAAGGTTTTTTGATTTATTAGGAATCACCTATGAAATGATTACACTTTGCTTTGGTCTCTACTAAGTACAGGTTCTAAGAACTAGACACGGTTCTTGAAATTTGATAATGAGCAACAATAGGACATGCAAAACGGTTAATTAGGGAAGGTTTGGCAGAGGGTGATGTCTGTGCTTGGCCTTCAAGGGCAAAAAGGAGTTCCCTAAAGAGAGAAGAAAGGGGAGAAAAGTACCAGCAGTGGCAGGACATAAATCAAAATGCGTGTTCCCCGTGTAGTCAGAGTTGGGACTGATGGGAGAAACTACTGGTATGTAGGTTAGAATTGGGTTTATCATGTAGGCTGGGGAGAGCTATCAGATGCTTTAAATAAAAGATACAGTGCCTGTGTATCCTGGATAAGCCTGGTTGTCGTCGGGTGGAGGGTGAATCTGTCAAATGCGTGCTCTGAAAGTCTCATCAGAATAACCTTTTAAGTAACTGCCGCCCTTGGCGGGGAGGGCACCAGCTTCCAGAGCCTTAGCAGAGTTTGGGAAGGCAGGGGCATCTTCGGGGTATTTATGAGACTTTTTGAGGGTCTGGTTGAAACGAGCCGTTCCCTGTGGGGTTCGTCTGGCCGATGAAGAATCATGACAATGTGGTGGGCAGTTTGGATGCTTGTTTTGAGGAGATGGCTTTGAAGAGAGTGTTAGATGATCAACAGTAATGTGATGCTTTTAGAGTTTCTGAAGTGACCCATTGAGTTACTTGCAACTTTTCTTTTCCTGGGCCAGTTTCCTATACTAGTAAATTCATGTTGGTAAAGACAGTGGAGTAGAAAACTCTGTGAGTGTAGACATACGTGATATGGGGTCATGTGAGTGTAGATGCGTGGTGTGGGGTGTGTAAGTTTAGACCTGCACAATATGGGGTCAAAGTGAGTGTAGACGTGTGTGGTGTGGGGTCGTGAGAGTGCGGACATGCGCAATGTGGGGTCATGTGTGGACATTTGCAGTGTGGGGTAATGTGTGTGTGGGTGTGCGCGGTGTGGGGTCATGTGAATGTGGGCACGCGTGGTGTGGGGTCATGGGTGCTGGCGTGTGGGGGGTGTGGGCGTGCATCGTGTGGGGTCGTGTGAGTGCGGGCATGCATGGTGTGTGGTGTGAGTGTGGTCCTGCACGGTGTGGGGTCCCGTGAGTGAGGGCGTGCACGGTGTGGGGTCCTGTGAGTGCGGGTGTGCACGGTGTGGGGTCGTAAGTTCAGGCGTGCACGGTATGGGGTTGTGTGAGTGCATGGCGTGGGGTCTTGTGAGTGCGGGCGTGCACGGTGTGGGGTCTTGAGTTCAGGCGTGCACGGTATGGGGTCGTGTGAGTGCATGGTGTGGGGTCGTCAGTGCGGGCATGCACGTTGTGGGGTCGTGTGGGTGTGCACGGTGTGGGGTCGTGAGTGCGGGCGTGCGTGGTGCGGGGTCATGTGAGTGCACGGTGTGGGGTCGTGTGAGTGTGGGCACGTGTGATGTGGGGTCATGTGAGTGCGGATGTGCACAGTGTGGGATCGTGTGAGTGCACAGTGGGTTGTGTGGACGTGCACGGTGTGGCGTCGTGAGTTCAGGCATGCAGGGTGTGGGGTCGTGTGAATGCGGGCCTGCACGGTGTGGGGTGAGTGTGGGCACACGTGATGTGTCATGTGACTGCGGATGTGCACAGTGTGAGGTCGTGTGAATGCGGGCGTGCATGGTGTGCAGTCGTGAGTTCCGGCGTGCACGATGTGGGGTCTTGTGAGTGCGGGCGTGCATGGTGTGGGATCGTGTGAGTGAAGATATGTGTGGTGTGGGGTGGACGGGTTAGCTTTCAGATTGAATGGAAGCAGGAACAAGTGGAAAGCTGTTGAAATTTTCCAGGCGAGAGATAAAGATAAAAACTAAGACACTGGCTGCTACAGTGGAGAAGATTCAGTGATACATAAAATGGTACAGTCCTTCTGAGGAAGGGCACGTGAGGTGTTCGTTGTGATACGTACAATGGTACAGTCCTTCTGAGGAAGGGCACGTGAGGTGTTCGTTGTGATACGTACAATGGTACAGTCCTTCTGAGGAAGGGCACGTGAGGTGTTCGTTGTGATACGTACAATGGTACAGTCCTTCTGAGGAAGGGCATGTGAGGTGTTCGTTGTGATACGTACAATGGTACAGTCCTTCTGAGGAAGGGCACGTGAGGTGTTCGTTGTGATACGTACAATGGTACAGTCCTTCTGAGGAAGGGCATGTGAGGTGTTCGTTGTGATACGTACAATGGTACAGTCCTTCTGAGGAAGGGCATGTGAGGTGTTCGTTGTGATACGTACAATGGTACAGTCCTTCTGAGGAAGGGCATGTGAGGTGTTCGTTGTGATACGTACAATGGTACAGTCCTTCTGAGGAAGGGCATGTGAGGTGTTCGTTGTGATACGTACAATGGTACAGTCCTTCTGAGGAAGGGCATGTGAGGTGTTCGTTGTGATACGTACAATGGTACAGTCCTTCTGAGGAAGGGCATGTGAGGTGTTCGTTGTGAGACGTACAATGGTACAGTCCTTCTGAGGAAGGGCATGTGAGGTGTTCGTTGTGAGACGTACAATGGTACAGTCCTTCTGAGGAAGGGCATGTGAGGTGTTCGTTGTGAGACGTACAATGGTACAGTCCTTCTGAGGAAGGGCATGTGAGGTGTTCGTTGTGAGACGTACAATGGTACAGTCCTTCTGAGGAAGGGCATGTGAGGTGTTCGTTGTCTGTGGTAGACCTGGGTCTGTGGGAGGCTCAGGATTCTGGTCCGGACTGGAGTAGAACCTGGGGAGCTATTGGCTGGCCTCTGTTATTTAAAGCCACAGAATGGATGTAAAACCAAGGACTAGCAGTCATACTGAGACGGTGAAATGGTGGAAATTGGAACCTTAGGGAGCAGCACTGGGCTGGATGGAAGAGGAAGAGCCTGCAAGAGAAAAGAGCTGCGGAGGTCAGAGGGAGCGGCTGTGCCTTGGGCCAGGGGAGCAGTGAGCCACGTTCCTTATCCCAAGCAGACTCCTTGGAGATCTGGAGAGGCCGGAGCTGAGGGCCGGGACCCCGAGGGCCTCGGAAGGAGTTGTTTCAGCCTCTTGGGGCAACAGCCAGATCCCAGTGGCTCTGGAAGTAATCTGTCTAGATGTGAGATGATGAAGGAAGGAAGGATGGCTGTACTTGAGGAGGGAGCCGGGTCACAGATGGGGCAAGAGGCACGATCGTGGTGTTGAGTGAAGAGAAAGGACTGAAGACAAAGGAAGTGCCGGAGCCTGTCCTGGAGAAAGGAGAAGGGACCTCTTGTCTGTGGAGTCAGAAAAGCAGGAAAGGTTGAAGGGAGAAGGTGCTACTTACTCACTACCAGGGGCCTGGGACACAAGCCTGTTTGAGGGTTTCTGAAGAACAGTGGAGATGCTGAGATTCTGTGCAGGCCTTTCTGACTTTGGTAATAAACGTTGTGCACAACACAAGAGCTCTCCCTATAGTGCAGACTGTTATTATTTGGAGAAGTTGAGTACTGGAGGGGAAAAGTGATGCTGATTTTCAGTTTAATGTAATTTTCCCTTTGAGAAATGTTGCCTGCATGAAATCGTGAGCTTTAATTGTCAAATGTTCTTTCTCCTTGGTGTGCTTTGGAGTTTTTGTTTTTCCTGAAAAATGTTTGGATTTGCATTTCCCTACTTTAATAAAAATGGAGCAAATGTTCATTGTGTAAATAACTATGAAAATATTAACAGATAAAAGAATATTAGGCCGGGCACAGTGGCTCACGCCTCTAATCCCAGCGCTTTGGGAGGCTGAGGTGGGCGGATCACTTGATGTTAGGAGTTTGAGACCATCCTGGCCAACGTGGTTGAAACCCCGTCTCTACTAAAAATACAAAAATTAGCTGGGCGTGGTGGCGCATGCCTGTAATCCCAGCTACTGGGGAGGTTGAGGCGGGAGGATCACTTGAACCCAGGAGACGGAGGTTGCAGTAAGTCGAGATCACACCCTTGCACCCCAGCCTGGGTGACAGAGTAAGACTCTGTCTCCAAAAAAAGAATGTTGGAGACATATTCACTGTATTACTAGTAGGTGGGTATTAATATACACATGAACACAGCAAATAATAGAATAATGAAACTGGGCTGTGTCAGGAAGACAAATTGTGACCCAGGTGTTGATTCCACCACTGATTAATATAGCCAAGCAATATTGCTTCCTTTCCCTTTCAAAGTTAAGAATTGATGCATTTGGAAATATCTTTTGAAAAGTACCATATGATTGTAAATTAGAGCACTAATTGACATTTGCTTAGCATGCTCTCATATTCTTGTAACATATTCATAAATTTGCCAGTTAATTGAAATGATGCTACGGGTCTTAGGTGTGTAGGCGTTGTGGTGGTGTCACTCCGATGCATTTGACTGTGTCTCACTCTTCTGTGCTGCAGCACCAGTGGCAGTTCGCAGCCTCCAGGACTTGGCTCGCATCGCCATCCGGGGCACCATTAAAAAGATTATTCATCAGGAAACTGTGAGCAAAAACGGAAACGGACTAAAGAACACCCCCAGGTTTAAACGAAGGAGAGTTCGCCGCCGTCGAATGGAAACGATTGTCTTTTTGGACAAAGAAGTCTTTGCCAGTCGGATTTCCAACCCCTCAGATGACAACAGCTGTGAAGACTTGGAAGAGGAACGGAGGGAAGAAGAAGAGAAGACCCCGCCGGAAACAAAGCCAGACCCCCCAGTGAACTTCCTACGCCAGAAGGTCCTGAGCCTCCCTCTGCCAGATCCCCTGAAATACTACTTGCTTTATTACAGAGAAAAATAAGTCTCCTGTTTGAAAGGGGGAAATAGGAAGAGCAGATTGCTGAGTGTGAAGTTCGTGCTGCCTGTGTGCTGTTGAAGGGTCACCTGGAGGCAGACGTTGTGGGGAAGGGAACTGCTGGGCTCATCCACACCATGGTTTTCTTCTAGTTCCTGATTGACCTCTAAAATTCTATTCAGTTGTATGATTTGTTTACATAGTTCCACAAGACCTTCATTGCATAGAAGATTGTTTTCCCAAAGTGGAGAGAATCTTCATAGAGAAAAAGAGAAGGCTGTTTCTTTTTCGGCTCTGACGAAACACTGAAGTCTGCGTAAGAGAGACTGTTTGATGACCGTCCCTCATGCAACATGCACGGTACTCACTAAAAATGAAAACTGAAGTGGAAACTAACCTGTGTTGCTTATAAAGTGTGAAAGCACAAGCTTATAAATGTATAAAATCTTTTCTGGGTGTGACGCACCTGCGTCCAAGTTTGAATTTTTATGATATGTACCACTTAATTACTGGCACTGAGTATCACTGAATTTCTTAGTTTTCTAGTGGGGAAACATTATTGAGAAGCCCTCCCTTATTTTAAGTAAGTTGATTAAATCTTATGTGAGTTGCCAGTTGTAATTTTTCAAAGGAAAAATTTTGATGGGGTGGAGGAATGAATTGCCAGATAATCTTTCTGGAATTCCGAGAGAATTCCAAAGAGGGTTTTTTTTTTTTTTTTTAGGACATCTTTTGATACCTTTAAAAGAACCACTGTCAAGTAATCCTTAAAAGAATATCTTGGAAAAGGAAACAGATTTTTTCCTGTGTGTAAGCAATAAGTGAAGTTACATTTGCCCTAACCCTAGGGATGATTCTTTACCCAGTTTTAAAGCCCATCATGGTATTCTAAGGTGTTGACACCCTCCATCCTCAGAGCAGGTCGAAAATATTAAATAGACTGGGGACTCTATGATGGGCAGCCTGTGCTTTTTGACTTCAGTTTGCTATTTTTCTGTGATCACATTAGTACTGATTCATAGATTCTATCTTTTATAATTCTGGAGAAAAAGATTTGTTAGTTTTGTAATTTTTTTGTAAGACCAAATGTATGTATTTTAGTAGCTCCATTGCATGAGAAGAGTGTAACTCACACTGACTTGTGATATCAGCCTTCTCTGGGCCTTGTGTGTGGAGAGCTTTCTATCTTACCAAGTGGTAGGGCTAAAAGAACAACAGCCTTTTTGGTAGTCACATAGCAGAATGATCAGAGTTACATTGCTTATTCCAAAACATTGGTTCTTTTTAAAACATTTTTTTTTACCCAAAGAAAAGAATAATAGAAATTACTAACAATAAATATAAATTCAGAGTGTTGATATAGGATTCAGTATCCAGAGTTTATTTTTAATCTTAATCCTCAGCTTCTTGGGAGTTGCTGGGCTTCAGTGTCTCTGTGGTTTCACCAGCTTAGCTTGAGCTCTGGTTATTTTGGATCTTTTCTGCTTTTTTTAAGTAACTGAGTCATTTTTACCACACAGTCCAGTTTGCATGTATAGCTAGGAAACATGTATTGCTCTAGATTGGGCAGTTTAAGTCATTTTAAAGAAAGTTAGTTCATAGTTGTTGCCTTTTAACTCATAGTCAAGCTTCAGTCTTTCAAAGAGAAATGTGTGATTTTCATTTACTTGCTGATATTTTGTAGTTTGGAGATCCTTGTGGGCATTATTCTAACTGATACGTAGACACTTACTTGGAAATTTTTGGACATTATATTAAATGAGTGCTATCTGTGAAATTGGTTATATTAGGTGGCTTGACTAATGTTTTTTCTATAATTGTATATGGACTGCATTTTTAAAAAAACCGCATTTGCCTTTATGCTAGATTGTAAAAAATTATATTAGAATGCATAAGACATGTTTTTCCTTCATATGCTAGACTTTTCCTAGCATTTCGTATTTCTGTGTTGTCAGTGTGTGATTTTTAAACCGGAATTTGGTTTAAAAAAAATCTGGTGGTAATATATGTGAGAAATACTTTGGTGTTTACCTTATGAAAATAAAGGATTGTAAGTAAAGTTTCCTGCGCACCTTATACCAGAATTCAGTATAATACACTACTTTCTGTTTTCAAACAGATAAATCATAATATAGTCTGTATTATCTGTAAGATCTGTCTTGTAAACCACATTCTTGACAACTATTTGCTTTTGAGTAGTTTGTATTTTAATATGTGACTTTTGTCTTGAAAAGTAGTAAAGCCATAGACTTGTGCAAAACAAGTTTCAAGTTTATAGATATTAAGTTTGTAATGTGAGCATCAAATGTGTATGTAAAAATACTTTTTACCAGTCTGGAACTTGGGAAAATCCAGGGAATTTGAAACATAGATTTTAATGAGCTGGTAAACACAAATCATGTCAATAAAGGTAGTCAGGATATTTTATCCTTAGCATTGCTTCTGCATCCTGTGTAGGATTCCAATTCTTGAATATGTTCTTTTCAAAATCTTAAGAAAAGAACCTTTTTTCTTTATTAACATCATGTGTTTACTTTCAGCAAATATTTGTATTACTGCTTGATTCTGTGACAGTCACAATAGATGTAGAGAAGGCATTATTTTTCATTAATAAATGTGAAATTGGAATGGACAAATGGAGAAGTGGCTGGCTCCAAGTACATAAGAGAATAGGGCCTTGAAGATTGCGGTTAACGTTTTTGGCATAATTTTCCCACATTCAACTTTCTAAGGGGCAGAAAATATTTTTTTTTCATTCTCAGTTATCTGTTCAGAGCACAGATGTTATTTAGATCTTGAAATTCTGGGACCAGTCTCCCAAAGAGCTTATGTTTTCTCTTTTATTGTATGTGCTTGTTGGGATATTTTTTACATTCTGCCTTCCAATTTTTTATTTTGGCAGTTATATATTTTAAGATAATTTCATGCTCTCTTTACTGATCTCTGAATTTTCCTTCCTGCTGTATTCGTCAGGGTTCTGTAGAGGGACAGGACTAATAGGATAGATATATATATATGAAAGGGAGTTTATTAAGGAGTATTGACTCACAGGATCGCAAGGTGAAGTCCCACAGTAGGGCATCTGCAACCTGAGAAGCAAGGAAGCCAGTCCGAGTCCCAAAACCTCAAAAGTAGGGAAGCTGACAGTGCAGCCTTCAGTTTGTGACTGAAGGCCCAAGAACCCCTTTCAAACCACTGGTGTCAATCCAAGAGTGCAAAAGCTGAAGAACTGGGAGTCCTGTGTTCGAGGGCCGGAAGCAAAGCATGGGAGAAAGATAGAGGCCGGAAGACTCAGCCAGTCCAGTCCTTCCGTGTTCCTCTGCCTGCTTTTATCCTAGTCGAGCTGGCAGCTGAATAGATGGTGCCCACCCAGACTGAGGGTGGGTGTGCCTCTCCCAGTCCACTGACTCAAATGTTAATCTCCTTTGGCAACAGCCACACAGACACACCCAGGAATGATACTTTGCATCCTTCAAGCCAATCAAGTTGACACAGTACTAATCATCACACCTGCATATACTGTTATTTTCTGTGGTTGCAGTACTATAGACTTTTCTGAGGATCCTAATTAGAATTTTTAAAAATTTTACTTCATCGGAGGTGGGAACGTGGATTCTGGCCCTTCCTTGAACAAAGAAGGAAACGGCCAGAAAGAGGAAGGGATGTGGGGACTTACTCCTCTAGAGGTGATTTATCAGTTTGATCATGTTGATCTTTCATTTCTTGCTGTATCTCTTTTTTTTTTTCTTTTTTAACTGTTGTTGGAGACTCACGTTTGCCTGTCTGTAATTACAAACCAGGCTGGAGTAGGGACAGTCATTGGCCAACCTCATAGTGGGATGAGGAGAGCTGGTCTTCAAGCCAGGGGCCTGGACATATGAAGGGTAATGGTCTCTGGGAATCAGTGAGCCTCCTTGATCCGTCTGCAGAAACCCCTTCCTTCTGGTTCCCTGCTGCTGCTGGGCATCAGGATGCTCTCCCACCATTCGAGCTCCTTGCAAACCTCATCCTAACCCTAACCCTGCTGTGCCCCAGCTCTCTGTCAGATGCCCGTCACCAGGGGCTCCACTTGCAACCTGACTCTGAACAACTGTGGACCTTGTGCTTATGTCTTTCCCTTCTCTTTCTCTTGGAGACAGAGATGCTCTGAACAACTGTGGACCTTGTGCTTATGTCTTTTCCCTTCTCTTTCTCTTGGAGACAGAGATGTAACCCATTGCTCCACTATGTTGGAACCAGAATGTCCAAATTAGCACTTGAGGTTCTGCATGAAAGAGGAAATAGCAGAAAGCGGGGATAGAGTCATAGACCACACGGGCAGGACGTCCCTTTGACCTAGGAGGGCCCTGGGCAGCTGGGCACTGGGTGGTTAGAGCAGGGGTGGAGTCATAGACCACACGGGCAGGACGTCCCTTTGACCTAGGAGGGCCCTGGGCAGCTGGGCACTGGGTGGTTAGAGCAGGGGTGGAGTCAGACCACACGGGCAGGACGTCCCTTTGATCTAGGAGGGCTCTGGGCAGCTGGGCACTGGGTGGTTAGAGCAGGGGTGGAGTCATAGACCACACGGGCAGGGCATCCCTTTGATCTAGGAGGGCCCTGGGCAGCTGGGCACTGGGTGGTTAGGTGGTTGTTCTGATGGTCAAGAGGGAGAACAGCATGAGCCCTGCCCCAGGCCTGTTGTTCTGTGTCAGAGATCAGGGCTGTCTTAATGCCCCATATCCCCCACCTGGCCAGCTCCCCCAGACTCAGAGGGCAGCAGCAGTAACTACTGTGCCTTGATCCGCTAAGGTGGTGGGGGCCACCCCTCTGCCATCCCAGGAAACACGCAGAGCCTGGGCCATCCCAGCCCTTGCCGGTAGCCTTTCCTGTGACCAGCAGGGCCCAGAGACTGTGTGAGGAGGTGCTTGGGTGGTAGCTGGTCACAGGCAGAGGCACGGGCTACATGAGGACCTCCAGGGGGTGTTGCTCACTCCTATCAGGTAGCAGGGTCACTCCTGAAAGTTCTAGAACCATGACTTAGCCAGCTGCATCATGTCCATTTTGGGGAAAATAAAATCTCTGGAGCTGACCCTTGGCTGGGACTGGACCTCCCAAGAAGTGGCACCTATGCAATGGTTAGAGGTCTGGTCCAGATGGAGGCTGAAGGCTCCTCCTCACCCACTCCACTTGGCACCTGTGGGGAGGGGCCACTGCCCTCAGCATCCTCTTCCCACAGCACTGCCACCCCTCCGCCCCAACACTTCCTCCTGTCCCCTTTCTGGCCTTATCCCTGGCCTCTCTGAGAAGAGGGATGTGATCCCACGGCCTGCCCTCACCTCCTTAAAGGGCCAGCCTGGGCCCAGTGGACACAGTTGAGACACCATCTTGTGCCTCTTCCTGTGCCTTCCTGAGGCACCTTTCCTAGAGATTAAAGGGACATAACGGCTGTTCCAAAGTGTTGATAGCTGGAGGAGGAGCCCGGGGAGATGTGAGGCACGGGGTTTGGGCAGCCCTGGGTTTTCCAGGCTCCAGTGACAGCAGGATGGAGGCTCAGGGTCAGCTCTGGGTACAGTGGGGTGGAGACTCAGGGAACATCTTCAGGGAGGCCACCTCCACCCCATCCCTCCTGGTCCACAGAGATCTGTTGTCTCGAAGTTCTGAAGTCCAGAGTCTGGAATGAGGGTGTTGGCAGGGCCGGCCCTAGGGAGGCATCTGTTCCAGGGCCTTTCTCCAGCTTCTGGTAGTTTCTTTGCTTGTGACAGCAAAGCTCCAGTCTTCACAAACCTTCTTCCCTGTGCGTGTTTCTGTGTCCACATTCCCCTTTTGATAAGGACATAATCATCATGAATGAAGCATGGCCCTAATGACTTCCGAACTTCATCATTTGCAAAGACCCTATTTCCATATAATGCCATACTTGTAGGTACTGGGTGTTAGGGCTTCAACATATGAATTGTTAGGGATGGAACTCAACCTATAACCTTGTCCCTGCCTCTGCCAGTGATCTCCACATTCCTGCTGGCCCCAAAGGCACCATGGCCCCTTCCAGGGTGCCCCAGGCAGATCACGGGAGGGCCTGACTGCTGGGGATGGGGCTGGTGCTGGGATCCTCTGCCCAGTGAGGGCTGGGATGAGACTATTATGGGGTTGGGGGTGCTGAAGTTTTGAAGGCAGGGTAAAACAGAGGCTGGGTCCCTCTCTGGACCCCAGGCTCCAGGGAACACCTCTCCTGGGAGTTCCCATGCTCCCTGTGGCCTGGGCAAAAAAAAAAAAAAAAAGTACTTGCAGTCCGAGGCCCCCCAAAGGCAAAAGCCTGGCTCCGATAAGCATCCTCCCCACCCTGTGTGCCTTTCGAGCCCCTGAGGTTTGTGGGGAGTCTCAGAGGTTTTGTGGGGAGCCTCAGACCAGATCCTGGTCAGCAGGGTTGAGGCAGGCCTGAGAATGTATCTTTAGCATCCAGAGATTGGGAGGGTGTGGACGGAAGCAAGGTTCAGGCATCCTCAGCTCTAACTAAGTATCAAATACTAGTGTGAATCCACTTCCTGGAGCTGGCCTCTGGGGAGCCTTGGGTTGGTGTACATAAACAGGGTCTGCCTGATTCATCAGGTTTCTCATGGGGCCTGGACCACCTCATGATCACAAAAGTGACCGCACAGCTTCAATGCCTCTCCTGTGTGGGCTGGACACACGTTCATCTGACTCACAAACTTTCCCTGGGTGGCACCTGGAGCCCTGGCTCTGGGCTGGAACCTGAGTGTGAAGCCACTGGAGGCTGTGGGATTGCAGGTCAGGTGAGTCACTCAGCCACCTGAGCCTGGCCCTCCGCTCTGCACAGGGGACTAGCTATAGATAGCAGGGAGTTCACCTGAGCAAGACACCAGCACACGTTGGTGCTCAGAAAACTCTGATTTCCTTTTATTGAGATGGGACAACCCTTGGAGACCATGTGTCAAGGTCTGGATTACAGTAGGACAAGGTTCAAAGGGCCCTGTGAGCCCTGAGGTGTTGCTGATCCCTGGGTGTCTGTGAAGGCGAGAGAAGGTGACCTGGATCTGGAATGAGGAAACGGCCATGGGTTTAGGAGCTGGCAGACATGTGTCCAGAATGTGGTTGGCCAGGCCTAGACAGCGCTGGGCTGTGGAGGGCCTTGAACCCCAGGCTAAGGGAGCATGTGGGAAGAGGGCTCACCCTGGTGAGGGAATGCTGGGGTGGGATTTTGTTTTTTTATTCAGGTAAAATCCACATAATATAAAATTAACTGTTTTAAGATGTAAAATTCAGTGACATTGTGAACCTGCAAAATATTGTGCAACCATCACCTCTTAGTTCCAAAACCCCAAAAGGAAGCCCCCTACCTATTAAGCAGCTGCTACCCAATGTGCCCTCCCTCCGACCCCCGGCGACCACTAATCTGCTTTCTGTCTCTGTAGATTTACGTATTCTGGATATTCTCCATGAATGGAATCATGAAGTATGTGACCTTTTGTGTTCAGCTTCTTGCTTTTAGCATGTTTTGAGGTTCGTCCACATTGTAATGTCAGTGCCTCAACCCTTTTCACAGCCGAATATTATGCTGTTATAGAAATAGACCATATTTGACTTTCCTGTTCATTTGTTGGTGGACATTTGGGCTGTGTTTTGTTGTTGTTGTTGTTGTTTTTGAGATGGAGTTTTGCTCTTGTCACCTAGGCTGGAGTGCAATGGCGTGCCCTCGGCTCACTGCAACCTCTGCCTCCCAGGTTCAGGTGATTCTCCCGCCTCAGCCTCCCGAGTAGCTGGGATTACAGGCACCTGCCACCACTCCCGGCTAATTTTGGTACTTTTGTAGAGATGGGGTTTCACCATGTTGGCCAGGCTGGTCTTGAACTCCTGACCTCAGGTGGTCCGCCCGCCTCTGCCTCCCAAAGTGCTGGGATTACAGGCATGAGCCACCGCACCCGGCCTGTTTCCAACTTTTTAAAATTGTGAATAACACCGTTATAAACATGTGTATACAAGTTTTTGTTTGAATACCTCTTTTCCATTCTTTTATGTATATATATCTAGGAATGAAGTTGCTGGGTTCTATGGTAATTCTGTTTAGCGTTTTGCAGAACCACCAAACTATTTCCCACAGTGTCTGCACCATATGACATGCCCATCAGCAATGTTCACGTTTCTCTACTTCCTGACACTGCATGTTAGTTTCTGTTTCTTTCTTTTTTTGTAATAACCATTCTAATAGGTATGAAGTGGTATCTTTTTGTAGTTTAGATTTGCATTTCATTTCCCTAATGGTTACTGATGTTGAATATCTTTTCATGTGTTATTTCTGTATCTTCTTTGGAGAAAAGTGTCTTTAATTCTTCTGCCCATTTTGCATGGGAGGTGGGTGGGGGTTGTTTGTCTTTTTGTTCTTGAGTTGTAAGAGTTCTTTGTATATTCCGGATACTAGGCCACTGTCAGATTCTCAGTTCTCAAGCATCCAAAATGATTAACAAAATGACAATTTCTAGGGCTTCTGTGGGAGAGTATGGAAGGTCTTTTTGAACTTTTTAATGCTGTCAACTAAAGAATGATGAGGTTCATAAATATGG
Organism: Homo sapiens; assembly: GCF_000001405.40. Lineage (NCBI taxonomy): Eukaryota > Metazoa > Chordata > Mammalia > Primates > Hominidae > Homo > Homo sapiens. The sequence continues at coordinate 64,282,150 of NC_000020.11, forward strand.
AAAGGAGAGATTTCTATATTTTTGTTTATTTTTATTTTTTTGAGACGGAGTTTCACTCTTCTTGCCCAGGCTGGAGTGCAATGGCGTAATCTTGGCTCACTGCAACCTCCACCTCCCAGGTTCAAGTGATTCTCCTGCATCAGCCTCTCGATTAGCTGGGATTACAGACCCTCACCACTATGCCTGGCTAATTTTTGTTTTTTTAGTAGAGATGAGGTTTCACCATGTTGGCCAGTCTGGTCTTGAACGCCTGACCTCAGGTGATCCACCTGCCTCGGCCTCCCAAAGTGCTGGGATTATAGGCACTGCACCCAGTGAGGTATTTATTTCCTGTAAAGGGTTGCAGCCTGCAGGGTAGTCCTTCTGATAGGCTGGGAAGCATAGCCTCCAGCCAGAAACTAGAAACAAGACACTTCAAGGAAGAGGTGAAGGAAACAGTAATTTATGCTGAGTGGCATGGCCAAATACACATCTTTAATAAGCTCTAGGCGGAGTCATGAATATTTATGAAAGGGGAAATGCGTGCATGCACAACTGAGTTCCTTGGTTCTTCATGGGTCCCATGTACAAAAAATAGCAGTGTTAGCATCATCCCAGGGTGGAGTTTTCAGCCCTCTGACATTAAAAGGTGAAGCAGAGGACATGAAAACTCGCTCTGTGCATCCTCTGTGTGCTGTCCAGAACCTCTCCGTCATGGGTGGTCTCTTATCAGGCAAGAAAGGAGAGGTTGATATCAGTGGTGATTTTGAAAGGGCTGGTTTCTGTTAAATCCTTAGGGAAGAAAGCCTCATCATGGTTTGCAAAGCAGGGGGTATAATGGGGTGTACCTGACTCCCATCATCCCATTCTGGCCAAGCTGAGAACTCAGTTTTGAAAGTTACTCTGGGGTCCCCTCAGCCAAGAGTGGGTCTGTTCAGTCAGCTGGGAGCTTAGGATTTCATTTTCATTTATCAATGCTAATGGGAATGAGCAGTCTATCTTCATGGCAGCTGAATTTGCAAGAAACTTCGTGGATGGGGTTAACGGCAGCTGTATTTTCTGGGCGCTCCATGGATGGGGTTAACGGCAGCTGAATTTGCAAGGAACTCCGTGGATGGGGTTAATGGCAGCTGTATTTTCTGGGAGCTGTGCTTTAATTGGATAAAGTAAGTTCTGGTAAGATTTCTTCCTTCATCTTCGGTATCTCAAATGTTTTCATTTAAATAATCTTTATAATAACTCTTGATGTCTGAGGGGGTTCCCACACAGTCATCTATTGTAAGACTTTCTGATTCCTTTTTTTCCTTTGGTCATTATGAATAGGGCTTCTGTACATAATTGCATGGTAGCTTTTGTTTGGAAATCACATCAAAGTGGTTGTCAAAATACTTAGGAATGTCGTTTTTGGATTGTAAGGAGAGACTTATTTAGCTTTGGAAAAAACTGCCCAACTTGTAATAGGTGAGGAAAAATAATTTTCTCTCTATCTTTTCAGAATTCTTAGATTGGACCCTCTGTAACAAATGACAGATTAAAATGAGAAAAATGTAGAAAAGTTTAAAAACATGTATACCTTATGGATACATGGGCGATACTCAGGGAAAAATGAGTAAATCTCCAGCAGGTGGTTTTCAATTCAAGTGTAAATACTATCTTCAACTTGAAGATTTGAGGCACAGTAGTGGGGAGTTAACCAGCAAAACCACATTAGACAAGAGTAACGTTTGTTATGCAGACTGAAGTCCATGCGTCCTCCATTGATAAGACTCTAGTGATTTAGTTATCCTTCTCTTCTTGGTGCCGAGAGAGAGGTAGCTTTTAAATGGGGATTTCCTTTATAGATGTAAATTTTCCTTACAGAAGGGTAACTTCTACTCTGGTTTTGGAACTTCCTTTGTTAGCATTTTTTTTCAAAATAATCATCTTGGAATAATTCTTATGCCAAAGGGACATATTTTGGGGTGGCATATTCTGGTCTTATACACTGTCTTCCACCAGCAATGAAAAGAGTTATTGTCTTTCTTGCAGCAATTTGTGATTTTTTTAGAGTTTAGCAGTTCTAATAGATATAGACCAGCTGTGCTATCTCCTGGTTTTCAGTTCTGTAGTATGTTGAGCATCTTTTTGTATGTTTACTTGCCATCTGTAGATCTTCTTTGGTGAGGTGTCTGTTCAGATCTGTGTGCATTTTTAATTGTGCTGTTTAACTTGTTTAGTTTTAAGAATTTTTTATATATTTTGAATACAAATTCTTTCTCAGATCTGTATTTTGCAAATATTTTCTTCAATATGTGGCTTGTCTTTTTGTTCTCTTAAGAAGGTCTCTTCCAGAGTATAAACTTTAAAGATTAAGAAATCCACATTGTCATTTCTTCTGTGTATATCAACCTTTTGTGTCATTTGTTAAAATTCATTACCAAATCCAAAGGCACATAGCTTTTCTTCTATAGTTTCTTCTAGAAATTGTATAGTTTTGCATTTTTAGTGTAAGGATGATTTTGAGTGGTTATTTGTGCAAGTTGTAAAGTTTTCATCTACATGCATATCACTTCTTATGGTTTCCAATTAATCATTCCCTCACTATTTTTGGAAAGACACAGGATAGTGGGCTCTGTTAGAGTTTATATATAGCTAGACATGAACAGGAGGGGAGCTCCTAGAAAAGGGAAAGTCTGGGAAGGCTCACCTGGAGGGACCACCAAAAATTCACATATTAGTAGCATCTCTAGTGCTGGAGTGCATGGGCACTTGTCAATTGTGAGTAGGAGGGAGAAGAGGTACCTATGCAGAAAGAAACACCCTAGAACTCCTCTTAAGATGCCCCAATCATCATTCACTCTGCAATAAAAATGTCAGAATATTGCTAGCTACATGCTGATAAGAAGGACAAAGGGGACATTCTTAAGAGAAACCTGGCACCATAAGTGCAGATTAGGGCAAAGAAGGACATTCAAAAGAGATAGGCAGGCACACTAGGTACAAACGTGACCGCTGTCAGCCTGCCTGGGATGGCGGGAAGGAGGCTGGTGCCAGAGTGGATTCGGATTGATACCACACATGTACCTCAACCAACAGTGAGGAGGTCCCACAAGCCTAAGTGTGGCAAGTCGGGGACCTAAGGCAGTAGCAGGAAAACCAGACAAAGAGAACAGGTGGAGACTTGAGACAGAGACAGGAATGTGAAGAAGTCCAAAATAAAATTCCCTGCACAGGACTCCTAGGATGTTTTCATGCACGATCAGCCCACTCCTCCCTATTTTTCTACAATGAGCTCTTTACACTGTATTTCTTTTCAATGAAGTTGTCTGCCATTTTTGTACTGCCTCTTGGTGAAAATCTTTCTTCCAAGTTAGACAAGAACTGGGACATCAGCTCTCCCTAGTACTAGCTCCGTTTCAGTTGAATTTACAGAACTGATGGGGCTTAAAAACTGATGCTCTGACTTTAAGTGGTGCAGGAGGCAGCCAGTAGGGGACGCCAACCGTCACACTGGGAGCAAGAGACCCCCGCCTAGTCCCCATCTGCCTGCAGGTGGCGTGCTGCCTCGACACTGCCACCAAGAGGGCCAGGCAGTGTCTCCAGCTGCCAGCAGGCGGCGTACGACGACTACACTGTGAGCAACAGGGCCCTGCAGTGTCCTTAGCTGCCAGCAGGTGTCATATGGGCACCACACCATGAGCAAGAGGACCCCGCAGTGCCCTGGTTGCCAACAGGGGGCGTGCTGCCACTACACTGTGAGCGAGAGGTTCCTGTAGTGCCAGCAGGTGCCAGAAGAGGGCGTGCCCCCACTGCACTGCAAGCAAGAGGGCCCGGCAGTGTCCCCAGCTGCCAGCAGGGGAGCCAGCCGCCACTACACTTTGAGCAAGAGGGCCTGGCAGTGTCCCCAGCTGCCAGCAGGGGGGTGTGCTGCCACCACACTGTGAGCAAGAGGACCCTGCAATGTCCCTAGCTGCCACCAGGCGGCGTGCCGCCGCTATACTGTGAGCAAGAGGCCCCTGCATTGCCCCGGCGCCAGCAGGGGGCGCTGGCCACCACTATAAGCAACAGAGCCCTGCAGCTGCCCTAGTCGCCAGCAGGGGGTGCACTGGCACAGCACCGTGACCAAGCCAGTCCTGTAGTGCCCAGCTGCAAGCAGGGGGCGGTCGAGCCCGGCTTTTCGAATTATTGAGGTTCCTCCCGTCTCTGCGCCACGCCGCTGCGACGGGCGTCTCCGCGCCTGCACCGCGCTCCCCTCCCCAGCACAGGGGCGTGCGACTGTGCTCCTGCACCACGCCACCCCAACCCAACCCCCGCCCGGCAGCGTGCTCTCTGCGCATCCGCCGCGCCTCCCCCGCACGTCGCGCCAGCCTGTGCGCGCCTGCGCCGGCGCGGTGGGCCTCTCTGTGCCCGCGCCGGCGTGGGGTGCCTTTGCGGGGGCAGAGCTGCGTTCTGCTTAACACAGACCCGGGGCACACCGCAAAGGTGGAGCAGCTTTCTCAGCACACACCTTGGGGGCACAGCCTCGCTTTGGGACAACTCGGGGCCGCATCGACAGTGAACAAAATCCTTTCTGTTTGCAGCCCTGAATAATCAGGGTTAGGGTTAGGGTTAGGGGTTAGGGGTTGGGGTTGGGGTTAGGGTTAGGGTTAGGGTTGGGTTAGGGTTAGGGTTAGGGGTTAGGGTTTAGGGTTAGGGTTAGGGTTAGGGTTAGGGTTAGGGTAGGGTCAGGGTCAGGGTCAGGGTCAGGGTCAGGGTTAAGGGTCAGGGTCAGGGTCAGGGTCAGGGTCAGGGGTTAGGGTTAGGGTTAGGGTCAGGGTCAGGGGTTAGGGTCGGGGTCGGGGTCGGGGTCAGGGGTCAGGGGTCAAGGGTCGGGGTCAGGGGTCGGGGTCAGGGTGAGGGTGAGGGTGAGGGTTAGGGGTTAGGGTTAGGGTTAGGGTTACGGTTAGGGTTAGGGTTAGGGTTAGGGTAGGGTTAGGGTTAGGGGTTAGGGGTTAGGGTTAGGGTTAGGGTAAGGGTAAGGGTTAGGATTAGGGGTTAGGGTTAGGGTTAGGGTTAGGGTTAGGGTTAGGGTAGGGTTAGGGTTAGGGTTAGGGTTAGGGGTTAGGGGTTAGGGTTAGGGTTAGGGTAAGGGTAAGGGTTAGGATTAGGGGTTAGGGTTAGGGTTAGGGTTAGGGTTAGGTTAGGGTTAGGGTTAGGATTAGGGGTTAGGGTTAGGGTTAGGGTTAGGGTTAGGGTTAGGGTTAGGGTTAGGGTTTAGGGGTTAGGGTTAGGGTTAGGGTTAGGGTTATTGGTTAGGGTTAGGGTTAGGGTTAGGGGTTAGGGTTAGGAGTTAGGGTTGGGGTTAGGGTTAGGGTTCAGGTTCGGGGTTCGGGTTGGGGTTGGGTTTGGGGTTATGGTTAGGGTTAGGTTTTGGGGTTAGGGTTAGGGTTTGGAGTTAGGGGTTAGGGTTAGTGGTTAGCGTTAGGGTTAGGGTAGGGGTTAGGGGTTAGGCTTAGTGGTTAGGGTTAGGGTTAGGCTTAGGGTTAGATTACAATTTCTAACCTGTTTTATTTTGTTTTTTTTCTGAGACAGGGTCTCCCTCTTTTGTCCAAGGCTGGAGTGTGGTAGTGCTATCACAGCTGACTGCAGCCTCAACCTTCCAGGCTGAAGCGATCCTCCCATCTCAATCTCCTACGTGGCTGACACTACAGGTGCTTGCCACTATGCCCAACTAACATTTGGAATTTTCGTATACGTGGATTCTAGAGGGGTGACAGCGAAACGTGAGTAAGCATGGATTTTGGTATATGCAGAGATGGAGGGCTGGAACTAATTCTGTATACTGAGGGACGACGACTGTATATGTTTTTACAATTACGCTGTAGGATACATACTGTTGCATAGCCTTGAAAATAATAATTTTTAATTGAGTGGAATAAGAATAATATTGATAAAAGTAGCAGCTGGCCAGGTGTGGTGGCTCACACTGGTAATCGCAACACTTTGGGAGGCTGAGGCAGGAGGATGGCTTGAGGCCAAGAGTTTGCGATAGGCCTTGGAAACAAAGGGAGTCACCATCCCTACAGAAAAATACATGAATTAGCCTAGTGTGGTGGCATGTTCCTGTAGTCCCAGCTACTTGGGAGGCTGAGGTGGGAGGATCACTTGAGCCCAGGGAGGCTGAGACTGCAGTGAGTCATGATCAGGCCTCTGCACTCCAGCCTGGGTGACAGAGTGAGACCCTGTCTCTAAACAACAAAAAAGTAGCAGCTAACATCAACTGACCTTTTACTGAGTGCCTATGGATACCATAGTTTAATTTCTTATAACTGTTTCTTATTTTACTTACCAACTCTGTCTTCAGTTACTCCCAGATTTTTACTGTGTGTGTACAGATGACCTTTTGGAGGAGCCTCAACAGGCACAGCTCCTCCCTCATAGTGGCCCATTTAGGCCCAACTCATGACTGTCGGGCTATTTCCAGGCCTAGTGTCTGCCTCGTGGCTGACTGTTGAAGCCCAAAACTTCCTCAAATCAGCCTTTTGCCCAACTTCTGTCTACTGTCGGACTCTACAGGCCAGCCTCTGCCTCACAGTGGACCCTCCAGACCCAGATGGTGTCTCACTGTGGCATCCTCAGGCGAAGCTCCTGCCTTTTGGCAGCCTCTCCAGGCCCAGCTCCTCCTGCCTCCCAGTGGCCTCTTTCGGCCCAGCCCAGCTCATGGCTCTCGGCGGCCTTCCCAGGCCCCGCTTTTGACTTTTGGCAGCCTCTTCAGGCGCAGAACTTGATCTCCAGTCGGCCTTTGCAGGCCCGGCCTCCTGCCTCTCGAAGGCCTGCACGGGCCTGGCCTCGGCCTTGGCCTCACAGCGGACTCTCCACGCCCAGCTAGCTCTCGCCTCACTGTGGCCTCCCCAGTCCAAAGCTCCTGCCTTTCGGCCACTTCGGCAGGTCCAGCTCCTGCCTGCCAGTGGCCTCTTTAGGCCCAGCTCATTCCTCACGTCGGCCATTCCAGGCCCCGTTTTTCCCTTCCGGCAGCCTCTTGGCCTCTAATTTGTTTATCTTTTGTGTATAAATCCCAAAATATTGAATTTTGGAATATTTCCACCATTATATATTTTGGTAGGTAATTTATTTGGAGTGAGTTTCTGCACCATGCCCGAATTTTTTATTTTATTTTCCTTATTATTTGGTGTTAAACAGGTTTAATGACGGTCATGGCAACTTTTTGGCACAATGAAAAATATCGCCCATGATCAACGTGTTCTGTTCTGGGGAAGGGGGCAAAGGCAGGGTGAATCACTTTCTTAAAAAGTATAGCTCAAGTTGGGAGTGCAGAGGGAATGGGGAGAAAACCCTCCCGCTGCCTGTGTCGAAGTGCAGGAGCCCCCACCCCCATACTCACCTGAGTCCAGCCCCTCTGGGGAAAGAAGGGGTGCATGAACTCCCCCTAGTCCACAGGCGCCTCCCTGTGGCCCAAGGCCCTCTTCACACTCCATCTTGTAGCCCCAGCAGGAGCTATTTTCCGAAAAGTGAAAAGCTCTGAAGGTCCCACAATTCATGGTATGTACAGGGGCTCGGAGGAGGGAAACTGCCCAGCTTTCCCCCGGCACAGCTGCAGGGGTAGGGGGTATAGATAAGAGGAGCAGGCCTTGGCCAGGCGTGGTGGCTCACGCCTGTAATCCCAGCACTTTGGGAGGGGGAGGCAGGCAGATCACGACGTCAGGAGATCGAAATCAGCCTGGCCAAGATGATGAAGCCCCGTCTGTACTAAAAATACAAAAATTAGCCGGACGTGGTAGCGTCCACCTGTAATCCTAGCTACCCGGAAGGCTGAGGCAGGAGAATGGCGTGAACCCGGCGGGAAGAGGTTGCAGTGAGCCAAGATCGCACCACTGCACTCCAGCCTGGGCGACAGAGCAAGACTCGGTCTCAAAAAAAAAAAAAAAAAAAAAAAGAGGAAGGCCTTACTCTGTCCCAAACTGAAAGGATTAAATGGCTTCACCTGGGAGAAGATAACCATCCTGCCCTCCATTGCTACCCCCACATACTGTCCATGTTCTCAGGGGGTACTGTGAGTCCTGGGATCTTTGGGGTTGCCCACCTGCCTGTGGTAGTTATGGAGACCCCCAGGTGTTGAGGCAGGGCTGGGGTGTCCCCTTCCAACCAGGCTGTCAAGGCCCCAACTCTGGGGCAGAGGCAGTGGCAGGGCAGCCAGGGTTGCGCCAGAGCCTGAGCAGGTTGAGGTGGGGTCAGGCAGGGCTGGGAGTCAGGGCAGGGGCAGCAGCAGTGGACCCGCTATGCACACATCTTCTTCTCCAAGGTTTGTGTGCAGAACATCCTGCCCATGCTGACCCAGGAGCTTCAGTTGGCACCTGCCCCAGTCCAGCCTCTGGGAACCATGCAGCAGCTCCCAGCGGCCCTGCACCCACCACCAGCATCCGTTTCACCTGCAGTTGAAGATCCGTGAGGTGCCCAGAAGATCATGCAGTCATCAGTCCCACGGAGCAGCCCGCGAGGCTGAGGCTCCTCCCACTGGACCGCCCCCCAACTGGCACCACTGCTGCCCCTGCCCCTACTCTCAGCCTCACGTGACTCTCGGGCAGAGGCAGTGGTGGGGCAGCCAGGGCAGCGTCAAGAGTCTGAGCCAGGTGAGGTGCGGTCAGGACCCCCACAGGGCTGGGAGTCAGGGCAGGGGCAGAACAAACCTTGGAGGGGAAGATGTGTGCATAGTGGGCCTGGAGGGCGGCTGTGGCCTAGTGGACAGGAAGAAGCAGTGGGCCTGGAAGAGCTGCATGATCAGGGCCGGCACTGGTCCAGGGCACGTGCAGTGAAGAGGACAGCTCCTTCTCGGTCTCCGGTTCCCTGAGCCTGTCCTCGGCTTCTCCACCTGTACAGGCAAAGGGGAAGCTGTCCGCATCACACATGGCACACTTGGGGGTGTTGGGCTTTGGACTGCAGCTGGAACATCTTCTCATCTTGCATTTGGGCGCGGTGGGGTCCTCCAGTGTGGGATCCATGTCCGTGGGGTTCCCTCTGCCCCGACCCCGAAAGCCCAGTCAGTTTCTCTTCAGGCTCTGCTCCCCGGGTGGCTCAGCCCAGCTCCTGCCTAGGAAAGCCTTAGTGTTGGGAGGGACCCTGATGACTGAGGAGCCTGGTAGCTCCAGGTCGCCCACACTTTCAGGTCTCTTGCACCAGAAGGTGGCAGGATCCATTGGGAGGAAACAGGCCACCTTGGAAGGTGTCCCTGGGCCCCCATCCCCAGGGGTTGAGGCCGTAGGGGGCCCGCTCTGCTGCGTTGACCAGACTCCTGGGCTTTGAAGGCTCCTGGGCCCAGTAAGAAGGAGGTGGGTGCCAAGGTTGAGGAGGAAGCATCCGAGTATGTGTAGGAGGAGGACAGGGTGTGACCATAGACTGCCAAAAGCTGCAGGTGGATCGGGGGACCCTGGGGGCTCAGGATCCAGCAAGGGGCGGCAGGAGTAAAGGAGGAAGGAATGACAGGTGCAAATACCTTCCCACCAAAGCCCTTGTTGCCCTCTGGCTCCTCCCCAGAGCTGTCCCCACTCTCAGTCGGTCACCCACTCCTTGAACTTGAGATCGGTGTCGGTGGTGCTAAAGCCATCATCAGCAATGACATCATCACCCCCTCCTCCTCATGGATGACCGTGTGCTCCTCGTCACTCGCTATGTCCTCACTGGCCATGTGCTGGGAATGAGCAGCTCACGTGGGCGGCAGCAGGGCTGCCCACGGGTCACCTCCCTCACCAGGGGCTGCAAAGTGGCCTGGAGCTCCATGCTGAGTAGAAGGCTTTGGGCCAGAGTATGATGCAGTGCCAGACACCACCTGTGTCAGTTCCCGTAGTGCCTGACGGTCTATTTCCCTGCCGTCCAGGCTGTGTACCCCGCTGTGGGAGAAGGCTTGGGCCAGGCTGAGCCAGGTTCCCTGACTGTGTGCAGCCGTTCTGCCCCACAGAAGCTGCTCCTTGGCATCCGAGCTCTGGAGTGTTTGGGCTGCAACTGACAGGAGTTCAGAGGACGCCCCAGGGGCAGTGGCAGTGCCCGTCTCTGATATGCTCCGCTCCCACGAGCCCTTGTTACACTGCTGCTAGCCCCTGGCTTGTGGGCTTGGCCTCTGAGCTGGACTTCTTTCGGTCCTTGTTGCAAGTGGGCCACCTTCACCTGGAAGGCCAGGTCGTATTTCTGCATCTCACTGGGCCCCAGGGTGTACCACCGCTCGCTCAGCATCTGGCTGACGGTCCGGTTATCCTGGTTGGGGTGACCCTGCTGCGCCCCGCCAGGGCCTGGTGCCGCTTGCTGAAGATCATGAGCGCCACTCATGGGCCACCAGATGTGGTCCTTGTCCCATTTGTTGGGGCTGCGTCCATCCTTCTCAGAAGATGAGTCCTGTTCCTTGCGCAGGGCACTGAGGGACTGGGCCTGACATCATCTGAGTGGTAGAGGCAACTGGGTGTCAGGAGACATGATGGAGAGGAAAGCATCATCATGGTCATTCTCTGTCTCACTGTCCAGCAGGGACTCCCCTGAGGGGCCCAGGGCTCCTCCTCCATGGTGGGAGGTGAGCTTTTACCAGGTTCCACCACCCCCAAAGTGTGTGGGGTTGCGGGCCCTGGGCTTTCAGGGCAGGTGGCTCCAGGGGGCCGCCCAGGGTCAACACTCCCTGTCCCACCTGGTGGACGCTCATGAGCAACAGCTGGCAACTTGGCAGGTTGTTTTCTCTGGTTGCAGGCCACTGAGTGACTGGCAGGTTGCTGGGCCTCGTGTGGCTGCAGGGAGGGGTCAGGAAGGGGATGGAGTACCAGGGGAACACAGCCGCAGAGTGACCTTCCACATTCCTCCACACGAACATGCTGACGCCACGGGAGGCCTCACTGAACGCAGGCCTGGGGGCCGAGTACTTGGTCCGGGCAGGGGGTTCCTGGCAGGGGCTCACACCTCCTCGCCCCCTCCTCAGCCAAGGTGGCTTGGGCCCAGAGAAGGGGAGGTTGGAGAGGAGCAGAAGGCCAGGCCTCAAGTTTTGTTTTTTTTGTTTGTTTTGTTTTTTGTTTTTGAAATGTAGTTTGACTCTTGTCACCCAGGCTGGAGTGCAGTGGCACGATCTCAGTGGCCTTCATACCTGTCTAATTTTTTGTATTTTTACTGGAGGTGGGGTTTTGCCATGTTGGCCAGGCTGGTCTTGACCTCCCGACCTCAGGTGATCCACCCACCTCAGCCTCCCAAAATGGGATTACAGGCATGAGCCACCGCTCCCAACTTCATTCCTTTTTACTTGAAAAACTCCGTTAAGCATTTTTTTAAGGTAGACCTAGTGGTCCTGAATGCCCTCAGCTTTGTTTGTCGAGGAAACACGTTATTTCTTTTTTCTTTCTGAAGGACAGCTTTGTCAGACATAGTATTAGTTGCTGGCAGTTTTTTTCTTTCAGCACTTTGAATGTATTATTGGATTCTGTCCTGACCTGCAAAGTTTCTTTAACTTTTGACTATTTGATTATATTGTGACTTGGTGAGTATCTATTTGGTTTGAACCTCTTTAGGAATCTTTAAGCTTCATGGATTTAGATGTCTAAATCTTTCCCATGATTTAGGCAGTTTTCAGCCATTCTTTAAATAAGCTTTCTTCTCCTTTCTCTACTTTCCTTCTCAAACTCCCATAACCTGACAATGGTTTGCCTAATGGTGTCTTGTTGGCTTTCTTTTCTCTGTCTCTTTTTTTTTTTTTTTTTTTTTTTTGAGACAGAGTCATGCTCTGTCACCCAGGCTGGAGTGCAATGTGTGGTCTCGGCTCACATTGCACTCCAACCTCCGCCTCCTGGGTTCAAGCGATTCTCCTGCCTCAGCCTCCCAAGTAGCTGGGACTACAGGTGTGTGCCACCACACCCGGCTAATTTTTGTATTTTTAGTAGAGATGGGGTTTTGTCATGTTGGCCAGGCTGGTCTTGAACTTCTGACCTCTTAATCTGCCTGCCTCGGCCTCCCAAAGTGTTGGGATTACAGGCTTGAGCCACCACGCCCAGCCTTCTTTTCTCTTTTTTATTCTTTTTTTCTTTGTCCTCTGACTGGATAATTTCAGAAGATCTATATTCAAGTTTACAGATTCTCTCTCCTGTTGAAGTTTACTATTGTGTTATATCACCCAGTCTGGTCTTGAACTCCTGGGCTCAAGCGATCCTCCCACCTTGGCCTCCCAAAGTGCTGAGTTTACAAGCATGAGCCACTGCATCCAGTCAGTCCCAGCACTTTGGGAAGCTGAGGTGGGAGGATCACTTGAGCTCAGGAGTTTGAGACCAGCCTGGGCAACATACTGAGAACTTGTCTGTATATTAAAAAAAAAAAAAAGTCTTTGGGAGGCCAAAGCGGGAGGATCACCTGAGGTCAGGAGTTCGAGACCAGCCTGGCCAACATGGCAAAACCGCATCTCTACTAAAAATACAAAAATTAGCCAGGTGTGGTGGCACACACCTGTAGTGGTGGTGCATGCCTGTAGTCCCAGCTACTCAAGAGGCTGAGGCAGGAGAATCACTTGAACTGGGAGATGGAGGTTGCAGCGAGCTGAGATTGCACCAGTGCACTCCAGCCTGGGCAACAGAGTGAGACTCCATCTTATAAAAGGAAAAAAGAAAGAAAAGAAAAATTCCATATCTGAGTGTTTACTCCTGAGTTTTTGAGATTGTTATTAAGATCGTGCTCTACTGTGATGATTTGGGTTTGTTTGATAATCAGAAAAAAGCATATTCTTTTGGGTGTTTAGCCACACTGCTTTGGTGTCACAACTGCACATTGGTTTCACAGCTGCAGGACAAATTCGAGCATCTTAAAATGATTCAACAGGAGGAGATAAGGAAGCTCGAGGAAGAGAAAAAACAACTGGAAGGAGAAATCATAGATTTTTATAAAATGAAAGCTGCCTCTGAAGCACTGCAGACTCAGCTGAGCACTGATACAAAGAAAGACAAACATCGTAAGAAGCAATAGTTTCTCTTACTATTCTGAGAGCCTTATCATTCTACATCCCATCTTCCTGTGAGATTGTCTTTGTAGCATTTAACTCTAATTGCAGTTCTCTTTTTAAAAATTGGCTTGCTTATTGTATATTTTCCCCAACTAAAGCGTGAACTCCTAGCAGGGCGTGGTGGCTCATGCCTGTAATCTCAGCACTGTGGGAGGCCGAGGTGGGTCGACTACCTGAGGTCAGGAGTTCGAGACCAGCCTGACCAAGATGATGAAACGCTATCTCTACTAAAAATACAAAAATTAGCTAGGCGTGGTGGCTGGGACCTGTAATCCCAGCTACTTGGGAGGCTGAGGCAGGAGAATCACTTGAACCCTGGAGGTGGAGGTTGCAGTGAGCCGAGATCTCACCATTACACTCCAGCCTGGGTGACAAGAGCAAAACTCCATCTCAAAAAAAAAAAAAAAAAAAAAAGGTGAACTTGAAGGCAGGTCCTGTGTCCATCTTTTCAGATTCTGTATCCCAGCACTTAGGACATAGACAAACAAGAAGATGACAATCAATATTTGCCAAAATGAAAAAACAAAAGAAACATGTAACATCATGTAAAAGAAGCTGGTTAGGTGGAGAAATTTATTTACCATAGTCTTGCTTGTGGATCCAGTAGTGACTTTTACATTTTATATCTAAATAGACGCTGGAGGCTTTGTTGGGTACTCATAGGCATAAAATATTATGTTATTTATTATAGAGTTAAATGCTACAAAGACAAATCTAATTAATAGGCCTATTTTCCTGTTTAAGTTCTACTCATAATTTCTTCATAATTTTTATGATAAAAGGTTGGATTTTGATTAGAACTCCCATGCTTTTGTGTCAGAATTAAAACTGGTATTAGAATAAATAATTCAAAAGCTAGAGAAAGAGTACAATGAGAAGCCATGAGTTGCATTTGAATTATAATATTATGTCTTACAGATTTGGGGTATATGCTAAAGTTACCAAAGTTGTAGAAAATAAGGCCGGGCATTGTGGCTCACATCTGTAATTCCAGCACTTTGGGAGGCCGAGGTAGATGGATCATTTGAGGTCAGGAGTTCGAGACCAGCCTGGCCAACATGGTGAAACTCCGTCTGTACTAATAGTACAAAAATTAGCCAGGCGTGATGGTGTGCACCTGTAGTCCTTGCTACTCAGAAAGCTGAGGCAGGAGAATCGCTTGTACCCAGGAGGCAGAGGTTGCAGTGAGCAGAGATTGTGCCACTGCACTCCAGCCTGGGTGACAGAGTGCTATGAGTCACCACACCTGGTATGAGCCACCGTGCCTGGCCCACAATGACTTTTACACATGTTGTTAAACCATCTTACAGATTTTATAATTTGGGGGAAGAAAAGTTTTACTAAATGGTCTTTTAATGGAAACTCTACAAGAACCAGAATCTTTGCTTTGTTCACTTATGTATCCATTCCTAGGCCTAGAAAAATGCCTGACACATAGCGGCAATTATTCATTGAATAAATGGACCCAGCGATAGTACATTAGCTATGCTATATGCATACATTAAAGATGTAGATTATCGACTTTCAAAAGATAATTAATGTAACTTCTTACTGCTTCTGAACATGTTTGTGAGTTATATTGCTGAGGGACCTTTATCTTCTCATTCTTTCATCTTAACCCAGTGTTATAAAATTGAAATCACCAATATTATTCCATATCTAAAATTAATATCTACCTTGTAAAAAATATCACTCTGCTGCATTTGACAATAGACTTTTTAGGTAATAATGATGCAATCCATAGGGTTTTTTGGGGGCACAGAGGGATTCATGCTAACAGAACATTTTATTTTCTATTTTCCCAGAGCTGTAAAACATGAAATTACGGTAGTATAAGGCATATTTTTACTCTTTTTATAATTTTTTCTAAAAAAAATTAGTGTTTGTTCCCTATATAACTTTTAACTTTATAGGTAAATATTTGTCTCTTTCAGCTCCAGTTTTATGTGAAATAGAGTTTTCAGATGTATGTAGCATGGAAAGTTTTAATACGTCAGAGTTACTGATTTTTGCCATTTTCTCAATTATTTCTTTTTTATCTTTAGTTGATTTTTTTGTAGTGACACATTTTGTTTCTAGTCTCATTTCCTTTTGTTTATATTCTATGTATATTTCGTTTTTGGTTACTATGAGAATTACATATAACATCCTAGATTTATAACATTTTAATTTGAATTTATTTCAACTTAAGTTCAATCACATACCAAAATTCTACTGCTATACATATAGCTCTACTCTTTTTATGTTATTGATGTAACAAATTATATCTTTATTCATTGTATACCAGCTAACAGATTTACAATTACATTTTACGCATTTGCCTTTTAAATTATGTAGAAAATAAAAAGCAGAGTTAGAAACCAAATTACAATAGGACTGTTTTTATGTTTGTTTATGTATTTACCTTTACCGGAGAGCTTTGTATATTCATACAGCTTGCTTATTTACTTATATAGTTATTGCCTAGAGTTCATTTATTTCAACCTGAAGGACTTAACACCTCTTGAATGGCAAATTCAGGAATAAACGGATTTTTTTTCAGTTTTAAAAAAAAATCCGGAAATGTCTTAATTTCTCCCTCATTTTTGAAGGATAAGTTTTCCAGCTATAGATTTCTCAATTGACAGGTTTCTTAATTATTTTAAATATATAATCCACTGCCTACTGGCCTTCAAGCTTTCTGCCGAGAAATCAGCTGCTAATGTTATCTGGATCCCTATCTGTGAGAGTTGCTCTTCTCTCTGAGTTTTCAACATTCTCCCATTATCTTTTGTTTGTTTGTTTTTGAGACAAATAATTGTACATATTCATGGGATACAGAGTGATATTTTGATACATGTATACAATGTCCAATGATCAAATAAGGATAATTAGCATATCCATCACCTCAAATATTTGTCATTTATTTGTATTGTGAACAGTCAACATTCTTTCTTCCAGTTTTTTAAATTTATAAACATTTAAATTTTATTACAGAAATTTAAATTTTTTGATTCTGAAAAAGTTATATACATATGCAACATCGTTTTATCATTTATTTATATATTTATGCATCTTTCCTTTTAGTTTTGACAGAGATTTTCTATTTAATCATTATTTCAAAAGAACTCTTACCTGTATTTATTTATCAATTATATTTCCCTTGTTTTTTCCTAGTATATTAATTTATTTACTTATCTTCTAAAAATCCTCCATATAATCTGTTTGTTTCCTTTCTATAATTTCTTCAATAATTAGTTCTGTTCTATTTTCCATTAAAATATTTAAATCTTGTATGAATTTTTATCAGATTAGAAATTTAGGGCGTTTCTTAATTTCTCTATACTCTAGCTTTTGACTTTTTTTTTTCTGACCTAAGAGGTATTTAGAGCACATTTTAGATTTTTTATTTTGACTAATCATTTAAAATGTATACTAATCTTCAATTTAAATAAAAAACTGGTCTATAGTGACAAAAATTACAAATGAGCCTAACTAATAAATTATCAGCTGTGTTTATATGTATAGGCATGCACAGATTTTGGTAAATATGTACATAGTATATTGGTGAGCTTATTTTTGTCGTTCTTAACTCATTGTGTAGTCTAAACGTTGGGGAAAAAATAAAATACAATAATCAGATGGCGTGAATAAGAAAATTGTTCTAATGTTTGTAAACCAAGCAACGGTTTTAACTGCTCCCCTCTTCCTGATTGACTTCCAAAAGGGATTAATCCATATTAGGTCCTGTCGTATATGTCACGGTATAACATCTCCAGCTATAAAATGGAAATTTGAGAATAACTTTGCTGCTACTCAGATACATTTTATTTCAAAAACATACACTAAGGTGTTGCTGTTGGATCTTTCCAAAAACATATTCACACAGAACTTTCAATCACACTGAGCCATATTTGAACAATCTTTCAAGGTCAGCTCTGGCATAAGCTAACATTATACCATTTAACTCAGAAATTTCTGTAGTATTTGATTAATGGGTTTATGTTTGATATGTAATGTAATTTTCTAATGCTAAATCAAGTGGTAATTTTGTTAGTCAAGTTGATTTAGTGGCTTGGGAAGAAAGCTTTTAATGTTCCCCTAATTTTTCTTACCTTTGACATGATCCTTCACATGTCTTATTTTGCTTAGTGATTTTTCTTTTTTTTTTTTTTTTGAGACAGGGTCTTACTCTACCACCCAGGCTTGAGTGCAGTGGTGCGATCACAGCTCATTGCAGCCTTGACCTCCCAGACTCAAGCTATTCTTCCACCTCAGCCTCCCAAGTAGCTGGTACTACAGGCACATGCCGCCAAACTTGGCTAATTTTTGTATTTTTTGTAGAGACAGAGTTTTGCCAAATTTTCAGGCTGGTCTGGAATTTCTGGGCTCAAGTAATCCTGCCTTGGCCTCCCAACATGCTGATATTACAGACATAAGCCACAGTACCCGGCCAGTTTTCTTTTTTTAAAAATCTATTGGTTATTAATTTGAAGCCTTCCTTTTCATAGCTGTGCTCCTTAATTGGGAGCAAACATGAATGGACCACAACTTAGCCAATTTTCTATATACGATCTTTGCCATCCTAATTTAAAGGAATATTAATTCTTTCTTTTCCTCTTTCATTCCACAAACCTGTATTGACTACATCTAAGTTCTAAATGGTGCACTGGATGTTGAAAAAGTTGATGATGAGCAAGAACAAAATTCCACCTTTCAGGAGACTTACAGTTCAATATGGGAAATATAATTTGTTAAAATATAAAAGTGCAATTGTGTTACATGCTGTACGAAGTACATGTTGACATGTGAGCATATAATAAATGGGCTGGAGGCCAGAGGATTGCCAAAGAGAATGGGCCTCCTGCTGAGATGAAAAGTTGAGCAGGGATTAGTTGGCGAAAGTGGAGGGACGACCCTTTCTAGGCAGGAGGAAGAACATGTACAGAATCTCTGAGGTGTGATGCGACAAAGTCTATATGAAAAACTGAAGAAAGGTCTAATGTGGCTTAAATACAGAAGCCAGTAGGAGAGGAGTCGAAAAGAGGCTGGAGAAGTAGAAAGTGTCTGCATTCTGCAGGAACTTATATTGTATAAAAAGAATTTCTCTTTATTCTAAGTGCAATGTGAAGCCAATGAAGTGCCTTAAACAGGTGATGTGATTTGATTGAATTTATTACTTCACTTAACAAATATTCATTACATGCCCACTGTTTGTCAGATATTGCTGTAGCCCCTGGTGATACAGTAGGGAATAAAACAGGCAAAAATCCCTGTCCTCTTGCAGCTTATAATGGACTGCAATGTTTAATATGTCAGAGGAGGTCCACGGAGGAGTGACTTCTAAGCAAGAATCTGAAAAAAATGAGGATATCTAAGGAGGGAACAAATGGTTCAAAAGCCCTATAATTGCAAGCAGGCATGATGAAGCAATTGCAGTTGTCCTGACTCTCAACACCGTGGAACTCAAAGGAGATGGAAAGATTCTTTCTCTCCCTCATATATTTTCTCTCTGTCTATATATATAGAATATGAGACATTTCCCTAATCATTATGTGTAATTACAATTACATATATATATATATGTATGTAATATATAAACATATATATGTAATTGTAATTACACATAATGATTAGGGAAATGTCTCATATTCTACTCAAAAATAAGCAATATAGCAATTACTGTTTTTTACATTTTACAGTTACAGTTTCAGAGAAAGTTTGATATTTATCTAAAATTTTTCAATGTATGAACTTTTTCATTTGGCAAACCATAATTGTACATATTCTTGGGATACAGAGTGATATTTCTTTACATGTATAGAATGTGTAGTGATCAAATCAGGGTAATTTCCACTAATTTAAAATGCCACCTTTATGTTATTGTAATTTATATATATACTATATATATACACACACACATATATATATACATGTCCACATACAGTGTGTGTGTGCACATGTACACACATGCATATGTGTATATAATGCCCAGTATAAGCAATGTGCGCAAATAAAATTAGCTAACAGAGATAGTATAGAGTGAGAGGAGAGGCAGATTAATCTTTGAGGAAAAGCACAATTTTATGGCTGAATGGAGAAAGCTGAGGTGGTTTCTAAGATGGAGAATAAGATGAAAAATGTAAGTACGTTGTTTGACTGAATTCAAGAAAGAAGGGTAAAAGAGAAGAAAGTAGTGGTCTTATCATTAAATGCCACAGAGAGGTAAAGATAAAAACAACATATTGTTTTGGGTTTAGTAATTTAAGGGTTACCAAATTCCGTTTTGGAGGAGGAACAGATTCCATGTCCACTAGAATGGAATGAACAAGAAATGGAGGAGGAAAATAGGTAGTTTTTCAAAAGTTTTCAAAAATATGAAAAGAAGAAATGAAATGGTACTTGGAAGAGATTGTTGAAATGGGAGAGACTATGGTGGCTTGTTTAGAAGCAGTTGAGATAGATCCAATTGAGATAGAGATATTGACTATATAAACAAAAGAATGACAAATTAATAGTGTAATGGATAACTTGACTTTGGCAAATATTGTGAATTTTTGTGAAAGTACAACTAAAAGGCAATGTCACTCCAATAATCACCAGAGTAATCAATTTGCTTATTGCTGTCCCTTTAAATATAGTTCTCTGGTATCAACTAACATGTTTTTAACTAATGATGCTTCTTAAAGAAAAGGGAAAAGACCTTTTTCTTTCTTTCAGTCTTCAATGATTCACTGCTTCATCTCGCTCCACCAAAGATAAATGAAATCTACATCTCTTATACATTAACAATGCATGACAATTTATAAATAGCTAAATTTTTGGAGCTAACTTGAAGTACCTGAATGGAATTTAATCAACCCACTAATCTCCTTCTCACTTCTCAGTTATTTATCAAGTTTATGTCAAGGGACAAGGAAAAATTATCCAAACATTGTTTAAAACAATCATCATTAATTAGTAACACTTATCCAGGGGGGTTTTTAACCTTTCCCCCACTCAAGGATTATTCTAATGTCAGAGTAGAATAAAAAATAAGTGCAGCGATGCTGACTCTTCCAAGCTTAACATTTCTCACAAGTCAATTAGCTTTGTACTGGGAGGAGGGCGTGAAGGGCTGCTTGCGGTAGTTGTGTAGCAGCAGCACAATGGCCGCAGACAAGGAAAACAGTTTCTAGGAATTCCTCGTATATAATTTTATATTTTTGACAAGATTAATGACCCATGCTCCCTTCCTCTCCATTTCTTTTTTTGGAATTCTGTTGGTATGTAGTTACTATATTTTATTAAAGGAAATTAGCCTTATCTCTTATTATATTTTATTAAAGAAAATTATTATTCCTTTATATTTTTATTAAAGGATTTTATTATTATTATTAAAGGAAATTAGCCTTATCTCTTATTATATTTTTATGACCTTCAAAGTAGTGTCTCTGCTTAAAAGTGTACCTTGGCCGGGCGTGGTGGCTCACACCTGTAATTCCAGCACTTTGGGAGGCCGAGGCGGGTGGATCACGAGGTCAGGAGATCAAGACCATCCTGGCTAACACGATAAAACCCCGTCTGTACTAAAAATACAAAAAATTAGCAGGGCATAGTGGCGGGCGCCTGTAGTCCCAGCTACTCGGGAGGCTCAGGCAGGAGAATGGCGTGAACCCGGGAGGCGGAGCTTGCGGTGAGCTGAGATCGCACCGCTGCACTCCAGCCTGGGCGACAGAGCAAGACTCCGTCTCAAAAAAAAAAAAAAAAGTGTACCCTGAAGCACACATCAAGCGACATGTAGAGTTCATAAATTCTGGCCAAATGGTCATACCTCAAACCTCATCAGCACTAAGGCTCTTTACTTGCACTGACAAATGTGAACGCTGGGGAATTTGGAAATGATATATAATAGATATATAATATATAATAGATATATAATATTATATATGTAATAGATATACAATATATAATATATATATAATAGATATATATTATATATAATAGATATATAATATTATATATATAATAGATATATAATATATAACTTTCCATGTGATTTTCCTCTTAATTTTTTTCTAGCTGATCCATATGAATTCCTCTTATTAAGAAAAATAAAGCATCCAGGATTCAATGAAGAACTATCACCTTGTTAATCATTCAGAAACATATTGCAGACTTAAGCCATTTTTGATACAGATACTGAAACAATTACTTTCTAAGAGCAAACTTGAAGGTATGGATAAGGCCCTGAGTCATCTTCCTGAGCTGAATGATAGTTAAGCTGAATGTACGTATAAAATATGATTTTCTAACCACTTGCTCGCCAACAAGGAAAACTTTTAAGTAGAGCAGAACCTGAATAGACAAGACATTTCTTTCTTTTGGTAGAAAATGATTTACCATCACTGTGTAGTTAATTGTAGACTAGGTAATTTTAACTGTGATTTATTGCCGGAGACATTTTCTTCTGTACTGTAAAGTGTGTGTCAAAAAAAAAAATAGCGATTTTGGAGGATTAGGGGAGTTTGATAAATTGCCTGCAATTCTGGCAGTATGAACTGCATATTAATTTCTCTCTTTCTAGAACATTTTTATTTATTAATTCCTTACAAAAACTCCCTAAACTTTGGAACAGCTCTCAATTGCCTGTATTCTTTTTTTTCTTATTATGGTACTCTTCTAGAGATTTGGCTTGCATCTATGAATAAGCCAGGACATCTTCAGAAATTGTCTGATTAAAAACACCACCAATGGAGTTTCATTAAATTTGTATTGATCTGACTAGTGAAACACACACATCTATGTTGCTGAGGATATTTTACTGCAGTTTGAGTTGTAATAATAGCTCTGTTTAAGATCCGTCAGTCACTTGAATCTTCTCTAAGGCTTTGGATGTTAGAAGTTAATTTGCTTTCTTACAAGGCCACATTCTATCTTGTAACTAAACAACTGAATTTTATGTCTTAGCGTAGATGGTTTATTACTTTCTGGTTTTTCTTTAGTAAGAATCCTATAAAAACACTAGTATTTTTCTCTGAGTTTAAAATTCAACACATGCCTACTGATATGGTTAGGCTTTGTATCCCCACCTGAATCTCATCTTGAATTGTAATCCCCATAGCCCCCATAATCCCCACAGGTCAAGGGAGAGACCAGGTGGAGGTAATTGAATCATGGGGGCAGTTTCCCCTGTGCTGTTCTTGTGATAGTGAGTTCTCACGAGATTTGATGGTTTTATAAGGGATTCTTTCCCCTTTGCTCGGCACTTCTTCATGCTGCCTTGCGAAGAAGCTGGCTTGCTTCCTCTTTGTCTTCCGCCATGATTGTAGATTTCCTGAGGCCTCCCAAGCTGTGCTGAACTGTGAGCCAATTAAACTTCTTTCCTTTATAAATTACCCAGTCTTGGGCAGTTCTTTATAGCAGTATGAAAACAGATAAATACACCTACTATGTAAAACTTAAAATACAAAAAAAAAAAACATTATCTCACTAACATAGGAGCTAATATTTTGGTGTACTTTGTTTAGTATTTTATATTAAAAATATGTACATATATATTTATATATAATTAAGAACATGTATGTACAATCGTGCATACATCATGTACATACATCTACTTAAGAAAATAGCTATGTAATATACCATTACTCAACTAGATTATAATTTTTCTCCATTTCTTTATTGTAATTTATCATTTTCTACTTTTTTGTTTTCTCATTTTTATTGCATATTTAATTATGCAAAAAATACATTAAATACATTGAAAATATATAGTGTAGCTATAAGAATAAAGAACGATGGTAAAACAAATGCTAATACCCACTACCTGACTTAAAGAATATGATACTATTTTTTTCCAATTGAAATCCCCTCAACTACTCAGAATTACTGCTATCCCTTTTATCCTTTCATTAATTTTCTTCTAGTTTTCTCACATGTGAATCTATTTCTAAATACATTTCTTTATTTTGCAAGTTTTTGGACTTCATATAAATGTAACCATATTGTATATATTCTTCTTCAGCTTCTTACTTTTTCACTAAACAATATGTTTTGCTGATACTTACATTCATATGTACAGTAATAGTTGATTTATTTTAATGGCTATATATTATTCCATTGTTAGAATACACCAGGATTTATTTTTACTTATTTTTTTTGCTGGAAAATTGGGTGTCTTTTTTATTTTTTGATATAACAAACAATGTTGTAATCATTTTGTATTTACTTCCTAGTCCACTCCTGTAAGTTTCTCTTGAGTACATACTAGCAATGAAGATGCTGAGTCACTGCATATACATACTCACAACTTTATTCTATAATGTAATATTCTATAAAGTAGCTGTATCAGTTTATACTTTAACCAGTAATGGACAAGATTTTCTGTTACTTCCCATCTTTGTTAATTATTACTTTTAGACTCTAACTTTTATCAGGCTCATGGATGTAAAAAGCATCTCAGGGTGTTTTTAATTTGCATTTATCTGCTCATCTATGAAGATGAGCTTCTTTTCATATAATTATGAGTCATTATTTTTGTTTTGCCTTCTTTTGTTTATGCATTTTGCTTGTTCTGTGTCTTATTTTTCCTGTTGATTTTTGGGAGTTCATATATATTCTAAATGTATATTCACTCATATATATGTTGCAAATATTACAGTTTATGATTTGTCACCTTATGATATCATCCAAATAGAGAAGCTTTATATTTTGATGTAGTCATATGTTCATTTTTCCTCCTTAATGTTTGTTTTTCTTGGTTCTATGACCTACCAAAAGTAACAAAAATTCTCATTTATTTTTAATCTAAATGTTTTAAGTATTTTCCTGGAATTCACCTTGAATTGATTTCTATTGGAGATAGGTATCCAATCTAATTTGCCTCATATGGATAACCACTTGTTCTATTACTGCTGTAACAAATTTCTACAAACTAAGTGACCTAAAATAACACAAACTTGTCATCTTACAGTGTACACAAGTCAGAAATCAGGCATGAATTTTAGTGAACTAAAATCAAGTTGTCGACAGGCATGTTTCTTTATGGCGGCTAGGGTAGAATCCATATCCTGGCCTTTTCTATCTTCTAGAGAACATCAGCATTCCTTTTCTCATTGCCTCTCCTCTCTCTTTTTAAAGCTGGCAATGTCACATTTCTCTGACCATTCTTTCATTGTCACATCTCTCTCTGGACTCAGCTAAGAAAGGTTCTCCATTTTTAAGAACTCATGTGATTAGACTGGGCCCATCTGGATAACCCAGGAAGATCTCTCCATCTCGGTTTGCATCCTTAATCACATCTGATAAGCCTTTATTGCATTCAGTGTAACATATTCACAGGTTCCAGGGTTAGGCATGGGCATCTTTGCGGGCCATTATTCTCCCTACCACATTATTTGCCTAGCATCTTTCATTACATTGTCCATCTATTTACTTACTGATTTCTAATGACATCCAAATCAGTTACAACATTTTATGTAAGCATTGTTTTTATTTTTATGTTATTCCACTAGTCTATTTTTCTACTCATGAATTATGGTACATGAGTTTATTTTTGCAACTTTAAGCTCAATAACATGTTTTAAGATTTCCTCAACTTTCTTTTTCCACTTCTTCAGAAGTTGACTCTTTTGGCCCTTTGGTCTTCTATACACATTTTAGAAATGCTTTGTTGAGGACTAAGAGGAATGCTAAGATTTTGATAGGAATTTCATTGAATTTTGAGTATATTGGCATGCTACAATGGTTAGTGTTTTATACATGAAAATAATATATCCCTTCCTCTTTTCCTAGTATCATGAGATGTTTGTTAGGCAGACATGAATATTGAGTTGTATCAAATGTGTTTTTCTGCATTATTGTGGTAGTGATGTGATTTAGCTCCTTTAATTAGTTAATGTAATGAATTACATTTGTAGATTGCTCTAACTATTGAAACAAGCTTGAATTTCTGGAATAAGCCCAATGTGATATTTATTCAACAAATATTCATTGAGTATACCTAGTATGTAACATGCTTTAAGAATACACCAGTGAACCAAACAGAAATATCTGACATTACAGAACTTAACATTCCAGTATTTGGAGACAGACGATAAAAAAGTGAACATGTATATTTACAGTTTGTCAAGGAATGATAAATGAAGACTCTTAAAGTAGATGGGGAATTGGGAGTGAAGTCTGTAATTTAAATAGGGTGGGCAGGAAAGCTTCACAGAGAATGGGACATTTAAGAATAGACTTGAAGGACAGGCAAGAGCAATCTCTATGTTTATATGGGAGAAAAGGTTCCAGGCAGATGCAGTAACAATGGCAAGTATCCTGAAGTAGGATCATGCTGGAGTTTTTGTGGAGCATCAAGGAGGCTAGTGTGACTGCCACAGAATCACCCAAGGGAAGATGAGAAGATCAGACCAGAACAGCACTTGGGCATCTAATGGGAAAAGTTTCTCAAGCCATCATAAAAATTTCACTTTTACTATAAATACTACGAGAAACCATGGGATGTTTTACAGTAAGAAAGGTGGCATAATATGTTACATGTTTTAAACAAACTCTATAGCTTCTGAGTTGAAATAGATTGTAGGGGCTCATGGCAGAAGCAGAGGGAACATTTAGGAGACTACTGTAAAGAATATCATGAAAAGAACAAACAACGCTATGTAACATGCTTAAATGGACTGAAGAAGATGTATAAAATCAAAATGATGTTACCTTCACACCTTGAATCAGTATGATAAACCCCCCTCCCCAATCACAAAAGAAAAACTAAACACAAAAACCAGGCTTTGGTTGCTCAGACAATTTTACAGGTGAGTTCTAGCAAACATGCAAAGAACGTTTAATTGCACTGTTACAGAAATTCTTCTGGAGACAAGAAAATACGACACATCACCCAACCAATTTCATAATAACAATGTCAATGTATAATAACAGAAAAAGTGGATCTCCGAAGAAATAAATTTATTTGGAAATAAACAAGTTTTATAATCTGAGATATTTGTGCTATGATCAATCATAGGTGCATCCCAAGAGGTTGAGGTAAGGAAAATATGTAAAGACAAAAAGAAGTCTATGCAAGCTGTTTTGAAACAAACATCATTGGTCACAGGGTCTGATGCAGGAGCTGGTGTTAACTTACTGGCAGAAACAGCCATTGCTAGGCAAGTGTTCTTGTGAGGGTGGCTTATCTGAAATGCTGCAGTCTTGAGGAATTTTTTATGATAGGTCCTATTATAGAGACACCTACAGGATGAGCTGGACAAACAGAGTGTGCTGGGTGGGCAGAAATTTCTTGTGAGTTTATAGAAAGTCCTTGTGATAGTGCTTATCGTGGACACACACACAAGATCCCCTTTTTCATGACCCGGCTCCACTTTGCTTTGGGTCTGATGTAAGTGACTTTGCCTTGTCATTGGCAACTTTCACTGTAGTATAATCTGCACATTAAAGTTACCTAACAATAGTACAAAGAAAGAAAATTAAAGGTATATCTCTTTCAAAAATATAAACCCCAAAATTGTTAGGAAATTGTAGTGAGTATAAAAGATAATTCATTATAATAGACATCTCAAGCTTCACAGAATTCTGACCTTTGCTACACTCTCATCCACAATCTTTTCTCCTAGTAAATGGCAGCTCCTTCTGTTAAGTTGCTGAGGCTTCTTATTGCTTTTTTCTTCAAATAACAGTCAGAACTGAACAACTGTAATCATCCTAGTCCATACAATTGTTATATTTTCATTTAAAGAAGATCAATGTGTGGTTCTTTTTTATATATTTCTGGACAATTCTTTATATTTTAATAGTCAGAATTTGATCAGGAAAACAGAAGACATCCTATGTATTATAATGATAAAAGTTTAATATTAATTAGGGCCTTATGCTATTATTGGAAGAGCTTGGTGAATAGATATTAGAAAAGCAGCTAGACAAAATCAGAAGAGGTCTGTTTTATATCAGAGATCTTAGCCTGAGAGTCTAGAGTGTGGGCACAGAACCCAAGCTTATAGGAATTTCTGAAAGGTCTGTAAATCTTATCCAGATGGACAGTGGGAGCTCATAAAGAATTCTGCAAGCCATCACATCTGTCAAACCTGCTATGTCTAATCCTTAAGCCTGCTTTATGTGAAGACCTCCTCTTCACTCCTCACTTCCAGCTCTCATGAGTTTCTTTCATAGGCAAACCCAAACCTGGAACAATGTGCCTGAAGACTTCGGGTGACACAGTACCCAGACTTAAATAGGAGGGGAGCCATGGTGGAAGTGGCCATCCAGCACAGTTTTCTTGGTCTTTACTCATAGTTTTGATTCCTTAAAAAAATTAACCACATTAAAATATGTGTTTCATAATCTACATCTAATAATAAAAATATTTAAAGTCTTTTCAAGTGTGAATATGCTACCCATGTTGCTGCTACCCCCATTTTGTGTGTGTGATTTTTGTGTGTGTGTTAGAAGCTCATGACCTTTGAAACCTACTCTTATGAGCTTGCTTTGATGATTTATTTGTCCAGAGAGGATTTTTTTTTCCTACCTAGCATTTTGGACTGCTATCAACCTGAGACCACTTTGAATTAAATTCTCAGCTTGCAAATTTGGAAGCCACACAGATTGTATGAGTTCAGGCTGAAACCTGTTTGAGAGCTGGATTCTGGCTATAAACTCCACAGGGAACATTTTCTCTCTCCACTCAGAGCTGAGACCATAGGGAAATTTATTTGCTAGCTCTCTTTGAAGGTTTATTTTATTTATTTTTTTAATTTCTAGTACACGTGCTCACTGAAGGTGTAATACTTATGTGAGAATCTCAAAATCAGTTGTGTTCTTTGTATGACCCTGGTTTTGTTTCCTCCTGCTCTCTTACTTTCAGTGTGTCTCATTATGTCTGCTCAATATGTCATCTTAAATTTCAACTGAGGGTGGATCTTCTTCCCAGCTCACTCACATGGTTCTTATCTAGATTCAGTTTCTCTCCATTTGTAGGACTGAGGACCTCAGTTCTTCACTTAGGGTTGGCTACAGGTAATCATCAATTTCTTGTAACAGGACTTACACTGGGCCACTGACAGCATGCCAGTTGGCTTCATTCAAATGAGAGGGCAAGAGAAAGAGAGAGAGGGAGAGGGCACAAGATGAAATTCACAGTATCTTATAATCTAATCTCAAAAGTGGCATCTCATTACTTTTGTTCTATTCTATTCAATAGAAACAAGTACCTGGGACCAGCTTATACTATAGGAAAGAAATTATATAAGGGTATAAATACCAAGAGGTAGAGATCATCAAGAGCCATTCTGGTAGCAGCCACAATATCTTATCCAGAATATTTCTTATTCAGGCCTTCAAATGTGCTGTCTTTTCTGGTCTAATGGAAATGAACCTTCCTTCCATACAATTTCTTCTCCTAAACTGTACTCTGGCTCTCTTATCACATACAAACGTCTATGTTAGGTATTTGTGTCTGTCTTGATTCTTGGTAGGCTTTTAAACTCTGTGAATGTTGGACTGTGATGTAGACATCATTTCACCACACACTCTGTAACCACCAAACCTTAGCAGCTTATTCAGTAAGCACATACTTGGCTCTTAATGAGTATTGCTTAAATTGATGAATTGAATTAGTATTTTACCTTCTCTGTTGCTTAGCTAAGCAGAAGAATTTGTCATTTTTTTAATTTAGTGACTGGTTCTATTAAAAGTTACCTTTGTCTATATCATTTTGTTATACTAAAGCACAAATGTATAAGGTCAAAAAACATTCTCAAGATTTTGTTTAAACCACAGCCCTCAGTTGTGTATATTTATCTCTTGTTTTCATATGCAAGATTTCTCCTGAAATGGGCAACAATTTCAAGAGTTTTTTTCCTCTTCTGAACTAAGAAAATAAATATTTAATTCACAAGTTTAGAAAAGTGAACCTGAAAAATCACAGGGCTAGGTGGGTTATGAGGCCCACTGGTACATGATAGTGTTGAATGTGGATTAGAATGAACTCCGTGGATTAGAATCTCAGACCATAGGCAAACATTTACTTGTTTTAGAATAAGCACATTTGAGTCTGCAATAAGTATTACTATTTTTAAGTTGAAAATGTAATTGGTTTCTAATAATAACCATATTGGCTAGCATTATTTCAATCGTGTTTAATGTTTTCCAATGTCATTTCATGTCAGATATCTCTCTTGATTCTTAGTAACAATTTGGACAAGACAGCAAATGCTATTGTCCAAGTTTTCTAAAGAAGAATCTGAAGTGAAATGACATCAAGAGACCTATCAAGACCTGTATCCAGGAAAAGGTAAATCTGAGCTGAAACTGTAGCCCTTGTAAATTACCTACGTGACATACCAGATAGTGTTCATGATCCATTTAGTACTCTGTTCTAAAAACGAGACAATATCCATTTATTCACTTGTTCATTTATTTAGTGTTTGTTCAGCCCTTACTGCATATTCCAGGCACTATTCTGACTGTGGCAGGAGTGAACAAACAGGCATGGTTCTTACTTGCATGTAATTACAGTCTTATAGTGAAAACAAGTGTTAAACAACAAAATCTCCCAATTATTTTAAAATTATAAACTTGATTCGATACTATGTGGCCATATAATTGTTCCTAATTTGGTTGGAGAAGGGAGGCAGTTAGGGAAGCCTTCCCTGAGTTAGTGCCATTTAACCTGATTTATGATAGATGATAAGTAATTTGTCAGGGGAAAAATACTCCAGGAATAAAGAACAGGTACAAAGGTCAGGTTCTGGGAAGAGCTTGTCTTGGTCCAGGAACTAAAAAATGTTAGAGTGGCTGGATCTGGGAAAGAGACAAAGAGTTATTAAATGAGGCAGCAGGCTTCAGCAGGTGCCACATTGCTCAGGGCCTTGTAGGCCATGCTAAGTATTTGGGATGTTAATGTCAGTACAAACAATTGAGTCATAAGCAGAAAGTAAAAGCATGATTCCATCAAATGTTATTCTCTAAACAGTCATTTTATAAATACAGGTTAAATGTGTGTGGTTCCAGCTACTCAGGAGGTCCCAGCTACTCAGTATTCCTTTTCAACAAATATTAGGTGCCTACTATTAGCCAGGTACAGCCCTTAGCTACTTTGAATGAAGCATATATTACAAACTGGCAGAATTTCTTAAACAAAGAATCTAAAGTTGTTTATACACCATAATCTCGGTATTTTATAAATTTCTTGAAATTATTTTTATTTACACTGCTTTGCAGAATTTTAACTGGCTTTGAAATAAACAATGACAATAGTCCTCCATGTTACTAGTTTCAAATTTTCCCAATACCTACTAAGACATTACTTAATCCACAGATTTACTGTCAATAGTTTGTATCAAATTGTGATAACATATTTGAAATTAATATTTCAAATTAAAGCAAAATCACAAATTTATACTTTATATTATGAATGAGATTCACAAAAGGAGCATGATAATATATTCTGTTGTCATCGCATACAAAATAATAACATATAGAGTATGAATCAATAATTTTTCAAATACAAAGCTATTACAATTAGGAATACAAAGAAATCATAATTAGGAATACTTCTACAATATTAACACACAATAGTGGTAACACTTGCAAAATGATGGTGGTGTTTTTTTGTTTTTCTTTTTTGTTTTGTTTTTTTTCCCGACAGAGTCTTGCTCTTGTTGCCCAGGCTGGAGTGCAATGGCGTGATTTTGGCTCACTGTAAACTCCACCTCCTGGGTTCAAGCGATTCTCCTGCCTCAGCCTCCCTAGTAGCTGGTATTACAGGTGCCTGCCACCACACCCAGCTAATTTTTGTATTTTTAGTAGAGATGGGGGTTTCACCATGTTGGCCAGCCTGGTCCCGAACTCCTGACCTTAGGTGATCCACCAGCATCGGCCTCCCAAAGTGCTGGGATTACAGGTGTGAGCCACTGCGTCCAGCCAGTGGTGGGTCTCATATCTCAATGTGGGCTTTTACTAACTCCCGATGCCTCAGTTTCCTCATCAGTTGAAAGGAATGAATGAAAGATATGTGTTTTTCATATTACCAGGTAGATGATAAGGAGATTTTAATTTTCTTTTTTTTTTTAACTTTTATTTTAAGTTTAGGGGCATTTGTTACATAGGTAAACTGGTGTCACAGGGGGTTATTGTACAGATTATTTCATCACCCAGGTATTAAACCTAGTACCCAATAGTTATCTTTTCTGCTTCTCTTCCTTTTCTCACCCTCCACCCTCAAGTAGACCCCAGTGTCTGTTTTATTCTTTGTGTTCATTAGTTCTCATCATTTAGCTCCCACTCATAACTGAGAGTATGCTGTATTTGGTTTTCTGTTCCTGCATTAGTTTGCTAAGGATAATAGAAGGTCCATCCATATTCCAGCAAAAGACATGATATCATTTTTTAATGGCGACATAGTATTCCATGGTGTATATGTACCACATTTTCTTTATCCAATCTGTCATTGATGGGCATTTAGGTTGATCCTATACTTTTGCTATTGTGAACAGTGCTGCAATGAACATTTGTATGCATGTGTCTTTATGGTAGAATGGTTTATATTCATCTGGGTATATACCCAGTAGTGGGATTACTGGGTCGAATGGTAGCTCTGCTTTTAGCTCTTTGAGGAATCACTATTCTTTGTACAATGATTGAACTGATTTGCACACCCACCAACAGTGTATAAGCATTCCCTTTTCTCCATAGCCTCACTAGCATCTGTTATTTTTTGACTTTTTAATGATAGCTATTCTGACTGGTGTGAGATGGTATCTCATTATGGTTTTGATTTGCATTTCTCTAATGATCAGTGATGTTGAACTTTTTTTTTGTATGTTTGTTGGCTGCATGCATGTATTCTTTTGAAAAGTGTCTGTTCATTCCCTTTGCCCAATTTTAATGGGGTTGATTGTTTTTCTTTTGTAAATTTCTTTACATTCGAAATGTTTTATTATTAAGTTGAGCTGCCTCATTCTTAGTATGGTTTTTCACTTTAAAAAGCATAAAGGTGGACATGGTGGCATATGCTAGTAATCCCAACTACTGGGGAGACTAATACAGGAGGGTTGCTTGAGCCCAGGAGTTCAAGGCTATAATGTGCTATGATCATGACTGTGAACAACCACTGTACTGCAGCCTGGGCAGAGTGACATAGTGAAACCATCTCTCTAAAAAAAGAGAAAATGTAATTTAAATCTTTAAATACATATGTATATGTGTGTATATATGTATATATGGTGCATATATCAAAAATAGTTTGTAGTTTCCATTCACAGCACATAGTAAAATGTCTTAACCTCCTCCCTCCTCCCTATGTGTGTTTTTCTAAGTGTGTGTCTTTTTTACCTTAATTTTTCTCTTAGTGTCTCATACTCTTCTTAGGTCTCCCTCTTTCTTCTGTCTTTCACACACACACACACACACGCATACACACATGTACCTTGAAAAATAGCTTTTCTTTTTCTTAAAACTTCCCAAAGCTTTCATAAAATTAGCCCTCAGGCACTCTTACGTATCTCATCCACTCTTCTTCCTCTCTCCCCTTCCTGAAGCCATTTGTAACTTAGTCTATTACACTAGGAAGGGGAAGCAAATATTCATATTATTTTCTTGTTATATCCTTAGCATTACTAGACCTTTGTGGTTTCTATGGATGAGGGACATAATATTTATTAATTTATTCTAAACTTCAGTCACTCATAATATACCCTTTTATTCCTCCTTCTTCTGTGATATTGGGAGTGTATAGTTGTCATTGTGACAAACCCTTTGCTGTCAGTATCTATAGTGGATGGGGAGAAAAGGAGGGCTTTGCCAATCATCGTCTCCAGTGCATTTCCCACTGTCAGCGTCATTGTCTAATGCTGTTTGCATCCACACAGCCTAAGGGAACCGTTTAAGTGAGTGACTCCCTCCCTTCACTTCAGCCCATCACTTGAGCATTTCTCTCCCTTGAAAAAAGACAAGTGGTGCTTCTAAGACTTGAGTAATTCTGAATATAATTGAGGACTAGATGTTCCTGTTTTATATCCTACAGGGCTGGCATCTCTAATGCTGAAAGTACAACAAAGTGCAGTGGTAGTCACTGAGTGTTCAGCCATGCTGGGTCATCAAAATAAAAGGAGATCGTCTTCCCATTCCTATCAATGGCCTCATCTCTACCAGATATATAACTGGAAAAACAATGCATTTGCTTAGACATCCACAGTGAGCCACACTTGTTCGGTGTTGTGGGGAAATGATGCAGAAGCATCCTTGTTTATTAAGGATCCAATTTTGATAGGCTGAGGCATATTTTTCCTCCCAAGTCTGCACATGGTCATGTATTAAATATTAATGAGCATCTTCTCTCTATCAGGCTTTGGGGGATATGTTCACCTCTTGGGAGGTGAACATGATAAATAAGATCCTTTCTCTCATGGAGCATTCTCTCCATTCTTTTTTTTTTTTTGATAGGGACTAGCTCTGTCACCTAGGCTAGAGTGCAATGGTGCAAACATGACTCACTGCAGCCTTGACCTCATGGACTCAAGTGATCCTCAAGTGATCCTCTTGCCTCCACAACATCCAGCTAACTTTTAAAAAATTTTTTGAAGAGAAGGTTTTGCCATGTTGCCTCAGCCTCCTGAAGTGGTGGGATTACAGGTGGCAAGGGAAGGGAAGGATGGCTATCTGCCTTCAAATATTTGAAAGGGTGTGAAATCAAACAGGGAAGGAGTCCTGTTCAGAGCCCCTTAGAAGATGCCGGGGTCAGGGTGGGGGGTGGTGAGGCCTCTCACCTTCAAAGAGCACCTTCTGCCACTGGAAGGGTCCCAAAGTGACAGCAACCACCCCGCGTCGAGCCCTCACTGCGTGCCAGGCACTCGGCTTGCCTGACGCTTTACTGGCATCACCCCTGAATTTTCCCAGCAATCCCAGGAGGGTGGTACCATTCGTATTCCTTATTTTACGAACGGGAAACGCGAGGCTCTCACTGCTTGAGATCACACAGCTAGTGAACGACTGAGTCGAGATTCAAACCCAGGGCCCTGCTGAGAACTATTATGCTGCACCGTAGGCTGAGGAGACCTACAGCCCTGGGAATTCTAAGACTGTGATGCGATAAAACACAAATATAAACATGGGAAGGCCAAGATAAGGCTGGGAGTTTTAAATTTATTTTTTTTTTGCTGAGGTGTCTTGGGTACAAGGAAGACAGGAAAGGTGGATGCTGAGTAGAATTTGTACCTCGGTGTCACCGTCCTCATCCCCGACCCCTCCTAGCCGCCCCCGCCTCAATGTCCCCTTCTTCTCCAAGGGAATCTACTCGCACCATCACACTAGCCCCGGCTGCGGCCCGTGGAGGCCGAGGAGGGCCGCGCACCCAGCACCCAGCACCCAGCACCCAGCACCCGGCCCGAAGGCCCCGCTGCTCCCCGGGCTGGCGGCGGCAGGAGCGGCATCGCGGAAGCCCCTTCCGAGCCCCCTCGGGCCGGGAACGCGGGAGGAGGCGGCGCCCTGCGCCGGGAGGCCCCAGACACCGTGGGCGGGCGGCTGTGCGCGGCCAGGCTGCGTGGGAGCGGGCAGCGGCGGCGGGGGGCGCTCCGCGCGGGGGTTGGGGCGCGGGGGTTGGGGAGGCGGGGGCGCCCGGGCCGCGCTTCCCTTCGCGGGTGACTCAGCAGCCGCCTTCCTCAGCGGGGCGGGGCGCGGCGGGGGCGCGGGGAGGCTGTGGGCACGCGGCTTCCCCGCGCCGGGGTGCAGGTCCTCGCCGCCGCCCCCGCGAGGAAGTGCGAGGCTGGACGCTGGGAGGCGCGCGTGGGCCGGGAGATTCCTTCTCGCCTGCCGGCTACCAGCCGGCCCGCCCACGCCGCCGAGATCCCGACTCCACGTTCCCTCCCCACGGAGGAGTCGGGGCAGCGCACGGAGGCGGAAAGGCTTTCCCCAGGCTGGCCCGGCGAGGGTCGGGGGCGCAGGGACTGAGGGGACACCCCAGGGGGGCCAGCTGCACCCCCGCCCTCCCCTCCTGCTGCTCCCGGGTTTTACGCACTCACGGTCGGAGGGAGCCGGCTGGAGATTTCTGGGGTCTTAGATGTGGAAGTCCGTGCAGAATTTACCTCGTTCTGCCCCAGGGCCCCCGGGTACCTGCCACCTTTTGTTCTTGAAAGGGAGAGATGCCCCTCTGCTGAGCCAGCTGGAGCGTCCTTTCTGTGGCTCTTGCCGTGTAGAAGTCTTTTTTCGTATCTAAGCTCGGTCCCTCCTGCTGCGGTGACCCCCAGACAGCTCTGCTTCGCCAGACTCGGCGACTGGGTAGAGTGGGCAAGAAGGAGGACCAAGAACGTCCCCACTGAGCAGGAGGGGAAATCAAGGCCCAGAGAAGGGGAGGGGTTTCCTTCAAGCTTATAGCTGGGGGTGTGTGAGAGAGGTGCTGACCTCAGTACTCAGGAGTTCCGGCTTCTAGGTCAGAGTCCAGCTGCTTGAAAAGATAATATTCCTCCCTGGTGCTGCCCAGCGCAGTGCCTCTACCTGTCTCTGGAAATCCCTTTCACCTTCTCTGATGGGTTCTTACCATGCGTTAAGTCGCATCAAGACTGTCGGAGATGCCAGATGATGCCGGTTCGGAAGCATCCAGGGTAAAGACCGGGCTGTGCGCGGGAAACACGGAGGCTGGACCCAAGCAGGAAATTCCCACCCGCTTTGCGGAGTTTTTGTAGTGCTGTTTTTAAATCATCATTGGTTGATTTGATGCATTGAATGAAAATTGTGGTAGATAGGAATCATTCATCAAGGAAGAAATTGTGGAACTCCCTTGTCTCTCTGCCTGGGATGGGGCGTGCATTCCTGATTGGAGGCAGGTGGTTGGCTGGTTTGACCTGGTGCATCCAAAGCCCTGAGAGGTCATTGGTACCAGGCCCTGGCCACAGCTAGGCCGAGATATCCTGCAGGGAAACTCACACTGCAGCTTTGTGTGTGTCTCGCCGCCCCGTACCTGAGCTTCCAGACACTATACCTCCGTAGAGTTCCAGTGGCACAGCTCCTGTACCTGTCCCCTTCCACACAGCCTTCTTCCCAGGAGCTCACGCCTCTGGGGCCTGGTCTCCCGCATGCTCCAGACAGAGTGGGTATGGAGGCGTGGTAGACTTGCCCCATTTTACAGAGGGGAAGAACCAGGAGGATCTGGCTAGCCAATGGAGATGAAACACTTCATGCAGAGAAAGGAAAAGGAACCGGGAGTGCTGATGGCGTGACCAGGCCAGGGGTCATTGGGAGATACTGAGATAAAGCTATGCTGATCTTTGCTGTGAAGCCTATGCATCTTTAGTATAGTGTGGGTTGTCCTCCAACTCCCCCAGCCCAAGTCAGTAACACACAGTTGCCCATGCAGAGTCGTGCCCACTCAGGTCCACAAACGCCTGCGCACCACCTGCTCACCCTCCCGTCACGGTATTGACACTTCCCTGAACACAGCTGATCCTGCCTGGTAAGGGGCCTGGAATCTGGGTGCTGCTGGTTCATGACCCCGGAATCCAGCTCTTTCCTCTCTTTTCCCCCAGAGATATGGCCACAATGCCAGCCTCCTTTCCCTCCTGCCTTCATAGGCCCATTGCCCGCTTCTCACTCCACCTGCTGAGGCCTTGTGTGTGTGTGTGTGTGTGTGTGATGAAACTCTCACTGCAGAGATTTTGCAGCTTCCCGGGCTGACAGACTGGTCAGAGGCTGGGGGCAGAGGGAGTAGAGGGCTCTCCCTGCTCATAGCTAGGATTGGGGTCGGTTCTGTTTATTGCCGGGGGCAGTCTTCTCCTCACCCCTCATCCGTCTCACACCCCAACCAGCCTGAAGAGCTGAGCCTCTGAGTCCAGCTTTCCGCATGGGCTCAGCTTCAGGACAGTGAGCTGTGCTGTTGGACCCAGGGGTCCTCCCTTCTGCCCAACTCTTCCTCAGCCCTGATACCACAACCCACCTCCACTCAACAATCCATGAGCCTGCCTGGGCCCTACAGATGGAGAGTTTATGTATTCAACCAGTATTTATCATGCACCTTCTAGGTGTTGAGTTTGACTCTCATCTCCCATCCCCTTCAGGCTCATGCGACACCAACCTCTGCTGCCTGCCAGCTCTTCCTGCCCACATCTTCCTGCCCCATAGCAAACCCCAACAGAGTCATGTGACATTTCACCATCCAAAAAATTATTTTAAGATCCTAGAAAGGAGCAAACAAGCTTATCACACATCATGATGCTCTTTAACTTCTTGCTTTATGTCTTCCACACATGAAGTTCGTTGGAAAAGTATCCCTTCTACAGCCCAAAGACTTACTATTCCATGACCAGTCAGTGGAAGTGCCCTGTGTCCCTCCCCTTTCCTTACCAGAGCCAAACAAGGCAATTCCAATTCTCTGCAAAATTTAGTTGAGCTAAAAATACATTTAGACTGAACTGCCTCCCTCATGAGCCCTTCAGCTCCTTAGCAGCCTCCTTCCCTGGCCTTTAGTTAACCACTGCTACCACAGTATCCTCCCTTCTTACCAAACCCTTCTCTGGGAGATTGCTCAAATAAACTCTTTCACACTAAAGTATAAAAGACTGATAAGGATAAATGTGTTGATTTTTCCCCCTTCCTAGGAGAATTTGCATTTAAACAAGGAGGATAACCTTGAAGTACCTAAAGTGGTCTCTGACTGTGGAATTATTAACATAGTTGAGATATCCTGGAAGGCACAGGGACCTCCCTGGGGTTATGGGACTAGCTGTAAGTTTGGCCTTGCACACCTGTGAAGCAGCCGTGATGGGCTCTTTTGGTCCGTCGTCACATAATGTTGAGAGCAGCGGATGAAGAGTTAAGAGAATCTGAGCTCTAAACCTAGTTCTGACACTAGCTAGTCTGGAAGCAACAGTCACTTCCTCCTCAGGCCTTAGTTTTCTCATTTGCCAAATGAGAATTTTGAACAGTTTACCTTAAAGAATCCTTCTAGCTCTGATATCTGGTTAACTCCCCAGTGGGGCTAGGAGACCCTGGCCCAGCTCCTAAAAGCCTCTAGCCCCTGAAGCTGTGGCTTAGAGGGAATGGTCTGATGCCAGCACAGAGCATGGGGCCCTTCTCTGGGCAGGGACTTGGACAGGCTGCCCCCATGACCATAGCAGCCCACCTGCCAGGGAGGAAAGGTGCCGCTCAGCACACACACCAGTCTTGAAGAGTTACATAACCCTCCCAGATCCCTTATTCCAACCAAAGAGCAACAGCAAAACAGTCTGCCCTCCACCCCCACCCCGGCACACACACACATCAGCAGTCTTTGCCTATGGTGGCCTCACAGTCACAAACACCCTGGGAGAGAATTTTAGAAGGCCACCATCTTTTCTTTTTCATTTGTTTTCATTTTCCTGGAAGATATCTCATGTAAGAAAAGTCTTTAAGAGAAGAAAACCCACAACCACACATCAGGCCTCTTAGTCCCTCCCTGCTGTTCTTTTCAGCTTTCTGACCTCAGAGTCCTGAAAAGTACAGGTCTACCTTCCATCCCTAGGAAGGAGGAACTTGGAGAAATTGATTCAGCCTCATTCTGAAGAAGTGGGAAGCACTTCCTGGGTTCAGATGCCATTTCCCTCACTCTCCACTTTTGTCCTTGACAAGTCAGTGTACCTTCTCCTAGATGAGACTGTAATTTTCCTAATTAGGAAATAGGGGTGATTGTTCTCACCATGGGGCATCGGGTGATAACTCAGATCTCTTTGATATCCTTAAGAGAAGTGCAAATAATCTTAAAATGCAACAGAAGAGGTTTTAGTTGGGCTTAAAGAAGATTTTGCCAACTAGAAATTTGTGAGACAGCATTACAGATCACAGAGGGATGGTGGATTTGTGCTGCTGGTTGCTTTTCAGGGTACGCTCAACATTCCTGTGTCTGGAATGGCTAAATGAGAATAGAGCACATGTAGAAAGGTGGCCTGGCAGTGTAGAAGAAACCCTGAGCCTGCATTCTAGTCTGTCACTGTCATCTGACAACAGGTGAACCCTTTATCTTTCTTGGGCCCTGGTTTCTTTTTCTTTTTCTTTTTCTTTTTTTTGGGGGCATGGAGTCTCACTCTGTGGCCCAGACTGGAGTGCAGTGGCGCAATCTCAGCTCACTGCAACCTCAGCCTCCTAGATTCAAGTGATTCTCCTGCCTCAGCCTCCCGAGTAGCTGGGACTACTATGGACCACCATCCCTGGCTAATTTTGTATTTTTAGTAGAGACAGGGTTTCACCATGTTGGCCAGGCTGGTCTCAAACTCCTGACCTCAGCTGATCTGCCCATCTTGGTTTCTTTATCTGTAGAAATACTGCAATGTATTGAGCACTTACTATGTACCCCAAACAGTACTAAATAAATGATATGTAATTTTTAAAACTTTACAAGTCTTTAAGGTAGATATTTTCCCCATTTTATAAGTGGAAAAACAGAGGCTAAAAGAAAGTAAACAGTGAAGGCAACGTCTCACAGCTGGGGAGGTACCAAGATTTCTCCCCAGGCGTGCTTGCCCAAAGCCCATGTTCTCAACCATCTGGATCTTGAACACTGTGTGATCCAGTGGTTACCTGAAATTCCTTTCAGCCTGAAAGATTTAGCTTTGCCCTTGCCTTACTCCTGATTCCCTTTCTTTTTTATTTATTTATTTATTTATTTATTTATTTATTTATTTATTTATTTTTTAGGCGGAGTGTCGCTCTGTCACCCAGGCTGGAGTACAGTGGCACGATCTCAGCTCACTGCAAGCTCTGCCTCCTGGGTTCACGCCATTCTCCTGCCTCAGCCTCCCGAGTACCTGGGACTACAGGCGCCCGCCACCATGAGCAGCTAATTTTTTTGCATTTTTTAGTTGAGACGGGTTTTTACCATGTTAGCTAGGATGGTCTCGATCTCCTGACCTTGTGATCTGCCCGCCTCAGCCTCCCAAAGTGCTGGGATGACAGGCGTGAGCCACCACGCCTGGCCCTGATTCCCTTTCTTTTTGTTAATGCCCTCATTGACTGAAATAAAGATGACCACCCCTTTCTTCCATGGAAATAAGCAGCCCTTTGGAGCCTCTGTGGGAACCTGCACTTTGTGCTTTTCCAGAAGCAGAGGAGCAAGTTGCTACAGTGGTCCCAGCCTTGGAAACCCTGCCAGATGGCCTCACCTCCGAGAGTCTGCTGGGTGCAGTGAGAGTGTCCCCAGGGCCTCTTACTAAGAACTCCTTACTAAGCTGCCGGCCTCACCTCTGAGAGTCTGCTGGGTGCAGTGAGAGTGTCCCCAGGGCCTCTTACTAAGAACTCCTTACTAAGCTGCCATTGCCCTGTGCCCAGGGCCACTGAGATATGCTTAGGCTCCAGTGAAAAAAAATGTTCAGGCTTCCCAACAAGGCAGCTTGTCCAAAAATCTTTACATGGGGTGTAAATTCAGCAGTTGAGTCTCTTTCCAGATTGTGAGCCCCGATGTTTGTCCCAGCCCTTCCCTCTT
Source organism: Homo sapiens (assembly GCF_000001405.40). NCBI lineage: Eukaryota > Metazoa > Chordata > Mammalia > Primates > Hominidae > Homo > Homo sapiens. Next base: position 64,322,520 of record NC_000020.11, read on the forward strand.
TTTTAATGTTACCCTCCCTTCCATTCCCTCTCCACCCAGCCCCGACCCCAGCTGCCTTTTCTCATAAGTGACCTTTGAAACTCGGGCTGCGCAGAGATTTGCTGAATCAGCAGGACCAACTGTTGTTTCCTTTGCTTCGTTTTGGGCCAGCAGGAAAATGTGCCAGGATGCCTTTGTGAGGCCCTATGGCATTCACTGCATTGGTCTGGGGAGAGATTGGGAGTGAGGGAAGAGGGAGCTGGAGGCTGGTAAGGAGGAGTGAGACAATCAGGGTTTCCCAGAGACCAGGGGATGACTTGGTTCTCTTAAATGCATTATTTTTGGATGAAAAGAAAGGAAGAGCAGTGACCTAGGCCTTCAGGAAGGCAAAGGGCAGCAAATCTTTGCAAGTGGTCACACTATGCCAGCTTCTAGGTATGAATAAAAAGATGCACACTCCCTTCTCCCAGTGAGCCTTCATCCTGGCCCCATTTCTTAGACCAGAAACTCTCTCCCTGCTGGGGATAGGGGAAGAACAAGAGGATAGGCAGATTGATGAGCATGGGCCATACGATGCCACCTCAGCAACCAGGCCTTCTGGGCACAAGGTAGACAAAGTCCCTGTGTGTTGAGACTGTCCTCACCTAGTGATAGGGTTTGGCCTCATGGGTAGGGACTTAGGATGAGCGGAGGGCTGTATCATCAGAGGCTGGAATGAAATGGACATGCAAAACAGTTATCTCCATAGATTGAATTTTCTGCTTTCTGTTCCCTTTCCAGCTATCCTTGCCTCTTACAATTCTGACATAAACCTTTGACTTCAATGAAGAAAACCTGCTCTTTGGCCGTTAACATAATTTGTATACTCACCCTTTTTACCTTGTGCTGTTCTGATAGAGGATTGCTTTAGGCAGCTGCAATATGCTTACACTTGTTTAGGCATTTCTAGATATGTGTCTCTTTTATTTTGAGCAAGGACTGTTTGCTTCTTTCCAATCTTTCCACAGCACTGAGTGCAGGGTTTTGAATAGACTGGATACTTCATACATATAGTTGACTGACAGACCTTCACACTTTCTTTCTTAATAGTTTCCAGGATGGGCCAGTCATGAGCTATCACCTTCAAGCATGCAACTCTGACTCAATAGGAGCAGAGATCCCAGTTCCCACCAGCATCTTAGACAAATCAGGCTAAAAAGCACATCCAGAACTCTTCTAGCTATCCCCAGCCTCCAGCCAGTATGAGAACAGGGAGCTCAAAAGATACTCAAGATTGATTTTGTGTTTAAAGGATAAGGGTAGAGAGGAAAGAGATTTCCCTGTGTAGCTTATGTGGAAGAAGGATAGAAGGAAGAGAAGATGGGAGAGATAAAGTGTTTGGGGGAGAGGTAGAAGGGGAGAAGAGAAGGAAGGAAAAAGGGTAGTGAGGCAGAGGAGGGATGTGAAAGGAAGAAACAATGTAACAGAGAGAAGACAGGAGCTGTGGAGCCCTTCAGACTTCATAGTCATATTGAGGTTGGGATTTGGAGTAGGAGATGAATTTGAATTGGGATGCAAGAATTTATCCTCCAGCAATCATCTGCCTGTGGCCTTGGAGACATGGACAAGTCCTGTCATCCATGGACACTAAACGCATGACTGGTGGTTGGGCAAATGTGCTTAGAAGCCACTGAAGCCAGCAGCTTCAGATAAGTTCATGTGCTTCCATGGCAAGAGGATTTGTCAGGTCAAGTTGAGGTTCTGGCACCAGCCAGGAAAGGGATAGTAATAAATTCTGTAGATGCCTGAGCCTTGACTGAAAAAATAAAGAGGAGGAAGCTATGTTTGCTGCTTTCATTAAGAGGCAAAAGCAGTGGGGGTCAGAGCTTAGCAAGAATCAAGAAGCATGCAGAGAAATAATTTTAACCCTTCAAATGTTTTTCTTCCATAATATCTCTACATTCACTCACCCACATATTGCTGCTTTCTTGGACTGACCTCCAAGACCACCACCTTTGTGTCTCCCTCAGCTGAAGGAGGGAGAGAGGCCAGACTATGTATTAATACAGATAAGACGGCAATTAAATGATTCATTATTTTCCAGTTCCAGTTCTCTAGGGCTTCTGCCTCTCCTCGAATTGGGTAGGAAGAGGAGTTCTGGGGATAAAAGTCAAACTGTGTGAGGACATAATGCATCTACCAGAGTGCCTGGCCTCTGGAAACCCTCACCCACTCTTCAGCCACCTCAGTGGGGCGCGTTCTTGCTGAAATGAGGCCAGAGGAAGAATGAGGGAGGATTCACAGGAAACCCATGATCGGAAGACCCACTGTGCCATCTCTTCCTCCCGCTTCAGCACTCCCAGTAGAGAACCAGTTCTGCAGGGAGCTCCCCAGGAACAATACCAGGGAGGGGGCTGCTGGCTCTGCTCTCCTCTTCCTCACCTCTCCCTCTCCATGGAGATCTCTCTCTGCCTGCTGGCTCCATCTTGTCCTGCATCATGGACAACTATGGGCAGAGGAGAACAAACATACAAAACGGGCCACGGGCAGAGAGCAGGGTAGGATGAAACATGTCATTAGCAATGGTGATTCCGTCCTGAGCTCTGTGGGGAAATTGGTGTTGAAGTTGGGCCACTGTGGGGAAAGAAATGAGTGGTCCAGAAGATATTCAACCAGCCAAGATTACCATGTTTTCACATCTAAGGAAAGAGAGCTGCAGGGATGAGGGGAGGCGGGCACATCTATGGTCTCTATGTTTCTGGGTGTGCAGGCTTGGGGAGCAGGAGAAAAAACTGGAGAATCTGGAGAAAGTAAGACATTACTGTTAAGTGCCTGGGGCAACTTTCTAAGTGAAAGATTCCAATAACTTCCACTCTGCTCCACCATGCTAATTATTTCTTATTTTTGTTCTGCTCCTTTGGGAAGCAAAAGCAGGACAGGTGAGAAGGAAAGGTGAGGATGTTATAACTCCTCTCCAGAATTGACATGTGGGGCTGGACAGGAGCCCAGATGATTCCTAAATCCCAGGATTCTTAGCAGGACCAACTGAGTGAAAGGGTTTGGGTTCCGTAGACCACTCTGAAGGCCATGGCTATGTCTTTGTCTAAGAAAAATAATCTTTCCTCAACTCTTCTTGGCCACACAGTGCCCTGAAGAGATGCAAAGAAAGTGGAGTTGCAGTGGGAGAGAAAGGAGACACCAAAAGTCATGAGGAGAGAAATCATAATGACCAGGTAGCTGTGGCTGCCCTCAGGGAAGGGGACTGGAAAAATTCATCCCCTCATGTGGGGGAAAAGACCACTTAGTATCTTGGAACAATGTTGCCTTTTGCTGAGCCTTGGGCATTGAGGGAAAACTGACTTTCTGCTTTTTATGCCAGATAAGGAAAAAATAAAAATAAAAATGTGAAACTGAGGGAAGTACAAAGGGGTTTTGAGGGAGTTGGGGTAGAAAACTGTATCTTCTTGGGACTTGAATCAAATGTTTTAAGTCTGCCAAGCCAGATCATGTTAGACCTTCACCTCTTAGATCCTGTGGTTTTGATCAATGTGCTCTGTGAGCTACCCTGCCCTAACCCAACTTCTCTAACTCTACCACAGATGGTAAAAGAAAATGAGTTTTGAAGGAATACAGCAAATATTCACAAGTATCTCCCAGACTTAATGCACCTGGATGAAGATGAGATTCTCAGCTCTACTTCCCCCTCCCCATTCCCTTATGTATCACCATTGTCAAGGTCAGGTGCTGACCAGGGACAATTTCCCTTGAACTGTTCTTTATTTAGTTCTCCATCACTTGCCTAATCAGAGAAAAGAAGCGGACATGGCCACAGCCTTTCCAGTACAGAGGAGAGAACATCCCAGACACTTTCATATCTTCTTCCCATATTCCTAGTTCATGGACCTCCTGAGTGAAGAAAGAGCTTGAAGTTCTAGGAACTGAGAGGTTAACATTTCTCTCAGGACCCAAGGCAAGATTTCAGTGATCACCAGATAACCGGGAAAAAAGGGTTTGCAGTTGCTGGCCTTAACGGGGAGATTTAAACAGGCATGGCATCTGAATACCAACTCCATCTGCCAACTGTCCCCCATGTCATTGCTCCCTTTCAACAACGGCCAAACACCCTGTATGAAAAACCCTCCTTGAGTTGGAGGAAAAAGCTGTAACCAGACTGAGTCCTCAAGCCATGCCTGAGTCCTCCATTGGTTTGATGGGATGTTCCCTTGCACCTCTTCGGCTCTGCGGGAATTCAGAGGAAGGGTGTCCAATCAGGTCAGAGAAGAGAAAGCTTCCCTAAATGAGCCACTCCTAGCTGTGGCTCCCACTTCACCAGCTAAAGAGCCACATTTTCTCTTCCTCTGCCTCCAGCTCCCTTGGTTTCCCACATCACTCCTGCTTTTCAGGTTTGTCCCCGGCCTCCTGGATTCCCCTCTACCCCAGTCCTACTCTTCCTGGGCCCCAGCCTTTTTAAAGCTCTTCACATGCCTCTTTTCAAGCCTTCAGCTTTTCTCACATCTCAGTCTCCATGCAAATACTTTTACTACCCAAACTTCCTTCCAAATTTTTTCTCACTTAAAAAGATTCCTTCAATGGTTCTCTTTTCTACAGTTTAATCTTCACTCGAACTTCAACCCAGCCTAACCCCGTTTAAATGCTGTCAGTTCCCAGTATCACCAATCGCTTAACACCCACTTCCTTCCTCCTTTGCTCCTACTAATGGTCTGGTTACTCCTTTTTGCTCCAGCATTCCCCAAAACCTTCTCAAGCAGGGATATCGTTCCCTCATTTACCCAAAATCTCCTTTGCACACTTCTGGCGCCTTCAGGCCACATCACTCCGGTCCTTTAGACTCCTACGCACCCAACGTCCCCGTCTCTCCCTCACACCCACTTGCTTCCCTTGCTCCCACCACAACAGTGCCCATCTCCCCTCCCCGCTCACTCAGGTCTCCTGCTCAGGACGCCCTTGCCGAGGGCGGAGGGGGATTTGTGCTGAAGGAGGGCTCCGGCAGCAGCGCAGCAACTCGGGGGACGCTCCTTCTCCTTGTCAGTCACGGCCCCTTGTGTCCCCAGATGCTTCTGGGGCGACTGGGGTGTGTGAGCCCTGCTGCCAGGGCCCCGCTGGGGCTGCTCCAGGAGCTGTCCGTGGTGCTGACGCGGCGGCCGATCGGGCGCGGGATGCGGCGCGGCTGCTGAGCGCTGTCCCTGGTCCTGGAGAGGTTCCTGGGCCCTGGCGGCGGCGGCAGGAGCGGTGGCCGGAGCGGCCGGCAGCGGGGCCGATGACGGGGGGACGAGCCCGGGCGGAGGCTGGGCTTGCAGCAGCTGCTGGTGCTCCCACAGGCTGCGGTTCTCAGTGCTCAGCTCGTCCAGCCGCCGCTCCAGCTCGTCGATACGCTCTCGCTGGGTGTGGATGAGGCTCTGCTGCTTCTGCACGATGGCCGTGAGCTCCTTGAGGCAGAGCACGGCGCGCACCGGATTCTCCAGCAGGCTCTCCATGCCGCCCGCCGCCGCCTGCGCCCTGCCTGCGCCTGGGGTGGCGGCGGGGAGCGCGAGGGCGCGGGAGCCCAGCAGCCCAGGGGTCGGCTCGCCTCCCTCTCCCACCGGCCCAGCCTCCCTCCCCCCGCCGGCGCCGCGTCACTGCCACCCCGACCTTCACACACGCATCGCGGGGCGGGGCGGCTGCGCAAGGCCCCACCCCCACCCCACCCCCTACCTCCAGACCTCCCCAACTCCTCGCCTCCCCACCTCCCTGCCTCTTGGCGTCAGCGAAGGCTCTGCTGCCTGCAGGGCAGAGAGGAGAGGGAGGAGGCCAGCGAGAGGGAGCCTCTGTCGGGGCGTGGGAGGAAAGCAAGATAACGCAGGCGACCCGAGAAGGACGGTGAATCTGACTGGCCAGACTGGGAAGTAGGCGAAGGGGAAGCAGCGATACTGGGAAGGTGCGGTGGGACCTGTAGGAGAAGAGAAACAGAAAAGAAAGGAAGAGAAGGGGAGAGGCCAGCAGAGAGGAAGCAGAAAAAGGGAAGGTGGGGCCAAGAAAGAGAAATGTGCTGGAGGAGAGGAAGGTGTGGGGCCCTGAAGGGACGCGAATTCTTTTTTCCCAGGTCCAGGCCTTCCAGAGGCTGGGGTTCATCTAGAGACCTGCTGAGGAGGGGCCACACTCGCCTCTTTTGCTCGCAGCAATCTATTCTGCCAGGGGATTCCCTGGAACACAAGAATCCTGGGGCTCTAAGGGACCCTAAAGAGCGTCTGGTCCTGCTCCTTCCTTCATCCGTGACGAAACTTGGGATGGGAAGGCTGTTCCTGCTGGGTTTCCTCTGGGAGTGAGACCTCAAGACAACTGTGGCAGTTCCTGATAGAAACACTAAATAAACGAGGTCCTCTGTGGCAAGGGCTGACGCTTCCAGAAGCTTCTGAATAGATCATTCTATTTGACAAACAGTTATAAAATGCACACTATTACCAAACACTGGGCTAGATGGTGGTAAGAGAAGCATGACCAGAATGGAATCTTAGGCTTTTTGAAGCTTATAAATAAGTGGGTGAAATTGGTCATGATTAACTTTGACGTATGATAGTGGTGGTGAGTAATCAGGCAGAGGTTTGCCCAGAGTGCTATAGGAGCCAGCAGCTTGGAGATCCAGGGAGGCTTCTTACAGGAAGTGACCCTTGATGTGGGAAGGGTTTTCCATAAAGGGAAGACAGCATGAGCAAAAGCTCAGAGACATTAATCAGCATCGATTGAATCATTCATTGATGTCTACAATAATCACCACTCACTAGGTGCAAAGTAATGTACCAGAATCTATGCAAGCCACATCTAGCATAGATAATAAGTTATCATTTCTATAATCAAGTTGATTCCAATCTCATAGAGTAGATATGCCATGCACATGAATAAGTAAAACACAACTCAAGATTTCTGTAAGAGCTCTTCAAGCCAAGTGCCATAGAGTTCAGGGGAGGGAGAGGATTCATTTGACTGTGTTGATCTGATAAGTTCTGACAGAGGTGTTATTCAAGTTGGGCCATGAAGAATGGGAAATATTTCAACAGGTAGACAGAACAGGGGGCCAGATATGAGAAAGATACATCAGGCAGCAGGGAAAAAACTAATGAATGGAAATAGAGCACTTGGTTTAAATTAATTTGGCAGGGAAATGACCCTTTCCTTTTCTTTTCCTTTACTTTTTTTTTTTTTAAGTCTTGTCTGTCACCGAGGCTGGAGTGCAGTGTGGCAGGATCATAGCTTACTCCATCCTTGAACTCCTGGGATCAAGGAATCCTCTAGCCTCAGCTTCCTGAGTAGGTGGGACTACAGATGCATACCACCATGCCCCGTGAAGGAAGTGAGTTGTTCTTTCCTCTTTTATAGGAATGGGATGGGAAAGAGGAAGGGCTATGAGTACGCTTCGCATGTTTGTTATTGTGTTGTTCCGTTCTTCACACACATGTCCATCAGGCTCCCTGTCAACCTTCCATTCCCCCAGGGTAGGCATATTTATGGGTACCATGTGCCCAGTGAGCTGGCCCACCCCCCACCACCACGTGGTGCCAGACTTGAATGACCTTATGAGAAGGAACTTGTGCTCTGCACATATATTGGTTTATCTGCATTCGTGATGTGTTTTTATTTTGCTTTTCTCCCATTTATCTTCCTAGCAAACTTTCTTTGGTAAAGAATGAATAAAGGAAGCTTATCCACAGCTGAGCTCACGGTTAGGGGAAACAGCACACAGGAGGATGCTTTGGTAGTGACCAGCATTCCAGCTAAAGAATGGAGGTTGGGGGATGAAACAAGGGCACACAAAAACTCAAACTCTTTTTTCTGAATTTTCTTTGTTTGCCTAGTTGATTTGCTGTCCAAGAATTGGGTGCTTGGACAGCAAATTAGAGACGAATACGATAAGTGAAACAGCCTGCAGCATAATTATCCATGGGGATTGTTGAAAATGCAGATTTCTGAGCCCTATATTGTAGCAGGACAAGCCGCAGACAAAATTCCTCAGACACCGAGTTAAAGAAGGAAGGGGTTTATTTGGCCGGGGGCATCGGCAAGACTCCTTTCTCAAGAGCTGAGCTCCCCGAGTGAGCAATTTCTGTCCTTTTTAAGGGTTCACAACTCTAAGGGGGTGCGCGTGAGAGGGTCGTGGTCGATTAAGCAAGCAGGGGGTACGTGACTGGGGGCTGCATGCACCGGTAATTAGATCGGAACACAACAGGATAGGGATTTTCACAGTGCTTTTCTATACAATGTCTGTAATCTATAGATAACATAACTGATTAGGTCAGGGGTCGATCTTCAACTACCAGGCCCAGGGTGTGGCGCCGGGCTGTCTGCTTGTGGATTTCATTTCTGCCTTTTAGTTTTTAGTTTTTCTTTCTTTGGAGGCAGAAAATGGGCATAAGGCAATATGAGGGGTGGTCTCCTCCCTTAATACCAGTCCTGCTGTATTGGAATCACTAGGAATGGGGACCAAGAATTTTTATTTTAAAAACTTTTTTCATTAAAAAAATCAACTTTGTTGACTTATAATTTATATCCAATGATATGCTCCCATTTTATGTGCACAGTTCAATGAATTTTGACAAATGTTCATGCCCTATTTTAGTCAGTTCCTCTCATCCTCAGCTCCAGTTAACCACTGACTTGCTGTCTGCCAGTATATGTTAGTTTTGTCTGTTGTGGAATTTCACATAAAAATCATACAGTATACACTACTTCGTGTCTTTCTTTTTAAATTTTTTATTATTTTAAAAATTACTATGATGATTTTTGTTTTAATAGTTTCTGGGGAACATGTGATGTTTGGTTACATAGATAAGTTCTTTTGTGGTGATTTCTGAGATTTTGGAGCACCCATCACCTGAGCAGTGTACACCGTACCTAATGTGTAGTCTTTTATCTCTTACCCCACTCCCACCCTTCTCCCAAGTCCCCAGAGTCCATTGCATCATCCTTAAGCCTTTGAGTCCTCATAGCTTAGTTCCCACTTACACACGAGAACATAAGATATTTGGTTTTCCATTCCTGAGTTACTTCACTTGGAATAATGATCTCCAACTCCATCCAGGTTGCTGCCAATGCCATTATTTCATTCCTTTTTAAATCCACTCATTGATTGATGGGCATTTGGGCTGGTTCCACATTTTTGCAATTGTGAATTGTGCTGCTATAAACATATGTGTGCAAGTGTCTTTTTTTTCATATAATGATTTCTTTTCCTCTGGATAAATACCCAGTAGTGGGATTGCTGGATCAAATGGTAGATCTATGTTTAGTTCTTTAAGGAATCTCCATACTGTTTTCCATAGTGGTCGTACTAGTTTACATTCCCACCAGCAGTGTAAAAGTGTTTCCTTTTCACCAAATTCACGCCAATATCTATTATTTTTTGATTTTTAAATTATGGCCATTCTTGCAGGAGTTAGGTGGTATCACATTGTGTGGTGTTTTTTGTTGTTGTTGTTTGTTTTGTTTGTTTGTTTTTGAGATGAAGTCTTGTTCTGTCACCCAGGCTGGAGTGCAGTGGCTCGACCTCAGCTCACTGCAACCTCCACCTCCTGGGTTCAAGTGATTCGTCTGCCTCAGCCTTTGGAGTTCAAGTGATTCTCCTGCCTCAGCTTCCCAAGTACCAAGTAGCTGGGACTACAGGAGTGTACAACCATGCCCGGCAATTTTTGTGTTTTTAGTAGAGATGTGGGTTTCACCATGTTGGTCTCGAACTCCTGACCTCAGGTGATCCACCTGCCTCAGCCTCCCAAAGTGCTGGGATTACAGGTGTGAGCCACGATGCCTGGCCAGCACTGTGGTTTTGATTTGCATTTCCCTTATCATTAGTGATGTTGAGCATTTTTTTCATATGTTTGTTGGCCATTTGTATATATTCTTTTGAGAATTGTTATTTATGTCCTTAGCCCACTTTTTGATGGGATTATTTGTTTTTTTCTTGCTGATTTGTTTGAGTTCCTTGTAGATTCTGGATATTAGACCTGTGTTGGATGCATAGTTTGTGAAAATTTCCCCCACTCTGTGGGTTGTCTGTTTACTCTGCTGATTATTTCTTGTGCTGTGCAGAAGCTTTCTAGTTTAATTAAGTCCTTCTATTTATCTTTGTTGCATTTGCTTTTAGGTTGTTGGTCATGAACTCTTTGCCAAGCCAATGTCTAGAAGAGTTTTTCCAATGTTATCTTTTAGAATTTTTATGATTTCAGGTCTTAGATTTAAGTATTTGATTCATCTTGAATTGATTTTTGTATAAGGTGAGAGATGAGTATGCAGATTTATTCTTCTACATGTGGCTAGCCAATCATTCCCAGCACCACCTGTTGAATAGTGTGTCCTTTCCCTACTTTATGTTCTCATTTGCTTTGTCAAAGATCAGTTGGGTGTAAATATTTGGCTTTATTTCTGGGATTGCTAGTCTCTTCCATTGGTCTATGTGCCTATTTTTATACCAGTACCATGCTGTTTTGGTGATGATAGCCTGGTAGTATAGTTTGAAGTCAGGTAATGTGATGCCTCCAGATTTGTTCTTTTTCTTTACTCTTGGTTTGGCTATGTGGGCTCTTTTGTTCCATATAAATTTAAGGGTTTTTTTTTTCTAGTTCTGTGAAGAATGATAATGATATTTTGATGAGAATTGCATTGAATTTATAGATTGCTTTTGGCAGTATGGTCATTTTCACAATATTGATTCTATTCATTCATGAGCATGGGGTATGTTTCCATTTGTTTGTGTCATCTATGATTTCTTTCAGCAATGTTTTGTAGTTTTCCTTGCAGAGATCTTTCACCTCCTTGGTTAGGTATATTCCTAAGTATTTTATTTTATTTTTTGCAGTTATTGTAAAAGGGGTTGAGTTATTGCTTTGTTTCTCAGCTTGGTTGCTGTTGGTGTATAGCAGTGTTACTGATTTGTGTACATTGATTTTGTATCCTGAAACTTTACTGAATTCATTTATCAGATCTCAGAGCTTTTTGAGTGAGTGCTCAGGGTGTTCTAGGTATACAATCATATCATCAGCAAATAGCAACAGTTTGACTTCCTCATTACCAATTTGGATGTCCTTTATTTCTTTCTCTTGTCTGATTGCTCTGGCTAGGACTTCCAGTACTATGTTGAATAGAAGTGGTGAAAGTGGGCGTCCTTACGTTGTTCCAGTTCTCAGGGGGAATGCTTTCAGCTTTTTCCCCTTCAGTATAATGTTGGCTGTGGGTTTGTCACAGATGGCTTTTATTACCTTAAGGTATGTTTTTTTCTATGTAGATTTTGTTGAGGGTTTTAATCATAAAATTTTGTCAAATGCTTTTTCTGTGTCTATTGAGATGACAATGTGATTTTTTTAACAAAAATTCTGTTTATGTGGTGTATCACATTTATTGACTTGTGGATGTTAAACCATGCCTGTATCCCTGGTGTGAAACCCACTTGATCATGGGGGATTATCTTTTTGCTATGCTGTTGGATTTGGTTAGGTAGTATTTTGTTGAGGATTTTTATATCTATGTTCATCAGGGACATTGGTCTGTAGTTTCCTTTTTTGTTATGTCCTTTCCTAGTTTTGATATTAGGGTGATACTGGCTTTATGGAATTATTTAAGGAGGATTCCCTCTTTCTCTGTCTTTTGGAATAATTTCAGTAGAATTGTTGAGAATTCTTCTTTGAATGTCTGATAGAATTCCGCGGATC